>NC_000015.10:56401874-57026874 GCF_000001405.40 Homo sapiens | reverse complement strand
ATGTGCACAGGTTATATGCAAATACTACGCCATTTTATATAAAGGCCTTCAGCATCCACAAATTTTGTTACCTGCAGGGGTCCTGGAACCAATCCCCCACGGACATCAAGAAATGACTGTATGTATGTTATATATACAATATTTACATATACACAATAAAATACATATTATGTAAAATGTATACGTAAATTAAAATATATAAAATGAAATACTGTACTGGATAAAATACAATGAAACTAAAAAATAAGCAGAGTCATACAAAGCAAAGTTTAATACAGACTTATTTACTGAGTTGAATGTTTTTCCCTTAAACTGTAAATATTAACGACTAAATCAGAAAATTTTTATCCGAGAAGCACAGACAATTTGTGGAGAAAAGTTGGCAGAAGTCAGGATTCCTCTGGTCCTCTCTTCTACAAGAGTCCTACCAACAGCATGCTGGACTGCTGCTTATAATAAATCAGTAACAGGACACTAGGCCTCTCAAGACAGTCTTTTTCACTGCTGAAACCCATATTCTCTTGAAAGTTCTCTTAAATTCTTAAGCTAAACTTTTAACCTGACATGGAAATGATGCTCTTTCAGAGAAGAGTTTGGCACACTATTGGCTGGTGAAATCCAGCCCACTATCTGTTTTTACAAATAAGGTTTTGTTGGAATACAGCCATTCCCATTTGTTTACCATATATTGTCTATGGCTGCTTGCTTTCATGTTACAACTGCAGAGTTAAGTGGTGACACAAAGCCCACAATGTTTACCTGGTCCTTTCCAAAAAGAATTTTCCTATCTCTGTTCTAGAGGAACACCAGAGAAATCTATATTATCTTCTACATGACAGCATTTAAAACTCTGGAGAGTATTATTCCTGTACATTCTCAGTCTTCCCATTCCCAGTTTTTTAACTGTTCCTACAAGAACATTTTCAGTAGCTCAAATCCTAAACATGCCTTTCTAAGTCACTACAGTTGACGAGTGACCCTCTTAAAGTATGAAAATGAATTCATCATCTCAGCGAAGATTACAAAGGAACCACTACCATCTATGATTCTGACACCACATTTCTATTAACACAGTTTAAGGTTTCATTCTACGTTTCATCACACTGGTGACTAACATTTCTTACGTAAGAACTTTTATTTTGTAAACTGATGTACATGAATTACTTTTATAAATAAAAACACTGTATGAGGAGCTATCATACAAATTCTTTCAACACAACTTCTCTGCATCTGGAGACCAGGCGCATTTCAAGTATTTAAAGCTCTTAGGTGGTAATCTTCTCTTTCTCTTCACTTATTATAGGCTACAATTCCATCCCATTGTGTCATTTAATACATGATTTCCAGACTGAGGATTATTCTAACTGAAACAAAACAGGTTCTGTGGTCAAAATTCCAAAGGGAAAATTCAGGTGCATAGATAAGAAATGTGAAAACGCAAGCAGGAGTGCCCCAAAGAAACCTCAATAAATGTGATTTTAGTGAAAAGGGCACAGGCTGGGGGCGGTGGCTCATGCCTGTAATCCCAGCACTTTTGCAAGGCTGAGGCAGGCGATCACTTGAGGTCAGGAATTCGAGACCAGCGTGGCCAACATGGTGAAACCTCCTCTCTACTGAAAATACAAAAATTAGCCGCACATGGTAGCAGGCGCCTGTAGTCCCAGTTACTAGGGAGGCTGAGGCAAAAGAACAGCTTTAACCCAGGAGGCAGAGGCTGCAATGAGCTGCGATCGTGCCACTGCACTCCAGCCTGGGCGACAGAGCGAGCTGAGCCTTGGTCTCAAAAAAAAAAAGGTAGCGGGGACACAAACTTATAAATCACATAGGACTAGATTTGAATTTAGGTGCTGTTCCATCATAGCTATGCAACACATTTTCATAATTTCAAAAGCAGATTAAAAATACAATGAATAAGCCAGATATTACCTTGACTACCTTTAAACATAAAACATAACCCAACATTTTAATGTAGGATTTACCTTTTCCTAACCTCAGCCTTCTAGCTTGAAGAATTCGTTCCTCTCCCTTACCTACCTTATCCCAAAGGGAAGTGAGCTTGTTGACGAATGTGCATGGTTCTTTTATATGTGGAGCTAATGTAATAAAAAGCTGCCAATATTACTGATTGGCACTATTCTTCCAATTACTGATTGGCACTATTCTTCTTACTATGGAATGGTCTAAGTCAGAAATTCTGGGTATTTTCTTTGCAGTACCGGCAAGCTCCTTTGGCAGCAGCTCTAAAGCCATGAATTCTGATCATCTTATCATTAATAAAGCTGACATTCCAGTCTTACTATGTTACTCTCTTGTATCTTATTTTTCATTTGGTTCCAAACTCAGGATCAAGAACCTTTTTTGGGTTGGGTGCAGTGGCTCATGCCTGAAATCCCAGCACTTTGGGAGGCTGAGGCAGGCAGATGACTTGCAGTCAGGAGTTCAAGACCAGCCTAGCCAACATGGTGAAACCACATCTCTACTGAAAATACAGAAATTAGTTGGGTTTGGTGGCGGGCGCCTGTAATCTCAACTACTCAGAAGGCAGGAGAATAGCTTGAATCCTAGCAGAAGCTGCAGTGAGCCGAGATCGCACTACCTCACTCTAACCTAGGAGACAGAGCGAGACTCCGTCTCAAAAAAAAAAAAAAAAAAAAAAAAGACACTTTTTTGAGTATGGGTCCTCAGATTAGTTTTGCACTTTGCCTTTCTTGCCTGAGCCATACTCCTAACACATTGTTCACAGTTATTTGTCTTGCTTCTTTAAAGCAGGGGTCCACAACCCCTGGGCAACAGATTACTACCAATATGTGGCCTATTAGGAACCAGGCTCCACAGTAGGAGGTAAGCAGTGGGTAGAGAGCATTAAGGCCTGAGCTCCACCTCCTGTCAGATCAGTGGTCACATTAGATTTTCATAGGCACATGAACCCTGTTGTGAACTATGCAAGGGATTTAGGTTGCACGATCCTTATGAGAATCTAATGCCTGATGATCTGAGGTGGAATACTTATGTCCCAAAACTATCCCCTACAACCCTCACCATCCACAGAAAAGTGTCTTCCACAAAACCAGTTCCTGGTGCCAAAAAGGTTGGCACCTTTAAACTATAACAAAAACTAATGTATTTGCAAAGAAATAAATTCAGAATCACACAGATTTGTTTTTTCTCCAATTTATTGTTTTCTTATTTACACCTAATTCAATAGCAAGTTTTGTACCTCCCTGTGTTTGAGTCTTTCCAAACATTCCCTCGGTTTTCATAAAAAAAACTTCTTTATGAATCCAATCTGCTTAATTTTAAATAAATAATTATTAAGAGGTTTGGGAACCAATATAATTGGCTCTTGGTAAGGGTACAACTCATATGGTTGGTGCAGAAGTATGAAAGTAAACTAGAATATAACTGACCAGATACAATGATCAGTAAGTTGTGATCATCAATTGGTGTATTTTTCAAGCAGAATGGGGAGGGGTGGTTACTCTGTTTGGTAAAGAGAGTTTCAATGTCCTCACCTTTTAAAACTGAAAATACCACTTCCTTTCTTTTGAAGTTCCCATGAGGATTAAATAAAAGACATAAAGTACCTACAAGTATTTGGCACATATCAAGTGCTCAATAAATACTCTAAACAAGCACTGAATAAAATCAAACTCCATACTTAAAAAATAATCTCTATGAAACAAGTGAATGTTGTTCAAATAATCTGCTTGAGGTAAAAACTGGAGATGTTGTCTAGGATTATTTCTTATAACCCCAGCTAAACTTTTAGTATGTCAACCAAAACAAAAATTTAAAATTCCTGAACAGCAAATTATGACATTTAATGTCTCTTATACAACAGAAACAGGAAGAGCCTCAATGCACTTAAAAGAGAAGGAAAACCACCTGGAGCTGTGTACATTATTCAACTCCCACCTGTGTAAGCTAGAAATAGTAACCTGTTCTCCTTTCAATTCAGAAATCTCATTAAATTAGGGTATGACTATTTCCTTCTACTAGTCACATGGCCCAACAAGAAAAGATCTGTCTGACCACGTGAAAAAATGCTCATCATCACTGGTCATCAGAGAAATGAAAATCAAAACCACAATGAGATACCATCTCACGCCAATTAGAATGGTAATCATTAAAAAGTCAGGAAACAACAGATGCTGGAGAGGATGTGGAGAAATAGGAACACTTTTACACTGTTGGTGGGAGTGTAAATTAGCTCAACCATTGTGGAAGACAGTGGTGGCGATTCCACAAGGATCTAGAACTAGAAATACCATTTGACCCAGTGATCCCATTACTGGGTATATACCCAAAGGATTATAAATCATGCTGCTATAAAGACACATGCACATGTATGTTTACTGCAGCACTATTCACAATAGCAAAGACTTGGAATCAACCCAAATGTCCATCAATGATAGACTAGATTAAGAAAATGTGGCACATATACACCATGGAATACTACGCAGCCATAAAAAGGATGAGTTCATGTCCTTTGCAGGGACATGGATGAAGGTGGAAACCATCATTGTCAGCAAACTATCACAAGGACAGAAAACCAAACACCACATGTTCTCACTCATAGGTGGGAAATGAACAATGAGAACACTTGGACACAGGATGGGGAACATCACACACCGGGACCTATCGGGGGGTGGGGAGCTGGGGGAGGGACAGCATTAAGAGAAATACTTAATATAAATGATGAGTTGAGGGGTGCAGCAAACCAACATGGCACATGTATACCTGTGTATCAAACCTGCACGTTGTGCACATGTACCCTAGAACTTTAAAGTATAATACATACATACATACATACATACATAAAAAAAAGAAAAGATCTGCCTGACAAATATTGATCACCAGGGTTTATGATTAAAAGAAAAAAATAAGTTAAACTATTTGAAATCACACTTCCTACCATTATAGGTCAAACCCACAAAATAAATACAGTATACAGTCATCCCTCAGTACAAGCCGGGGACTGATTAAAGACCCCTGCACATACCAAAATCAGCACATACTCATGTCCCTGTGGAACCCGCCTATAGGAAAAGTCGGCCCTCCATATATATTCAGACTTCACATCCCATTAACACTGTATTTTCGATTCACGCTTGGTTGAAAAAAAAAAAATCTAAGTATAAATGGACCCATACAGTTCAAACCCATGTTGTTCAACAGTCAACTGTCCTAAATATAAGAACTCCTATCTGTTAGGTTTCAGTCACTGTGGTAAAATCGTAGAAAGACCAAACAAGTCACTTCTGTGTAAAGAACATTTTATCCTTGGTGCTGCCCTATATAAGCCTGTTTTCCTAAGACAGATTCTGAGGCATGTAGCTCATTCTGAATAGCATTCTCAAACTGTTTCCTTATGATTGGCAAGAATCCTGACCCACATCTGTATGCTAAGCCACTGTTGATGCCAATGTTTTCTGACCTTGTGATCCGCCCTCCTGGGCCTCCCAAAGTGCTGGGATTACAGGCGTGAGCCACCGCGCCCGATGCCAATGTTTTCTGTCCCATCACTAGTTTAACCTGCTAGCTCCAGAGCTTACCCATGCCTTCCCATTTCAGCATGACACAATGGCCTCAGGTTGGCCCTCGAAGCTAGAAACACGATCAACGTTCTGCCCCAGTTCTTGGTCCCATGTCCTCTCTTGACCCATACTCTGCCCAATGACTAACAAGAAATGCTCACACCTTCCATATCTGAAAAGTTAAACTTCTTTTTAACTGAGATTTCTGTAAGCGTGTTCATAATTTTGTTCTATATGGGACACCAAAGAAACAGAAGAGATAATTTCCACTCTCAAGATGCTCTTAATGTAATTGAAGAATATATAGGGAAAGAAGTAAACATGAAATTAGTATAACATACATAAAGTCTAAAAAAAGGTGATATGTCTCACCCTCTTCATCTATCTCATATAATAAAAAATTAAACCTTGTTACTCTTAATTTCAAATATGATATAGTTCCCCTTGGTTTTGAAGCTCTTCACAAAAATAATCCATACCCCCTCAGTTTCTTATGCACACCTACTCATGCTCTTCCATGAAGTCTTCCCTGATTAACTAAAAGAAAGCTTAGCATTGTTACACCTACACATAGTCCCAAAATGCTTCCACATATGCCACCTGAAATAACATGCTTACCTAACTGCCCATATAAAAAAATAAACCAATTAAACAATATATGTTTATTTCGTTGAACACATTTCCCAAGCGACCTTATCCATCTATTTAGTAGATGGTTATATTAGCTTTGAGTAAGACATAATGGTTCTCTACATTGCTTGTCTACCTTCGATGGCTTGAACACTTGGAAAATTTAATGTTTGAAGCAAAATATAATACACAGAAATTAGGCAACAGGTTAAATAACAATAGGTGTCCCTCTCACTACTTCCACACTTTTTCCAAATGAAAATAAAGTACCCTTTTAAAAGGGTTAACCTACTAACACATGCAAAACATTGCCATGCAAAATACTGTTTCTCCACTTCTATACTTTAAGAAATAGAAACACAGGGATTACACTGTACTGAACGCTCTGCAAGAAGACCTCAAGATGAGCTCAGTACATTTGCTTCTGTTCCTATCCCAATTATTAGCAGGTTCACCACTCATCCCCTAACCACATCTGTTAAGACTATGCTACGTAAATAAGGCACACATGTCCTAGATTTTCTGGTGTAATTCCTATCTTACATACTCTTCCTTTTCATGAGGTTGTCATATGTACAATTAAACATGACTGGGTTTTTATAAATGTGAAATCGCCTTTGCAAAGATTATGACAGTGAGAGAGAAGTCTAGTATGGCTGACCCCACCTTGCTTCTAGCCTCACAGGATGGCTGTTCTAACTCATTCCTGGATATAGGCCAAGTTAACCATGGGAGAAATGCAGTTTATAGTTTAACTTGGAAGCAAGGATGATAACAGTCCCCCCCTAAAACTAATCCCCCTCCTTGCTCAGGGAATGAAAATTAATGAAAGGTCACAAGGTTAGAATTACAGGAGGGGCATGAATTCTAATAAAATGTAGGCATAGTTTCTATAGTCTTTTGCTTCTAGGGAGTCATGTGGCCAGAGGTCACAAGATTTGTGACATCCCCAATTGCTCCTATAGATAACATCACTATTGAGAACCTAAGGCTGGTCTTTTGAGATGTTTTTCAAAATTTTTCATTCTGACAACAGACTGACTCCACTGGGACCCGTGACTCATGACTCAAACCGGTCCTGTGGCCTCCACCCAGAGGTGGGTGGACTCAGCACATGAAGACCGTTTTTCCGTACCCCTATAATTTCATCCTCAACCAATCAGCAACAGGATAATTCCCTATCCTCCTGGCCACCATATTACCCATTAAAAACCTTAGCCTCCCTCTGAGTTCCCAGGGAGGCTGATTTGAGTAATAATAAACTCTTGTCCTTCTGTTTGGCCAGCCCTGCATTAAACTCTTTCTTTACTGCAATAACACTGTCTCAGTGAATTGGGTTTATCTGTGCAGTGGGTAAGAAGAGCCCATCAGGAGATTACAAGTATGTGAGACTTTGAGAATAAAAGAAGTTTAATTCCTATGTCTAACCAAAGGAATTAAATAATACTAATCTGTTCAAAACACATGGTCACTACATTGATAGTAAAAGGCAACGAGTAAAATACTTCTGAAATACCTTCAATATTGTCTGCTAACAAGTTGCACTTTAGCCAGTGCTGGCTACCAAAGTATTAGAACTTTGCCTACTTTCTTGTTAGGTTGATTCCTAAAAACTCTTTTCTACCAAGGTATCAACTCCTCTCATTCTTAACAGCTACCAAATTCCAAAAACAGTTTGGCTTGACTTTCTTACCAGATTTATTCAATTTAAAGTCAATTTAATTGTCTCGTAAGCCTTAGTCAGTCCAGGCCTTTCACCCCATTCTAGATTTTTATCAACACATCTCAGCACAGAATCAGAGGGTCTTCCTTACTCTAAAAAGAACCAGTAGTTAGCGTGGCTCATCAACATCCAAAGCAATAACTTTTGTTATTATTGTTTCAATCTCTCTCTTTTGTTTTTGTTTTACTTTGAGAAAAGAACTTTTATCTGAGGAATATGAGCCCTTTCAAATTATCAGGCCCCGGCTAGGGCACAGTGGCTCATGCCTGTAATCCTAGCCCTTTGGGAGGCCAAGGCAGGTGGAGTGCTTGAGCTCAGGAGTTCAAGACCAGCCTGGGCAACATGGCAAAAAATACAAGATGGGCATGCTGGCACGTGCATGTAGTCCCAGCTACTCAGGAGACTGAGGTGAGAGGCTGGCTTGACCCCGAGAAGCACATGTTGCGGTGAGCCGAGATCTTGCCACTGCACTCCAGCCTGGGCGATAGAGCTAGGCCCCATCTCAAAAAAATAAAAATAAAAATAAATAAATAAATCCGGCCCAGAGAGGCATTAAAATGAGACAGCAATTACATCCTACTTCCTGCCTCTTGAGCTATGCAGTCATCTGTTGAAACTGCTTGCTATTGCAACAAGTAGCTATAAATTAACCTAATGCCACACACATAGCTTAACAATGTATAGCCAATCACTAATCAATGTTATTTCTGTAAACTAACAAAAATTCCTAACAACTTTGTATCAGTCCACCTGTTTTGCCTCTAAAAATTCACCTGTAACTGCTGCTAATCAATGTGTATATTCAGAGCAACTTGAATCTATGCTCCCAGGTTGCAATCCTCAAGCTTGGCCCCAATACGCTCTCTACTTACATTAATTTTGCCTCAGCTTCTTCCTTTTAGGTCGACACTTTAGTGTCCTAAATTACTTTTTGACTGGCTTTCCAAGATCCTTCTACTAAAATGTAAAATTCAACAGTAACACCTCAACCCTCACTGGGTGATTCTTACACTCCCTGGAGTTTGTGATACATGGAGGTTTACCAAAATAATCTGGTGTCCCTTGCCTTCTTTCCCAGATTATATTATGTGACAATCCCTTCTTTTCTAAAACTGGGTGAAGAAGAAGAAATATACATGTATATTTAAAGAACAAGTATGTAAGGCCACATACCAGAGTCACCAGGAATTCATTGCAAGGTATGACTTTTTAAAATCTAAAGAATGAGGCAATGTTCAGGCAAAAAAAAAAAAAAAAAGAAAGAAAATTAGACCTTCTCACATCTCCTGAGGTTGCTTACAGTTTAACTGGTGGGTTTTAAAAAATATTACCAATAATTCTGCACTGAACATCTTTGTATGCCTATTTTGATATACCTACTTTGTATACCTACTTTTGCACATATATTTAAAGTAAACAATGTTGGGCTAGCATGCTAAAGCAGGGCCCTGCAAACTTTTTCTTAAAGGAACAGTTAAGAATTATTTTTGGCTTTGCCCATATGGTTCTGTTGCAACTACCCAATTGTGCCTTGTAGTGCAAAAGCAATGATAGGCAATACCAATAAATATTGGTGCGGCTATGTTACAACAAATCTTCATTTACAAGAAATAAGCAGTGAGCCAGATTTGTCTCAAGGGCGATAACTTGTGACTCTCCTTAAGTCAGCTAGAGGGCATATACATTTAAATGGCATTGCTAGGCTGAAGGGTATATGCCTTTGAAATTTTTATTTACTTCTCAAATGGATCTTTTATTACATGGGGCTACGAGGCCCTCAAATGGACACTCTAGAGAGAGCACCCATAATCTCAGTGTCAACTGTGTCAAGGGCCTGAGATTTTGCCCTACTTGTAAACTAACAAGGTAGCCTGCCACCCTTTCAAGGATGAAGGTAGAAGACAGGAGACTCAGATCAGAGACAAATGACTTTATTAGTCACATCCCAGCAAGAATATATCAGCATATTTGCATCAGTTCCCTTATCCCCACTGTCATGACAGCAACACGGATGAGCCCAAATGGATGTCTGCATGCCCAGTGCGTTTACAGGAAAGGAAGCCTGAGTTTAGGAAGCCCAGATCTATAATGCACAGTAAGTATGGCTGACTTTTGCTCTGGAGAGATAAATTCTCTCTCCATATACACAGTAAACATACCTGCCCTTTGTTCCAGAGGGAGAAACTATGTCTACTTTCCATGGCTGTTTAGTATACAAGCATCCTTGAAAGGACAGTCCAAAACAAAGGCAGTCAGTGCTTCTGCTTGTAAAACATGGAAATGCAAGAGGCCCAAGGAAAATCACCTTCTAACAATATGTACCCTTTGCTTCTACATTGTCTTAGGCTCCCAGTCAATTTTTCTATAAGTATGCCATTCTATCAACCAAGCTGATTAATCTGACCAACAAAGGGAGGACCAAATGTATTTAATTTGCCTTATGAATTATGTAATTAAGGCTACTACAAACAGGAACTCTGAGCAGCAAGGTGAGGTCAATCTACAGTACTGACTTCCACTAGGTCCTCTAGGGTCTTGGACAAAATCAGCTAAACAAATCCCATAAACCATCAAAGTCTACCTTAGAAATTCAACTGGCTTCCTCCTCATGTTTCTGTGTTGACCTTTCCACTTAAACTAAAGCATTAATCCAGGTATAGGAAGATGCATTGGCAATTACACAGAATCTACCTTGTAATCTGTCTGGCCCATGAAGAAGTCCCAGGCAATTCTATCATACATAACAATTCTGGCTAGTGACTTGATGCTGACCTGAATACCTTTTAGAGATAAAATCCTAACACTAATCATTTCAGCTGAAGTCAGGGACTGATTTCATAATACCTATCCTAACCGGATGACTCCATCCTAGAGATAAACTACCTGCAGGGTACACGTAAATAATGAATGAGTCAGCCCCTCCAGGAAATTCCCCCAAGTAATCTAGGTTAGCCTGATTTTGGAGAAATCTCAGCAATCATATGAGAACTATATGATGTTTCCTTAAATACCTAAAGGTCTCTTAAAATCACTCTTACAATACAAGTCATTATGTTTCTGGTAAGGGGGCAAATTAATGTCTGGCTTCTATATAAGAACTAAGGGACCAAGAAGTCATGAGATCGCCCTGGAAAGAAGTGTTGTTTACAATGGTTGGAACTCCACAAGTAAGATATAAATCAGTCAGGGCACAAGCCCACAGTACTTCAAACAAGGTCTTCCATCAGAATAGTGTGGCTTAGCATTCTTATTTTAGTTCAAATAACTGAGTCTCTAAGTCCTTGTTTTTTTGGAGAAACTGTCTAAGAAACATGACATGGGGCTATGTAGCCCACAAATGGACACTCCAGAGACAGCACCCATAATCTCAGTGTCAACCATGAAGGGCCTGAGATTTTGCCCTACTTCTAAACTCAGCCAAACCTCAGCCAGCCAAACCTCTCCTGTTTGTCCACACAACAGCAAGGTGGCATTCAGCCACTTTATGGAATAACTGAGCAATGGCTACAAAAATGGGGGTGGGCAAGACATCTGAAGATATTGACAGCTATTTTGCATGGAAGGTTAGAGTGCTGGGGCCATCATTGGTTATGGGGAATGAAAACCAAAACATGGGCTGAGCCATCTGGAAACGGGTGGGAGACTTAGCACTATGTTAAATTTAAAGCATCTGAATTTTGGTTTTGGTTTTTCACTTAAGACAAGGTCTGGCTCTATCGCCCAGGCTGGAGTGCAGTGGCACAATCTTGGCTCACTGCAACCTCTGCCTCCAGGGCTCAGGTGATCCTCCCACCTCAGCCTCCTGAGTAGCCAGAATTACAAGTATGTACCACCATACCCGGCTAATTTTTTATTTTTTGTAGAGACAGGGTTTCGCCATGTTGGCCAGGCTAGTCTTGAACTCCTGAGCCCAAGCAATCTGCCTGCCTCACATCCCAAAGTGCTGGAATTACAGGTGTGAGCCACCACGCCTGGACTATTTAAGGCACTTGTAACTGTTGATAATAATCTCCTCCTCAGACTCAGACCCTTCATCTGGAAGAGTCACTGCAAAAGAAACGAGAACATTAATAATAATAATAATAATAACAATAATAATAATAATAATAATAATAATAATAAAGGTCCAGAGAACCATTATACCTCCCCACCCCCATATCTTGACCCATAAGGACCACTGTAGGGAAACTTAGTTATCTGTATATTCACCAAATGGTTATCATACTTCTGACCTGACTGTCAACCCTGCAGAAGAATCTGAGTTGTTGAGCCAGAAATAATTCTTAATCCCCTAAGACCCCTTTAGGTAGGCTGCCACCTGGAGGGTGTACCTAGCAGGCTGGCCTGTGGCAACCTCTGAGAGAAAGAAAAAGAAAAAGACATCATGCCCAGGAATTTTCAAAATACATCTATGTAACTCCCAAGGTCTTTCATCCTGATCATTAACCAGGAAGCAGCAAATAGGACATGTTCCCTCTCTGGGGATAGGCCACATTCAAGGGACCAAACTGCTTACTAAGGACCAGGAGGAAATGAGAGAAGGTCAGAAATTTTTTTTTTTTTGAGTCAATTTTGTGACCACTCCAACACTCAACAATATTGGATTTCCACTGATGGTAGGGAATGAGGAAGGCCCACTAAATATCCTGACTAACAGCCCACTGTAGAGTGGCTTTTGGGATAGAAGGCATACCATCATCAGGGTGCAAATGGTCCCACAAGCTGAGTGAACACATAACACAAATTAGTTTCAAAGTTCACAAGTGTGGAGAAGTTGGCTTATCAGACTGGTACATCAACACTATGATATGAAAAGGTATCAACAGCAGTAAGGTAGTATCAATAGACCCAAGGAGTCAAAGGTCCAATGTAGTCAAGATGCCAGCAGCAGACAGGAACCCATGCAACGTGACCTAGATCATCGCAACACAACAATGTCAATTTTTGGCAGGAGCCACAAGTCTGAAATACAGTAGTGTCCTCTCCATCAGAAACTTAAGAGTACTTTGTAACACCAACATCTTGCACCTTAGCATTTTTTTTTAAAAAAGAGATGAAAGCAAGTATCCAATTGCTAGGGTATTTAGATTTCACTGGATACATTTAAAAGAGCAATGCAACCACTTTATTTTTAAATGTCAATACCAAACATCCAAATTATATCTTATGCAATTATTCAACTTGTAATTTAGAAATTTAGGTGTTAACTTAAAAACGCACAAGTAGTTTCTTCAGGTAAAAAGAAGTCTAATGAACTTCTCTACACTATAGTTATCTCCTCTACATTATGGAAGAAATCCTCTTACTTCACTGTTTCAGGCTCGGATCTTCATGAGCTACAGGACTTTTGAAACACTTCAACTGGGCCAGAGGCAGTGGCTCACACCTATAATCCCAACACTTTGGCAGACTGACGCAGGCAGATCACTTGAGATCAGGAGTTCAAGATTAGCCTGGCCAACATGGTGAAACCCCATCTCTACTGAAAATACAAAAATCAGCTGGGCTAATTTTTGCATGGTGGCGCACACTTATAATCTCAGCCACTTGGGAGGCTGAGACGGAAGGATTGCTTAAACCTGGGAAGTGGAGGTTGCAGTTAGCCGGGATCGTGCCATTGCACTCCAGCCTGGGTGACAGAGCAAGACTCAGTATAAAAGGAAAAAATGCTTCAATTGTGGCAATACCTGCTTGTCAAGCTCATTTTCTTACTGCAAAATTCTATTTTCCCCAAAGTCTATATAACATTGCCTGGAATATAGTAGGCACTCGATAAATATTTACTGGATAAATGAAAGTCTGATGCCAAATATTAATTTTTATTCTCTTTGCCTTCCTAACACACTGCCACGCCATCTGAGGCAGATTATCTCAAGAAACCTAGAGAAGAGACTATGTATATGGAAATACCATACTATCATACAGTTTCACACACATAAAAAAAAAAAATCTGCGGTATCTTACATATAATGATCCCAAAACAATTTCTAAAAGTACTAACTCTTAGAGACTTAGTAAATCTTTAAAGCAGTTAAATCAGAGCCTCTTACTCTCGATCACAGAAAAATAAAGAAAAATAATATAACTGATCCCTGAAGCATAAGGGAAACTAGAAAGAAAAATAAGCAAAGAAACCAAACCAGATTCAATGGAATATTCCTGTAGAGAGTATTCTGACAAACCACCAAGTTCCCCTTAATGGAGGACTCAGGCTGCCTGAGCAGATTGCCCAAGATTATGCTCCTTTCCCAGGGCAGCCCACAACCAATGCAAAGCTATATAAGGGCCTAGAAATTGAAGTCCAGCTGAGGACTTAGTCGAGGATGTCACTGGAACCGAATCACAACTCAACTTTTCCCTCTGTCCAATCCTGCTTCCTTCCCCTCTGTTTCACAGATGTTGATCCAAAGGGTACTCAATGAATATCCTGCACACTAAACTCTATCTCAGGCATCCCATGGATTCCAATCTGTTAATAATTCCTGAGAGCCACACTTGTAGATCAATGCGGCGTACAAGAGTTAGAATAATAGTTTCTACTTATATATCTTAATAGGTGAAGAAACAATACGGAAGAATGAAAAAGCTACCACTACTTCTCTAACAGTTCTAACTGAACCAAAATATTTTCCTTTAAAAAAATACATACCAAGTTATGAACATATTAAATATCTCAGTGTATATATCTATTACCATTATTTTCCAGGCTAGGACAACACTTCTTTCTTTCTAATAACAGTAATTGAATATATATATTAATGTAGTATATTAAATGTTAGATTATTCATGGTCTGTTTTATGTGGTTTTTATATTTTAATTTCTAATCAGAATAGAAATTCCCCATGTAAGTATTCCATTTTCTGTAAGCAAATTAAAAACCAGAAAGATACTCTCCTATTAAGATCCCTGCTTAAGAAGAAAATGCTGTCCTGAAATTTAATAGCAGAATACAAACACTTATAAATGATTCAGAGATCCTATCAGTAAAAGTATCATTTCCTATACACACCATTACAAGCAGCAAGGTTAGAATATGAATTAATTACATGAAGAAATGTAGGAAAACACATCCAAATCCATTTTCATAGCTGTTTCTCAAAATGTAATCACTTCTCTTACAAGCCCTTGAAATCATAAAATACTTTAAAAATTGATGGAAAGTCTGCCCACAGACTCTCTGTAATCACCTGAACTGAAAATCAGTTTTTGCATACAAGGCACTGGGGGTTTCTTGAGGGTGGAGAGGGTAGGAAGACTGGGGGGTCCTGTAATTAGCATTCCAGGACTGTTTTGGTGTCTGCAAATTAGGGGTGACAGTGGGCTGGTTATGGTGGGTTTCTTCTTGAGGGGTAAGAACAAGGGTCTTTGTTAATGAAGGAAGCCTCTGGCTAATTGTGGAGGGTGGAGATGCTTTTGTAAAACACAGTTTTTTTATTAAGCCGTTCTCACACTGCTATAAAGAAATACCTGAGGCTGAGGAATTTACAAAGAACAGAGGTTTAATTGGCTCACGGTTCTGCAGGCTGTAGAAGCAAAGACCTAGAATGTGCTTCTGATGAGGGCCTCAGGAGGCTTACAATCATGATAGAAGGAAAAGCGGGGGGCAGGTGTCTCACATGGGGAGAGCAGGAACAAGAGGGGGTGGATCCCTGACTTATAAACAACCAGATCTCACATGAACTAACTGAATGAGACCTTACTTATCACCAAGCAGATGGTTCTAAACCATTCTGAAGGATCTGCCCCCATGATTCAATTACTCCTAGCAGGACCCCACCTCCAACACTGGGAATCACATTTCAAATAGAGGTTTGGAGGGCACAAACACCCAAACCACATTAGTATCTTTTGTTTCTTCAGCATTTAATTTTTTTAAAAAATGATTGCTACAGTGAACAAAATTCTTATGAACCATTTTATACAGAGTCTAGATTGATGGTGTCAAGTTAAGTCCAGTAGAAAGCCAGCACAAACTCAAAGTCCCACCTCACTTACCTTAAAAAGGACCTGGGAATTTTCCAACTCGTAAAAATTTTTAAAAGTTCAGTTCTACCTGTCCAACTCTGACTCACAGCAATACGACTACATAAAAATGGGGCCACATGAACTACCAGAAATTATATTTTAAGTTATACAACACCAAGAACATCTGAGGACTTACCCTCCTGAAAGAATGGTTTTTAATCATCCTCCTAAATCAAGAGTCTCCAAACATTTTCTAGAACTAGACTGGCCACATCAGTCATATCAGAAACTATCCATGAACTTCAGTAAACACGTTTCTCACTCACCCTGGAGCTGTTTTTAAATACTCAGCAAATTAGGCAGTAACAATTTTCCTTATTTTTGCTTTAAGGAGCAGGAAAAAAGCTTCCCTTCATAAAAAAGTACCTCCTACAAAAGAGATCAGCTCTGACCACCTAAGAGTCAAAAAATCCTCTTCCAGTGAAAGAAAGTGAACTGCTTCTAATGTGTCTTTCCTTTTCCCTTTTTTCTACTCTTTGTCATATCGGTACTATGGCAGGCTTATTTTAAAATCTTACTTTTATAAATAATTTTTTTTAACTTAAAGATAGGCTGCATGTCTTGTTTATTTTTGTTTTCTGGACTTTTTCTGGTAGAGATGGGGGCTGCTCTTGAACTCCTGGCCTCAAGCAATCCTCTTGCCGTGGCCTCCCAAAGTGTTGGAATTACAGGCTGACTTCTGCTTGCCCACCAGCAAATATAATGAATGTTTTATCAATGTTCTTGACTTGAGTCCAAATTTTAGATTTTGAACATTCCCTGGCCTTCTCTTATAGTTAAGGAGTTTTTTTAAAAAAAAGGGAGGGGACTTTGGGATTGGACACAACTAAGTAAAACATGTACTGCGTGCAAAAGGAAATAAAATCAGTTATGCAGAGTAAAGAGTCAGAACTTGCTCATAAACCTATGTTAAATGTCCAAACTCACAATGGATAAAGAACGCACTACCTGTAAACCTGACTTCCACACTTACAGAGTCCCTGTGCTTTCCCCAACAGGTTACTTATATTTACCCTCAAATATATAAATCCAAATACCTTATTTCATCCATAAAACAGTTAGTTTTACATAGAGTCACACAGAGCTTTATGTTATTTTCAAATTGTATGTGGAAAATTCTATGAAAAATGTTTAACTTCGACTTGGGTTAAGTATATGAGCCATCCAGGGACAAAAAGGACATCACCTGTGGAACCTAGAACTTCATGTAGCACAATAAATTTGAGTTGAGAAATTAAGAAATGTCCTACGTGAACTTAATCTTTGCTTGTCTATAATCCTGATATTTTTTCAGTGTTTCTTCTGTTTTCTCCAACTCCCTTGCTGTAAAGGTAAGAGCATCAATTTAACACACCACATACAAACAGTAAAGAAGAATATTCAATAAATGCTTTCTAATGGTGACAGCAAAAATAGTACTGTGTATCAGGAAATTTCGCCATTCTCATCTTTGGCTATAAATCTACAGAATACTTAGGATTCACAGATAACTGGCACTGGATTTTTTTAAAAGCCACCTAGTTCATCCATATAAAAACAGGACCATTAGGCCACACACAGTGGTTCATACCTGTAATCCCAGCACTTTGGGAGGCTGAGGAGGACAGACTGCTTGAGCCCAGGAGTGTGAGACCAGCCTGGGCAACATGGCAAAACCCCATCTCCACTAAAAATACAAAATTAGCCAGGCTTGATGAAGTGCGCCTGTAGTCCTCCCAGCTACTTGGGAGGCTGAGGTGGGAGGACTGCTTGAGCCCTGGAGGCAGAGGGTGCAGTAAGCCAGGATCATACCCTTGCACTACAGCGTGAGTGACAGAGAAGGACCCTCTCTCAAAACAACAACAAAAAAGCAGGACCAAATTTTCATAGTTAAGTATTGAAAAGAAGGTTTGACTGGGACTTTAACTTCAAAATGAAAATTATTTTTAGAAGAGCTTATAGCATTTTATTTTACAAATTTAGGTCATTATTATAACCATGTGCTAATTCTGAGGAGAATCAACACAAGTTGACTTTGCTTATCCAAACAAAGGTAAATTTTCCACAAAGTTACCTCTTAATTCTTTGGTATCTAAACCACTTTAGATACCAAAGGCCCTTTCATGGACATCATGAAATATTGCAATTTTGCATTATCTACAATTTTGCTTTATGTTCAATTTAAAGTATACTGTCACTAGAGAGCAACCAATAAAGATTTTGACGCAATGGACATGGCTAGACACTACAGCTGTGGGATGTTTGAATGGAAATGACTGTAGAGATGAAAACTTTTGTTTCCCTCTGTAATCTCTACCTGTAAAAACCTGGGATTATGAATACTTGGACAATAAGGACTTCAATAAACTAATGTCTAAAGGATTTAAGAAAATTTAAAAATAAGCATTCATTAATCATGATGGCTTCAAGAAAAACCTATTGAGTAAAAATAGTTAATGTAGCCAGGCATGGTGGTGCATGCCTGTAGTCCTAGTTACTTGGGAGCTGAAGCAAGAGGATCACTTCAACCCAGCTATAACTGCACCACTATACTCCAACATGGGTAACAGAGCAAAACCCTGTCTCGAAAAAAAGAAAAAAAAAGGGTATTTTTACATGGCTAATGTGAGTGGAGTTACCATATATAACACAAATAACAATTTTTTAAAAAATTAAGACAATAAAATATATCCAAAAAAACACACAGCCAGGCACAGTGGCTCACACCTGTAATCTCGGCACTTTGGGAGGAAATGGAGGGAGGAATGTTTGATGTTTGATGCCAGGAGTACACAACCAGTCTGGGCAACAAAGTGAGACCTCATCTCTACAGGGAAAAAAAAAAAAAGAAATCAGCCAGGCCTGGTGGCATGTGCCTGTAGTCCCAGCTACTCAAGAGGCAAAAGCATGAGGATGGCTTGAGCCCAGGAGTTCAAGATTGCAGTGAGCTATGATCATGATCATGCCACTGCACTCCAGTGAGAGAAAGAGAGAGAGAGAGCGAGAGAGAGAGAGAGACAGAGAGAAAGAAAGAAAAAAGAAAGAAACAAAGAAACAAAGAAAGAGGAAGGAAGGAAGGAAGGAAGGAAGGAAGGAAGGAAGGAAGGAAGGAAGGAAGGAAGGAAGGGAGGGAAAGAGAGAAAGAAAGAAAGAAAGAAAAAGAAAGAAAGAAAGAAAGAAAGAAAGAGAGAAAGAAAGAAAGAAAGAAAGAAAGAAAGAAAGAAGGAAAAATATTTGTTACATCATTTTCCTTGAGTTTTCAGAAGGTATTTCTCAATCTGTCGGCATCTCAGACTTATCATATTAGTCAGTTTTCATTATACAAAAAAATCACTGGAAAGCTGGAAAAGACCTTAGGGATAATCTAATACTACCTCTTCATTTTACAAAGGAAGAAACTTAGGACCAAAAAGGTAAAGTGACTTGTCCAATATTAACAGTTTATGGCAGGGTGAGGGATCTCAATACATAATTCTTTCTCTTATAACAACGTGAAGAACATTTACCATACTCCAAAAAATTCTCTTAAACAAATTCTTCATTTTATCTTTTTTACTGATTGTCCTCCTCAAACAGAATACACGTCAAACAGAACACATCATACCTTTTTTGTTTTTATCTACTCAAAGTAGTTTGCTAGGAATGTCTTTCTACAAATAGTTGTGGGGAAAGACAGAAAATACTGACCCCATGCTTGCCTTTCTGAAAACATTTTAATATTGGTAGATAAGGAAATAACCTTATTTTCATCTACATGGTTTACTGTTTCTTGCAGAAGAATATTTAGCTATATATCAGGATACTTAATTTTCTTTAAAAAGAAACTGAGGAAATGTTTCACATACGATGTGAATACCTATACTTTGTAGAATACAATGTATAGACTCTGAAAGAAGCTAAGATCTTTAAAACATTTCATTAACCTTACAAATGACACAATTACGAAGCAGTAATTCCTCAAAGTACTTACCTAAAAAAATCTAGTTAACATGGTGCCAAATATGCTTTATCTAGCTTGTTAATTGCCATATCTCATTTTGTTGTTGTTGCTGCTGTTATTGTTTGAGATGAGGTCTCACTCTGTCACCCATGCTGAAGTGCAGTGGTGCGATCTCGGCTCACTGCAACCCTCTGCCTCCTAACTCAAGCAATCCTCCCACCTCAGCCTCCCAAGTAGCTGGGACCACAGACGCATGCCACCACACTCGCTCATTTTTGTATTTTTGGTAGAGATGGGGTTTCGCTGTGTTGGCCAGGCTGGTCTTAAACTCCTAAGCTCAAGCAATCCACCCTCCTCAGCTTCCCAAAGTGCTGGGATTACAGGCACGAGCCACCACACCCAGCCAATCATTTTCAAAAGGAAAGTAATTTTAAATGAATAGCTATCTCGAACTCCTGACCTCAAGTAATCTACCTGCCTCGACCTCCCAAAGTGCTGGGATTACAGGCGTGAGCCTCCATGCCCTGGCCAACATGGTGAAACCCCATCTCTATTAAAAATACAAAAATTAGCTGGGTGTGGTGGCAGGCGCCTGTAATCCCAGCTACTCGGGAGGCTGAGGGAGGAGAATCAATTGAACCCAGGAGGCAGAGGTTACAGTGAACCAAGATAGCACCACTGGACTCCAGCCTGGGTGACAAGAGCGAAACTCCATCTCAAAAAAAAAATTAATAGCAATCTTAAATCCAGTACTGGCAAAGTCATAATTTCTGGTAAAAATAAGTATAGTCCGTGAGAATAAAAACCTTATCTAATCTCAACATGGAATTTTAAATATCTATTACATCACTGGTTCCTTTTAATTTTTGTGGTGATAATATACTGAAATAAAAATCATAAAAGAGTGTTCAGTTCAATTTATTATTAAGCACATAGTACATGAATGGTACTATGACAGACATTGCAAACCACAGAAAAATTAGACATCCCTTGTCATAAATGACCTTACAGTCTAATAAAAGTAATAGCAATATATCCAATAAAATACAGTAAGTTTGGAAAAAAGGTCTACCAAATAAGAGTATAATAAGAATCCACTGAAGGGCAGCGGACTTTTCACCTGGAAAATAAAAAGCTTAGGGTGACTATTTAGCTTCCGTAAAATACTCAGACTGAGGGTGGTAGCTCACACCTGTAATCTCAGCACTTTGGGAGGCTAAGGCAGGAGAATGGGTTGAGGTCAGGAGTTCGAGACCAGCCTGGGCAGCATAGTGAGACCCTGTCTCTACAAAAAAATCTAAAAATTAGCCAGGCATGGTGGCATGCACCTGTAATCCTAGCTACTCAGGAGGCTGAAGTAAGAGGACTGCTTGAGCCCAGGAAGCCAAGGCTTAAAGTGAGCCATGACTGCACCACTGCACTCCAGCCTGGGTGACAGACCAAGGCCCTGTCTACAAATAAAAACAAAAACAAAAATTAAAATACATTTTTAAAAAATTATTAAAATACTCAAAAACTGTTATATAGAGGAGGATACAGGTTCATTCTGTTTTGCTACAACAGCAGAAATGAGATCTATGGGAGACAGTTGAAGGAAGGCTAAGTCAGCATTTCCTCAAGTTTATTCCACAGACCACTGATCCCTTAAGCTACCTCTCACAAAAAATACCACAATCATATAAATCTAGGAAACACGTGCAGTGTTTATATAGTATATGCAATACTAGAATTCTTCTGGGAGATTAAAAAAATGTACATGAGTATTAAAGAGGTATGCTAAGGAAATCAATTTAACTTTGTTTAATCAAGGGTTCTCCAAATATTCCACCATGGGTTTTGTTGCTTTATCTATTTTTGTTTATTTAAAGAATACCTAAGAACACCCAGAAATACTAGGAAGTATCAACTAATGTTTTTCTAATAATGACACCCTGATCATATGTCTTCAAAGGAAAGACTATCCTTAAAAATAGTAGTAGAGAGATATTTATATCATAATATTTGGCTGGTATCTCTCCCTCAGGCACAAAGTTTTGAACATAAAATGCTTTCAATGAATGGAAGAAAAAACAGTCCTCTAAAACAGCATATAGTATAGCTAATACTCTAAAGATCAGAATGAATTTCTAAATTTTCTTGAAAACATAGAGAACTGAATGTAAACTCACAATTTAAGAAATGAATGGGCCGGGTGCGGTGGCTCATGCCTATAATCCCAGCACTTTGGGGGCCGAGGCAGGCAGATCACTTGAGGTCAGGAGTTCGAGACCAGACGGATGAACATGGTGAAACCCCATCTCTACTAAAAATACAAAAATGAGCTTGGCATAGGGTCGGTCGCGGTGGCTCACACCTGTAATCCCAGCACTTTAGGAAGCTGAGGCAGGTGGATCACAAGGTCAGGAGACAGAGACCATCCTGGCTAACACAATGAAACCCCGTCTCTACTAAAAATACAAAAAAATTAGCCGGGCGTGGTGGAACACACCTGTTGTCCCAGCTACTCAGGAGGCTGAGGCAGGAGAATGGCGTGAACCTGGGAGGCGGAGCTTGCAGTGAGTTGAGATCGCGCCACTGCACTCCAGCCTGGGCGACAGAGCTAGACTCCGCCTCAAAAAAATAAAAAATAAAAAAATTAGCCAGGCATGGTGGTGCACACCTGCATTTCCAGCTACTCGGGAAGCTGAGACAGGAGAATCACTTGAACTCGCTTGAACTGTGGAGGTTGCAGTGAGCCAAGATGGTGCCATTGAACTCCAGCCTGGGCTACAAGAGCAAAACTCCATCTCAAAAAAAAAAAAAGAAAGAAAGAAATGAACAAATGTTAAGACCTACGTTTAGGTTCTTTAGCTCAATTTTTAATTATCAATATTCTCAGGAGAGAAGAGAATAATTATACAGCTAAAATTAATTATATGAAAAAAGCAAAAGTTTATCATAACTTAAAGTGAGAGTCACTCTTTATAGAAATTACATCACTGAGGAAAAAAAAACAAAAACCAATTTTCTTCAGTTAAGGTCAACAGCCCATCTATCCCTCAAAATGAAGGCAGACTGATGCACTACCATGTAAGAAGCCCGAGCCAACAAACCTTTACAAAATGGAATCTCAAGAAAAGGTTCTATTTGATTTTAAGTTTGCTTATGAAGCCAACCAAATACTGAGGAGAGAGGAAGAAGGTGAAAGCAAAGGAAATAAATAAGAACACTAGCTTCCTTCTTCAGTCTGCATAGGTACCCAAGGACCATTAGATTCAGTTGATCTTCATTATTCACGGATTCAATATATGCAACTTTGCCTATTTAATAAAATTTATTTGTACAGTAGCTGGGTCTTCCAGTCATTTGCAGACACACACGGGATAACAAAAAATCTGAGTCACCAAACATGCACATTCCCAGCAGACAACGAATAGGCTTTCTTGCTTCAGCTCTTATAATGTAAACAAGAGTCCTTTCAGTAGCCTATTTTGTGCCACGTTTTTGCATTGTTGTGTTTTTGTTGATGATTTCACTATTTCATGGCCCCCAAGTCATTGTAAGTGCTGCCTAGTGTTCTCAAGCACAAGAAACCTACAATGTGCATCATGGAGAAAATAGCTGTGTTAGATAAACTTAGTTCAGGAATGAGTTATTGTTTTGTTGATTGTGAGCTCAATGTTAATGAATCAACAATATATATGTCTTTAAACAGAAACACACATAAAACATGTATTGATCAGTTAACAAAAATGCTGTGACCAGATGCTCACAGGTACCTAACCCTGTATTTCCCCTAGGAGCAGTGGTTCAGTATTCACTAATTCGGTGTCCATGACAACTTTATAGACCATACTACCTTGACTGAGAAGCCACTGAAGTTACCCATTACCCTATGTTACATTACCTCCAGATTTCCTCAACCCATAGAAAAGTGGGCATCTGCAGAAAAAGTTTTCAGAAATGAATAAATGTTGGTTAGATTTCTCATATAAAAGCCCTTAGGAAATTATCATGTTCCTCTTGTAGAAGAATGAATTTTTCTAAGTTTGCTGTTAACCTAGTAGTGGCATACTATGAAAGATGTACAGTAGTTTTAAATGGTAAACTCTCAGCTTACCAGTAAATTCAATTCACTGATTTTAGAAGTGATCCTCTTTTCTCAGATACAGAATTCATATCATCTGTTGGTTTTGCAGGTGCGAGTATGTAAAGGATTCATCTGAATCAATCATTACCTGCAAACTGCTACAGTAGTACAGCATGAGAAGCGCCATAGACTGTCTGCTTTATTTATCTGTTTAAACGTGAAACCTTATAGAGACAGAGAATGAAAACTAAGTCTCCGTTTCGATTGACAGTTCGTCAGTCAAAAGGAAAGCTTTTAGAAACTTCTCTCAAGTCACTTAGTTTTCTTTTTGAATTGGGATATATCTATGTGGGAATCTAGAAATGACATGCTTGACCGATAACTGTCTTTTGCTAGTTCAGTACTCTGTATTGTGTCAAAAAATACAGAAGGAGTCAATTAATTATAGTCAATCAACATAGGTAGATGTCACTACACAGAAAATCTCAGGTTTATGAATATGAAGATATATGTGTTAGGTGGATAATATTTGTTTTAATAGACTTTATATAGTAAATAATGTAAACATTGTGATTGAGTATGATTTTAAGGGCACTCGCCTAGGGAGGAAACACGGAGGCTTTTTATTTTTTGTAAAGCGTATTTGGTTATTCCTTTGTGTTCTCAATTTTCTGGACAGTAAGATGTGCAAGAAGTGTTTGTTTTCTCATGGGGCATGTGGAACAGGTAACTATACCCCCAACAACTCCCACCCCATCTCTTCATCTTGCACACACAACACAATCACCATCATGTCTTTGCCTATTGAGACAACTCCTAATTTTAGTCTTTTAGAGCTACTAAGCATAGGTCACCACTTGTGCTCCAATCATTGACTTCTGAACATGGACAATGAAAACTATATTTAGAAAAACTAGGGACATAGATACGCTTCTCAACTTCAAAATACCTATAATCTCAAATTCAAATTCAAGGCTTATTGGTTTCTCTCTTTCTAGAAAGTTTCATGCTCTCCTTCAATCCGGACAGTTATGTAAGGGTTGTTGTAACACCTTCCATATCTGGACTCACTCTTTTACTCCTATGGCTTTCCAAAGACAGTGGCAATCCTTCTCCTGTGGCTTTCTCCTTGAACTCTTACAAAAAAGACAACCTCTAGAATAAACAATGGAAGCAGGCAGAACTAGGAACCAGTCACTCGAAAATATGTCCTATTGATGTGATGATATATAGCATCAATTAAGAAATTTTACTGACAAAAAAATTAATGTTTCAGGAAAAATGGGAGAGAGTGGAACACATGAATGACCCTTCAAGGAAAGTCAGACAAATCCAGAATGTGAGACATCCCTAGACAGGTGCTCTGCTTTCTGAAACATCAGGTATAAGGAAAACTATTTTAAATGAAAAGAAACTAAAACATGCAACAATCAAATCCAACGAATATTTTTTAAATCTATGAAAGACATTTTGGGGACAATCTGGGGAATGTAAATAGAAATCATGTCAGCGAATTGCTGTTAATTTTCTTTGTTAAAATAATGTGGTGTAAGTAGAAGAACGTCCTTTTTGGTGGAAATACTTACTGAAATATTGGAGGCTGGTATTCAAATCTGTGAAACCTACAAAAAATAATACAATTTGTGGAATTCCTGGACAATGAAATATAAACAGGCATTAGAAATCCCAGCACTGTAGGAGGCTGAGGTGGGCGGATTACTTGAGGTCAGGAATTCAAGACCAGCCTGGCCAACATGGCAAAACCCTATCTACTGAAAATACAAAAATTAGCCAGGCATGGTGGCACATGCCTGTAATCCCAGCTACTCAGCAGGCTGAGATAGGAGAATCACTTGAACCTGGGAGGTACAGGTTGCAGTGAGCCGAGATCGCGCCACTGCACTCCAGCCTGGGTGATGACAGAGCAAGACTCCGTCTCAAAAAAAA
This sequence comes from Homo sapiens, assembly GCF_000001405.40. Taxonomy (NCBI): domain Eukaryota; kingdom Metazoa; phylum Chordata; class Mammalia; order Primates; family Hominidae; genus Homo; species Homo sapiens. The sequence continues at coordinate 57,001,023 of NC_000015.10, read as the reverse complement.
AAAAAAAAAAATTTTTTTTAAATTTTTAAAAATTTAAAAATAAAAGCACTAGAATAATTACAGAAAAGGCAAAATTTATTTCTAGGAAAAAAATGGCTGTAGAGTCATAATAAACAGGACAACTGCAAAATAAAGCACTAAGAAAGAATTTCAGCAGTGAAAAACTAAAATGAAGAAATAGGAGCCAAGCCCTGGTAATGGTAAATTTGACACAAATCATACCTCAGTGGCAAAAATAATCAGGCTTGGTGTGCAGTACTAGAAATCATTAATAAGGAGGCACAGATAATAAAAACAAAGTTAGACTGGAAAAACATCATCCTTTATGTTTTTGAAGAACCAGTTTTTATGTTCACTGATTTCTTATTTTTAATTTCATTGATTTCTGCTTTAATTTTTATCATGTTTTCTTTTGCTTATACTGGATTTAATTTGTACTTCATTAGCTTCCTAAGGTGGAAGCTCAGATGATTAATTTTCAATCTTTTGTCTAGTTTCTACATTCAATGCTACAAACTTCCTTCCAAGCACTGCTTTTGTTGCATCACAAATTTTGATAAACTTTTCATTTTCATTTAGTTTAAAACACTTTCTTTTGAGATTTCTTCATTGACCCATGTGTTATTTAGAAAAGTAATATCATCCCTTATTTTATATGTTTAAAAAAAAAAAAAACAGACTTCTGGCCAGGTGCAGTGGCTCATGCCTGTAATCCCACCACTTTGGGAAGCCAAGGCGAGAGGATCGCTTCAGCCCAGGAGACGGAGGCTGTAACGAACTATGATGGTGCCACTGCACTCCATCCCTGGTGATAGAGAGAGATCCTGTCTTTAAAATTTAAACAAAACAGATTTCAAGAGATGAAGTAGATTACAAAAGGTCAAAAAGAAAGTTGCTCACAGATTTTAAGTATAGGAAATGTGTTCTGTCTTTCAAATATTACTGCACAAGTGAATGAATACTCCTAGTTATGAACAAGAGAAAAATGAGAAAGTTTAGCATTTGATTAAGAAATGAAATTTAGGCCAGGCACAGTGGCTCATGCCTGCAATCCCAACACTTTGGGAGGCTGAGGTGGGTGGATCACTTGAGCTCAGGAGTTTAATATTTCTTTTTTTATTAATTATGAATTAAACTCTTCTTTTTGATTGAGACAGAGTCTCACTCTGTCACCCAGGCTGGAGTGCAGTGGCTCCATCTTGTCTCAGTGCAACCACTGCCTCCCAGACTTAAGGGATTCTCCAGCCTCAGCCTCCTGAGGCGCTGGGACTACAGGCATGCACCACCACGCCCAGCTAATTTTTGTATTTTTAGTAAAGACGGGGTCTCACCACATTGGCCAGGCTGGTCTGGAACTCCTGACCTCAAGTGATCCCCTCGTGTTGCCCTCCCAAAGTGCTGGGATTACAGGCATGAACCACTGCACCCGGCCAAATTCAACTTAATAGTTAAAAGACTATACAAGATCATCTGTTTCATCTTAGGTGAGTTTTGGTAGTTACTGTCCCAAGGAATTAGTCTATTTCACCTAAGTTGTCAAATTTATGTGCATAGAGTTTTTTAGTATCACTTATCCTTAAAATTCCTGTGGAGTTTGTAATGATATCCCGTTTGGTTGCTGATACTAGTTTTTTATGTCTTCCCTTTTTCTGCTGTATTGCTAAAGATGATCAATTTTACTGATCTATAAAAAAGGAAACTCAACTTTTAATGTCACTGATTTTAGCTACTGTTTTACTGCTTTTAATTCATTGATTCTCCTGTTACTGGGGTTTATTTGTTCTTTGACTAGTTTCTCCCCGCTCCCCCCTCCCTTTTTTTTTTTTGAGATGGAGTCTCACTCTGTCACCCAGGCTGGAGTGCAGTGGCGCGATCTCAGCTCACTGCAAGCTCCGCTTCCCGGGTTCACGCCATTCTCCTGCCTCAGCCTCCCGATTAGCTGGGACTACAGGCGCCCGCCACCACGCCCAGCTAATTTTTTGTATATTTAGTAGAGATGGGGTTTCACCACGTTAACCAGGATGGTCTCGATCTCCTGACCTCATGATCCGCCCGTCTCGGCCTCCCAAAGTGCTAGGATTACAGGCATGAGCCACCGCGCCCAGCCATGTCTAATTTCTAAGTACTTGGAGATTTCTGTGTTATCTTTCTGTTACTGATTTCTAATATATTTCCATTATGATCTGAGAATATATTTTTTGTAAGTTCAATTCTTTTAAATTTGTTAAGGTTTGTATTAAGACCGAGATACAGTCTGTCTTAGAGCATTGTTCCCTTGGAAAGAATGTATATTCTGCTGCTGTTGGGTAAAGTATTCCATAAAGGTCAATTAGATCTATCTAGTTGATAATGTTGTTCGGACATTCTGTACCCCCGGTGATTCTGTCTACTAGTTCTATCTATTCCTAAGAAAAGAATTTTGAAGTCTTCAATTATAAATGCTGAGTTCCTTCTGTACTTGGAAAGAATGTATATTCTGCTATTATTGGGTAAAGCATACTACAAATGTCAATTAGATTTATCTGGTTGATAGTCTCCTTCAAGCATTTTTTTTTTTTTTTTTTTTGAGACAGAGTTTCACCCCTGTCACCAAGGCTGGAGTGCAGTGGCACAATCTTGGCTCACTGCAGTCTCCACCTCCTGGGTTCAAGCAATTCTCGTGCCTCAGCTTCCCTAGTAGCTGGGACTACAACCACGTGCTACCACACCCAACTAATTTTTGTATTTTTAGTAAAGAGGGGGTTTCACCATGTTGTCCAGGCTGGTCTAGAACTCCTGACCTCAAGTGATCCACCTGCCTAGGCCTCCCAAAGTGCTGGGATTACAGGCATGAGCTACAACGCCCAGACCACCTTCAAGCATTCTATACCATTAGTAATTTCTGTCTACTAGTTCTATTCGTAAGAGAAGAATGTGGAAATTTTCTATTATAATTATTGAATTCCCTATTTCTCCTTTAAGTTCTATCAGATTTTGCTTCATCTATTTTTAAATTCTGTTGTTAGCTACTTACACATTTAGGATTGGCAAATCAATTCTTTTATCAATATGTAATGTTCCTCTTTATTTGGGTATTAGCTTAGCTCTGAAGTTTGCTTTGTTATTAATATAGCCACTAGGGTTTTCTTTCCAATAGTGTTTGCATGCTATATCTTTTTCCATCTTTTCACTTTTAACCCACCTATACCATATTTAAAGTAAGTTTCCAATAGACAGCATAAAGTGGGTTTTTTCTATGGACTCTTGACAAACTTTTAATTGATTTGTTTACAGCATTTAAAAATTCAACGTAATTACTGATGTGTAAGAACTTAAATCTACCATTTTATTATTTGTTTTCTCATTAATCCCTGTTTCCCCTTTCCTGTCTTTTGGGTTATTTGAATATTTTTTAACTTTTATTTTAGAATCTGGGGGTATATGTGCAGGTTTGTTACATAGGTATACTGGATGGTGCTGAGGTCTGGAGGACAAATGAATCCCTCCTGCAGGTGGTGAGCACAATATCTAATAAGTAGTTATTTTTCAACCCTTACTCCTTTCCCTTCCTCCCCCTCTTGTATTCCCCAGTGTCTACTGTTCTCATTTATGACCATGTGTACCCAATATTTAGCTCTCACTTGTAAGTGAGAACAAGTGGTGTACAGTTTTCTTTTTCTGCATCAGTTCCCACAGGATGATTCTCAACTGCATCCATGTTGCTGCAAAGGACATGATTTTGTTCTTTTTATGGCTGCATAGTATTCCATTGCGTATGTGTACCACATTTTCTCTACCCAATCCACCACTGATAGGCACATGTGTTGATTCCATGTCTTTGCTCTTGTGAAGAGTGTTAGAATGGACATACGGGTATATGTGTCTTTTTGGCAGAACAATTTATTTTCCTTTGAGTATATACCCAGCAGTGAGATTGCTGGGTCAAATGGTAGTTCAACTCCCAGGTCTTTGAGAAATCTCCAAACTGCTTCCCACAATGGCTGAAATAATTTACACACTCCCACCAATAGTGTTATGTGTTCCCTTTTTTCCATAGCATTGCCAGCATCTGTTATTTTGTGACTTTTTAACAAAGCCATTCTGACTGGTATGAAATGGTATCTCATTGTGGTTTTGATAGGAATTTCTCTGACGATTAGTGATTATGAGCATTTTTTAATATGTTTGTTGGCTACTTGTATGTCTTCTTTTGAGAAGTGTCTGTTCATGTCCTTTGTCCCTTTATAATGGGGTTATCTGCTAGTTGATTTAAGTTCCTTAAGATTTTGGACATTAGACCTTGTTGGATGCATAGTTTGTGAATATTTTCTCCCATTCTGTAGGTTGTCTGTTTACTCCCTTGATAGTTTCTCTTGCTGTCCAGAAGCTCTCTAATTAGGTCTCATTGGTCAATTTTTCTTTTAGTTGCCAACTGCTTTTGAGGACTTAGCCACAAATTCCTTGCCAAGGCTAATGTTGAGAAGAGTATTTCCAGGTTTTCGTACAGGATTTGTAAAGTCTGAGGTCTTAAAGTCCCTAATCCATCTTCAGTTAATTTTTGTATACACTGATAGGTAGGGGTCTAGTTTCATTCTTCTACATATGGATAGCCAGTTATTAAAAGCAACATTTATTGAATAGGAAGTCTTTTCCCCACTGCTTAGTTTTACTGACTTTGTCAACAATCAGATGGTTGTAGGTGTGTGGCTTTACTTTTGGGTTCTCTATTCTGTTGCATCATCTTTTTTTGTGCCAAGACCATGCTGATACCAAAAGCTGGCAGACACACAACAAAAAGAGAAAACTTCAGGCCAGTATCACTGATGAATACAGACACAAAAATCCTCAACAAAATACTACCAAACTGAATCCCCCAACACATCAAAAGGTATTTCACCATGATCAAGTAGGCTTTATTCCTGGGATGCAAGGCTGGTTCAACATACACAAATCAATAAATGTGATTCACCACATAAACAGAATTAAAAACAAAAACCAAATGATCATCTCAATAGATGCAGAAAAAGCTTTCAATAAAATCCAATATTTCTTCATGATAAAAACCCTCAACAAACTAGGCCTTGAAGGAACATAACTCAAAATAATAAGAGTAATCCATGATAAACCCACAGCTAATATCATACTGAATGGGCAAAAGCTGGAAGCATTCCCCTTGAGAACTGGAACAAGGATGCCTCTCTTAGCACTTCTATTCAATGTAGTACTGGAAGTCCTAGCCAGAGCAATCAGGCAACAGCAAGAAATAAAAGCCATCCAAATAGGAAAAGAAGATGAGCTCTCTCTCTTCATGGACTACATGATTCTATACCTAAAAAACCCTAAAGACTATACCATAAGGCTCCTAGAGCTGATAGGCAACTACAATAAAGTTTCAGGGTACAAAATCAATGTACAAAAGTCAGCAGTGACATTTAACCTAAGAGCCAAAACAAGAACACACTCCAATTTACAATAGCCACAAAAATAAAATATCTAGGAATATAGCTAATCAAGGACGTAAAAGATCACTACAAGGAGAATTACAAAACACTGCTGAAAGAAAATCGGAGATGACACAAATAAATGGAAAAACATCCTATGCTCACTGATTACAAGAATCAACATCATTAAAATGACCACACTACCTAAGTACCCAAAGCAATTTACAGATTCAACACTATTCCTATCAAACTACCAATGTCATTTCTCACAGAACTAGAAAAAAACTATTCTAAAATTCAAATTGAACCCAAAAAGAGCCGAAATAGCCAAAGCAATCCTAAGCAAAAAAAAAAAAAAAAAAAAAAAAAAAAGCTGCAGGTATCACATTACCTGACTTCAAACTGTACAAGGCTACAGTAACCAAAACAGCATGATATTTGAATATTTTTTAATTTATCCATTGTAATTCTAACCTACCTACTTATTTTGTAAGTAGTGGCTCTAGGGATTATAACATACATATTTAACTTTTCAGGGTCTATTTGGAATCAATATTTTACTCTTCAAGTGGATCATAGATGTTATATTTGATGCCACAGCCACTGAAAATCACATCAGATAATGTTATAACTTTTCCTCTCAATTATCCAACGTATTTTAAAGAATTCATGAGGAGAAAAACCATCTACAATATTTACCCAAATATTTACCATTTCTGTTTATCTTCTTTCATTCCTAATGTCAAGTTTTCTTCTGATATAAATTTCCCTTTTGTCTTAAGAACATCTTTTAGCAATTCTTTTAGATCACGTCTGCTGACAACAGATATTCTTAGTTTTTCCTTTACCGGAAAATGCCCTTATGTCACCTTCATTCCTAAAAAATACTTTTGCTAGTTATAAACAGTTCTTTTCTTTCAGTACTGAACAAATTGTTTTTTCTTCTTTATTCTTACTCCCATGGTTTCTGATGTAAAATCTGAAGTCATTAGAATCATTGCTCCCCCCAAGGAGCAATGTCATTTTCCTCTGGCTGCTTTCAATAGTTTTTTTCTTGTTTTTAGTTTTCAGATTAATTATGACATATCTGGGCATAAATTTATTTGGATTTATTCCATTTCTGATTCTCTGAATCTGTATGTTTGTGTCTTTCAATAAATTTGTGAGGTCTTTAGCCATTTAATTCTTCAAATATTTTCTCAAAACTACATTCTTTCTATATGTTGACTACCTCTTCCATTGTGAGTTGAAATCTTCCTGGTTCTTCATATGTTAGATTTTGGATTACAACCTGGATGTCTAAAAATATTGTTATGAAATTTTGGTTCTTGTTTAAATGTCTAACACTTTGTTATTTTCCCATAATATCCTAAGGCTCTGTTCAATTTTTTAAAATTCTTTCTTCTCTAATGTTCAGATTTAAAAATTTCTATTGATTTATCTTCAAGTTCACTGATTTTTTTCCTGCCATTACATTCTGCTATTGACCCATCCAGTGGTCTTTTTCCCCTAACTTATTGTATTTTTCAGTTCTAACATTTCCATTTCTTTGTATCTTCTATTTCTCTGCTGAGACTTTTTCATACATTTCAAGAGTGTTCACAATTGTCTGTTGAAACATTTTATAATAGCTACCATAAAATCTCTGTCAGATAATTCCAACGTTATTATCATGATGGTATATGTTGATCACCTCTTCTCATGTGAGTTGAAATCTTCCTTGTTCTTCATATGTTAGCTAATTTTGGATTATAACCTGGGAATTTTAACATATTGCTATGAAACTCTGGTTCCTGTTTAAATCCTGTGGACACTGGTAATATATTTGTTTTAACAAGTGATTCATTTGGTTAGGATTAGGCCATGAGCTCTAACATGGCTTCTATAGCCATGGTTCCAGCATCAGTTCAACTTTCAAAGGCTTATGCTGTGCCATCTGAATTTGTCCCACTTTTGTATCATCGAATGGTTAGCCTGGGTGACAGCCTTTATTTCCAAGTATGTATAGTTCAGGGAATTCATAAAGAACTTTATGGTATTGCTTTTCCAAGCTTCTCTTTACACGTGGTCTCAGTACTTTCCAATTCTCTGAGGCATCCCTTTTAATTCCTTCATCCAGAATGCTGCATCTTTGGTACTCTTCTTGGGTCACACTTCTGATACTGTATCTGACTTGGAAACAAGAAATGGAAGAACAAAGAGATGAAGAAGGAAAAAGAAAAAGCAATGGGATTTGTCAACTGGAGAGGAAAGTTCTCATCCCTCAGTTTTGACCATGGGCTCCTGCTGTAGTCTCTGCTGCCATTACCACACGGTTGCTTGGGAATAGGGCATGAGAGATGGAGAAGACAAAAAAAATGACAAAATTTTCATTCTGAACTTAGCAGTTATCTTTCCTGTTCCTTGAGCCAGAAGTAGCAGGCGTCTTTTAGAGCTTTCTGTTTCAGATTGCCCCACTTTTAGGTTTTAGATTGTGTTAAGTTGTCTGGGGATGCTGGAAGAAAAAAAAAATGGTAAACTCACAGCCAGTGAGATGGTATTCTGAATGCTAGTCTTCATTCATATCCCACCTGGTATTATTTATTCTGCAGAGTCCAGAAGAGTTCCATCCATTTTGCCTAGGTTTTATAGATGCATTCAGTGAGAAAGACGGGGTGCATGTGGTTAATCCATCATACTTGGAAAAGGGAACTAACCTCTAACTTCTTCTCAGTTGCTCAATTCTCACTGACACATGAACTCCTCAAATATCCTTATAAAAAGATAATCGGTAATTTAAAATAAGACAATAGTCCTAAGCATTCTTCTATTCACCAAAATTGCACTAATTCACATGGTAACTAACTCATGAAAAGATAGCCGTAACACTATTAATAAAATCCAATCATGTTTTGGCTAAACAGCTTTTATGACTACAGATGATCACTGCAAGGTCCTCAAAATTTTGTAGTGCACTATCAGAAAAGAAGAACTCTACTTCCTCACTCTTTAGCCTTTATAAAATTCACAATGGCATAATGTATAGCACATCACTAGGTATTTGTGTCTGTGATCCATTTACAGGTGATTAGGTAAGAATCACCATTCAACAAAATGTTATGTGACTTTCAATAGTAGACTCAAATTAAAATTATTCAGGACATGTTTTATTTCAGAAGAATGACCCTTAATCTCTTTCAAACCCTGGCTGCTACGTGAGAAACAAAAGCTGTAAAATTTAGTTTTAACAACAACAACAAAAAATTAAAAGCAGAAAGAATGTGGCAATAAAACTTAATTAAAGGAGACTGGATTTAGAAGCAAGGCTTAAATTTTTATTTATTTATTTACTGTGAGACAGGGTCTCACTCTGTCACCCAGGCTAGACTACAGTGTAATGATCACAGCTTACTGCAGCCTCAACCTCCTGGGCTCACATCATCCTCCCACCTCAGCCTCCTGAGTAAGTGGGACCAGAAGCATACATCACCATGCCCAACTAGGTTTTTTTTTTTTCTTTTTGGCTTTTTTTTAGTAGAGACACGATCTCACTGTATTGCCAAGATTGATCTGGAACTGCTGGTCTCAAGTGATCCTCCCACCTCAGCCTCCTAAAGTACTAGGGTACAGGCATGAGCTACTGTGCCTGGCATAGGAGATCAATTTTTAAGGAAATCTAAAGAATCATATGACAATAGTGTTTATCTCCATAATAAACTTAAAAGTTGTTTTAACCAACTTACTTTTTCTATACCCTGATGGTTAAAAGACAGTTAACCCTTGTACAATGTATTAATCAATGATGATAATTATTTCCCTAAATAAAAAAAAGGGCACTATAATTGAGATTTAACTTTGTAGTTCTGACAGAAGAGTATTTGGAAGGAATTAAGGTACACAAAAAATGAGTAACTCATCTGAATTTAGTTTAAAAATGTTAAATGTTTTGCCATGAAAACTTATTAACCCTAAATGTCTTTTAAATCTTTAGACCATCTTCATTCAAGCAGTAGGTATAGCTCTAAATTCACAGACTAAAAAGGACATTTTCCATAGTGCATATTGATAAGATCATATTTCCTCCAAACTTTATATAAATAGGTCCAAACTTTACTGTCAAACAATTAGATTTTCTGAACTGAGTAAATTAAAACCTTATATTGTAGAAATTAGAATTATATGGAAGATAACATAAGGTCACAAGTTCAGCCCTTTCAATGCAAATTCAATATTCCACTTTTTCCTATGTCTCTAACTGGTCAACCATTTTATCTTGTCCAATGTGGGACACTAGTCATTAGATGGAAACGGAAGACTGGTGAGGAAAGAGAAAAGAGGAGGAAAAGTAAAGAAATCAGGAGAGAATTGGATGCATAAATCAGTGCAAATCCTTCACGGTTAGTGAAAATCAACTGAATATGTGAGATGGTGGGTTGGGAATATCATCTTTCATTACATGACACATTTACGTAAGGCGAGCTTGGGAGACTAAAGCAAACCCCTGAGATTTGTTAACAAATCTGAAGACTGGCCAGGCACAGTGGCTCGCGTCTGTAATGTCAGCACTTTGGGAGGCTGAGGTGGGAGGACTGATTAAGCCCAGGAGTTTGACAGCAGCCTGGGCAACATGGTGAGACCCCATCTCTACAAAAAAATTTAAGGATTAGCCAAGTGCAGTGGTGCACATCTGTGGCCCCAGCTACTGTGGAGGCTGAGGTAGGAGCATTGCTTGAGCCTGGAAGGTAGAGGCTCCAGTGAGCCATGATTATGCCACTTCACTCTCCAGCCTAGGTGATAGAGCAAAACCCTGTCTCAAAAAAAAAAAGAAAAAGAAAAAAATTCTGAAGAGTTATAAAGAAATTTTAACGTAGGTGTTCTGGTCAAAGCTGCTAAAGTTTTTAAAGCTCAGCAGTATTTCAGAATCATAACCCAAGAACACATTGGGCTATCAAGCTACAAGTTCTGCAGTAAGTATGCTACAGGCCAACAGATATGTAGAGTAGTGTTAATAACAAATCTGCAATAGAATTTACCCCCCAAACCTGTAGATCCAATATTTTTTTAATTGCTGATTAGAAGGGCAAAGAAAAATAGAAACACCACATCCCTCTAAATGTTCCTGTAAAATATAAGCACCACGAAGAAAAACCACCTTATGATGGAGCTTTCTTTGAAGAAAGCTTTGGCATACATTTATCCTATAACTACAAGTCTATAAGTTTCTAAATCTGTCCTAGAAAAGGGGCCAAAACACTCTGAATTTTGTATCGTCTTGTTAGGGATACAGTTTTGAAGTAACAACATTAAATCTTATTTTGCTCTACTGATGCTGCCTAAAACACATTTTCTTTCACACACACACACACACGCACACGCACACACAGACACACACACACGATAAAGATTAACTGGAAAAGCTTTTCACATTAAGTTGAAAATGGTATAATATTTACCAAAAAAAAAAAAAAAAAAAGACAAGACTATGCCTAAAAATAAATGGTGTCACTGTAATACCGAAACTACCGAAGTTTTTGCCTGCTGAATACATTTTAAGGTATTAATACAATTTTTATCCTAAAACAAGAAAAAGTAAGACATTTCATTTTTAACTACTTTATTTTTTGTCTTTTAATCTTCATTTGTTTACACAGACATATAATCTAATAAACTCTATTGTTTAAGTCCGTCTCTGAAGTTAGAAAAACAGCCAGGTCAAGGAAAACTAGGTTTGGGAGAGCAACCTTGACATTTCAAGGCCAAACACTTTAGGCAGGTCCAACACCTCCTACACAGTATCCTCATCTCCTAATATCACACCCAAATGTAACAGTTTCCTGTTTCCTGAAGAGGGTGCATCAAGTTCACTTTAAAGGTCAGTTAATACTTCTACTAGGGAGACAAAAAGTACTATACTTTACTAAGTCAAGGTCAGCCCACCCTCTAGAAACCAGCAAACTGATTCCTACAGCAATAAGACTAGAATTACAATCTGTGTCCTTGGGTTTTAACACACGCTGTCTCAGTGCCTTTGAGGCAATAATGTCAAGAAAGATTTAGAAAGACAGACACACACACACTGTAAAATATAAACACAATATAAGCAAACAAACTTCTAAAGCAAAGGTTTGCAAACTATAGCCAGGATTTCTAAATCCACCCAGCTGCCTGGTTTTTTTGTTTTGTTTGTTTTGTTTTAAGTCCTGCAAGGAGAGAATGCTGCAGACAGAATCTGTAGGAGAACACAGTTTTTCCTTTAGAGAAGAGTTCAGCAAACTTTTTCTTAAAATGCCAGATACGAAAATATCTTAGGCTTTGCAGGTCAAGAGGAAAAATGAGGATATAATGTAGGGTCTCATAACCATTTAAACTATAACCATTTAAAATGCAAACACCATTCTCTGCTTGCAGGACTTAAAATATTTTTTCTAATGTTAAAATCTAATACATTACAGAAGCAGTATGATCCTAATTTAAATGTTGGTATAAATATGCATAATATGTAATATATGCAGAGAAAAAAGCTAGGAAATCAACATCAAAATGTCAATAAATAGTCATCTCTTGGAAAATGTTATTTTTAAAATCTTTATTTTTTATATACTTTGCAAAGTAAATTGTCATTGCTATAACCAGTAAACAGTTTAAACACGATTATAGTATACTTTTAAAAGAAAATATAGACCAAAAATATCAATTACTTAAATTTAGCTATTGAGTTATATGATACAGCTTCAGTAACACTGTGGTATTCACCATTACCTATACATCACACTGTTAAGAATTAAGATGGTATTTTTACATCTTTTACCATCCATAAATAAGAAAAGGCCCTTTGTTTTGAACATGGGAAGTCAGAGTTGCTGATCTGGACTTTCAAGGTCACTACTCTGGAATTAATTTCAGACACATAATACACTTTAAAGTTCAATTCAAATACTAATTGTCTACTACATTCACATTAGCTTCAATGTTTCTTTCAAAACACAGTGCAAAAACTGTGACCAAAATCCTAAATATGCACACTCTTTGTGCTCTTTATAACTATAGCAACTAACATTTTAAGTCATATTGGACAGTACAATTTCTTGTTGACAGTCACTAAACAGTTCAAACAAAAATACAGTCATGTACCACATAATGACATTTGGGTCAACAACAGACTACATATATGACAGGTCCCATAAGATTACAACAACATTTTTATTGTACTTTTTCTATGTTTAGATACACATTGTTACAAATGTCTGCAGTATTCTGTATACTAAGATGAGTAACATGCTGTACAGGTTTGTAGCCTAGGAGCAACAGGCTATACCACATAGTCTAGTGTATAGTAGGCTATATACCCCCTAGGTTTATGTAAGTACAATCTATGAAGTTCATATGACCAAATCACCTAATAACTAATTGCTTACAACTTATCCCTGTCAAGTGACACATGACTATATTTTTACTGACAGAAAATAAAATGTTACTATCTTTTAAAATGGTATTTCTGCTAAAAGGTACAATTAAACAATTTTGAATCGTATTTTAATGTTCTTGTTTAATAATCACTGCCTATATGTTTTAGCTGTTATTTTTAAGCACATTAACTTTATAAGCATAAGACCACATACTAATACAAGTGATATATGAAATATCACATGACCAGTTTAACTTGGTAAATAGGTTTACACTGAATGATTAGAAAGCATTTTCAAAGTTTCATCTTTACTGTGTTCTGAAGCAAAAATGAGTCTTTCCTATATGGTTTATTTCCTGAGTTTATCTTGAAAATGCACATAACTTTTACTTCTGGATGATGTTAAAATCCAAATTTAATTCTGCCAAACCACGAATTTAAATTAGAATACCACACATCAGTCTACAGATGACAGCTTTTCTTTCCAAGTGCCAGTCACATTTCTGTTCCTTTTATAGTACAATGTTAATTGGTAAACAATTTAATCTCATTAAAATGTAAAAATAACTTTTTAAAGTAAAAATTATTGAACCTGACATGCACCAAAACTGTAAAGCAGTGAAGATTCCATAGTTACCTAACAATGACTAGTCTTAAATGCAAATAAAATAGCAGCAACAAGAAATTTTCTCCTCTCCCTGTTTTCCTCATGACACAGGCAGACACTCAAAGCTTAAACATTTATTCTGAGGACACAAACCACGCTCCTCAGATTCTGTTAGTAACATTTAAAAGTAACTAATTAGGCCAGGCACGGTGGCTCAAGCCTGTAATCCCTGCACTTTGGGAGGCCAAGGCAGGTGGATCACCTGAGGTCAGAAGTTCGAAACCAGCCTGGCCAACATGATGAAACCCTCTCTTTACTAAAAATACAAAAAATTAGCCGGGCGTGGTGGCGGGCACCTGTAATCCCAGCTACTCAGAAGGGGCTGAGGCAGGAGAATCGCTTGAACCCAGGAGGTGGAGGTTGCAGTGAGCCCAGATTGCGCCACTGAACTCCAGGCCTGGGCAACAAGAGCGAAACTCTTGTCTCAGGGTGGAAAAAAAAAAAGCAACTAATTAAGCTCACTAAATATTGCATTACTGCATGTTGCAAGTAGATATCAAAATTCAAGTATTGGCGTTATCCTCAAAAACTTATTTATTAATTAGTAATATTATAGACCAAGATTCTTTTATTATCAAAAACAGCCAAAGATCTTCAATAAATCAATAAACGAGTTCCTTAACAGAAAACACTATAGAAAACTTTGAAGATTTTTTGTTTCATCCCAAACAAGTACATCCTGCTATGTATTACATGTAACTAATTTTGTCAGAATTATACTTAATTCACCTATTTTATAGGTTAACAACACATCTTACAAATCTAACGAGACAATTTTGTCATTCATTTTGGGCTAGGGTTTTCTTTTTTAAAAAATGCAGACAAGTATTTAGTAAATTGTGTTTAAAAGATACTGTGTATATAAGGATATACATAAGGATACATAAAGTAACTTCTGTTGTGAACAGCCTCTTTTTAAAACTTTAATTTTACTCCAAAAGATATGCAGGAATGTAATACATTATAAAACTTCTGGAAGATTTCTATTTCTGGTTTCTGCCATAATAAATAGTAGGGGTTTAAGCTGAGCTGCTTTTTTGACTTAAAAGATTTTTACACAGTCAGCTACTTACAACAGGACATACTGTAATACCAAAATGGAAACTACTTAATCAACATTTCCTCAAGAAAACACAGATCATACATAAAAGCCTATAAGTGTAAAGTTTTATTTCAAAAAGTAGCATTTACATTTTATTTATCAACAGAAGCTCAAATTTTTTCTCTGGTTTTGTCACCATATTCAGTTAATTTTGGTCAACATTGATAACATACACACCAAAAACCAGAAACGTAAGCAGCAATATAAGGTAATTTATTTATAATGTTAAACAAAAGCATACTTTCTGTAACCAACACAGACTGCTGGTTACAGAATAATTATGATCCTGTTCTCATGCTATGTCTTTTTAAAACTGTTTCTTTAAAGGATTTAAGCCATTCAGAAAACCCAACAGTTTGTGAATCACCCAATACAAAAAATTTCTTATTTCAAGTTTCAAATTGTAGTCATCTATAGCATTACAAAAGAACTGACAAAAGATCAAAAACTGCTGGGTGATCTCAAAATATCCCTCTTCCCTTTCTGTCCACTCCTCAAAACACAGTTTAAATTGATAAAAATTAAAACCTCTTAACTGAAATTCCTTCAGCCTCACAGTTGGTCCTGTTGGTTTTACTACGTATAACTTCTATCATCTAAGAAAATTTGCAGGAAATAAATTTTTAGTCACTGAGTTCTTCATTTAAATAGGAAAAACAATTACTCAGAATTAAACACGTTATTGTAATAGGCTTCATGAGCTTTGGTGTCCTAAAAAGAATCATTAAAACTAGATTTCATTAGGTAGGTACTATGGGGTAAATAATGATATACTCTAAGGACCAGCTTTTCTTCACTAAATGCTATCTGTTCTGTAACCTTAATTTACATGGCTCAAATTTATTCATACATTTTTATAAAGACAGGAACTACGGTTATAAGCACACTTATTTTGCTCTTTGGTATGAAAAAGTAGAGTTTGATAATGCCAATTTGCTACCATCTACGTATCTGGATAAATTAACCAGCTAAGTCAAAATAAGCCATGGTATACATATGAAGATTGGTAGGCCCGAGGGAAGTAACTAATTTAGTAGCCAAAATTAGTTTGGCTTCTGACTCACAATTTTAGTAGTCAAAATTAGTTTGGCTTCTGACTCACAATTTAAAATAATCCTTTGCAATATTCTTCATTTAATTGCCTCATTCTTTGTACTTCCTCTTCACAATGTCTAGGCTCACTTCCTAAGAGTTTTCTTGCAGAAATCAGCATTTATTGACCTCTCAAAGAACACACACTTGCTGTTGTCAGCAAAGAACACGGGATTGGAGAAAAAGCATTGTAGAAGCACTGGAAGGAAATAAAAGTGTATCTTCTCATGAAATAATGTTTGTTCAGATCTGGGACCTCAAAGAAATACTGAACATTTTGATATATAAAAAGAAATTATGTGCATTCCAACCCAAGAGTTCATTTCCTCTGACTGATTCAGGGCCTGACTTTTAGTTGCTATAATTGAGTAGAAAGATAATTTCTACCACATTTACTGGTACTTAGATGGTTAAGCAACATTACAGCCTCAGTATTTTTCACGGTGTCTTAGCACAATCTTACAAAGGTTCTTAACAAACAAAAGTACAAGCCTCTTGAGGTCATCTGAGATCTTATGGGACTTTTCATAATGGTAGGGTGTTAATCCCTATGGTCTGGCCTTTCTCCAATTTAAACCATTACCTAAACTGCTTACCTGAACTCCTATTACCTATTCAATTGGCTCACACATCCTTCATTCTCAATCTTGAACCACAGACCTTGCACACATTTTTTAACAGGCAAGGTAAAATGGCTTCTTTGGGTGCTTAACTACTACAGAAAATGTTTCTCACTCCAGAAGAATTAGTAAAACAGCAGTTTAAACTATACTGTGCTATGACCGTTTGAATTTTTTTTACCATTATTTTGTACGGTACACAGAACACTCTAATTGTCTGTGATTTTACATAGTCTTGGAATTTCAAGCTTTTATCTCTGACAAGAGAATTTGTTCATGATCAGCTTACGTGCTAAACACAGCTGTGAAAGTGCAATTAAGGTCTTATTTCACACCATGTTAGGTACCAAACCTGAGCTAGCACAAGGATGAAACAATGCTAACAGGCCCGGTTAACCACTCCCCTTGTCCCAACCATCCACCTTTCTCTCCCTCTCCACCCTTCACACACACACACACACACACACACACACACACACACACACACACCATGCACATGCTTTTCCTAAATTTGTATATAGTTGTATGCACATATATGTATAATGTATAAATGTGTTCACGTGTTTATACACATAATTTCAACCAGAAACATATATGGTTCATAAAGGTGAAAACAGAAGAACAACGTATCTTTCTCTCTTCACAAGAATAGGTTCTACATATCCTAAGAAACACTAAACAAAAAGAGGTCAATAATCCTTGATCCAAAATTCTTCTTCTTCTTTTTTTTTTTTTTTGAGACAGGGTCTCACTCAGTTGCCTAGGCTGAATTGCAGTGGCACAATCATAGTTTACTGCAGCCTTGACCTCCTGGGCTCAAGTGATCCTCTCACCTCAGCCTCCCAAGTAACTGGGATGACAGGCATGTGCCACCCTACCCGGCTGATTTCATTTTTATTTTTGTAGAAACGGAGTCTCATTTTGCTTCCCAGGCTGATCTTGAATCCTGGGCTCAACTGATCCTCCTGCCTTGGCCTCCCAAAGCACTGGGATTACAGGTTTGAGCCACCGTGCCTAGCCCCTTGAACAAAATCCTAAAATCCACAAAGTTCTAAAGACTAAAGTTTTACATAACTTATTTGACGGTAAAACCTGACCTGAACTGAAATGCATATTAGTATTTTTCAATTCAGAATTGCTGATATATTTGATTATAGGGTTCTGCAATAGATCTCTCTAGGAAATGTTACATAATATATAGTATTTACCACTAATACAGTTTTTAAAATTCAGAATATTTTGGATTCCAAGGCAAATCCAATTTCAAGGTTTGAGGCTAAAGAACTGTGCAGTAATATCTTTGTATTTTAAAAAACAGGTTTATATAATTATTTTCCCTCTACAGCTTTCTTGCAAAAAGAAATGCAACCTTCTATCAGTTCCATTCACAAAAGGAGAAAGGAAGGAAGGAAAGAAGGAAGGAAGCAAACAAGCCACAATAAGGCTCATGTCTTTAACTTCTCTCTCTAATAGTTACCAATCTCTCTTTTGCCAAGAGAGGCTTACAGTGGACTACAGGCAGCAGCAGCAGTCAAAGAATGACTACGGGAGACAAAGGTAACAGGACAGAGTTGAATACATATCAAGGTTCACAGAAAATAGGCATGCCAGCAATTCTGAATCATTAAGAATGTCCCATATTCTCACTGCTACTACTATTTCTAACAACAACCTTGTGTAAGAATATTTTGTTTCTCTCAATGTGCTTCCAAATATGTCATCTGACCTTCATATACTGTGTAGTCCCTCAATATGACCATTTTATATAATTCATTTGCAGAATTGTTACATATTTTAATCCCAAACTAACACCTACCACATATTTACTACCTACTCTGATGCTACTTCAAAAGCAATTCAGAATGTATATCTACTACAAGGAAATCAGATAATGTATGGTAAGACAGACTATAAATGACTTCTCAATTAGCAGTTACTTTTTGAATTAGATGAGCAACTGTTTCTCTTGCAGATATAGAATTTGTTTTTAATTAAACCAATTTAAATCACTAGGAGAGAAGATTCTATTTAATCTATTTTCTACAGAGAACGCATTCTTCCTCCTTGAAAGATTAAAGTATGGTTTACAGAATCAAGGTACAAATTTAATTTTTTTCTTTTAAAAAATGTAACAATATGTTGTTTAAAGCAGCAATGTGTTCAACAGTTACTAAGGTTAATTCTGCAAATTTGTCTGAAAACTGACTTGGGTAATTCATTCACAATGGTAAATGATGCAGACAGTTATCAGGTCACTGGAAAGTGAGTCAGCACCAATTCTATAATTATGGATTTTTCTGCAAATCTGTATTACATGTAATCACCATCAAAATTAAAAGATTTTGAATTTACCTATATTTTTAAAAAGCGTAAGAATTCTCAACCTTGTTTGGAGCATTTTAATTACCTTAATTAAACACATAAAATGTGATTGTCTAAAATTAAATTCAGTCATATCAACTAAAGAAACTTTAGAGTTTTGAATTATTCATCACAGTCACTCTTTACCTACTTTATTCTTTTTTAAAATAAGCCCCAAGAGCTTATGTGTTTCTTGCTCCCCACTATTATCTCTAAAGCCTACCTGAGTCTCTGGAGCTTTGTAGACAGTCAATAAATGTTAAATGAATGAATTGGTAAATTATATCTAAATTTAGAATCAAGAAAAGCTGCAGTTGACCCTTGAACAACACAAGTTTGAACTGCATGGGTCCACTCACATGTGTTTTTTTCCCCCAATAAAAGCTACACCAAGTGTACCTGCCTATCCTGCCTCCCATTCTATCTCCCCACCTCTTCTGCCCCTTCCACCTCTGCGAGACAGCCACACCAACCTCTCCTCTTCCTCAGCATGAAGACAATGATGAAGATCTTTATGAGAATCCACTTACACTTAGTAAATATATTTTCTTTCCCAATGATTCTCTTAATGTTTGCACTTGTCTAGCTTATTTTATTGTAAGAATACAGCATATAAAACATATAACATGAAAAATATGTATTAATTGTTTATGTTATCAGTAAGACTTCTGGTCAACAAAAGGCTATTCGTAGTTAAGTTTTGGAGGAGTCAAAAGTTATATACAGAGATTTTGCTGTGTGGGGAGTCAGAGCCTCTAACCCCCATGTTGTTCAAAGACCAATTGTATATAAGTGTTATGGTTTGAGTGTTTTTGGCCCCTCCAAAACTCATGTTGAAACTTAATCCCCAATGCCACAGTGTTGAGAAGTGAGGCCTAACAGGAGATGTTTATGTCTTAAGAGTTCCACCCTCATGAACAGATTAACACCACTATAAAAAGGGCTTGCAGAAGTGGTTTTGTTCTCTTGCTTCTGCTCTTCCATCATATAAAGACACAACATCCGTTCTCTCCAGAGGACACAGCAAAGAGGCATCAATGCATGGCTTCATCAAGACATCTCTTAGAACCAGAGATCAAACCTACTGATACCTTGATCTTGGACTTGGCAGCCGCCAGAACTGTGAAAGAATACATTTCTGTTCTTCATAAATTACCCAGTCTCCGGTATTCTGTTATAGCAGCACATAACAAACCAAGATATATAGTAAACTTTCAGTAAAGACTCTCCTGAAGCAAGATTATTATTTCAGTAGCCTCTGATAAATGTAGTGTCCCCCACATGACTATTACAAGTTCATGTTGTTAGATAAATCATCATTAGTCCGGAATTTATTATTGAAAATGCAGAAATATGAGGCTTCCTGCTCTAAACCTAAATAAATCTATGAAAGTGATTACCTAATCTTCCATAAATGTCAAATATCAACCTCTAGTCTTGAGTATTGAGAATTTAGGTGATTCAATAATTTATCCAACAACTATCTACTGCATGTCCAGTGTTATGCTAGGCATCCCAAATAAACATACAAATAATATCTATCTTCACGGAAAGCACAAATCTGAGAGAAGAGAGCCACATGAGTAAACAGCCAAACATGACTAGCAGAATGAACAAAATCCTACAGGAAAAGAGAAGACAACTGAAATTGGAGGCTGTGTGCACAGATGACATGACAACTGATCTGGCTGTCACAGTAGTGGGAGTAAAACATGGGAGTTGAGGAAATGCTAAGTCTAAGGTGTCAGATAAAGACTATGAACAGCAGGCGCAGCATGAGCAAAGTGCCTTAGTCTGTTTTGTACTACAACAACAAAATGCCAGAGACTGGGTAATTTATAAACAGAAATTTACTAGCTCACAGTTCTGGAGGCTGAAAAGTCTACAGTAAGGGCGCCAGCAGCCTCAATGTATTGTGGGGCCATCCTCTTCTTCCAAGATTGCACTCTGCACACTGCCCGGATTCTTACACGGCAGAGGACAGAAGGGCAAGAACCAAAAGGGGGCCAAACTCACCCTTTTATAATGGCATTAATCCCATCCATGGCCTAATAACATCTTTAAGGTCCCACCTGTTAATACTGTTACAACAGCAATTAAATTTCAACATCCAAGCTAACTGGAAGCCTGAGACGGAAGGGCATGCCACTACCCCCAGCTAATTTAAAAAATAATTTGTTTTTTTGGTAGACAGTCTCTTTATGTTGACCAGGCTGGTCTCCAACTCCTGGCCTCAAGAAATCGTCTCATCTAGGCCTCCCAAAATGTTGGGATTACAAGCATGAGCCACCGTGCTCAGCCAAAACAAAAATCTTGACTTATAAATGAACAATGGCTGATACATATGTAAACTATGAGGATATAAATCTATAATAGCTTCATCTATTCTACATTCTGGACCTGGCCTTCAAAGCTGGACATACTAAGGAAATACAATACAGACACAAATCCACTGTTACGATTAACAGGAAATTTTCAGTTACATTACACAGAGTATCCAATAAAACTTCTGCAAATGAATACAAGTAATGAAGATTTTCAGGGTACAGGTCACAGAAGTCATACATTAAGAATTCACAACATTTAGATAGCAGGAATAATACTGCTAAGAACTTTGATGCACAATCTCCTTGACCATCAAGTGACCAAATAAAGAACATACAAGGTAGAAATCTGTAATTTTTTTCTTCTAAGGAAAGCAATACTAAAAATCTATAAACATTTTTCATTGGCCCCTTCTGATTCACATACTCTCTTACTGTATTTCTTTAACTATTATATGACCATTCAACGTGTTTCTCTCAGACACATTCTGCTTCCTAAAAACACTTTCAAACATGCTACAACAGAATGTTTGCCTTCCATAGTTTATAAGCATATCATAAGTCAGGATCTATTTCTACTATCATTGCCCATCTCTCAGGAATGCATGGTTCACAACAAGCAAGTAATATTTACTGAATGACTCAAGGTATAGACTAAATTAAATAAAAATAATTTTGTTTGGGGGCTCAGGAAAGTCAATGGGAGAGATATTTTAAATAAAGTCAATGAAAAGATGAAAAGTAATTTAAAAACTGACCAAAAAAACATGATTTTATGAAAATTTCAAATAACATTATGGGTACATATTACTGTTGACAATAAACTTTGTCCAGTAGCTTCTTATCCTAAAGACTCAATTTTCAGAATGTAAAGCATAAGAAAGTAAATCAAACTTCCTGTTAAACATAAGAAACAAAGGTATGAGTCAAAGTAAACAAGAAAACAAAAATGAGTGACCTAAGCAAAATGTCGGCCATCCAAACACTGCATGTTCTATAAAAGAATTAACAGACTAAATAACTCAAGTGATAAGCTATGTTCTAAACTGCCTAGAGTTGTGCTGTCCAATGAGGTAGCCACCAGCACATTTTACACAATTAAAACTACATAATTAAAATTAAAAATTCAGTTGCTCAGTCACAGCCACATTTGACAAGACAAATTAAAAAGAAAATTTCCCATCATTGCAGAAATTCTATCTTTAGAATTTCTTATGAAGAATAAAGCTCCCTTGGGCTTTTTAGTTGGGCCTGCTGAATACTTAGGCCAGCAATATCTGGCCTAAGGGATAGTAGGCCCCACTAAAGAGCCAAAGAGAGCTTTCATTCTTCATAAGATATTTTTCTATCAAGGAAATAAGAGTATTTTGCTTTAGTATTTAACTATTCTTATTGACTACTAAAAACAAAAGAATTATTTGTATCATGTATGTGAGGTATAGACAAATAATGGAATAAAAATATTCTCTCCTGGAGGAGTAACCACAATGCTGAATTTAGTTTTTATCATCCCTTGCTTTTTGAAACAATTCTGGCAAATACGTTTCCCTAAAAATGTATTGTTTTGTCTGGGTAACTCTCTATTAGTGGAATCATGATTTTTCTTTATATTACATATTCTTTTCACTATTTTCACTAACTCTGAACTTCATTCTCGTTCATATAAATATTAATACTACAATTTAAAACAATTCTGGCAAACACATTTCCCTAAAAATTTATTGTTTTGTCTGGATAACTATTAGTGGAATCACGGTTTTTCTTTATATTATGTATTCTTTTCACTATTTTCACTAACTCTGAACTTCTCTCATCCATGTACATACTACTACTACTCGATACAGTACAATGAACCGAGTTTTGTTCAGAGAAAAGTAGAAATGATCATTGCAGTATTGAAGCTGTGCAAGTTACAAACACAAGACATAAGGTTCCAAATGATTCTCTAACAGACAAATGCATGCTTTTTAATATACATTTATGAGAATAGCTTCTTCATGCATCGAAGACAGATCTTTGTTACCGTACATATTTTATCTTTTTTAATTTTTTTAATTATTGTGCAGCGGTTGTCAAAGAGTGGTCCCGCAACCAGTAGCATCAGATCATATGAACCTGTTAGAAATGCAAATTCTGTCTGCCCTATCTCCAAGCCAGTAAGTTGAAAACTCTGAGGATGAAGTCAAGCAGTCTGTTTTTAAAAATCCTCCAGGTGATTCTGATATGTGCTACAATTTGAGAAGCTCTATAGAAGTATCCTAACATCAGTATACATAAGATATTAAAAACATGAACAAACACATTTCTAACGTTTAGCCAATACTCAATTGCCAAAAACAGATTACTTTTTCCTTTTGTTGAATTTTACAAACTTCAGCTCAAAAATACTGGATTCAAAACAATTTCAACAGCCAAAACACACACACAAAGCTACAAACGCTGTCTCCACCTCTCTGTGTGTGTGTGTCTCTCTCTCTCCACACATACATACACACACACACACACACAGAATATCGAATTTTTAAATTAACTGTTTTCTAATTCCGTTCAGAGTGGAGGGCAGTGGCATGATCTTGGCTCACAGCAACCTCTAGCTCACTGAGACCTCAACCTCTGTCTCAGCCTTCCGAGTAGCTGGGATTACAGGCACATGCCATCACTCTTGGCTACTTGTTATATTTTTAGTAGAGACGGGATTCTGCCACGTTGCCAAGGCTGGTCTCGAACTCCTGGACTCAAGCAATCCGCCCACCTCGGCCTCCCAAAGTGCTAGGATTACAGGCATAAGCCACCACACCTGGCCTTTTATTTAAAAAAACAAACAAACAAAAAAATTTTCCCCCATATGTCCTGCCAGTACCTTGCAACATCTTGATTTTGAACTTCTGTCCTCCAAAAGCGTCAGGGAACAAATTTGTTATTTTAAGTCACCCATTTTGTAGTAATTTGTTATGGCAGCCTTAAGAAACTAATGTAACTGCTCAATATAACCTTCTGCAAAGATGGAAATGTTCTAAATCAGCACTGTCCAATATGGTAGCCACTAGATACATATAGCTATTGAGCACTTGAAATGTGGCTAGTGCAAATGAGGATCTAAATTTTTATTTTAATTAATTAAAATTTTAAAATATGTCCCCTCACATTTTTTCCTTGAGATTTTGTGGAGGGAGGAAGAAACTAGTTGTCTGTGCTATACAGTGTCCCACAATCTCAATTTTTCTTGCTACTAACAGCAAAGTTGTATCTCCTTGCTATTCTTTACTATTTTCATCTTCAGTATTTCCCTTAAGTTACTAGGTGAATTTAGATGTTTGATCTGATTAAGATTCAACTGTCTGGGTGGGAGAGACCACTTCACACGTGGTACTGTCTTACATCAGGAAGCAAATGTGTCTAGCTGTCTTCTGGTAATATTAGTATTCATGATGCTCAATGCCTAGATTCATTGATTTATTAGGGCTTAAATACAAATTTGTAACATTATAATTTTATAATTCCTTCCTCATGTATTAGCTGTAATAGTTCTATAAAAAGAAACTTCCTCCCAGCACTTTGGGAGGCCGAGGCGGGCGGATGACGAGGTCAGGAGATCGAGACCATCCTGGCTAACATGGTGAAACCCCATCTCTACTAAAAATATTTAAAAAAAAAAATTAGCCAGGCGTGGTAGCGGCCGCCTGTACTTCCAGCTACTTGGGAGGCTGAGGCAGGAGAATGGCGTGAACCCGGAAGTCAGAGGTTGCAGTGAGCCGAAATTGCACCACGGCACGCTAGCCTGGGTGACAGAGCAAGACTCCATCTCAAAAAAAAAAAAAAAAAAAAAAAAGAAACTTCCTTTTATCTACTATTTAGTTGTCCAACGGTACAGTTCTTATAGAAAAGACAGAATGAATGCTCAATTCTTTCCTTCCATTTTCCACTTTAAAAAAAAATGACTGTTTCATTAGCATCCTCCACCAGTGTAACTAGTGATCTTATAAAGAGTCATTATGAACTCATCCATTTAAACATATACGGTGTGGCTCAATCCATTGCAAATATCATCTTTATTCCTGCTCAAGTTGTCCCATTTTTAGCCAAGCTATTAGTTTTTCAAATTGGACCCTGAGTCCTTCTGCAAAAGCCCAGTAGTGTTTGAAGCTTCCTATTATCTAGTGTGACAAGATGTTCCATGTTTCTCTTGTACATTTCTTGCCTCAGATATAAAACCAGCCATTTGCCCAAGTATCTGATTATATTTAGCGATAAATACGTAGGAAGCTCAATTTAGATACAAAGAAAATTTGACTTTTAAAACCTAAAGTTTTATTAAAATTATTACTTGTAATTGGCTATCTGTTGGTTGTCTGATATAAAAGTTTAGCAGTGCCTCACATTAAATAGCAGGAAACAAACAAAAAACAAACAAACAAAAAAAACCCCTAGTTTTTAGCATATGCTTAGCTACTGGCATATTTTATTTTTTAACATATTCACACAGATAATACAGCTAGGCAGGCTTTATTAGGTAAATTCATTTTTTTAGAATAATGAGATTCTAATAATTTGAAATTGCTAAAAGAAATTTCAATCATTATGTGGCTAGTTATTAACAATCATTAAAAGACCCATCATTCACAGATATTTTCCTTCTCAAAGTACAGGAATGCCATTGTATAGAAAGTTTATCATTAACTATTTTAAATGCAAGGTTTAACAGCAAATTCAATCACTCTAATATGGCTTTAATTCTTGCTTTAGACTACATTTTGTCAGCTACAGATAAAAGCATTTTGATTACTAATATTTTAAAGACCTGTTACCATACCCTTATTATTAGATCATGGCCATAAGCCAAATGCCAGTACATAAATTCCAATGTCAAAATGAACTTAATCTACTAATCACAAAAGATACTATAAACATGTTGTTGCCCTTTGTACATAAGCTAAAAATGTTTGCTATATATTGTCCCTTACTAACATTTTATGAATATTGCAAATGTTTTCATTAAAGAAAATGATGGGAAAACATTTATAAAATTAAACCAAATATATTTTAAGGAGGTCCACTATTCGAAACTCAAGAGCCACATGGCTAATGATTTTTTAAAATGTATTAAACAAATACATTCTGTAAATGGCTTAACTACAAAAGCAAAGATAGCTTCTAAATGAATTTTTTGGTAATGCCTTACCACACAAATTTAACCAATGATAAAACTTTTTCATAAAAATCACTTAGAAAGCGGATCTAAGTAAAAGGTTGGTAGAGAAAAAAAAATACGAAATTAGTTGTCAAACAATTTAGGGCTGGAATCCTAACTCTGCCTCATTACTTTTTCAACTACAGACCAGTCTTCCAACCCATTTGTTTCTTATTTTCCTCCTATATAAAAACTTACAAACTAGTATCTAACCTCTAGGATTGCTGTAAATATTAAAGCAGGATTGTTGTAAATACTAAAGTACACAGAAGTACTTTGCACAGTATCTCTCAAAGAATCTAACAAAGTGGATATTTAATAATTTTGTTATTCTTCCTTCTCTCAAAAACATATGCAGTTTCATTAAACCTTCTGTAAAGTATCTTTTTATTTTTAAAATTTTATTTTGACATAATTTGCAAGAGTACAGAAAAGCTGCAAGACTAGCACAAAGAATCCCCATAGAGTCTTCACCTAAATCCCACATGTGGTAACATTTTACCACAATTACTTTATCCTGTTCTTTTTCAAAGAATCACATTTGCTATAACCATTTTTTCCTCTCTGTTTTCCTGTCTACCTGCATATGTTTTCTGAACCATCTGAGAGGAAGTTTCAGACATGATACTTTATTACTCTATATATTTCAGTGTGTTTCCTAAAAAGAATATTTTCTTAAAATCAAAATACAATTTTCAAAATCAGGAAACTTAAAACTTAACACCAAAACAATACTACCATTTAATATACAGGCCTTATTGAGATTTTACCAATTGTCCCAATAATGTCCTTCACAGGAAAAGAAAAGCCACGAACACTGAACGCACTTATTTGTGGCATCTTTAATCTGAGTAATTCCTAAATTTTTGTCTTTCATGATATTGACATACTTGAAGAGTACTTCTCAGTTATCTTGTAGAATGACCTTTAACGTGAGCCTGTCTCATTCTCATGATTAGATTCAGGTTTTAGATTTTTGGCAGGAATAACACAAAAGTGATGGTGTCTTCTCAGTGCTCTATATCAGGAGACACTTGTCAACTTGTCCCTTTACTGGTGATAAAACTTTAATCACATGGTTACAATCCTGTCAGCAAAATTTCTCCACTGTAAAGTTACAACTTTCTCTCTGGAAATAGTATCTTGTGAGGCAGTATCTTCAATCTATCTATGTAAGTATCTTGTTACTCATCAAACTTTCACTTTGGTAGTTTTTAACATCCATTAATCAATTACTAACCAATGCATGAATCACTTATTACCATAATGGTTGCCAAATGGTGATTTTCTAAATCTATTGTTCCTTTTATATACATTAGTTGTTATTCGACTACAAAAGAGGAACATTGCCCTCTTCATCTATTTACATCTGTATGTACTCATAGATTCTTATTTTATTAATGTTATAAGCCATCACTATTATTATTTATTTTGATGCTGACAGTAGCACAGATAAGGCCAGTGGGAGTCCTACAAATATCCTGTGCCCTTTTGCTCATCCCTATTATTCTTTGAGCACTCCTGACTTTCTCAGATGTCAATGCTTTGTATGTACCTCTTACCAGATACAGCTTGGAAATAAATTAATGTATACACATGCATACATACTCATACATACACATTCATATATGTACACACCTGTCTCATCTATAACTATTTTGATTGTTGATCGACTGACAGATGGGAGGGAGGGAGGCGGGAGGGAAATGAGTTTACATTGATACTATGAACTCTAGTGGAAGATTACAGGATCTCTTCCTTCGAGTCTTCTCCCTTTCTACTTTTAAAACTCCCTCCTCCAACAAAAACCTGGCTTCTATTACCCATAAAATATTTACCTATTTGCTCAATCCTGGTATACCACAGAACATAGTTTTGGTTTGCTAGCCCATAGCTCTCCAGGAAAACGGAAAGCCTAAAAACTAGAGTTCAATATTTTTTAAAGTTACTTTTGTCTTCAGTCCTGAAGCTATATAGTCCAAACACTGTGTTCAAAAGTTGTGTTAGTCTGTTCCCCTCCCCTCCATAACTATGTTACTCATTTGAAATACAGATGAGTTCATTTGTCTCTGCTTTAGTCTATTTTGATTCTTCTCTGTGATTTTTTTAAGTATGAGAAACATTAACGTGGTTCCAAGTTAGAACTATATACAAAGGTATACTCAGTACTGTCACAACCTCCTCCATTTCCTTTCATCAGATTCCCATCCCTCATTATTTCTACCCTAAACCTACTAACTGTGTCTGTGGTTCCTGGCTTATCTTTTCTATGGCTCATTTGCAGACAGATGTATATTATCTTATCTTGGCTTCTTTACTACCTAAGCAAGTGTGGTATAGATGCTCTTTTACACTTTGTTTGCTGTACTTAATCACACAATCCTAAAATCACTATCAATTCATAGAAGTTTCCTTGTTCTTTTTCACATCTGCATTTTGTGGCTATACCATAGTTTATATAATCACTTTCCTATGTACTGACAACTAGGTTGTCTCCTAGATATAACTGTATTTTGCAATTACAAATAATACATATTATTTTATTGCTGGAAGCAAATCTTCAGGGTGAATGCCCAGAAGTGGAATTGCTGGATCAAAAGAAAATGCATATGCAGTTCTGTTAGATGCTGCCGAAGTTCCTTCCAAAAGGGCTGTACTAATTAGCATTCTCATTAGCAATGTACAGGAATGAATCACAGACATTTTAGTGATGGAGAAAAACGTTTTGAGCCATAAATCACTAAGCATAGGTAACTCACTTCTTTTATAACAGCTTTATTGAGATAAAATTCATATACCCTATAATTCACCTATTTAAAATACACAATTCAATGGTTTTTAGTATATTCGTAAGAGCTGTGCAACCATCAAATTACCACAAGCAATTTTATAATATTTTCATTACCCCTTCCTCCAAAAACCCCATATCCCTAGTGGTCATACCCCCTTCTTCCATCTACTCCCGCTACCCAACTCTAGGTAACCACTAATCTACTTTCTGTCTTTACACATTTGCCTAGTTTGGACATTTCATAAAAATGTTTGGATCTTGGTTAACCAAGGGTAACTGAATCCCCAGAAAGTGAAACTACAGATAAGGGAAGACTTCTCAGAGTCCAGAAATATTAAATGGAAAATTCCAGAAACAATTCATATGTTTTAAATTGTGTGCCATTCTTAGTAGCGTCTGAGTAGCATGGTGAAATCTTACACTTTCCCACTCCAACAGAATATGAATTATCCCTTTGTCTAGCACAAACCAAAAATAAAATTCTAAGCCCCCCAACTAACTGCATGGACCCCTCCTCTCAGCCCAGGGCATTCTAAAGTAAACCTGAAACAGTAGTTCAGGCCATGGTGGGAACTGTCCATAACTTTGACCTATTTTTCTGTTGGGTGTCTTGCTGTTTTCTTTTTCCGCCTTCTTTTTTTTTCTTTTTTGAGATAAAGTCTCGCTGTCACCCAGGCTGTAGTCCAGTGGCGTGATCTCGGCTCACTGCAACCTCCACCCCTTAGGTTCAAGCGATTCTCTATCTCAGCCTCCCTAGTAGCTGGGATTACAGGCACCCACTACCACGCCCAGCTAATTTTTTTTTTTGTTTTTAGTGGAGATGGAGTTGCGCGATGTTGGCCTGGCTGTTCTTGAACTCCTGACTTCAAGTGATCTACCCACCTCGGCCTCCCAAAGTGCTGGGATTACAGGCGTGAGCCAAGGCTCCCAGCCCACCCTCTATTTTCAAAGATTCTTTATACATGAAGGATAGCCCTTATTTCTGTGATAAATGTTTTTCTTACAATTTTTTGTTTGTTTGTGTTTTGAGACAGGGTCTAACTCTTGTCGCCCAGACTGGAGTGCAGTGGCACAAACACTACAGCCTCAACCTCTCAGGCCCAAGCAATCCTCCCACCTCAGCCTCTCGAGTAGCTGGGACAATAGGCGTGGACTGCCATGCCCAGCTAATTTTTTTTTTTATTTTTTGTAGAGACAGGGTCTCCCTATGTTGCCCAGGCTGGTCTCAAATTCCTGGGCTCAAGCATTTCTTCTGCCTCAGGTTCCCAAAGCGCTGAGATTACAGGCATGAGCCACCACGCCCAGCTGTTTTCTTCCAATTTTCTATCTGTCTTTTGACTTTGTAATTACTGTTTTTTCCCCATGCAAAAGTCTTATCTTTAATTTTTACATAGTCAAATGTATCAGTCTTTCCTCTTTTTACATTGGGATTTGAGATATAGAGAAAAACTCTCCTTACACAGGTTGCAGAAGAATTCATCCATATATTCTTCCTATATTTGTAGTTTCATTCTTTTACATTGGGATCTCTGTTCCATTGTTTCATTTAATGGGCCAAAGATAGTAATCTTGTTTTTTTTTTTTTTTTTTTTTTTGAGATGGAGTCTCGCTCTGTTGCCCAGGCTGGAGTGCAGTGGCGTGGTCTCGGCTCACTGCAACCTCCACCTCCCGGATTCAAGCAATTCTCCTGCATCAACCTCCCGAGTAGCTGGGACTACAGGTGCGCGCCACCATGCCCAGCTAATTTTTGTATTTTTAGTAGAGATGGGATTTCACTATATTGGCCAGGCTGACCTCGAACTCCTGAACTCGTGATCCACCCACCTCAGCTTCCCAAAGTGCTGGGATTACAGGCATGAGCCACCACTCCCAGCTGTAATCTTTTTTCCAAATGGTTAACCATTTATTAAAAAGTCCACCTTTACCCCAGTGCTCTGAGATGCCAAGTTTACCATACACTGTTTCAATATGCTCTTAGGTCTATACCTTAGTTCTATTCCACTAGTCTGTCCACATGACCTTTTTTAAAAATCTAATTCACAAAATGAGACAGACTAAATGTAGCTTAAGATTCCTTCCATCTAACTCTTAAAAGGAAAGTTAAACCACACACACAGCCACCATTAATTAGGTTGCCTATATGTCTGGATATGCCTTCTCAAGTGTCTTTTGCTCATCACCCCAACTTCTAAATGCTGAACTGCATACACAGTCTTCTGATCTCGTCTTCATCCTATACTCTCAACACTCACTCCAATCCCACAGATTAAATTTGCATTATCTATTCAGATGACTCCCAAATTGATAACTCCCACTCACATCTCTACCCAGAGATCAAGACCAGACCAATTCTCCACTAATATCTCCAAATGGGCGAGGTGCAGTGGTTCACATCTGTAATCTCAACACTTCTAGAGGCCGAGGTGGGAGGATTGCTTGAAGCCAGGAGGTGGAGGCTGCAGTGAGCCAAGATCACATCACTGCCCTCCAGTCCGGGTGACAGAATGAAATCTCGTCTCAAAAAAAAAAAAAAAAAAAATCTCCAACTGGATGTCTAATAGTATAGTGTATCTAAACGTGGTTTCCGAATCATATGTCTCAAAAAAGAAACCAAAACCTGTTCCTCCAGTTTTCTTCATTCTCAATTAATAACAGCTCTATTCTCTTTCTGTAGCACGGGCCCAAGATCCTCAGTTCTACCTCCGATATATATCCAAATTTTAATCACATCTTCTGTAGTCTCCTAACTGGTCTCTTCTTTCTACCCTATTCTCTACACAGCAGCCAGAGTGATCCTACTGAAGTTTATGAAACGAAAATAGATCTCAGGACCCCAAAATCACTAAGCCAAGGGAAAAGTCAGGCTGGGAGCTGTGTCAGGCAAACCTGCCTCCCATTTTATTCCTAAATAAGATAGTTACAAACATAAAAAGCTACATATCTCCCTCACAATTTGCCCACAAGGAAATTCCTTGTTGACAAAGGACAAACAGAACACAGTCATCCCTCTGAGGCTCACCTGAGACAAATACATATAACTGCTTCCTCTGCCCTATTGTTTATGAATGCAGATTAACTGAGCCAGACTAAAGTGTCTATTCAGTGGAAGGCTAACCAAGGACTCAAAAGAATGCAACCTTTTGTCTCTCATCTACTTAAGACCTGGAAGCCCATACCTCAAGTTGTCCCGCCTTACCAAACCAAACCAAACCAATGTACATCTTACACATAATGACTGATGTCTCATGTCTCCCTAAAATGTATAAAAGCAAGCTGTCCCCAGCCACCTTGAGCACATGTCATCAGGACCTCCTGAGGCTGTGTCACTGGCACATCCTTAACCTTGGCAAAATACACTTTCTAAATTGACTTGAGACCTGTCTCAGATATTTGGGGTTCACGAATGAAAGTCAGATGTCACTGTCTCTTAGTCTTGTCATTTCACTCAGAATAAAAGCCAAAGCCATGTTGTACAAACCAAATAGCCATGTTTCTCAAATTGACTGAAAAGCAATCTTATTCCTCTTAGCTTAGTGCTATAAAAGTGATATGAGGCCAGGCACAGTGGCATGCACCTGTAGTTTCAGCTACAGGAGGACTGCTTGAGTCCAGGAGTTCAAGGCTGCAGTAGCTATTACTGTACCTGTGAACAGTGACTACACTCCAGCCTGGGCAACACAGTGAGACCCCCATTTCAAAAAAAAAAAAAACAAAAAAAGGTAATATGAATGGATGCAAAGGAAAATAATGAGAGCCAGCTTTTTCAACTTTTTCTTATGAAACACAAGCCACAAAACAAAAATCAAAATTACATTCTTGACTGCGCGCAGTGGCTCACGCTTATAATCCCAGCACTTTGGGAGGCCAAGGCAGGTGGATCACCTGAGGTCAGGAGTTCGAGACCAGCCTGGCAAACATGGCAAAATCCCATCTCTACTAAAAATACAAAAATTAGCCAGGCGTTGTGGCACATGCCTGTAATCCCAGCTACTCAGGAGGCTGAAGCACAAGAATCATTTGAACCTGGGAGGCGGAGGTTGCAGGGAAGCCAAGATCGCACCACTGCACTCCACCCTGGGCCACAGAGCAAGGCTCTGCCTCAAAAAAACAAACAAACAAACAAACATAATTAGCAACCAATGAGAAGCTAAAATGATATTTTTTATCTAGCTAAAAGACAATTTCCTCTACTTAACTCGCTTAAAAAAAAACAACATTCACACTTTTCTGGAAATTCTACTATGGTTACTATGTTTAAGTTCTTCCCAGATAAGAAAGGTTCCAATGGCTAGAAAGCATCTGCCTTGATACTTGATCTTCAATTTGTATCCTAGTGCAGTTGAGCTGTACAACCCCAGCCCCTCCATCCTCGGCAATTTGTTAATTTTTTCTTGAAACCAGAACAAGTCCCAATGATCTGATCCTCTACTTTCTCTCCTTTAGGTTTGTACTAATACCTTACATATAAAAGTGAGCAAAAAACCAAGAGCAAGGAAAGAAGTACATCCGGTCCTTGGCAGACACAGTTCTGCCTGTCCTCCTCACTCAATGAATTAAACAGATACACAAACAGAAGAAGGAGAAGGAGCCAGAGTTAAAGAAAGGCAAACAAGAGCCAAGAGTTTCAGGAACTACACAGAACCATCAAATCAGTAAGCTAATTATGTTCCATCCAATACCAAAAAATGTCCTTGACAAGTATTTCTCAATTGGCGAATCCAGTCTCTATTCTCAATAATCAAAATCCCAACTTCAGCGTTTTTTTTTTTCTTTGTATTTACAGAAAAATTACTTCACACCAGGACAGGCTCACAGGTAGTCAAAACAATGTTCACTAGCAAGGTATATTATAATTTAATCCAGTTCATTTAAATATTTCTAATCACCATCAATAATTATGAAACCAAGTCAACTTAATATTTTTTTTTTGGTGGGGGAGGGGAAGGGCACGGGGGGACCGAGTCTCGCTCTGTTGCCCAGGCTGGAGTGCAGTGGCACGATCTCGACTCACTGAAACCACTGCCTCCCAGGTTGAAGCGATTCTCATGTCTCAGCCTCCCGAGTAGCTGAGATTACAAGCACCTGCCACCATGCCTGGCTAATTTTTGTATTTTAGTAGAGACAGGTTTTCACCATGTTGGCCAGGTTGGTCTCAAACTCCCGACCTCAAGTGATCCACACACCTAGGCCTCCCAAAGTGCTGGGATTACAGGCGTGAGCCACCGTGCCCAGCCAACTTTTTTATTCCAAAAATACTTCTACTATTCAATAAGTTCTTGATACCTTAATTTATAATTATTGACACTACAGTTCAGGTTCAAACACATTTAATATATATAAGCCATTTACTTTTATATTTTCTCAAATTTTGCTATGTGAGAAAAAAAATAAGTGAAAGTGTTTTTAGTATCAAAGTCACCTGAAGGAAAAATAACAACAGTCCGTGTATCTGGTAGTCGGACATCAAGTGACTGCAATCAATCAACTATACCCAGAGACTAACAGAGAAATAAGATAGAAAAAGAGTTTCAACAAAGCTCATGCATTCTTCTCCACAAGAAAAGCAAAAACCATTCCCATGGTCTCTTGTCATATATCAACACAATCTCTGATTTTAACAAGGCTTAGCTACCTTATTAATCTTAGGGGGTCCATTTTTAGCAGGTTAGATTACACAGCATGATATTAGGTTGGTGCAAAAGTAACTGCGGTTTTTGCCATTGAAAGTAATGGCAAAACCTAGGTTTTCTGCCATTGAAAGTAATGGCAAAACCTAGCTTTTTTGCCATTGAAATTAATGGCAAAACCTAGCTTTTTTGCCATTGAAAGTAATAGCAAAACTTAGGTTTGCACCAACCTAAATAGAAGCCAAAAAAAATAGGGCAACTAAAAATTCACAAATTAAGAAATAACTATAGTTAATAAGGAAACAAAATGCTACATATAAATGCACACTAGTGTAAAAAGATTAGCATATAATCAAACATTCCTTTCAACCTTCATCATAAGACTATAAATTATCACTATATGGTCTCATGATGCAAAATACAACAAATATTCATGACTGTATCCCTGTAAAACTATATATTTGGTAAGTTTTAGAAAATAAAATACAATTGCAATACATTTTCTAAAGATTTCAATCAAAAATCACTAATATAAAATATTACTTCTTCAAGAAAATTCACATAAATATAACTTATGCTATCAGAGCCAGTGACTAATTGTATGTTAATTATTAACCATCAAACCATTTCCCATCATGGATAACTGCAAGAGTTTTTTTCACTCGACTTGCAATAAGAGAATAACTATCCTGCAAATGGGGAATATCCCTAAAGTTTTATCAGACCCAAAAAACCCTGGCACTCCTCTAAGCCCTAGACATTTCCCTAGACCTGCTCAGTAAACAAAAGCAAAGAGCAAATGGTGATTTTGAACTTAATTCTGTATTTTAACTATTTCTTCAATGAATATTTATTACCATTTCCAGATATAATATACATGCAAATAACTAATGATTCTTTTCCAAACAGGATGAAAAAAATTCTAAAAATATTTGATTCAGCAGCTAGTTTCACCTTCCTCTTCATTCAGATTGTGGAAAGAAAAATCTCAAAAAGTTTTTGTAGTACCAAAAACTTCCCAAGTTTGTAATAAATGGGTCTAAAAAGTGAGAACTGTATTTTGCATTTGCATACAGTAGTGTTGCTCAAAACTGGGTTACTGTTTCAATATTTTCTAATAAATCAAAATAGCAAAACTTCTACCAGGTCCCTAGAATTACTTTCCTTGCCATTTTTACCAATATTTACTTCTTGGGAAAAAAAAATAGAAGAGCATAATATAATTAATACATAGATTCAGTCAAGCCAAATATGAGGAAACTGAATATAACATAGAAATGATACTATATGTCCCATTCTCAAGAAAGGTTTCACATAAGAATTAAGTGCTAGTGCCTTTAGTCATCCACTGTAGGCATCTCCTAAGCATCTAGAATACTACCACTTAAGTGTCATTCTTGAGAGAACTGAAAAAACAGTCACCTAAATCATTTTCTGGATTCTTCAGTTTAAATGAATAGTGGTTGGGAAAAGATCTATACAAAATTATCACTGGCTCTGGGACCAAACATTAAAAATAAGAGTATCCCTGATACAGGACATTATCTATGGTGACTACTTATACAACTTATTAAAAAGCTAAATAAATGATCTATTATTTGAATATGATTTTTACCACTGATCCATTTAAAATTAAAACCATCAATCAACTAGTTGTTACCAGGTATTAACTATGTGCCTGGTCCTTTATTATAAGGCACAAGAGTACAAAAATTCTGACCACAAACTTATTACTAAGGCAATAAGTTCAACACACAACACATAAACAAAAATGTGTAAAATCTTATTAAGCTCCAAATGATTTAATACATAAATGTTAATCAAGAGTTAGAGAAGGAAGAAATCCCTGTTGGTTATAAAAGTCAGGGAAACTTCATGACAAAAGTAAAACTTGAGTAGTGTTTAGAGAGGCTGAAAAATGAAAAGACATGCCAGGCAGGAGATACATCTTGAGCAATGGCTGGGAAGCAAGCATGAACAGCCACAGAGCAAAACCAGGAGTGAAAGTTGAGATTGAGAATGGAAAAGAGAGAGAGAAAGTTGGTGAGGTAAGATAAGGATCTTGAAAACAGCAGGCAGATCACAGAGTCTGGGAATTTATTTTTGTCACCAGTTTTTAAGCGATACCAAATTCTAAGCTGAGTAATTTGTAATGATTTTTATCTACTCTTAAAATTAGAAGCAACTCATATCAGAATGCATTACACCACACTGATTCTACCAAAACTTTAGACAATTTTAGGCCAGCTAAAACATTACATGGTACATTCTTCGAAACTTGTTCTTGAAACAGCAGACTTGAGAAGAGAAAACCTCATACAAATAAAAGTTCTGAAGGAAAATTAGCACTGAGGTGGAACTCAAAACATATTTGCGCTCAAGTTACAGCTCAAAATATATTTGACCTCAAGTTAAAGCTAATACTAAATGCTTATTTTCCTTGACTGCTAGTCTACAGATGTATGCTTATTCCTTTCCTGTCAACACACCCAGCACTTCAAAAGACCCAACCACTCTGCCAAAATTTTTGCCTTCAAAGAACCTTTGTTGCCATAGCAATCTCATGTTCTCCCAGGAACCAAGTTACGATACATACATGAACGCTGCCCAATCTCCCCAATTCCTCCTTGAGACACAGGGCATAGCCTAGCACAACTACCAATTTCTACTCGTTATAACACAGGGTATCAAATAGTATTTGACAGTTCATAAAGAACAAAGATTACTTAAAAATAAGTAGGTGCATCCAAAAGGGTGAGAGAAGGTTGTGGGTAGGAACCTCCTTTCATATTACAAAGCAGATGCCCTAAAGTATGAAAGCCAATGAAATAAAACACTGAGTCCAAATCAAACTTAATCAAAGAGCTCCCTCTTTTCACATATCTCAAAACACTCTTCCTAAAAAATAAAGCAAAGATAAAAACCATAGAAGCCTGGCACTTTAGTTAAGAATGTCCCCATCCTTATATTTTCACTTGACTAAAGATTTAACTCCTGAATCAAAAACAACAAAGCTAAATTCTGCCTAGAACTAAGCTTTCCTCAGACAAAAAGCAGCATATACTGTCAAAATTTCATAAAGAACGTATCTGCTAATAAATGGCACATGTGGAAAAACCACAGCCAGAGTTCAAGGGTGTGTTTCCAGATGTAAAATACTTCTGACCCAAAGAAATTGTTTTTTCATCTCTTTTCAAGTTATATTGCCCCACATTCCCAAGTTGAAAAAATTTTCTGTATGCTCAATTAGTCTTCAAGTTAACACAAAATACCACGACAATAAAAAAACAAAAACAAGTACTATAATAGAAAAGGCTAGAATAAAGAGTATTTAAATGCTGGATTATCTTTTGTACTTGATTTTTATTACAATTTCAGAAAATGATTGTACAGAAGGTAAAAAAAAAAAAAAAAAAAAAAGACCTTAACACATTAAATCTGCTTCAAAGAAACACTCACTTCCAGGAAAACTCATAGATTTTTTAAATATATAAATCATGAGCATTTAATTCTTCTGTATAAACTTCATCAAATCAACAGTCTAGACACAGGCTACAATAAAGTCATTAAATGCACACATAACACACTAATTTCCACTTCATTAGGTGTTCTCACCGAACTGAATTCTTGAAAGTCGAGCTGTTCACATTATCATTCTAAATATCTGGTAGGATTCCACAGCTTAAAGAGACATAAAGATGTCTCAGGAGTTGCAATTCTGTATCAGAAAGTAACTTAAGAGATGATCTAGTAACAACCTTTTCTTTCTGTTCAATGAGAAAACTGAGGCCTAAGTAGGTTACATCACTAATTGGAAGCATTTTCTCTTATTTGAACTGTGGTGGTCTGGGTTCGCTTTTTGTTGATTTGCTTTTTACATAATTACATTCTAGTCTTTTTCTTCATGTTTCTGGGATCTTTTCTTTAACATGGATAGTAATGTTGACTGTCCCCACTGCCAATAAAGCTGTTTTCTCTCTTCAAAGGAAGCTGTCCAACATGAATTGAAGATCAGTAACTCTAAAGACTAAAGGCGACTAAGAACAAAAAAAAGTTATAGTAGACTTTTATCTAATAAAGGAAAATCCGGAGTAGTGTTTAAACTGCAACACAGAGCACTCTGCTAAGCAGCACTGACAACAATTAAACCCATCAAACATCAGTTACACAAATTCAATCGTTTTCACACCTTACTAAGTAGTAAAGAGAAATCACACTTTAAAAGTAGCTAAAATTAACTACTGAAGCTGTGGCTTTCCAAGTTATTTGACCACAATTCACCATTAAACATATTTTTTTTTTTTTTTTTTTTTTTGAGACGGAGTCTCGCTCTGTCACCCAGGCTGGAGTACAGTGGCGCAGTCTCGGCTCACTGCAAGCTCCGCCTCCCGGGTTCACGCCATTCTCCTGCCTCAGCCTCTCCGAGTAGCTGGGACTACAGGCGCCCGCCACCACGCCCGGCTAATTTTTTTTTAATTTTTAGTAGAGACGGGGTTTCACCGTGGTCTCGATCTCCTGACCTCGTGATCCACCCACCTCGGCCTCCCAAAGTGCTGGGATTACAAGCGTGAGCCACCGCGCCCGGCCCATTAAACATATTTTATATCACCACCTAGTGTACACAAGCATATACTCACATAACATACATTTATATACAACATTTATACAACAAACTAAAATGTCATAAAAAACAATCCTCTAACTACATGTGATACACTCTCATAGCTTCCATTCTATTCTACTTTTTTACCATGCTGTATGAGATCTAAAGTGTTTTCTCAACCCACTAATTGGTAATGACCAGCAGTTTGAAACATGAGGAAAGTTATCTATGGTAAATTACATTACTAATACAAGCCTCAAAAAGAAGTTTTCATAGGCAGTTATTCCACAAACATTTATTAACATTTACCATATGCATAATACTATGTGTTTGACTATGCTGTGCTAGATACTGGACTATATCGTTTTGCGGTTGCTTATACAAATCTAACTATGGAGACTGTACTCTGGTGGTTTTTATTTTAATAATATGGTTGGATACCTGATACTTAAAAATGGAAAGCAGACATGTTAATCCATTTGCTCATTAAGAGTTTTTTTCTAGGTATTTTTTCTAAGATGTTTACAAATCCAAAACGGTATATATTTCTATTGCAATTATTAGCACAGCATACAAGTTTTCTCTCATCTATCAGATGTATGGAGCTATAATGACCATATCCAATACACCTTCGTTATGCTCAAAGCAATCAGCACAGTGTCTAGCTAGCATACTGTAGGTACTTATTTAATGAACTGATTTTTTTTTTTTTTTTTTTGAGACAGAGTTTCACTCTTGTTGCCCAGGTGGGATCTCGGCCTACTGCAACCTCTGCCTCCCAGGTTCAAGCAATTCTCCTGCCTCAGCCTCCCAAGTAGCAGGGATTACAGGTGCCCGCCACCACACCCAGCTAATTTTTGCATCTGTAGTAGAGACAGGGTTTCACCAGGTTGGCCAGGCTGGTCTCGAACTCCTGACCTCAGGTGATCCACCCACCTCAGCCTCCCAAAGTGCTGGGATTACAGGTGTGAGCCACTGTGCCCGGCCTAATAAATTAATTTTTTAAACTAATTCTTCAAGGTTGAGAATCCAAATATTAATTTTTAAAAGAATCATGATTAAAGAGAGGGAAAGGGTTTATATATCAAAGAATTGGGATAAAGTACAATACAGTAGGCCGGGCATGGTGGTTTACACCTGTAATCCCAATACTTTGGAAAGCCGAGGCAGGCAGATCACCTGAGGTCAGGAGTTTGAGACCAGCCTGGCCAACATGGTGAAACCCCATCTCTACTAAAAATACAAAAATTAGCCGTGCATGGTGGCAGATGCCTGTACTCCTAGCTACTGAGGAGGCTGAGGTGGGAGAATCACTTGAACCGGGGAGGCAGAGGTTCCAGTGAGCCGAGATTATGCCACTGCACTCCAACTTAGGTGACAGAGTGAGACTCCATCTCAAAAAAAAAAAAAAAAATACAATACAGTAGCCTTGGGTCAACAAAAGCACTTTTGGACATAACATCAAAATACCTGAAATATCAAAGCAATTCTCTGTATGACTAACTTGCAGCAAACATTTCGTAGGACTTTCAAAATTACTTACAAAAATAGAACTTTACTGCAAAAATGACTCAAACTAAACCAAATTCCATAAGGTATTAATGAAATCACTATCCTAAAAAAGAAATTTATCTCACCATTAGGAAACTGTAATTTAATGATTTCTATACTGAGTAAATATGTCCAATTCAAATTATTTGGGAGCTAAGTCAGAATACAAATAAATTACTTATTTGACGAATGCATTTTCAAATCTTACAACTCAGAAGACAGTGATTTTATCTGTAAAACATAGTATTGGGTTGGTGCAAAAGTAACTGCGGTTTTTTAACTAAAAAAGGCAAAAACTGCAATTACTTTTGCACCAACCTAAGTTTACAGCAGCTATTTCTTTTGATTTTTTTCAAGTTGTCAAAAAATTGGAACAATAATCTTGCTAATTTTTTTGTAAACCAAAGCAATTGACACAGATGCCTGTGAACTTCTAATTCAATATATAAGGAGTGTTTTGCTTGTACCATTACCAATACATGACCAATTTCTAAACAATTTTATTATTTTTATTTGTAAATAACAAATAGAACCATTTTAACAAAATAAGCATTTGATATCCGAATGTAAAAACTGTTCCTCTGTAAGTAGATTAAAAAGCCGAGTCAAAACAAGAAACTTCAATATTGATTAAACTGTCCCCAATTTCTCAATTTACATTGGATTAGACTCTTTGAGAAAAAAAGGTTTAATATGTATGTAAGGTGTTTCTCCTACAAAAACTGAATTATTGCTTCAGCTTTTCATGAACCTAGGTGGTTAACCAACATTCCTAGCACCTCAACAGTTGTCATCAAAGAGAAACTTTGTTCTCTCCACATGAAACAGCTGACAGCTACTAGGGAAGGGAGAGCACTATTTTTCTCAAGATTTTAAGGTTGCTCAGCTTTGCCATTCCACACCTCAGGTGACAGAGTGACTGAAAATCTAGTTTAAGTTTTTGAGATGCAGATATATCCTACTGTTAGAAAGCTGTAGCCTCTCCATGGAAACAATGGATACTCACAGGTTATTATATTCGTAGCAGAAATCAATTTTTCATCCATATATACCAAAGAGAATGCCAGGCTCATAGTAAATGTTTAAATATTTTTAAATAAACAAGTATTAATATTTGAGCACCTACTGTGTGCCAGACACTGTGTTGGACCTAAGAATACTTCAAGAATGTAGACAAAGTCTGACTTAAAAAGGGACAACAATGTTATCATCCAAATGATACCTGCCACCAGAAGTAAACAAAAAAATTCAAAATAAGGTATGACCCAATAAGCCAGAGATTTCTCACTGCTGTAGAAGACAGCCTAATATACATATAAAGGGCACTGAGGTTGAAACTCATTTCCAGTTTCACAATCCACTAGATAAGTAGTATAAACCAGGCATCCCCAAAATTAAAAGCTGAATTTATTTTATTTTACTTATTTATTTATTTGGTAGAGACAGGGTCTCACTATATTACCCAGGCTGGTCTCAAACCCCTGGCCTCAAGTGATCCTCCTGTCTCTGCATCCCAGGCCTCCCAAAGTGGTGGGATTACAGGCATGAGCCACGATGCCTGTCAGCCTTATTGCACTTCACACACACACACACACACACACACACACACACACACTCTCTCTCTCTCTCTCTTTCTCATATACAGGCAAACTGTATATATTGTCCAATGCTGCACAATCCAACAGAACTGTCTGCAGTGACGGGTAAAGTTCTATATTTGTACTCTCCAGTATGGTAGTCACTAGATACATGCGGCTTTTAAGCATTTGGAATGTGGCTATATCAAATGAGGAATGCATTTTTTTAACTAATTTAAATGTAAATAGTTAGAACCTCTGCCTGCCATAAAGACAGAGTAACAGAAATAGATTTACACTTCATGTGAAAAAAGGATAAAATGGAGAAAATAAATGAAATAACTATCTTCCAGACAATGGACAACAGGCAACAAAGGACAGTCATCTCTAAGGGAAAAGAAACAAATTAGATGAGCTCCACAAACACACAAACTTACTAAGCTAAGAAAGTTTGCAGGCCAGGGTGCAGGAAGGGGAAAGAAGATGGGAGACTGACAGACTCACTGAGATCAGAACGTGACTACGGATCTCATAGAGTCGGCAGGGCAGAGAACCTGAGAGCAGGTAAAAACTCCTGCAAAAAGTTCAACTTGAGTACTAACTGGCACGTGCATTTGAGGAAACTACCTGAAGCTAGAGACTGAATAACTCTAAAAGATAAAAGGTACCAGTGCCAAGCATTCACACAAGGCCAGTAATAGTGCCTATTCTCAACATCCAGACTGGAAAATTTCAGGAATCCCGGGGCACTGAAAGAGCACACAAAACACATTTCCTCAGTAGTGGAGAATAATTAACCCTAGACTGAGCACTGCTCCAGACTTACCTAACAAATCTTTAAAAGCAAGACCAGAAAAGATCAAGTAGTTTCAAAGTAATTTAGCTAAATTCCAGAACAAATCTCTAAAAGTTCCTAGAAATAAAAAATATACGGCACTCAGCAAGATAAAATCCACAATGTCTGGAATCCAATAAAAAATTACAGGGCAGATAAAAAAGAAAAAAGTATAAACCATATAGAGGGACAAAATTAATCAATTAAATCTAAGCAGAACTGACAGAGATGTTAGAATCAACAGACAAGGATGTTAAATTAGTTATTACGTGCTCTATATGTTCAAAATGTTTAGAGACATAGAAGATATAAAAAGACACAAATCAAACTTGCAAAGGTGAAAACCATAATGTATGAGATGAAAAGTACACTGAACAGGATTAATGGCTAATTAAACATTGTGGAAGAAAAACTAGTAAATTTGAAGGCATGGAAAAGAAACAATCCAATATAAAACACAAAAGAGAAAACAGAATTTTTTAAATGAAGTGAGCTGTGGCAAAACTTCAAGTGTTCTTCTATATATATATAATTAGAGTTTCTGAAGGTGGGGGAGGCCCAGTAAATTATCTAAAAAATAAAAAACTTCCAAAAATTTTCAAAATTTGGTAACCATAAACTAACTGTTTTAGTCTGTTTTGTGCTGCTATAATGCAATACCAAAGACTGGGTAATTCATAACGACAAGAAATTGGCTCACAGTTGTAGAGGCTTGGATATCCAAGATCAAGGAGCCAGAATCTGGCGAGGGCCTTCTTATTGCATTGTAACATGATGGAAGCATCATAACACAGAAAGGCAAAAAGAGGACAACAGACAGAGAGCAAGAGGGGGCAAACCTACTCCCATGATAATGGCATTAGTCCATTCTCGAAGACAGAGCCCTCATGACCTCTTAAACATCACACCTTTCAACATCATCAGAATGGTAATAAAATTTCAACATGAATTTTGAATGGAACATTGAAACCATAGCATTCACAGTTCCAGAAAGTTGAGCAAATACCAAGCAAAAGAAACATGAAAACATTGTAACAAGTCACATAATAAAATTGCTCAAAATCTGTAATTTAAAAAAAAAATCTTAAAAGCAGTAAGAAAAAAGACACTTTATATAGAGGAATAAAGATAAGACTATCATTAGATTTCTCACTGGATATTACAAAAACAAGACAAGCAAAATTTAATATACTGAAAGAAAAAATTGTCCATCTAGAATTCTGTACCCAGGAAAAATATGTTCTTAAAAATTAAGACAAAATAAAGGCATTTTCAGACATGAAAAAGCTGAAAGGAATTCATTACCAGCAGATCACTACTGCAGAAAAGGTTAAAGTTGTTGAAGTACAAGAAAAATGATTCCAGATAGAAATATGAATCTACAGAAAGATAAGAGGAGCAATGGAATGGTAACTCCATTAACTATATGGAAATGACAT
The DNA here is from genome assembly GCF_000001405.40 of Homo sapiens. Lineage (NCBI taxonomy): Eukaryota > Metazoa > Chordata > Mammalia > Primates > Hominidae > Homo > Homo sapiens. Next base: position 56,956,442 of record NC_000015.10, on the reverse strand, counting down.
AATATCACCTGAAGTCCACTGATAAAAATTGAAACTGAATACTGCAAATCATTAAACCACTAAAATAACAAGTTATATCTAATAAGGCAATAAAGATGACAAAACAGAATAAAAAATATTCTATTAATATAAAAGGAGGCATAAAAGGAGGAAAAGGGAACCAAAGAACACACGAGATAAAAAGAAACAAATGGCAAGATAATGGATTCAAACACAGTCATATCAATAATTACATTAAATGTTCCAAATTAAAAGCAAAGACTTTAGACTAGATAAAAAACGCAGAACCCAATTATATGCTGGTAAAAATAAATAAACTGTTCTTTAGGTAGAATGCAGTTAAATGTAAAAACAAGAAAAAAAGTGTACAGTGCTAACATATCAAAAGAAACCTGAAGTGTATATATAAACATCACACAATGTGGATTTCTAAGCCATTATCAGAAAAAAAGGGGTCATTTTATAATGATAAAACAGTCACCTGATGAAGAGTACATATAATACTACTAAGCATTAATGCACTTAAAGACAGAGATTCAAAATATGTAAAGACAAACTGATGAAACTGCAAGGATAAATACAAAATTCACAATTCACATTACAGATTACAATTTCCCTCTTTCAATAATTGATAGATCTCCAAAACAGAAAATAAAAAAGAACATGAAAGACTTGAACAACACTACAAACTAAAATCACTTGATACTTAGAAAACACTCCACAAAACCTTGCAGAAGACACACACATTTTCAAGTTCATACAGAACATTTGCCAAGGCAAACCATATTTCAAACCATAAAACAAGACTCAATACATTTAAAATCACTCAATTCATACAAAGCATGTTCTCTAACCACAAATGCTTTTTTTTATTTTTATTTATTTATTTTTATTATACTTTAGGTTCTAGGGTACATGTGCACAACCTGCAGCTTTGATACATAGGTATACATGTGTCATGTTGGTTTGCTGCACCCATCAACTGGTCATTTACATTAGGTATTTCTCCTAATGCTATCCCTCCCCCAGCCCCCCACCCTACGACAGGCCCTGGGTGTGTGATGTTCCCTACCCTGTGTCCTAGAGTTCTCACCGTTCAATTCCCACCTATGAGTGAGAACATGCGGTGTTTGGTTTTCTGTTCTTGTGACAGTTTGCTGAGAATGATGGTTTCCAGCTTCATCCATGTCCCTACAAAGGACATGAACTCATCATTTTTTATGGCTGCATAGTATTCCATGGTGTATATGTCCCACATTTTCTTAATCCAGTCTATCATTGATGGACATCTGGATTGCTTCCAAGTATGTGCTATTGTGAATAGTGCCACAATAAACATACGTGTGCATGTGTCTTTATAGTAGTGTGACTTATAATCCTTTGGGTATATACCCAGTAATGGGATGGCTGGGTCATACGGTATTTCTAGTTCTAGATCCTTGAGGGATCGCCACACTGTCTTCCACAATGGTTGAACTAGTTTACGGTCCCACCAACAGTGTAAAAGCGTTCCTGTTTCTCCACATCCTCTCCAGCACCTGTTGTTTCCTAACTTTTTAATGATTGCCATTCTAACTGGCGTGAGATGGTATCTCAGTTCTCTGATGACTAGTGATGATGAGCATTTTTTCATGTGTCTGTTAGCTGCACAGATATCTTATTTTGAGAAGTGTCTGTTCACATCCTTTGCCAACTTTTTGATGGGGTTGTTTTTAATCTTGTAAATTTGTTTGAGTTCCTTGTAGATTCTGGATATTAGCCCTTTGTCAGATAGGTAGATTGCAAAAATCTTCTCCCATTTTGTAGGCTGCCTGTTCACTCTGATGGTAGTTTCTTTTGCCGTGCAGAAGCTCTTTAGTTTAATTAGGTCCCATTTGTCTACTTTGGCTTTTGTTGCCATTGCTTTTGGTGTTTTAGTCATGAAGTCCTTGCCCATGCCTATCTCCTGAATAGTATTGCCTAGGCTTTCTTCTAGGATTTTTATGGTTTTAGGTCTAATATTTAAGTCTTTAATCCATCTTGAATTAATTTTTGGACAAGGTGTTAAGGAAGAGATCCGGTTTCACCTTTCTACATATGGCTAGCCAGTTTTCCCAGCACCACTTATTAAACAGGGAATCCTTTCCCCATTTCTTGTTTTTGTCAGGTTTGTCAAAGATCAGATCCTTGTAGATGTGAACCACAATCAAATTAAACTAGAAATCAGTAAGAGAAATATCTCTAGAAAGAATATTTCCCCAAAATATGTGGAGCATGAATAACACACTTCTAAATAACCCGTAAGTTAAAGAAAAATGAAATGAAAAATATTTTAAACTAAATGAAAATAACAATCCAATATATCAAAATTGCTGTAATGCTACTAAAGCTGAACTTAGGAGAAAATTTATAGCACTAAAGGCCTATATTAGAAAAAAAGAAAGGTCTCAAATTGATGACCTCATAATGTACCTCAAACCAGAAAACAACTAAATTACATCCAAACTAAGCAAGAGAATGCAAGTAATAAAGTCACAGCAGAAGTCAAAGAAATGGGGGAAAAAATAGAGAAAAAAAAAAAAAAAGGCCAAGGAACTCAAAAGCTGGTTCTTTGAGAACATCAAAAAAAAAAACTGATAAACTTTTAGCCACAGTGATCAAGAAAAGAAGAAACAATCCATTTCAGGAATAAGAGCAGTAACATCACTACAGATTTTACAGATACTAAAAAGGATAATAAGTTAATGTTATAAATAACTAATATATTCGACAACTTATATGATATAAACAATCTTTGAGAAACACAAATTATCAAAGCTCAATCAAGAAGAAACAGATTATCTAAAGAACGTGGCTCTGGAACTATTCCAGAAACTAAACTTGTAGTTTAAAACCTCCAATGAAAAACTCTACACCTAGTTGGTTTCATTGGTGAATTCTACCAAACAGTTGTAGATTTAAGGGGAAAATAATACTAATTATAATCAAACTCCTCTAGAAAAAAAGAAACATACCAACTATAAGAAAACTCTTCCAGAAAACTAAAACTCCTCTAGAAAAATTTGTTAAAGCAAACATTCTAGAAAATAAATATTTCTGCATTTATTTTACATATCCAGCATTACACTGATGTCAAAACCAGACAAAAACATTGAAAAAAACTACAAAGCAATATTCTTCATAAACACACATGAAAAATTCTAAATAAAATTTAACAAATCTAATATAACAACACATATAAAGAATAATGCCTCATAGCCACATGGGGTTTATCTGAGGAATGCAAACTTAGTTTAACAATCAAAAAGTAACCACTGTAATAAGCCATACTAACGAATTAACAAAGAAAACCTATGTGACAATCTCAATAGACAGAGAAAAGATACCTGGCAAAATCCAACATCTATTCTAGGAAAATCTCTTAGAAGCTAGGAATAGAAGGAAACTCCCTCAATTTAATACAAGGTACTATAAAAAAAAGCCTACAACTAACATACTCATAGGTAAAAGACTAATGCTTTCTAAGATCTAAAACAAGACAAGGATATCTGTTCTCACCACTATTTAAAATTGTACTGGAGTTTCTGGAAAGTACAATCAGGCAATTTAAAAAAGGCATCCAGATTGGAAAGCAAGAAGTAAAATTATCTTTATTCACAGACTACATGACCATTTATGAAGATTATCCCATGGAATGGAATCTACAGAAAGTACCAGAATTAGTGAGTTTAGTCTGCACAGTATACAATGTCGCTATATAAAATTGTATTTCTATATTCTAAAAATTAATCAGAAATTGAATTTTTAAAACAATGCCATATATAACAGTATCAAGTATGAAACAGAGATATATCTGACAATATATGTTGAGACCTATACAGTGAAAACTACAAAACACTGCTGAGAAAGGCTAAAAACAACCTAAATAAATGGAATGCTACAGCATCTACATGGATCAGAAAACCCTATTACGATGTCAATTCTCCCCAAATTGATCTATAAATTTTATGGAATTACAATAAAAATTCTGGAGACTTTTGGTAGAAACTGACACAACAGTACTGACATTTATATGAAAATGCAGAGGACCTAGAATAGCCAAAATAACTTTGAAAAAAAAAAAAACAAATCTGGAAGACTATACAAACTGATTTCAAGATTACAAAGCTTCAAGAATCAAGAAAGTATGATATTACATAAAAACAAGAGATCAATGGACTAAATTATAGAATACAGAAAAACATACACATGTATTTGTGTGTGTGTGTGTGTGTATATACACAAAAAAGCCTTTTTTATAAACAATAAACTATTTTTGTTCACAAACATGCAAAGGAATTCACTTGAGAAAGAGTAATTTATGGAATCTATTCAACAAATGGTGTTGGAACAGTGGCTCATCATACACACACACACAAAAAAACTTCAATCCATACGTCACACCATATTACAAAATTAACTCAAAATGGATCACAGACCTACATGTGAAAGAAAATCTTAAAAGTTCTAAAAGTAAGGCCGTGTGCAGTGGCTGGCACCCGTAATCCCAGCACTTTGGAAGCCCATGGTGGGAGAATCCTCTGAGCCCAGGAGTTCAAGACCAGTCTGGGCAACATGGCAAGACCCCATCTCTACAATAAATAAGAAAATAAAAATTAGCCAGGCTCATTCCTGTAGTCCCAGCTACTCAGGAAGCTGAGGTGGGAGGATTGCTTGAGCCTGGATGGTCGAGGCTGCAGTGAGACATGATCATGCCATTGCACTCCAGCCTGAGCAACAGAGCAAAACCTGGTCTCAAAAAAACGTTCTACAAGTAGACATAAGAAAAAACATTTGTGACCAATTAAGGAAAGATTTCTTAGATACAACACCAAAAGCACAATCCATAAAAGAATAACCTGATAAACTGAACTTCACCAAAATTAGAAACTTCTGCTCCTCAAAAGACACTGTTTAGAGAATGAAAAGACAATCCACCTAGTAGAAAATATCTGTAAACCATGTATCTCGTAAAGGACTTGTACCCAGAATACATAAAGAAATCTCAAAACTCAATAATAAAAAACAAACAACCTAATTTTTAAAATTGACAACAGATATGAAGATATTTCAGCAAACAAGATAAAAGATAGCAAGTAAGTATATGAAAAGATACTCAACATCATTAGTAATTAGAAAAACACAAATGAAAACCACAGTGAGACAGCACTGCAGACCTATTCTAATGGCTAAAATTAAAATGAATAACCATACAAACCATTAGAAAGTATATAGAGGAACTGAAATTCTCATACACTATAAGTGGGAATGTAAAATGATACAACCGCTTTGGCAGTTTCTTAGTGAGTTGAAGATATATCTACCATATGAATGTCCACATAAAGACTTGCATTAAGAATGGTCATAATGGCCGGGCGCAGTGGCTCGTATCTGTAATCCCAGCACTTTGGGAGGCCAAGGTGGGCGGATCACCTAAGGTCGGGAGTTCAAGACCAGCCTGACCAACATAGAGAAACCCCATCTCTACTAAAAACACAAAATTAGCCAGGTGTGGTGGTACATGCCTATAATCCCAGCTACTCGGGAGGCTGAGGCACGAGAATCGCTTGAACCTGGGAGGAAGAGGTTGTGGTAAGCCGAGATCACGCCATTGCACTCCAATCTGGGCAATAAGAGCAAAACTCTAACTTAAAAAAAAAAAAAAAAAAAAAAAAAAAACATGGTCATAATAGCTTTATTTGTAATATCCCAAAATTGGAGACAACCCAAATGTCCATTAACAGGAGAGGAAATAAACAAATTGTGATATATGAATTACAATTAAGAAATAAGAATAAACTATTGGTACATAAATGAATCTCAAAATAATTATGCCGATTTAAGCCAGACAAAACAGAGCATTCTGTGTGATTTATTTATTTAAAACTACACGAAATGCACCCAGGCGCAGTGGCTCACGCCTGTAATCCCAGCACTTTGGGAGGCCAAGGCAGGCAGATCACCTGAGGCCAGGAGTTCAAGACCAGCCTGGCCAACATGGTGAAACCTCGTCTCTACTAAAAATGCAAAAATTAACTGGGCATGGTGGCGTGCACCTGCAATCCCAGCTACTCAGGAGGCTAAGGCAGGATAATCGCTTGAACCCGGTAGGCAGAGGTTGCTGTGAACCGATATCATGCCACTGCACTCCAGCCTGGGTGACACAGTGAGACTCCATCTCAAAATTAACAAACAAACAAAAAAACACAGTATAGAAAATGCAAACTAACCTACCACGACAAAAACCAGATCAGTAGTTATGTGGGAGTAGGGATGGGAGTGTGAAGGAGGACAGAGAGGAGGAATTAACAAATGCACAGGAGAAGCTCTTGAGAATGATGTATACATTCAATCACCTTGATTGTGGTGATGGTTTCCCATTTAAAGTTTACACTAAATATGTGCTACTTATGCTAAATAGTTGCTAAAAATTTAACCACATATTGCTAATGGCTACTGTACTTACTAGCACAGGCCTACTGTAAAGTAAATCTAGAGCCTTTCCCTTTTCCTGTCTTCCCCACTAAACATGCCTTTGTCTAGCACACTAGCAAAACATGCACCAATTCTCTAGACACAAGTAGCTGCTTTAACCTCTATAACCCCATGACACTTTAACCATTTCTATTAAAGAACTTTCCAGGTTGTATTAGTATTTATCTGTTCACATGACTGCCTTCCCAAACAAATTAGCTCTTCCAGAAGGGCCATATCTATGTCACCCTTCCATCCCTGAAACCAAGCACAGAGCCTGGCACAAATTATATGTTAAGTATATGTTAAGTAAATGTTGGTTAAATAAAGCTTACAGCTCAACTCTTTTAAACAAGTTTTTCAAAAGCCGGTCTTCTTACACTGTTTTTCTCTTCCAAGAAACACCATGACAATTAACTACATGTATATAAGAAAACTACTAAATCATCCTTGCCTAAAGGAAATGCTTTTAATTCATACATAACTGAGTTTCAAGCCTTTTTCCTTTTTGCAGACTGAGTTTTACATCTATAATTTTCATATAATAAAATTACTGAATGTGTGTAACAATGCTCTGTGTGCTCAGAATAAATATTAAATAAAACAAAGTTTTTTTAAAAAGGAGTTTACATTCAGTGGACTGTCATGCTTTTGGTAACTTTTTTTAATTACTGGGATAAAACTGCACATTAAGACATATTCCTAAAAATACCAGCAAATGCAGAAATATACAAATTGTGCTTAATTAGCGTACAGAGTAATGCAACAAGTCAATGCAATAAATAGCTCAGAACACCTAAAAACATAAACATTTAAAACAATTTAATGTAATCAAGACAAAATCCAAAATTTCAATGTATTTTTTATAGTTAACAACTGTTTTGCCTTTTCAGAGGTCTATGAAAGTGACCTTTCTTGGAAGTCATGAAATTGGATATTTTCCCTCATGCATAGTCACCCAAAAAAATCTGCCTGGAATCAAGAGAAATCATGCCAGAAACTCAGTTAACTTAAAGGTAATCTGATATGTGGCCTTGTCTATTTCTTCTAGGCTATAATTTCTCTGGGGAAAGAGTGTGACTTTTAGTGTCCTTACCAGGGAAAACAGTAAGCATTTTCTTCCCTCTAGTGATACAGCAAGATGAGTGAAAGTGGAAGATGTCGGAAGGTGAATAGGCAAGTAATGCTTGCAATACATTTTGATGTTCCTACAGAGGTCTAAAAACTTTTGGTACCTCTGTACTTCTGGCTGTAACCTCTAAGCTTATTCCATTATAAACTTCAGGCCCCAGCTTCATTCTGAGGTGATTGCGCCATTGAGATCACTGGTTTGTTTTCTTCAACTCACTCGAAACTTTACTGATATTTGTTACTTCACTGGTATTCACTCCAGTTTAAACATTCTCTTCTACAGTCAAGGTATTGTTTTTAAAGGACTGTTTTATACAAAGATTTCCCTGAGGCTAAGTAACCTTTACATACTAAATTCTTCAAAGAAAGAAAAGAAAACTTTTCCCTAAATATGAACTCTGATGTTCTGAAGTTACGGTGATTTTAGATCATTTTTTCCGATCATTATGACATCAGAGCAACCTTATGCAGGCTTTTCTGTAAAGACTCAAAGCATGGACTTTAGCAATAAATAATACTTCACATTGTACACTGCACCATCATTTAAAAAGCATTTTCAGGTGCTAGCTACTCAGGAGGCTGAGGTGGGAGGATCAATTCAGCCCAGGAGGTCAAGGCTGCAGTGAGCCATGATCACGCCACTGCATTCCAGCCTGGGCAACAGAGTGAGATCCCATCTCAAAAAATAAAAAAAAAAAGGTATTTTTGTACGCATCATCTCATTTAAACTTCACAAAATCCTTATAAATGAAGCTTATTAATAACCCTTACAAAAGTGATAAATAAGTCACACAAAATAAAAACCCTGACATCATCTCAGATGATATACTCTGCCTTAGAGCCAACTAAATTAAGATAAGTTCCTGTCAATTACATCTGCAGGCTCTCACTTGTATTCTCACCCAGCTCTGCTCCATGCAAGGCCACCATTTAGGCTGTGCACCCAAATACAGTGACCCCCAGGGGCATCACTTACATTGCATTGTAATACCTGACCAGATATATGTGGCTGTCATGGCTTCATTAATACTGCCCTCCTTCAAGCACCCTGCCTCTACTCTTCCACTACACATTTTCTGTTAACCATATTTACCTTCCTAAAAGGAAAGAGAATTTCTGATTTGAGCCATGATGCAGTAATTGGGACTAGATAAACCTTCTACTGCAAACAATTAAAAAATTAGAAAACACACATCAAAAGACTGCTTCCCAACACTGGAAAACAAATAATACAAGACTGTGATCCCTGAGAAAAAAGAAACTAGGTGAACTCTACCATCATCCTGATTTCCTATCTGGAAACAATTTGTAGATTACTGTGCAGAAGAAAAGGGATTTTTGAGCAGAGCAGTCATACTGAATGGAGGGGACAGAAATTAGAGTTCTGGGAGGAAAAGGCAGCTGGAATTTGCACAGCAGAGGTCTAGAGGAGGAAGCTACGCAGAGAAGGATCTCCAGAAACGTGCATGGAGTCACCTTGGAGTCCCGCTATATTACTAAGAGCAAATCACACACACACACAGTAAAACTCCACAATGGCAGGCGAAAAACAACCAGAGTTGTAAATTCAACAATTCCCAGAGCTCAAACAGGATTGGGAGATGTTTTCAGCTGGAAGCAGTCTGAATACAGCCTAAACGTTGAATGCCCAAAGCATTCAGTAAAGACCTCAGAATGCTTAGCAATAGAGCTAAACTATTCTTAGCAAAAAAGTTTCTCTAAGGCAGGACACAGTGGTGCATGCCTGTAATCCTAGCAATTTGCGAAGCCGAGGAAGGCAGATCACTTGAGGTCAGGAGTTCAAGACCAGCCTAGCCAACATGGTGAAACCCTGTCTCTACTAAAAGTACAAAAATTAGCTGGATGTGGTGGCATACGCCTGTAATCCTAGCAACTTGGGAGGCTGAAGCAGGAGAATAGCTTGAACTCAGGAGAGAGAGGTTGCAGTGAGCTGAGATCATGGTACACTCCAGCATGGGCAACAGAGCAAGACTCTGTCTCAAAAAAAAAAAAAAAAAAAAGGTACTTTAGACTCACTCACAAAAGCTTAAAAACAACTCTTGGAGTGTCTGAGTTGATCCCTAATAACTTAATTTCCTGCCAGAAAAAAAGCCTTACATCTCTAAAAAACAAAAAATGACAAAATCCAAACACTCAATAATGTAACACTCACTATGTCTAGAACTAAATCAAAATCTACAAGGCATGTGCAGCAGCAGAAAAATGTGACCCATAACCAGAAGAAAAATCTGTCAGTAGAAATAGGCCCAGAATAAAAAGGTGATACCAGCAAAAACTTGAAAACAACTATTATAAATTGCTCAATGACTTAAAAGAAAAACAGGAATATCTTGAGGAAAGAAATGCAAGACAATCTAAAAACAAAAGAGTTTCTAGAAATAAAAAAATACACTCTGTGAAATGAAAAGTTTATTGGATGGAATAAACAGGTTAGACACTGCAGAAGAAAAGATCGGTAGCCTGAAGACACAGTAAGAGAAACTATTAAAACTGACTTGTAAAGAGAAGGAAAATATTTTAAAAAATTAAGAGAACCCGTGGAACAGTATCAAGAGTGCTAATATATGTGTAATTGAAGTCCTAGAAGGAAAGGTAAGAGAGTGGACCAAAAAATATTTAAAGATAGAGCAGCCGAAATGTTTTCAAATTTGATGAACAACTATAAACATACATCTCAAACACCCATACACAGAGAAACCTTGCCTTAGTCTGTTTTATGCTGCTACAACAGAGTACGTGAGACTGAGAAATTTATAAAGAAAAGAAATGTCTTATCACAGTCCCAAAGGGTGGAAGTCCAACATTAAGGTGCTAGCATCTGGTGAGGGCCTTCATGCTGTAGCTATATCATACTACGGCAAAAGGCAGAGGGAAAAGAGAACCACCATGCAAGAAAGAGACAGAGAGGGCCAAACCCACTTTTATAACTCATTCTTGAGGTAACAAATGCACTCCTGAGATTATGACTTTAATCAATTCATGAGGATGAAGCCCTCACAGCCTAATCACTTCTTAACAATATACCTATTAATACCTATTAACACCATTACAATGGCAATTAAATTTCAATGTGAGCTTTGGAAGGGACATTCAAACCATGGCAAACCTCACAATCAAATTAGTGAAAACTAGAAAATCTAAAAGCTACTATAGGAAAAATATTATATAGAAAAGAATAAAGATCATTATTGCAGACTTGAAAAATAATGAAAGCCAAAATACAATGGAAAGACACTATTTCATCATCAAAAGGAAAAAAAAAGGTCAATCTAGAATTCTATATCTAGCAAAAATATCCTTCAAAAGCAAAGGCAAAATTAAAACCTCTCAGATAAGCAAAAATAAAGAGAATTTATTACCTGCAGTCCTGCACTATAAAAAATGTAAAGAAAATTCTTCGGGCAGAAGGAAAATGAGACAAGATGAATACCTGAATATACACAAAGAAATGAAGAACACTGGAAATTGAAAATACATGGATTAATATAAACTCTCTCTTAAGACGGATTAAGAAAAAAGCAAAAAGACACAATTTCCAGTATCAGGCAGAAAAGAAGAAACATGACTACATATCTTAAACACAATAAAACAATAATGGAATATTGTGAATAATTTCATACCAATAAGTCAATATAAAAATCAATCACTATTTTTATATACCAGCAACAAACAATTGGAAAAGTTTTAATGCCACATATAATAGAACCAAAGAACGTAAAAACTCTTAGGGATAAATTTAACAAAATGAGTGTAAGACCTATAAATTGAAAGTGCAAAATATTACCAAGGAAAATTTACAGAAGACCTAAATAGATAAGAGATATGTTCATGTATTGCAAGACTCAGTATTGTTAAGATATCAATATTCCCCAAATCCCAGCAGGCTTAATAGAAATCGACAAGGTAATTACAATTTATATGGAAATAGAATCTCTTAATATATCAAATGGAAGAATTAACCCCTTCCTCCAAACACTTATACTTACCATTTTTTACACAGTCTGTATCATATTTCTCTATTTCTCATACTATTTTGCAGTTAATGTTACTCAGTGTTTGTTTAATGTAGTGTGACTTGCTGACTTCACTGTCCCCATGGTAAGAAGGTTCACAGAACAATCAATATTCTACGAAAATATCTAGTGCACTAAAAATTACAATGCCAGGAATACTGCCAGCCAATCTTTCTACTCTGGCTCCTGGCAAGTAGAACTCTTAAAGAAGGGAAAGTAATTTTTTACTAATTTTATACAGGTTTATCAAAATGCAAAAAATATGTATATACAAAATAAAGGCCACTAAGTGACTTATTTTTTAATTCCCTTGTCTTAGCAGCTTGGTAATCTAGGCTCAACGTTTAAAGCAATTACAAGACAACATATCTAACCCACAATTATTTATTTAGATAAGTATTATCTTGCTCTCGGCTGAAAATAAAACTGACAACCCATTTCCAGAGCCTTCAGAGTCTCAATCACTTAATTCTGTTCCAACCTATACATTTTACAAAGTGGTTTTACAAAGTATTTTCACAGTATTTGCTTCTGCAAGAGACAAGATAAAGTTTTCAGTTTAATTCACTGTCTGTTATAATATGGCCCTATGGAAATAATAAAATCCATTTAACACAATATAATACATAGCTCAACAAATGAAAACTTCTGTTTTGAACACATTAAATAAAATTTCAAGTTTTTCATGTTTGTTTCCATTAGGTAATGGTTCATTATCTTCAGAAAGAAAACAAGTGGAAAATGAAGACCTCATATTCATAAATTTGAAATAAAAGACACACACTTCAATGGTTCTAAACTGCAGCCAGACTGGCTGCCTAAAAATTAAGTAGGTAGCTTGTTAAAAATTACGATTCCTAGGTTCAACACCAGCTTCATGCCGCTGGAATGCCTGGGGTTGGGGATCCAGGAATAATTTTTTAAAAGCTCCCCAGGTGACACTAATACAATGTTGGGTATGGATTAAGCAAGAATCAGTTCCCTTTCTAGAACCAATCCCACCATCAAATACATTGTAATAATGACTTTACCAAATTTTTATATTAAATAAGTGAGATATTTGGTAACAGGATATTAAACCACTGTCCATGAGACTCGCTTTTAAACAATTTGAACTAGCTATTGCTGCATTATTTCATGGATCAGCTTTGAAACCTAATTCTGCTACTTACTAGCTTTGTTACTCAACCTCCTGAAGCCTGTTTCCTTTTCTGCAAGAATGAGAGTAAAACTGAATCAGCTTCAAAGAGTTATTATGAAGAGTATGTTAAATAATTCATATAAAAGTGTGCCCTGTACAAGGGCCTATACATAAGGAACTAACATTTTATTGAAGGCTTTTTATTACAGTAGGACTTGTCTGTTTTCTAAACAAGGAGAATAATTATATAAGTTGGTAAAACTGAAATCTTATGATTGTCAAGAAATGCTAATGCTCTTCTTTTTTTTAGCTTAAGTCATATGCATGTAGAATCATGTATAATTAGGTCAAATCATTACACATATTTTAGAAAATCACAGATCCTACTAAAATCAGTATGGGCTCAATAATGTCCTTCACATAGTGATCCCCTATTATCCTCTTGTTAAATGAAAAGGTGAAGTTGCAGAACTATTTGTTCCCTATTGTGTAAAAAATAAGAGGCTATGCATCATTTACATATAGACGAAAAGCTCTCAGGAGAAACTGAACAGAGGAAAACCTCTGCCAAGGAGTGGGAATAAGGTATAGGAAGGAATGACTGTGTTTCTCACCAAATATCCTTCCATACTGTTTAAATTTTTTAGCTTAGGCTTATGTTCTTGCAATTTTTCAGAAGTAGTTAAAACATTTTCAGTCACATGATACAGGCTTTCAAATTTTTTAAATTTGACACTTTCTTCCCATGTCACCTAGAAGGTTGGTGAAAGCCACTGCAAATAGATATAAAGCACTTCCTCTGCAAATAATACGTTCATATCTGAACTGACAATTTCATTAAAAAGCCAATAAAGTCTTTAAAGAAAGAAATGGAAAGGAATATAAAATTAAAACCACTTTAATTTTAAAAAACTGAAGACTTACTTTAGATTTTGCCTCAATGCTTTTATACTATTTACACCTAAACCAGTTGAGCCATATCAAAATAGTTCTGTTACACATACGATACTAAAGCAACTTGTTCATCTTACATCAGGCACTAAGCAAATGCTTTCCTACAGTTTCCCAAGAACTATCTTTACATTGAAATATATTGTTTATAATACCCTCTTCTAAACCAAGACAATAGCTGAAAAACTCCAAACTGGCAAAGAAGCATTTGATACCAGAAAATATTTTCCTAACACAACCCAGCCTGAAGATTATTTTTAATACAAAAAGTTCTAAACATCAGGTACTCTTTAAACATCAATGAGATAGTCAATGAAAACAGTCAGATTATTATTAAATGTTAACAAAAGCTCCTTTTTCTGAACTTTCTTGCTATTCAGTATCTTCACCAAAAAGTGGCATTTATATTTTTTGAAATGTGTTTACAAACATAGCTTTGTTTCACAAAATTCAAAAATACAAAGCCTCCATTCAAATCATAAAAATACCAATTATCTCATCTTAGAATCACTGAATAAATGCAAACCTGCTCTTTTCACACAGAGCAAATGGGCACTTTCAGAGTACCAAAAATCAACCTTAAGACTGGTAAGGCGGCATCTCAGAAATCTGGAAGTTTTACAATCAATAAAAGTTACTGTTTGAAAAACAAAACAAAACCAACTCTACCAGGCTACACAAGAAAATATATTCTATATTTCAGAGGTAAACCATATGAGGATTGAGACACAGAAAAGAGTATTCTAAGAGCCAAAATCTCAGATCAGGTGGCCTTCAGTTAATGAGAAGCTTACAATGAAGAATGTTTTGTTCTAAAGAAGATTACTGAGATGAGAATTATAATCTTTATCAGAGATCATACCTCCAGACTGATATAGCCCTAGAGCTCTCCTCACAAAATGCCCTAACCTTCAAGAGATGCTTTTTCCGGCTGGGCACTATATACAAGACTAACAGGTCTCTCCATATCAGAGCAGTCAACTCAATTCCTAATAAAAAAAAAAAAAAGAAGAAGAAGAAGACCAGGCACGTGACTCACGCCTGTAATCCCAGCACTTTGGGAGGCCGAGGAAGGCGGATCACCTGAGGTCAGGAGTTAAAGACCAGCCTGGCCAACATAATGAAACCCTGTCTCTACTGAAAAATACAAAAAATTAGCTGGGTGTGGTGGTGCATGCCTGTAATCCCAGCTACTCAGGAAGCTGAGGCAGGAGAATTGCTAGAACCTGGGAGCCAGAGGTTGCAGTGAGCCAAGATCACACCACTGTACTCCAGCCTGGGCAACAACAGCAAAACTCCATCTCAAAAAAAAAAAAAAAATTTTTTTGAGACAGGGTCCCACACTATCATCCAGGTTGGAGTGCAGTGGCACGATCTTGGCTTGCTGCAGCCTTGATTTTCCTGGCCTCAGGTGATCCTCCCACCTCAGCCTCCTGAATAGCTGGGACTACAAGTACATGCCACCACACCTGGCTAATTTTTGTATTTTTTTGTAGAGGCAGGGTTTCGCCATGTTACCCAGGCTGGTTTCAAACTCCTGGGCTCAAGTGATACACCCACCTCAGCCTCCCAAAGTGCTGGGATTATATGTGAGCCACCACACCTGGCCTAAAATAATAAAAAATAATTTAAAGGCCTGGCACGGTGGCTCACATATGTAATCCCAGCATTTTGGGAGGCTGAGGTGAGAAGACTGCTTGAGGTCAGGAGTTTGAGACCAGCCTGGTCAACATAGTGAGATACTGTCTCTACCCAAAAAGAAAAAAAAAAAAAAAAGAGCAGCTGGGCATGGTCACGCACACCTGTTATCCTCAGGAGGCCGAGGCAGGCAAATCCCTTGAGTTCAGAAGTTCAAGGATGCAGTAGGCTATGATCATACCACTGTACCCCAGCCTGGGCAACAGAGTTAGACCTCATCTCAGAAGAAGGAGAAGGAGAAGGAGAAGGAGGAGAAGGGGGGGGAGAGAAGGGGATAGGAAGGGGGGAGGAGGGGAAAGGGGAGAGGGAGAGGGAGAAGGAGAGGGAGAAGGATAGGGAGGAGAGGGAGAAGGAGAAGGAGAGGGAGAAGGAGGAGAGGGAGAAGAAGGAGGAGAAGGAGGAGGAGGAGGAGAAGGAGAAGAAGAAGAAGAGGAAGAGGAAAAGGAAGAAGAAGGAGAAGAAGGAGAAGAAGAAGGAGGAGGAGGAGAAGAAGAAGGAGGAGGAGGAGGAGGAGGAGAAGAAGAAGAAGAGGAAGAAGAAAGAAGAAGAAGAAACAATTGCTAAAGACATCATGTCTAGATGTGCAGTCTAACTTCAAAATATGAAGACAACATATTTCCTACAATCAACAAAAGCAGCTTTGGCCCCAAATTCTAAAACCAAAGACGATTTAGAGTATTAAATAAAAGGTTCACCTCTACCACAAATTGACCAGGAAAATGAACTCATAATTCCATTAAATAAGACTATCTTCTTCTGCTTTTATGACTGCTTCCTCACATTGACTATAATACTAGATTATATAACCTCTCCTCCCTGGCCCAACTGGACTAAAAATCAAGGTCGTTTTAGAAAAAATATTGTTTCCAAAGTGTTGGCCAGCTACTGGCTTCCTAGAGTCCTCATAAAACAGAGCTCCTCTAGCCAATGAATCCCAGAATCACACAAGCCATTTTCCCCTCAGTCTCACATTACTAAAGACCAAAAGTGCTATATACCCTGTCAAAAAAAAAAAAAAAAAAAAAAAACACGCTATTAAAGTATCACTTCTTTTTGCTTTTCAGAGCTAGAGCTGACTGTGGTTCTACAGAACCAGCTGTTTTCACATACAACCTCCATGGCTTTACTACTTGGCCACTTCTTGCTCATCCTTGAGCAGAGTAAGTAAGAACACAAGGGAACATTCTCAAAAATGAACACCTCACGTCTCCACTCAGCTAATCAACGTAAGTTTCGGTGCTTCCTTAAAGCCTCACCATGCAGCTTGTGCTAGGAAAGAAAATGCAATTTGGGGAATGTGAAATCTTTCCACCAACCTATCACACATCTCCAACCCTAAATCAAATAGCCAGTTACCAAGTGTTTATTAACCTCAAAGCATGGTACTGTGCAGAAACACAAGTGTAAAGCACTATCTTTGCTTCCACAGAGTTTATAATCTGTCTAATATACATATAGTAAACAACAAAAAAATCCAAATGACAGTATTCTAAAAAATGTTAGGGTAAGTAAAACCTCAGAATTTCCCAACAGAAATACTTTGTTCAATATTCATCAAAAGCAGGCATCAGACTTTTTTTTTAATTATAGGGTTAAAACTCAGGAGGCTGACCAGCTATTATACAATAATTAGTTGCACTCAAAATCTACTAGGCATAGCTGCCATACTGACCTTAGCTCTGTCTTCAGTGGTTAAAAAAAAGAATTAGTACTGTCCTCCACCCAAGAGTCCTTAAAATAAGTGAATGCTACATTTGTAATGTATACATTTGTATACAATGTATACAAATACAAAGACAGTTTTATTTAATGGAATACATTTTTACAAAATTATCACCTGAAAAGGCTGGGGAAGATTTCGTAAATGAAAGAAAATTCAAACCGCACAAGAATGGCAAACAGTATTGCAGGTTGAGAGTGAAGAATAACTGGAAGTAGGAGGTCAGGTGAGGAGAGACCAGTGTCACAGAACCACACAATTCAGATTGAAAAGCAGTGAATATAAGACTGGCTAAGGTAAGTCTCCATCAGATTATTAAAGAACATAAATGCTAAGGTGACACTTTTAATTGTTTTGATACCCAGCAGGGAACAAAGTAGGTCCTGAGACAAATCACAGAAGAAGAGGTTTTAAGTGTATGAAATGGACTGTGTTATGGACTGAATGTTTGCATCCTCTCAAAATTCATATGTGGAAGCTTTAACCCTGAATGTGATGGATCCCCAATGGAGATAGGGCCTTTGAAAGTTAGTTTAGGCTAGATGATGTCATGAAGGGGGGCCCTAATCAAAGAAACAAGCAGCGACACTGAAATGGTAATAAAAAAATTACCACTAAAAAAAAAAAAAAAAAAGTCTCGGACCAGACAGATTCACAGCAGAATTCTAACAGACGTTCAAAGAAGAATTAGTACCAATCCTATTCACACTATTCCATAAGACAGAGAAAGAGGGAATCCTCCCTAAATCATTCTATGATGCCAGTATCACTGTAATACCAAAACCAGGAAAGGACACAACAGAAAAAGCAAACTACAGGCCAGACACGGTGGCTCACGCCTGTAATCCCAACACTTTGGGAGGCTGAGGCAGGGGGATCACAAGGTCAGGAGATCAAGACCATCCTGGCCAACATGGTGAAACCCCGTCTCTATGAAAAATACAAAAATTAGCTGGGCATGGTGGCACGTGCCTGTGATCCCAGCTACTTGGGAGGCTGAGGCAAGACAATCACTTGAACCAGGGAGTCAGAGGTTGCAGTAAGCCAAGGTCGCGCCACTGCACTGCAGCCTGGCAACAGAGCAAGAAAAAAGAAAAAAAGAGAAGAAAAAGAAAAGAAACAAAAAAAAAGAAGAAAAAAAAGCAAACTACAGACCAATACCACTGATGAACATAGATGCAAAAAATCCGTAACAAAATACTAGCTATCTGTCTCAAAAAAAAAAAAAAAGAAAAGAAACGAAAAAAAAAAAGAAAAAAAAAGCAAACTACAGACCAATACCACTGATGAACATAGATGCAAAAATCTGTAACAAAATACTAGCTAACCGAATCAAACAGTATATCAAAAAGATAATCCATCATGATCAAGCGAGTTTCATACCAGGGATACAGGGATGGTTTAACATATGCAAGTCAATAAATGTGATACACCACACAAACAGACCTAAAAACAAAAGTCATCTATCATCTTGATAGATGCAGATGTGGGAAAAAGCATCTGACAAAATACAGCATTCTTTTATGATTAAAATCCTCAGCAAAACTGGCATATAAGAGACATACCTCAATGTAATAAAAGCCACCTATGACAAACCCACAGCCAACATAATACTGAACAGGGAAAAGTTGAAAGCATTCCCTCCGAGAATTGGAACAAGACAAGGATGCCCACTCTCACCACTTCTATTCAATATAGTCCTAGCCAGAGAACCCGACAAGAGAAAGAAAGAAAAAGGGCACCCAAATCAGTAAAGAAGTCAAACTGTTGCTGTTTGCTGATGATATGATCGTACACTTAGAAAACCCTGAAGACTCCTCCAAAAAGCTCCTAGAAGGTTGCAGTGAGCCAAGATCACGCCACTACACTCCAACCGAGGAGACAGAATGACTCCGTCTCAAAAAAAAAAAAAGTTCCTAGAACTCATACATGAATTCAGCAAAATTAACGTATACAAATTAACGTATACAAATCAGTAGCTCTACTATACACCAACAGCGACCAAACTGATAATCAAATCAAGAACTCAACCTGTTTTAAAACAGCAGCCAAAAAAATTTAATACTTAGGAATATACCTAACCAAGGAGGTAAAGGACGTCTACAAGGAAAACTACCAAACAGTGCTGAAATAAATCACAGATGACACAAACGGGAACACAACCCATGCTCACAGATGAATCATGGCAGAATCAATATTGTGAAAATGACCATACTGCCAAAAGCAATCCACAAATTCAATGCAATTCCCATCAAAATACCATGATCATTCTTCACAGAACTGGAAAAAAAAATCCTAAAATTCATATGGAACCAGAAGAGCCATCACAGCCAAAACAAGACTGAGCAAAAAGATCAAATCTGGCATCACATTACCTGACTTCAAACTAGACTGTAAGGCCATAGTCACCATAACAGCATGGTACTAGTATAAAAATAAGCACACAGACCAATGGAACAGAATACAGAACCCAGAAATAAACCCAAATACTTAAAGCCGATCTTCAACAAAGCAAACAAAAACTAAAGTGGGGAAAGGACACCCCATTCAACAAATGGTGCTGGGATAATTGGAAAACCACATGTAAGAGAACGAAATTGGATCCTCATCTCATACCTTATACAAAAATCAACTCAAGATGGATCAAAAACTTAAATCTAAGACCTGAAACTTTAAAAATTCCAGAAGATAACATCAGAAAAACCCATCTAGACATTGGCTTAGGCAAAGACTTCATGACCAAGAACCCAAAAGCAATGTGACAAAAACAAAGATAAAGAGGTAGCTCTTAATTAAACTGAAGAGCTTCTGCACAGCAAAAGAACAGTTAGCAGAGTAAACAGACAACACACAGAGTGCAAGAAAATCATCTCAATCTATACATCTGACAAAGGACTAATATCCAGAATCTACAAGGAACTCAAACAAATTAGCAAGAAAAAACAAACAACCCCATCAAAAAGTAGGCTAAGGACATGAATAGACAATTCTCAAAAGAAGATATACAAATGGCCAACAAACATATGAAAAAATGCTCAACATCGCTAATGATCAGGGAAATGCAAATCCAAACCACAATGCAATACCACCTTACTCTCACAAGAATGGCCATAATAAAAAAATAAAAAGATAATAGATGCGGTAAAAATGGAACACTTCTACATTGCTTGTGGGAATGTAAACTAGTACAACCACTACAGAAAACAGTGTGGTGATTCCTTAAAGAACTAAAAGTAGAACTACCATTTGATCCAGCAATCCCATTATTGGGTATCTACCCATAGGAAAAGAAGTCATTATATGAAAAAAATACTTGCACACACGTTTATAGCAATTCACAATTGCAAAAATATGGAACCAGCTCAAATGCTCATCTATCAACTAGTGGATAAAGAAACTGTATATATATACATGATAGAATCTGTATATATATACATGATAGAATACTGTGCAGCCATAAGAAGGAACAAATTAATGGCATTCACAGCAACCTGGATGGAACTGGAGACTATTGTCCTAAGAGAAGTTAACTCAGGAATGGAAAACCAAACAACGTATGTTCTCACTCATAAGCAGGAGCTAAACTATGAGATACAAAGGTATAAGAATGATACCTTGGACTTTGGGGACTCAGGGAAAAGGGTGGGAGGGCGGTGAGGGATAAAAGACTACATATTGTGTTCAGTGTATACTGCTTGGGTGATGGGTGCACCAAAATCTCACAAATCACAACTAAAGAACTTACTCATGTCACCAAATACCACCTGTTCCCCAAAAACCTACGGAAACAAAAAATTTTTTTAAAAAAAGAGAGACACCAAAGGGCACATATGAGACCCTCCCACCATACACACACATACACTGAGGGCACAGTGAGAAGGTATCCCTCTGCAAGCCAGAAAGAGAGCCCTCACCAGAAGGTGACCATGCTGGCACCCTGATCTCAGGCTTTTAGCCTCCAAAACTGTGAGAAAATAAATTTCTGTCGTGTAAGCCACCAAATCTATGGTATTTTGTTATGGCAGCCCAAGCAGACTAAGACAGATTGGAAAAAGAGAGCAACTGGCAGCAAGAAGACCAAGTAAGGAGACTACTGCAATGTCCAGTAGCAAAGCAACAGATTACACAGCAAGCAATTAGCTACAGAGAAAAATAAGCTACCTCACTTGGCCCCAAGATTCTTAGAAGTTATATTCAAGAACCCTCACTATCCGTTTCCAAGGTCTTTAGTTTTGCTGTTTCACCTACCAGCTATTCTCATCGTTGCAATTTAAGATAGATCTTCAAGAAAGCATTAGGAATTATTACAAAGAGAGAAGCTGAGACAGAAGCCCCAAAATTTTCTTGAGTCCAGTCACGCAACTGTCAAATCGTTCCATGACCCTTTTCTCCCAAACCCAGTTAATGTCTTATTCTGAAGAACAATCAGCAAATAGCTCCTATGAAGGCCACAAGTACACTGACCTCCATCAAAGCTACCTCAATGGCTCTACCGGCACTGGGTTCCAAAGGAACCCAGTAGTCTCCTTACTTTGGATTTGTCAATTCCCTTCTTCAAAATAATGTAAAAACTTGTAAACAATACAATCGCATAAGATACTTAGGAAGTCATGTAAAATCCCAATATTTCCCAATATAAGGTAAGACAGCTATTTTATATACCCAGACAGACACTCTAAATGGAAAGGGACAATACTGGATGCTGCAGGAGCATCTTCATCACAAAGTCCTAATCACGAAGAACCAGGAAACAGCAGCGTCATCAGCAGACAGATCCAAGTCCTGTCATTCATGGATATGACTAAGTCAGACTTTCTTCCTTCAAGCATAAGCTTACAGCAGACAAGAGTTTCTCTAGCGTTTCATAACCTCCTCTTTGTATCGTCTCCTCCTCACTCAGGAGTATAAAAGTGTATCTGAACTTTTTAACTCTTTAAAACGTTAACTCTTTAGTGTCACTAAAATTTTGTTGAGATTACTGCTTATCAGTACAAAGTAGAAGCAGACTATTCCTAGGAACTATTCAGCTGTCACACATTCATACTTAAGCCTGGGGTTAACTTTGTCACTACAGCAGATCCTCAACAAGCATTTTAAAAACTGAGCTGAGAATAAAGGACTGAAGGGCACTAATATGGGGGCTCTATGGTTTGGAATACAATTAACAGAATCCTCACAAAGACTATGTCTGAGGATTTATTTTACTTTAGTGCTTCAATTTCCCCCATTTAACCAAAAAGACTCATCCAAACAATTCTGAGATTCTGATGAATTTATAAGAGATTCTGATGATTCATCAGAATTCTGACATTCTGATGAATTATATACAAATATTATATATATTTCATTCTGATGAAATATATATTTATATGTAAAATAATATGTAAATTACATATTAAAAATTATAAGGAGTTCCATAGGCTAGTGTTCCTCTCAGTCACCTGATTTAATCTTCAATAACTGACCATCAGAAATGTTTAAGTTTTATATGAAGATTCCCTCTCTCCATATGTATATGAAAAGCTTGGAATCCCTTTCAAGACTTGCTATGCCACCTAATAACTAATATCTGTACAGACCACAAACCTCCACATTTTAGAATTTCCATAAAAACTTTTAATCTGCTCATTATCACAACACCCTCAGGCAGTATTTTTATTGTCCTCATCTTAGACATAAGATAAACAGACTCAGAGAGGTTAAAATATTCTGCCCTAGGATCACATATCTAGTAAATAATAAAGCCAACACTAAAGCAAGACTTCGAATCTCCAAACTGCTCCTCTTTCAAATATACCACAATGTATCTTTATTTTCCACTACCTTAAACAAACCATTCTACACAGAACAAAAAACAGAGCATTAGTAGGTACTCGCTCAAATACCTACAGATGCTCTTTAACAAAACAACAGCCCAATCTACTTCTAAGTAAATAAAAATACAAAATGAACTAATCTTAACCCTTTCAATATTAGCATTATTACCTTTCATTTAATGAATTAAAAGTTCTGTTCTATTAAAGTATCTTCTGTATGTTTGATAACATTTTTAAACTACTTTTGGAATAAATATTTTCCATCCACTTTAACTTGTTTTTATAACTAAACACTAAATCTTTGAAAAAGGGGAAATAATAAAAATTTTCCATACTATGAAGTAACCATTCTTTTCTCTGACCTCAACTAAATGGTAGCTGTGAATATTCCAATATCTTCCAACTATCAAATTTCATATTCTTCCCAACTCACAAAGTCTAAAGACAGCTTAACAATAAGACCACACAAAAAAAGAATTACACTTTTATAAAGCTATCTGAGGTTGTAGCTATTTATATTTAATGTCTTGAAATACTAAAAATAAAGTCCTTAATTAACTATTTTATGGAGGCTTTTAATTATACTGTTTTCTCCTTAATAAAAATAAATCGGCCAGGCACAGTAGCTCACACCTATAATCCCAGCACTTTGGGAGGCCAAGGTGGGCAGAATTAAAGAACAGCCTGGCCAACACAGTGAAACCCTGTCTCTACCAAAAATTACAAAAATAAGTGTGGTGGCAGGTGCCTGTAATCCCAGCTACTTGGAAGGCTGAGGCACAAAAATCGCTTGAACCCGGAAGGCAAAGGTTGCAGTGAGCTGAGATTGCACCATTGCACTCCAGCCTGGGCGACAGAGCCACACTCTGTCTCCCAAAATAATAATAATAATAATAATTAAATAAATAAATCTTGAAGCACTTTTGGAGAATATCAACAGTACCCCATTTAAGACTTCTTTTTTTCTTCTTGTCACCTTGGCTTCAGATAAGACTTCTTATTATAACAAATTTCAAAGATTTCTAGAGATACTAAATTCCTCCTCAAGACAAACCATGCTCTTGTAGATTGGTATCAGTGCAGGTGCAACTACAACTGATTAGAGTTTGCTACTTCTGAGGGGCAATAAGAAACCACAGGCAAATGTATTTCACTGTTGATTTCTCTATTTCCTCTGTAAAATGAACAGTTACCAACTTCCTACAAGAGTTATGAAG
The DNA here is from genome assembly GCF_000001405.40 of Homo sapiens. Lineage (NCBI taxonomy): Eukaryota > Metazoa > Chordata > Mammalia > Primates > Hominidae > Homo > Homo sapiens. Next base: position 56,932,242 of record NC_000015.10, on the reverse strand, counting down.
TAAATAGCATATGAGTAAATATTTATGAAGCACTCTTATCATCACTGATTTTGTTTTAAAACAATAAGATTCCTCCCCTTCTCCCAATCATTCAGTGGACAAAGTCCTACTGCTATTATAACTTATTTGGCAAGTCTCCAGAGTCAAACTCAGTGAGAATAGAGTCTGCTCGCTACAGGCACTGTTCCTAAGCTTGAGAAGAGGGATTATACAAATATGAAGGCAAGAGAGACCCTGGCACTATGGCATGTTTTGTGTTCCTGCAGTACAGCATCTCAAACCCCTACAAACTTTAAGTGGATTTAATTATTCAACATTGTATCATGGTTCTTAAGACAATAACACTAGCAACAGTACAAGCAACAGGCTTGCAAAGCCACCAGAAAAGTCAATGGCTTACTGGTCTACCTCTCAAAACAGACTACAGCAAACTAGTTTATTACACACTTCATTACTACTTTCTTAGTTTATATTAAACAGTAGTGGGTCTGAGCCAATAACAAGCTCCTGAGGAAAATTTTACACTCAACAGAATCATAACCTGTTTTTAATTAAGATGCCTGTAATGAGTATATTTCAGGAATAAGCATCATGCTACTAATCTATGAAAACTTTTCACCAATATAAAAGGAAAGAATAAAGTTTACCAAAGACTGATTTTGTCTGTTCCCTACAGCAAAGTATCTTGGCTCTACTTTTTCTTCTTGAAGATGATTAGGATTTTCTTAACTGTTTGCTCTCAGTAAAAATTCAAAAAAGTATGGTCAGGGCTGAGGCTTCCTTATGGTAGAGATCATATAATGCTTCTTATATATACAAAATGGGGACCAAATGAAAAGAATTCTACACTCCTGATTTTTACCCTGAAAATTTCTCTGCATGCTTTAACTGACCAGAGAAATATCAGCACACTCCTTGGCCCAAAAGATGAGAAAGCTTCTCTCTCCTCAAAACAGATCTTGATTCCCTAAATCAATGTATTGGGTGGACTACTCAAAGAATAAAACTCAGCCTGAAAAGCTTATATTCCAAGAAGAATTTGCTTTATATAAACAAGTCCACCACAATTTTTTTTTCTGTATTTAAAATGATGAAGTCTCTAGTTGAGACTTTTGAGAACAAAAAGTTCTTACTGTGAGTTGAAAACAATCCCTGGGGTGGGGGGTGAAGGAACGAGGGAGAGGAGGAGGAGAGAGAGAGAGACAGATCTCCATAATACCTTTTCTAAAATCCATGGGGCCAGGTGGGTTTTAGAACTCAGTTTTTCAGATTTTAGAAAGGAAACATAGTATATAGGTATATATGTCACACGCTACAAATCAGCTACTGGCAACCACACAGGAACTAGGAAAATAGAGAATGTCAATGGCCTCCCTTCAGATAAGATCAGATTTAGCCATCAAAATACTTCATGCTGAAGTTAACTGTGGTTGAGATCTTTTTGGATTTCAAAACTGCAGATAAGGGACTGTGGATCTCTAACTGGGAAAAGGGGATCTTGACAAATAAAATATGCTATCACCTAGAATAAAAAAAAAACTAGCTGATACTTAGATAAAAGATATTAAGGATACTTAGAACAGTCTTGCAATGCCTCTAATTATCTACCTAATTGGAAAGTTACAATCATTTTAACTTATATGTTCCTATCAAGAGATTCAACATGAAACACTTTTCCCTTTAACTCTATTCCCAACTGAGAATAACACTAAAAAACATTTTCTAAAATCCGAGTATGTCAGTACCAAGTAGATTAAGTAAATGGGCCTCCGGACCACATGACAAAGTTGGCTAGATATAGTGGGGTTTCCAAATAGGAAAAACCTAAAAGGATCCTGCAGGAGAACTCAAAGATTCTTACCCTTGGCACAAGTGCCCATATAAGCTCAGATTTTCTAAACTGACCTGTGGTCAAACCACGCTACTGTTTAAAGTGAGCCTAGCATTTTTTACACTCCAAAGGTACAAACCAACCACTTATTCATCCCCAACCACCTCAAAACAACAACATATGCCTCTGGGACCAAGAAGCTGGATGACTGTAATTCCCTCCCAGCAGAGATACCTTCCATGCCCAACCAACATTCACAACTCTTGCCGACAGCAGCAGCACATTCACTCACTGACTGGAGTAGCCATGATTATATTAAGTCCAACCTGTGTTCACTGTATCAGCTACCAATGAAGTGATGAAAGAGTAATTATGAGTCAATCTTGTTCATTTTTAAAGCCTGGAAATAGCTCACAGGCAAAACTAACAGAAGCAAATACACTGACAACTTTTGAGGGAGGCCGCCTCCAGAGAGACTTCCATTTGGCAACTAGAATGATCTTCCATAGATTACCACAAATTTAGAGAAACTCCCTCAGTTCAAATTCAGGCACCTTCCTAACACCACAGAGCTGATAAAATGACATCTTGGGCCAAATTATCCCAATTTTAATAACCAAAATACAGTAAGTTATGGTAGTAGTGGTTTTTTAAGGGAAAAAAAGGTAGTATTTTCTGTCCTGTACCTTATCTCAAATTGTTTTATTATATTATTTTGAAGGTTTCATCCCTGAGTCACCACCCACTGCAATAAAAATTAGTAACCAATCTCTAATGCATTTTCTTTTCTGTGGGATCTTTAAATGTGATCTTTAGGTCCCCAAGCAGCTTACAGTAGCTTGGATGACTCACCATGGTCTTTATGAGAGCACATTTTTAACCTGGAACACATGAGAGCACATTTTAAACATGGAACAAAAAAAAACCAAAGCTCTCTCTATAAAAATTACATTTTCTTTTCAAGTCAAGGGTATCTTTAAAAATTACAGAATGATCTGGCTGGAAACAAGAAAGTTTCAAATAACAGTCATGTTATTAACAAAACTATCTGTGCTTCAGTTTATGAAAATAACAGTTTTCTTTCTACCAAAACCATTTTTCCCCCTGATGTAATGATCCCTTTTTACAGGCTTCTATAGGAGCAAGAAAAGGTGCATGAAAAAATACAGCTAAAGATATGCTCTAGAGTTGGGCTTCTCATTAAGGATTGGCCAGCATTCCATTCCACCCTGACCCTTATCCCCAAAGATACAAACCAAAACAGGAGGAAGGTAATGCCATAACCCAAAAATGATGCAACTTTAGAACTTCAGTTTTACTCAATGATTAATGAAAACATATTTAAATTACTACAGATATGTTTGTGGTAGCAAGTAGAAAATAAAATGTACATGAATTTTTAAGATACAATTTCTTCCACTCACTTGCAACGTGCTGCTTCAGGCTACCAAGGGAGTTTATGTTCCTTCTTCTCTGCCATTAAGAAAAAAAGTGAATACGTTCTACCCTAGAGACTCTTAACATTCTCTCCAACCTGTTCCCAGGCGTTCTATCCTTTCCAGTCAAGTAATTTTTATTTTACTTAATTATTTAGACTATGCCTCACTCCAGAAAGAATTTCAAGTAGCTGGAGAAAGAATATGGACAAAATGCTACATTCAAGTGGCGGTGATGCCTAAGCATGGAAAAGGATTTTCAAAAGGTGTACACATTCTCTTCATTATTCTGCACTCTACAAAGTATAGTCTACAAAATAATAACATTAAGAATAAATCAACTAAAAAAGAAAAGTTAAGGTTCCTGGGTACTTCATGACTTTTCAAAACTACTTGTATGCCTGATTACTTCTCAGACTTCATATACACAATTTTATGGCACTAAAAGCAACTCTGACTTGTTGCTCTTGTAGGGGTATTGCCTCACTTCCAACACCACAGACAAAACATTTCATTTTATCCAAAGTAAAATGAGATAATGCCCATAAATTGCTTATCACAATGCCTAGTATATAATAGGAGTTCAATAAACACTAGCTATAATACTGGCTTTATAATGATTTCTAATATAATCACTAGTATTACCGAGAATGCTAGTTAGAAGGTACCACAATAATAGCAGCTACCATTTTTTAAGCAGCTTTATAGGAAAAAAATATATAGATAACCTTATTTAATCTTCACAAGGATTCTGTAGGTGGGCATTATTACCCACTTTTCACAAATGAAAAAAGTATAGCTCTGATTATTTAAATATCTCACCTAAGGCCATCCAGCTAGTAAGCTGCAAGTCATCGATTCCAATCCAGTTGTCTGGCTCCTGAGCCCAATTCTTTCCAATACACTATATTGTCTCTCTCACAAAAAGTCAGGAATTCAAGGGCTCTCTCACTGACAAGACTCCAATTAGACTCCACTCCATTTCTATAAGCACAGGTCAAAGAATGACAGGAATTCCCTCCAGTCACCACACAACACATTTGTATACAAGCACAAATGTGCTCCAAATGTCATAATGCATTCCATTCACATACTAATAAAATTTTGTATTATTACATTAAATAATCAACCAAAGTCACTAATTTTATACATGTAACTCCACCATTAACATCAATCCCTGGCCTGATAATTTATCTCCCTCTGTGTTCATTTCCCTAAGGGAATTCATTAGTTTTAATTATTAACTTGTAGGCACAAAAAACAAAATTTGCATCTCCTAACCAAAAGAAATCAGAATGTGGGCAAAAACATATACATACACAAAAAGGTGGTCAGTACCACATTATTTATCATATCAAAAAGCAAATTAACAAAAATCCATAAAGGTCAAGTAATAAAAGAATGGATTTGTTAAGTTATGCTATATTCATTCCATTTAAGAGCATGCAACTATTTTAAGCCAAGTTAATAACAGGAGAAAATGTTAATGGTAGAAGATTAAGTGAAACAAAAAACAGGACATAAATGAACTAACATTAAGTTACCAGCTTTGCAAACGGAACTATAAGAAAAAAAGACAAAAAGGAAATAAATCAATTTTCTCTGGATACTGAAATAAAGCTAATTTTTCCCCTTTTGCTTTTTCTGTTCTCTAATTTTCTTTTCAATTATGACTATGTATTAACTTTATATGCAGAAAAAAGACGGTCTTCTTTTTAACCAACATCTTTACCGAGCATGCTTCCCTCATACATCTCCAAATTAGCCAGAAGAGTCCCAGGTCATGTGAAATATAAAATGCAAAAAACAATTCAGCATCTTTACTACCTCCAGCACTACTATCCTCCAATTATGTCAGAACTGCAATCTTGAGTCATTTCTCTTACCTACAGAAAGCCAATCCCTCAAATTCTAACAATCCTTTACTTCTGTTATTTTTCCTTCCTATTCCCTACACTAACACCAAATCTAACCCTTCACCAGCTCATCCTAGATTAGCATAAAGGCCTCCAAAGTAAATAAATGCCTTCCTTATTTTAGTGTCTCACCACTAACAATTTACTCCACCACAGCTAACTATGTGCTAGGCACTATTCTTGGAACTTTACATGTATTAACTCATTGAACACTCCTAACAACCTTATAAGGATAACGACTATTATTAGTCCTGTTTTATAGATTAAGAAACAGAAGCAGACAAGTAAAGGAACATACCCAAGATCACTGTGCTATTCACTGGTAATTTCTGGATCTGAACACCTGTAGTCCAGCTCCAGATAATAATATGTAAATATGAGCTCCCCCAGGAATTAAGGAGTGGTGATTAATAAAAACCAGCTTCTCTCTCTCTGAACTGTACAGGCCCTTGGATCAAGCTAAATTCCCATTTCCAGGTCTCTCCTCATGCTATTCCTCAGCTGTAAGACCAGTTCTTCTCTTCCCTAATTCATTGTCCATATCTCCATCACAAGTCAACTCTAAACTCAACATTTTTGAGTTTTCCTTAAGCCAGTTCCCTGACTCTTCAGCACAGCCTCTTTCTTATGGACTCAATTTAAACTACAATAATGTGTGTTTGTTGACATTTTCTATGTTAGAGAAGTTTACCTCAGTATTTTACTTCCCATCAAAATAATAAATTTCTCCACTGTTTTTTTTTTTTTGAGACAGAGTCTCCCTCTGTCACCCAGGCTGGAGTGCCGTGGCACAATCTCGGCTCACTGTAACCTCTGCCTCCTGGGTTCAAGCAATTCTCCTGCCTCAGCCTCCCCAGTAGCTGGGACTACAGGCATGAGCCACAACACCTGGCTAATTCTGTGTATTTTTGGTAGAGACAGGGTTTTGCTACGTTGGCCAGGCTGGTCTCCAACTCCTGGCCTCAAGTGATCTGCCTGCCTCAGCCTCCCAAAACGCTGTGATTACAGGCGTGAGCCACCACGCCAACGAAATGTCTCCACTTTTTCTGAGCAATGACCTTCTCCATTTCCCATCTTCCCAAAAACTGCTAGAAGAATGCATAGGTAAATACTAAATAGTTAACTGATAAAAATGAGATACTTATGGCACAACTATTTAACAAAGCAGACTGTCATTCATTAGTCTTTTGAATATATTTAAGTGTTTGTCTTCTCATTATCTTCCCTAAACACAAACAATTTAGATTTGCAATTTCAACATTCCCATCCATAAACATACTTTCAAGTGATACCCAAAAGCAGTCTTATTAAATGATCTTTTAAAAAGGCATTCCACACATTGTCCACAAATAGCACTTCTTTTTCTTTTTCAGGAGAGCCTTTCTAATAGTGCTACTTTTACTTTCTTTCAGCAAGATTACCCAAGTCTTTGACAACACTAGGCAGACAATGACATTCCAGGAAAAGACTACCAATTGTTTAAGAGCAGAAAAGACTATATGGCTTTAATAAGACAGCATTGTTTATTGCCCAATTAAGTATAAAATTTGAAAGTTGTTTATAGTCAAGGTTGGATATCTTCATCTTTATCTTCTCATTTCAAAAGGCTTGTTTAAAAACTCAAAGATATAGCAAAGGATACCTTGAAGACAGAAACTTGAATTTGTGTTTAAATGGCTAATGAAAACAAAAACAGTAATTGTAGGTATGCCTCACTATATATAATAAACAAGCCCCTAAAATGTTGTGATCTAATCAAATTGTTTTTCAAATCCATTATAAGCAATGACTACGGGGTTGGGGCGGGGGGGTGGGGGGGCGGTGGACACCATTTGTTTGTGGTTTTTTTTTGTTTTTGGAGACAGAGTCTCATTCTGTTGCCAAGACTGGAGTACACTGGCTGCGCCATCTCAGGTCACTGCAACCTCTGCCTCCCAGGTTCAAGCAATTCTCCCACCCCAGCCTCCTGAGTAGCTGGGATTACAGGTGCCCACCATCACACCCAGCAAGTTTTTGTATTATTAGTAGAAATAGGGTTTCACCATGTTGGCCAGGCTGGTCTCAAACTCCTGACCTCATGTGATCCACCCACCTCGGCCTCCCAAAGTGCTGGGATTACAGGCATGAGCCACCACACCCGACCTTGTTTTTCAATTGTTCAGGAATTGTCCTGAAAAGTATACAATACTCATGGTTGTAATCTTGTCTCTAATTTTTATGTTTTCCAAGTATGAGTTTTCATAAACAGGTTTTCTCTAAAAGACTCCCTTGCTACCTTTTACCTTAAATGAGCAACTTAATAGCAGACCATATTTGTCCTAAAATATATTTTTCCCCACACACCTGCTGACTCTGTGGTTACTCTCATTAATAACTACAGCTTACCTGAAACAAATGTCTAACATGGCTCAATATTAACAAGTATGTATTTACTACAAATTATAGCTATTATAAATTTCAACACTAATATGTACATAATATGAACCACACCCTACTCATAACCTTAAAATACCTTAAGTGAAAGGTCAAACCTGGTTTCCTCTCTAAAATCACCATTCCTATTTCTATCACAGTTCAGTAAAAACCTACAGTGGTACAATTTTGGTTTTCTCTTGATTTTGTTCTTGATATGTTCAAGTAATGCTACAGCAATTTGAAAAGCTTACTCCACGTTTAACAGAGAAAGAAGGCATTTAGTAATCTTACCATTTTTTTAATTACTTGAAAAGTGGATGCAGTTACAAAAGGCCAACACCAAGAATTCCTGTGGTGACAGAACAGTTTTTGCATCTTGACTGTATCACTATCAATAACCTAGTTGTGATACTGTACTAATTTTTCAAGGTGCTATTATTGCAGGAAACTGGGTAAAGGGTATATAGAATCTCTGTATAGTTTCTTACAACTGCATATGAATCTACAACTATCTAAAAATAGAAATACTGAAGAGTAATTTAATGAGAATTCATTTTTCTGGCCCTATGTCAATATTTTCAAAAAGCCTGTAAGTACATCTAAAAATAACCCCCCGCCCCACAAAAAAAGATCAGTAACTGAAAAATGAAAAACTGTATTCCTTTTTAAAAATTAAGAGCCAGAAAATACTTCCTACAATTATCTCTGAAAATTTTGGGCAAAAAGAAACTATACTGTTACAAACGTCTGAATTCAATAAGAAAAAGTGAAGCTTTACTTAATAGTTAAAATGACATTCTAGATAGAAACACCAGAGAGATGCTCAATATCTACAGATGGCTTACAAAATGACAACATCCCTTACTACTTGGATTCAAAAACAAAGGAAATTTTCAGATATCATACAAACAATCTACTAAAAACTAACCCAAAATCACAATCTAGACATACACACTCAAACCCCGAAGTTGAGGACATGGATTTAAACATCTGAACCATTTCCATTTTGTCAATCCTTTTAACCAACTTTCCTTCTATACACTGCCCTTTGTTTCTATACACTGCCCTAATTAGAGTGCCTGACCTTTCACTCCTACAGAAAGAAAAGTTTCTCTCAAGGTCACTTTAGGAACACTTCACAGAGCCTATCATACCAAGTGAACAAATTCACTCTCACCATAACGTGAAGAAAATTTTAACACCCTGATGAAGGAATAACATAACAGATCCTCAAGACAAATTAGTAGTAGTAAACACACCTTTATCTTTTCCAGAGTGACTTCCGACACTCATAAATAACTCAGCCATGATGAGTTATTTGTTTTGCTTCAGGAATAAGATTAAAGATAACATCACATGCTATAGTATATATTCTTTCAGCTAAAAAAGCTTCTGAAAGTATTATATATCGTTTCTCAAAAACAGCCCACTGTGAAATTGAGTCTTCCTCAAAAAGGACAAATAAGAAAGGAAATTACAATACCTGACTATAAACTCTAGTTTTCATAAGTCAAATGGCATGTAGTTTTTATAAATGTTACTCCAAAGACAAAACAGAAAACAAACAAAAAACCCTAATCTTTACTACAGCAGCTCTTCAAAAGGAAAGTCAGATCTTTAGCTCCTTAATAGCTGCAAATACATAGGCATTAGAGTGTATTACATAATATCCTTTGAAATCAGGGCAGAAGGTTATTCAAATGTCAATAAGGTATATAAATATAAAATATATAAGTAAAATAATGTTACTATACCAATTTCTTTTAGACATTCCCTTTAAGAACTGGCCACAGAAAAATTATATCTACCAGTACATCTTGATTTGAAAAAAAATCACATGGCATTTTCTCTTCCCCAAATTCAAATCCATTCACTAATTAAAAGTCACAGCTTTTTTATTACAATTTTTTGTAGCATTTAAAACAAAACACACAGATAAATATTGCTAAGTCCACTGACTACAGGTGTGTAAGTTCAAACCTTTCAATGGATAACAAATCTAACTTTTAAAACTAAAAGTTCCTACTCCAAATAATCAAATATGGTGACCATTCGCAATGTAGAAAAATAATTTTTTCTTTGTGCAATGCAACGTACTGAAGTCCAAAAATTGCTCCAATGCCATGCTTATAATCTATATCCCAGTTCACATACTTTTTAATTTCACAGACTACATAAATCCTTCTTAAGTTTAAAAAGTGAAATAAATGTAATTGCCTTTATTCTAAAAATAGAATGCACTTCTAACAGCAAGTTCCTGGAGTTCATGTTATTGTATCAGTGACTGTCCAGTTATATATATTTACCATAACTTAAGCTGGAACAGTAGGCAACAGTAATATCAAGACTCATTTTTAAAAAATACTAAGCATCATCTACTATGTATTAGTCAAAGTAAATCTGAAGGTTCCTGAGAATGAATTATTAGTTGCAAAAATGAGATGTATCAACACCAGTAAAGAAATACAGCCATCTTCTACAACTTTAAGATTATTAAATTTTCTCCCCCCTCCCCAAAAAGTAACAATTTTCAAATGATTACCAGTAAAAGGAAGGAGGTGAGAGAAGAGTTGGGACTTGCCTATCGTTTCATGATGTCCTTTTGATCAAGAATAATACTAGTCTTTACCCTACTTAAAATCCAAAAAATGCCTTCATTTCACTTACTTAAGATGATTAAGGACATGCTATACTTTCCCCATAAGCTCTAATTTCATAATTAAAAATGAATTTTAATAAATTAGTATACAATTTTTAAAAACAAACTTTTTAGAATGTAAAGTGGTATAAAGTGTTTAGGTGGTTATGAAATTAACCTTATTTTCTGATGTTTTATTCTCACAGTATTTTAAGAAACCAACTATCATTTTACCAGGGGAAATAAAAAGCACCCATCAAAGAGGCATTACTGAGTTTCAGCCCAGAGATTTGACAGTTGGTTTTCTTAAGATGATGCTGTCATGGCTTTAGTTATTTTTTTCATCTCTTAAGCACAAAGAAATAAATTTAAATTAAATAAAAAGTTACAGCTTTTGCACACTGGAATGGACCTTCCTTCTAAAATATTTTTAAATTATGAGTTTTTAAAAGTTAAAAAAAGAAAAAATGCATACTTAAGAAAAATGGGATGTTTTAAAATGGAGCACAGTAGTCATAAATGTATTGAAAGTAAATTTAAAGACAAGATCACTAGTGTGTAGATCTACTTTAACTTACTCTAAACATTATCATAATGTAATCTGGATATAGGAAAGGATTCAGTCATCTAATACTTATCATTTAAAAATAAATCTAAGTTTCTATTCATTTTGAAAATTTACCCCACTAACATTTTAAATAATTGTAAACGAAACTACTGATTTCCTACAGATTTCTGAGGGAACTGTCATCTTTTAAAATTAATAAATCTTACTAATTATCACTTGACTCAATTCCATCTTTTATATACATATATTCAATAATATTTAAATGTTATGCTTTCTATTTTTCTACTAAAATGTATCACACCACCAAAATATGAGTCTTTAGTTTAAGACATCATCTTACCTGATCCACTGAATTGACTGCTTCCCAGTGTAGTTGGTCTAGTTTTCCCACTATTAACAGGTGGGGAAAACATCTGCAAAATAACCCAAATATATCTGTTAGTCCTGAAATTCTTCTAGATTCCTTGCAAACAAAAGTCCACCAAAAGTCATCCATCAGTTATTAAATTTCAGAGGGAAGTTAAAATAAAATTGGAGATACATTCAGATCCAGAGAGGCAAATACACTGAATGATACTATTTCCTAATTAATTGGAAATAATGGTTACATTTTGTTCTGAAGACCCGATCATTTACATGGAAGAGTCCAAGATTATTAAGTTTAAACAGTATAGTATTACACATGATCTTTACTGCAGAACTAAGTGAATTTCATTACATTTACATTATATCTCAATATACACAGTCAGAATTATGGCCCATTAAATTACTACATACAGTAAGGATTATAACTGAATTGTATAAAGCAGGTATAGGTGCTGCCTCCTAACAGCAGTTAATAAAGGAATTAAACCCATTAAAAATAAAAGCAGTGGGCCCTTAGGTTTCAGTTGATGTTTTTAAGTCATTTCCCATGTTAAGAACATAATACACACACACACACACACACACGTGTGTGTGTGTATAAAATAAAAGTACTCTGTTTCAGAAGGCTCGAAATTCTAGCTCTGGACTACTTTTCTTGTCGCTGACATCTTTCAGGTACCATAAACTACATCTGATACTGGAGAGGAAAATGGTGAGGAGTACTGAAGAAAAAAACAACACTTTTTCATATAAAGTACAAGATCCCCAATAATCATCGCGGTGGGAGGGTGACTCAACCAAAGGTCATAATTACATTGTTCTCCTTTTAACTGGTTAAATCAAATGACCCCTCTGGCATTAAAGTTTTAAATGTGCAAGTCTAGACATTACATCAAAGTTCAGGTGTCCAACTTGGGGGAGCTGGACTCCAGCCCTGAGAACTACTGCTTAAGCAGAAAGCAGATGGAGTTCACGCTGCCTAGTCTCCACGTTGCTTCCCCTCACCCTTTATTTAAAAGAAACAAACAAACAAACAAACAAAAACCTCAGCAGAACCCCAAGATGCCATGGAAAGCTCTCATACCGCACTGAAGTCCAGTAGGTCGCTCAGCTCCTTGTCGGTCCCTATAGCGGCCATGCGTTGTTGCTGGGGATTCATCTTCGGCCACTTCTAGCAGGTCCTAGGGCAGAGGAAACGGGCTCAGCGAGAGACCACCGAGGCCCAAAGTGTGTGAGGGAACAGAGAGAGGTACTGGGGAAGATTACGCAAGAGCGCTGGGGGCGCCGGGATGACTTCCAGGACCCCGACTCGCTCCCACCGCGGCGCGAGCAAGGGGCGGGAGGGCTCAGTGCCCGCGCCGGGTCCCGGAATCCACGCGTTCCTCGCCGCGGCCCGAGATCGACGCGGCGGCTCCCGCAACTCGCCGCCTCTCCCCCAAGTTTCCGAGCCAGTCTCTGCCACCTCCTCGGCGCCCCCTGCTCCGCGCCGCCGCCGGGTGCTCCGCGCGCCGGGCCCGGCCGCGGCTGGGGTCTCGAGGAGCGGGGTGAGGGGCAATTCGGCGTCCAGCGAGCGGAGCGGCGGCGAGCGGAGATGCGAAGTGACTCACTCGCTCGGCAACAATAGAACTGACAAGTTGCAGGGAACGCGCCGCTCGCAGGCCCGCGTCTGCGGCCGCCGCCGCCCGGACGTCCCCGGCGGGCCCAGGAGGTCGGAAAGCACCCCCAGCTCATCCAAGGGGCGTTTTTAAACAGAAAACAGAAACCCCGACAACTAGTCTCGCTCTCGGCCGGCGTCCTCCTCCCCAGGCTCGGCCTCCTCCCACTTTTGCTGCCCTGCCCCGGACCTGCCGAACAATGAGCCTGGCTCCGCGGCCGAAGCCGCCCGATCTCCCGCGCGCCCCGGAGCCTGGGCGCCGGCCCGAGTCGGGCACCGAACGGGGCGCACAGGCCGAGCGCGCCGCCAGCGGGCCTGAGCGCCCGCGACTCGAGCCTCCGCCCCCACTCCGCTCCCCAACTTGGAGGGGACCCCGGGTTTCGCGCTGTACAAAGGGGCGCGGAGTTGAGGCGGGGGACGGGGGCGCCCCCACTCCGGCAGGGACGCGGCGGCGCCCCGCAGCCCCCAGCCCCGCCGCGCCGCCCCACTCCCGCTCGCTAGCCCGCAATTACCTGCCGCCCCGTCTCCGCATCCAACCACCCCGATTAAAGTTCACTTTGGCCGGGAGAACGGGCTTGGGCTTCCCCTTGCACCGCCCAGCGGCTCGGTTCACTTTGCCCCGCACGAGCTCTCGGGTCTGGGAGGGGGAGGCGGCTTTCGGGCCTGGCCGCCCCTTCCTCCCGGGGCGGGCTGTCGGTCCCCCCGAATAGAACTTGTGGGTCTCTTCAGGCGGACATTTTTTTCGCTGAGGCGGCCTCACCACCGCGCTCGGCTCGCCTCCGGATCCCTCCGCGCCGGGAAGAGCCGCGGGTTAACCCTTCCCTCCCCGACCCGCTCCGCCGCCTAGGAAGTGGGGCCGGCAGAGGGGGCGGGGAGGAGCTGTCGGGGACTGGGAGGAGCCGCACCGCGGCGGGTGGACAAAGCCCGCGGTCGGGTGAGGCGGGACGGAGTTGGGGCCGGTGGGGAGGGGCATGAGGCGCTCGCAGGCACCTCGAGAAGCAGGCCCCGACCGCTCGCCGACGAAGCCTCGTCCGGGCCTCCTGGGAGCGGGGTGGCAGGTACCGTGGCGCCTCCTCGCGTTGGTCTTGCTGGTTCTCGGCCCCCGAAGCGGAGCGACGGAGACACAGCTGTGGAAGCATCTGGATCCGCTGCCCAGGTCCCCGAGCTTCCCGGAACCCGAGGCCGCAGGACACTGAAGGCTGCCATTCCCGAGTAGGTCACGCTGGACGCCACCCTAAGCTGGGCCCAGAGGCTCCCGTCCAGGAGGGCTGCAGTCGGCGCAGACACCGCGCGTGTGGAGACGGGAGACCCATCCTCCTCGGCCGTTCCGAGAGTAGGCGCGGCCGGTCAGATTCGATGCAGAGCCGAATGCGGGAGAAAGGGCAAAACGTACCTCAAACCAGACAAAGCCTTGTGAGCTTCAGGTTCTCAAATACCCCACTCACCCAGACCCCACATCTCCAGTCAGCCCCTCGCACCCAAATCCCATTCGGAGCAACCGAACTGCACGTGGGACTAGTTCTTGGGAATGGATCAAGCCAGTCTCTTCATCTAACGGAGACAGCCCTGGGTGGCTCTGTCACACAGCCACTGTCTTGTGCACAAGTTCTGAACTTGGCCTCAGAGAAGCCCCAGAGTAGAAAGAAGACAAAATAAGCCCCAGTTCTTCGATTCTGGGCTGAAGTGAGATTTTCTTGAATGGCAGCCATTGTTTTGCCTCTTAGGTAAGTGAGTGCAGTAAAGACCGGTAAGGCCCACGCAGAAGAAACACTGAGGAAAGAAGACACTTCCAAAGTAACAAATGGGAGGAAGCAGCCAACGCCCGAGGACAACATGGCAAGAAGGAGCCTTTGGATTCCGGACTGGGATGGAAAGAGAGGTAGATTCAGCTACCATATGCCATTACTGTAGTTAGTACAGTTGTCTCTATATCCGTGGGATTGGTTCCCAGACTCTGGATTTTCTAAGATGTTCAAGTCTCTTACATAAAAATGGTGTGTTTCCCCATATACTTTAAATCATATCTAGATTACTTATAAAACCTAATACAATGCAAATGCTATGTGAATAGTTGTTAAGGTGTATTTAGGAAATAATCATCCAAAGAAATCTCTATATTTTCAGTACATTTTCAGGCTATATTTTAGGCTCTATATTTTCATGTATTTTCAGGCCTGGTAAGCCTAACTACATTTTTTGTTTTCAGTTGATTGAATCCCGGAATTTGGAAACCCCAGATACGGAGGGCGGACGGTACAACCGGAGCTGTCAGGTGGATTTCCAAGGCTTTGCATTGGCTGTACCTGAAACTTATGGTGGCCTAGACTCCCCAGTATCCACTCTTCCTTATCTTGGTAAACAAGCCCAGTTCTGAGTCACATCCCTGCTCTGCCTACTTACAGGGGCATGTGGTCCCAATCTAAGCAACGTAGCATAATTCCAACCTAAATCAGCAGAATCCCATTCCCTGCCACAGTTATTGGCTGGCAATGAGCGTAACATATTTGGGCCAATGAGAGGAGCAATTTCCTGGTCTTTGTTGGGAAAAGTTTTTCTTTCATTTTCTGAGAGCGCTTCAGAGGTAACCCATTCTTTCTGCATGTCCTCAAAAAAACGGGTCCCCTGGATGGTGGGTAGCCATCTTCCAAATACAAGTCTAGCCGGGTTAAAATAAAGAAGACATCAAGAAAACAAACATGCATAGAGATCTGATCTTTGGTGACTTTTTTTTTTTTTTTTTTTGAGATGTAGTCTGGCTCTGTCACCAGGCTGGAGTGTGGTGGCAGGATCTCGGCTCACTGCAACCTCCGCCTCCCAGGTTCAAGCGATTCTCCTGCCTCAGCCTCCCAAATAGCAGGGATTACAGGTGCGCGCCACCATGCCCAACTAATTTTTTATTTTTTTAGTAGAGTCGTGGTTTCACCATGTTGGCCAGGCTGGTCTGGAATTCCTGACCTCAAGTGATCTGCCCTCCTCAGGCTCCCAAAGGGCTGGGATTACAGGCGTGAGCCACCGTGCCTGGCTTTGGTGACATTTTTGAGGCTCTGAATCAAGCAACTTCTGAATTCAGGTCTATCTTCACTGATTAGACCAATAGGATTCGAATTTTCTGTTGTCTGTAATCTAGTGTGGTCTACACAGTACCACCCCAATGACCATTTTTTTAGTAGCAAAGACATAAACGTCAGGTAGGAAGTCTGATTAGATCATTTTTAAGGCCCCATTCCCATGTGTTTTAGTTCATTTTCTCCTACTGCTAACAGAATACCATAGACTGAGTGATTTATAAAGAAGTTTATTTGGCTCATGGTTCTGGAGCCCGGTAAGTCCAAGAGCATGGCACTGGCATCTTTAGAGGGCCTTCTTGCCGTGTTATCCCGTGGCAAGTGAGCACACACAATAGAGAGTAATCCATTCATGAGGGCTCTACCCTCTTAGAAGTTTCTCTTAAAGGTCTCACTTCTCAACACTTTTGCATTGGGGGTTAAGTTGTCAACACATGAACTTTGGGAGACACATTGAAACCATAGCACTGTGATAAGATTCTATGACTCCACAGTAAAACTGGAAAGAAATCTTGCAGAAGGAGAAGGTATGTGATCCCACATGTTGGATTCATGCTGTTTTCAAGATTCTCTTCTCATCCTGCTCACACAACTAGTGCAGAGGAAGAATATCTGTCTGCCCAAACCTTCAGTCATAGGGGCTCCCTCATTACTTAGGGACTGATTGGTGAAGTTTTTCATATCTATTATGGCCCGTATAGTTTTACTTTATAATTTATTTTCCTTATTAGATTGTGAACCCCTTGAGGGTTCGGACTGACATGCATCTGTCAGTACCATGCACCTAACGTAGTGCCAAGAGCATAGTAGACCCAAAAAGGAGGAGCTGGAATTAAAGCTATCATTCATTTGACATTATAACATGAAGTTATTTTTCATAATATAGCCTTTGCTTGTGTCATTTTTAATAAGAGAAAATGATTCCCACCAGTGAATCTCCTATAATAGCTCTGACTTATATAGAAGACAAAAAGAATATAAAAAGTGGAGTTTTGTATCACTTATAACTCATTTCTGGGCCTTTGCTGACACATCTAGATAGGGCCAGAAGCCTTTATTGAAAAGCTCAGAGAGAAACAACTAAGTAATACAAATTCAGTGTTAATTAATAGTACTATTTGTGTAGTATAAGTTAATCCCTATCGATAAGTTAATATTGAAAAGTATTTAATGTGCATTTCTCACATGCCGGGCATGGTGTTAAATGTTTCAGGACAGAAAGTCTAAAACCCATACTGCCCTCAAGAAAGTTATAATCTAATAGATTTTTTTTTTTGAGACAGAGTCTCACTCTATTGCTCAGATTAAAGTGCTGTGGCACAATCTCAGCTCACTGCACGTTTGCCTCCTGGGATTAGGTGATCCTCCCACCTCAGCCTCTGAAATACCTGAGACTACAGGTGCATGCCACCACGCCTGGCTAATTTTTAAATTTTTCTTCATAGAGACAAGGTATCACTATATAGCCCAGGCTGGTCTCAAACTCCTGTGCTCAAGTGCTCCTCTCACCTCAAGCCTCCCAAAGTGCTGGGATTATAGGCATGAGCCACGATGCCCAGCAATCTAATAGAGCTTAGTTCACTGTCCATTCACTGTAATCCACTACTGGACAGACACAGGAATTCTGTCAACATGGTTTCAGCCTCCCCACACACACAACACACACACTTCATCCTTGAACACACATGCATATTTTATGGGACACCAGAGTTGCCCAGAGAAACCTTTATAGTCAAAAGGAAAAGTAGCTAAAGCAATGGGCTTTTTGCTTCCTTGGCAGATTGACTTAACCTTGGACCCTTTTTAGAAGACAAGTATTCTAGGAAGCTAAGAGGAGAAGGAGAGAGAGAAGAGAATCAAGTCAGGTGTTTAGCGGGGGTAGTAAATTACTCTCCGGATGAAGTGACTGGCCTCCTAACGTTATCCACTAAGATCCGAGGTTGACGGCTAGTAGACCGTATGGTAGCTTTCTGCTCTATAGGAGAATAACTGGCCAGGTGCAGTGGCTTATGCCCATAATCCCAGCACTTTGGGAGGCTGAGGCTGGCGGATTGCTTGAGCCCAGGAGTTTCAGACCAGCCTGGGCAATATGGAGAAACCCTGTCTCTACAAAAAATACAAAAAATAGCTGGGCATGGTCGCATGCGCCTGTAGTCTCAGTTACTTGGGAGGCTGAGGCAGGAGGATTGCTTGAGCCCGGGAGGCGGAGGCTGCAGTGAGCCAAGATTGCACCATTGCGCTCCAGCCTGGGCAATGGGAATGAAACTGTCTCAGAAAAGAGAAAAGGAGAATAACTGTCCCCTTGTGACTAACAGGGATAATTTATGTAACAGTGAGTTTAATAAGTATTATCCTCAGTTCATGGCACTACCATCATTGATGAACTAAAAGCCAAGACTTTTTACTCTCTCATGAGCCAAATTCTACTAATGACCAACCATCTACTCTCCGCATTCTTTTCCACCAGCCAGCAAGAACCTCCCACTGTTGTGGTATTTCCTGGTAGAGATTTCGTCTTTTCCCTCTGAATGTTGATAGATAAAAATAGTTCTCTACTCCTTGCCAATATCATTTTTATCCACTATTTAAGACACTTAGATGGCTTATATGAATGCTATATTCAGATATGAGGACATGCCCCCCCCAATTGTCACTCAATATCTTTTACACTCAGTATCTTTTTCCCCTTTAGAATCTCCTTTCATATTTTATAAAAACACACATTTACACCAAAATCGAGACAAATTCAGAGGCCAGGAAAGGAAAAAAACTGCTAAACAATCTAGAGCATCAAACTTGGAGAGATATTTCCATTTTTTTAACTTAGTAGAGTTAATCAGAAAAAATGAATTAATAACCTTTTTCCATATTTCTGTGTGTATCTTGGCACAGTGCCTAGCAAGTAGTAAATTGCTCAAAAAACATGTGTTGAGAAATGAATTGTTATTCACTTCTAGGTAGAGATGGCAGTTGAACACATGCTCCAAATTTTGTTCCTTCCCAAAACCACACTAAGACATCAGTAATGAAATTTTCAAAACAATTTTTTTTTCAGACAGGATTTTGCTCTGTCGCTCAGGCTAGAGTACAGTAGTGCAGTCACGGCTCACTGCAGCCTCGACCTTCTGGGCTCAAGGAATCCTCCAACCTCAGCCTCCTGAGTAGCTAGCATCACAGGCGCACACCACCATACCCAGCTAATTTTTGTATTTTTTTGTAGAGACAGAGTTTCACCATGTTGCCCAGGCTGGTCTCAAACTCCTGGGCTCAGGTGATCTGCCTGCCTCAGCCTCCCTAAGTGCTGGAATTACAGGCGTGAGCCACTGCACCTGGTCCCCCAAATGTTTTGTTTGTTTTTTGTTTTTTGTTTTAGACAGTGTCACGCTCTGTTGCAGGCTGAAGTGCAACGGCGCAATCTCGGCTCACTGCAACCTCCACCCACCAAGTTCAAGCGATTATCATGTCCCAGCCTCCTGAATAGCTGGGATTATAGGCGCCCGCCACCACGCCCGTCTAATTTTTTGTATTTTTAATAGAGACGGGGTTTTGCCATGTTGTCCAGGTTGGTCACGAACTCCTGACCTCAGGTGATCTGCCCACCTCGGCTTCCCAAAATGCTGGGATTACCGGTGTGAGCCACTGCGCCTGGCCATATTGGGTACCTTTTTAAGGAAGGAGTGCCGGACTCATGTGCTTGTAATGGCATGATGGAAGTCAGCTTACATATTTAGAGATTTGTGTAGGCTACTCCCACAGATTAAGGATTAATTATTTCCAAAATAGATGCTCTAAGAAAAAAATCAAAAAGCAAAGAATACTTACCACATCAAAGCACCTGAAAAAATCCTCCCTTTTGCCAGTAAAGTAAAACTTGTACAGACTAAAAACTTAAGTATTTGGTGACTTGCCAGTCATATGATGAGAATAGGGAAAGGATAGCTGTTGTTAAAAGAATTGTTGGATGCAGTGGCTTATGCCTGTGATTCCAGCACTTTGGGAGGCCGAGGTGGGTGAATGGCTTGGGCCCAGGAGTTCAAGACCAGCCTGAGAAACAGGGAAACCCTGTCTCTACAAAAAATTTTAAAATTAGCTGGGCATGATGGCAGATGCCTGTAGTCCCAGCTACTCAGGAGACTGAGGCAGGAGAATCGCTTGAGCATGTCCTTTAATACCACAAAAAAAGTCCTTTAATGTAGTATGGTTGTTTAACATAGTGGCCCACACCTGTAATCCCAGTACTTTGGGAGGCCAAGGGGAGGATTGCTTGAGCCCACGAGTTTGAAACCAGCCTGGGCAACATGGCAAGACCCCATCTCTACAAAAAATTTTTAAAATTTAGCTGGATATGGTAGCATGCACCTGTGGTTGCAGGTATCTGGGAGGCTGAGGCGAGAGGATTGTTGGAGCCCAGGAGGCTGAATCTGCAGTGAGCTGTGTTTGCACTACTGCAGTCTGCCCTGGGTGACAGAGTGAGACTTTGTCTCAAAAAAAAAAAAAAGTTGTTTAAAAAGATGATGGTCATTCATCATCTTGGACTATGACAAATATCCACTACCATTCTTTTGCAGGTTTGGTTGTAAAGGTGGTCAGTAGAAAGTTATGAATGATGATTTAATTTAATTTTTCAAAAGCTTGAGTCCTTATAAATTCAGCTGCTATTTTGTAGACTCCTGACTGCCTCTGCCATTAATTTATTCTTTCAGTTTTTCATCAATTGAATAAATATATATTAAGTACATACTTTGTGCCAGAACTGTCTTCTATGCTTGGACTATACTAATGAAAAACTAGAAAAAAAAATCCTGTCTCCATGGAGCTTACATTCTAATGGGTTGTCTTCAGTCCCTGTTGGTACTCAACATCAGTTTTCAAACTTTTAAATTCCAAACAAGGACAGGTTAAATGGGTAGAGCAGAATAAGAAATCTAGTCTTTTTTCAGATTTAGAATAAGTTCTGTTTGTTGGCTTAGTTCCTAGGCACCTGGCTTTTCTTTCCTTTTCTTTTTTTTTTTTGACACAGAATCCCACTCTGTCACCCAGGCTGGAGTGCAGTGGTGCAGTCTCGGCTCACTGCAACCTCTGACTCCCAGGTTCAAGCAATTCTCTTGCCTCAGCCTCCTAAGCAGCTGGGATTACAGGCGCCTACCACCAAGCCTGGCTAATTTTTTTGTATTTTTAGTAGAGATGCGGTTGTTGGCCAGGCTGGTCTTGAACTCCTGACCTCAGGTGATCCGCCCACCTCAGCCGCCCAAAGTGCTGGGATTACCAGTGTGAGCCACCTCACCGGGTCTGCACCTGCCTTTTCAAATACGTGGCAGGGATGCATTCCAAAAAGTATTTAGTGTTTGGAATGCTTCTCTCATTCTAGTGAGTAACGTGAGAGCTAGCTATTAGAAATGTGCATATTGGAAGGTGGGCGTGGTGGTGCACATTTCTTGTCCCAGCTATGCTGAAGGCTGAGGTGGGAGGATTGCTTGAGCCCAGGAATTGGAGGCTGTAGTGTGCTGTGACTGCACTTATGATAGCCACTGCACTCCAACCTGGGTGACAGAGCGAGACTCCGTCTCAAAAAAAAAAAAAAAGAATCTTTGAAAGTCTCGTTCCATTGCCCGCTTGCTTCCAATGTTGTTGTAAAACAATGGATTCCATTTTTTACTTTCAGTCCTTTCTATTTGTCTTCTTTTGTGTCCTGTCTGGAAGCTTAAAGGTCTTCTCTTTGTCTGCTGTGTATTCAGATTTCCTGATCACAGACTTTGGTGTAGATCTATTTTTATCCATTGTGGTGTCCACTTGATGAATTCATTCAATTTGGTAATTTATACTTCAATTCAGAGAATTTTTCTTAGATTATTTCATTTACTTTTTTTTTTTCTGAGCTCTTACTATTTGAATTCTGAACTTCTTGAACTGGTCTTCTCTGTCTTTCTGCTTAAATTTCCTTAATTTTCTTTTCTAATCTTTTTTTTTTCATTTCTACTTTTCTATTTTCTTTTCTTTTGCTTTTTCTTTATTTTTATTTTTATTTTTTTAAGTAGATACAGGATTTCACTGGTTTTGCCCAGGCTGGTCCCAAACTCCTGAGCTCAGGAAATCCATCCACCTCGGCCTCCCAAAATGTTAGGATTACAGGCATGGGCCACCATGCCCAGCCTCCTATTTTCAATCCTAAGGCTCTTTTTTTAATATCCTGAACACTATTTCTTCTTTTTAAAAAAAATTATTCTGTCTGCTTTTGTTTCATGGTTGCAACTTTCTCCTGACTACATATATATGTATGTATCTCACATGTAACTCTAGAAATAGTAAATATGTCTAACTGTATATAGTTTTATTTTCCTTCTTTAGTCTCTGTTTTCACCAATTCACTTTTTGTTATTTCAATTTCTCTCTCCCACAAGAGAGACTTCCCTCAAACTTCTGATATTCGTTGGCTGTGTGTAATATTTAAGAATCGGGCAGCAAAATGCTGATGGTGGGTGCCTGTAATCCCAGCCACTCAGGAGGCCGAGGCAGGAGAATCACTTGGACCCAGGAGGCAGAGGTTTCAGTGAGCCGAGATTGCGCCATTGCACTCCAGTCTGGGAGACAAGAGCGAAACTCCGTCTCAAAAAAAAAAAGAAAAAGAAAAAGAAAAAAAAAAAAGACACCCAATACCAGAACCCTGCAGAAGGGAAAAGATGGCGCTGAATACATGAATACACAGAACTAGGCCTGAGATTTTCATGGGAATAAGAAAATTCTTTCTTGGTTTCCTCAACTCTTCTTGTGATCTCAACTATCTTACTTCTGAAAACAAGCAAATAGATATCACTTAGAACAGTGGTTCTCATATTGTGATTCTTGGATGAGTAGTATTACTATCACCTGGCAACTAATTAGAAATCCAAATTTTGGGGCTCCATTCAAGACCTACTCAGTGAGTAGAACTCCATTCCAGAAATTCTGAGGGTTGGGCTAGCAACCTATTTTTGTTTGTTTGTTTTTTGAGACTAGACGGAGTCTCGCTCTGTCACTCACGCTAGAGTGCAGTGGCCCAATCTCAGCTCACTGCAACCTCCCCTCCTGGGTTCAAGAGATTCTCCTGCCTCAGCCTCCCGAGTAGCTGGGACTACAGGCGCATGCCACCATACCTGGCTAATCTTTGTATTTTTAGTAGAGACAGGGTTTCACCATGTTGGCCAGGATGGTCTCAATCTCTTGACCTTGTGATCCGCCCGTCTAGGCTTCCCAAAGTGCTGGGATTACAGGTGTGAGCCCCCGCGCCCTGCTGCAACCTATTTTTTAACAAGCCCTCCCTGTGATTCTGATGCCCACTAAAGTTTGAGAAACAATATCTTTAGAGTAGTGGCCCTGTGAGGTCCTTAACAGCTCAGGAAAATTAAGATGAACCTAAGTCGGGCTACCAGAGTAGATACCTTGAATAGATAAAGACTATTGGAGAGATGTACTTAACAAAATACAGCAACGCTAAAAGGAATAAAAATGCATTTAAATTAACCTTTTTTTTTTTCTTTGAGACAGGATCTTGCTCTGTTGCCCAGGCTGGAGTACAGTGGTGCAATCATGGCTCACTGCAGCTTCTAACTCCTGGGCTCAAGCAATCCTCCTGCCTCAGCCTCCCAAGTAGATGGAACCACAGGCATGCGCCACCATGCCCAGCTAATTTTTGTATTTTGTGTAGCGAGTTCTCACTATATTGCCCAGGCTGGTTAAATTAACCATTTTTAAATAGTTGCTAAAAGCAAAAGTTATTACTGGTGAAAAGTCCAGAAAAAGGACACTATGTGACACCAAGTTCAGCTCTCACCACATGTCAGATCTTGTAAATGTTTTCTTACAAGTCACTGGCATCTTAGGCAAATTCAATCTATTATAATAGTCAATCTGTTGTCTATTTGAACATTCATCAAAAAATCATGGTCAGTATTCTCAAATTCTTAGTTGCATATGATCAGTTTCCTTCAACCAGGAGTTCTTCAAGGGTAAAGGTTTATATTGTATTTATTTTTTCTTATTAATAAATGTGTCTTCCTTCTAATGCCAATAATCTCTCAGTAATTGTTTATTAATTAAATGAGAAATTGTATTTTCAGTGAAAGTTACCTTGTCTTGATTCCCCTGGGTGATTTCATAAAAATGAATTGATTGATTTGGATTAGATGATTTAAATTGCACTTAATTATTGACACTTTTATTTAAGAAGAGTTAGGGAACAATTGTTCTTATATATGCAGAAATATTTTATTTGGGGATCATCTGTTGAATTTCTAATTTCACTCCACTGGCATTTTTATGCAATTACACATTAAGTTTTTGTGATTGGGACATTCTTCTTTAAATTTGAGATGTCTTAGTATAATTTTCCTATTCATTTGCATTATAAGCCTATTGGAGTTTTTTTTTTTTTAATTGTTTCTAATCTTTAAACGTTAAGCTTAAATGTTCACCTTAAACCTTCAAACTGTGTTCAGTAGCACAATGAAAGAATGCCATTGAATATTTTAAACATCTTTTACATGGAGGGATATCAACTTCCTCTGGAATTGGGAACGAAAGCTGAGGAAAATAGTGGTTGAGATTTGCTCATTATTTCCTGGGTCTTTGGCTACCCTCTTCCACTCTATTTCTAATGATCTGATATGTTCCATCTTGACATTATTCAAGTTTTCATAAAGTATGCTTGGTGGGATTAAAACTGCCAAATATATAAATTTTCTTTGCTTTCTAAATCTGAGTTGCATTTAGTCTTTAGATATGACTTAAAATAGAATTAAAGAAAGTGAAAATGAAAGCATTAATAATCATCTAGAATATACTTTCATTTACTTCAGTAACATTTTTATTTGAACAAGGGATTTAGTATTTTATTTCCCTTTTAGCCAAATAATGCAGTTTTCTTAGAAATGTAGCTTCATTACATTCATTTGTTGAATCAAAAGTGCTCTGATTTGTTTTTCCAATGAACCCTCTAAGAACAGAAGCGTTAGTCTATAAGAAAAAACTCTACCTTGGCTCTCCCAAAGTGCTCCTGTATTGACTTGTGTGACTGTCAGTCACACTTGAATGAAGCTCACGATGCTAATGAGAAATCAAAATCATAGGCTTATCCCCAAAGGATCCGTTAACTTCTCTCAGAGAAGCAAGGGTCTCTTCACACAGATCAGTCTTCTGTTCCTGACCACCTCAAAAGGTATTGGTCCCAGAAGGACAAAGCACAAGAATGTGGCTGGCCCATCAATAACATCCATGTTGTTTTTTTGCTCCATCTGTAAATTGAACTGATTTGCAGCTAGGTACACACGTAGGGGACTTAAAAGAACTATCTGAAACATTAGGATGATTAGCATGAAGTAATAGGTAAAACAGTGGGGGTGGGGAGGAACACATATGCTCAAGTGGGAACTTGTTCTCTGCATTTCAAAGATGCCAGTGCAATGTTCTTAAAACCTGACTCTTTTAGTCAATATGTCTAAGTGGGTTCATTGTTTATTCTGTCAATCAAATAGAAACAAAGATCTAGACACAGTAGACAGTTCAAAAGATTTACATTTTAAGACAAAGTACATAACAGAATATTCATTAAAGACAGCTTTAAAATAGTTAATGTGAGTACCCATCAAGGATATGCAAGTAAAATGAGATCCCATGTTACAACTGCCAAATTAGCATGGATATTTTAAAAAGCATGATGATCAATGCCGGTGAATATGCAGCTATAGGCACCCATAAACACTGCTGGATTGAATGTAGATTAGGAATTAGTAAATTAATAATTAGCCAAAACCACTATGGAAAGCAACTATTCAGTATATCTCAAGAGCCTTCTAAATGCTCATACTCTCGACCTAGTGATTCTACTTACAAAAAATTTCTACTTTCAGGAAAATAGGGGAAAAGTTTTATTTGTAAAGAAAAGCATTATGTTTATAAGATTTAAAAATAGATATCCAGTGAGGAGGAATTAATAACATATTATGGTAGATCAAGAGAATTTTCAAATCTATGGCATTTTTTTAACCGTGTTTTTTTTAATGAAATTTAGAAAGTTTTTCCTACAATTGGAAAAGGCTTATATCGATGTTACGGAGAAAAAAGTAGGCTATGAAACCATAAAAGCATAATCTCTTTCTGAACTTACTCTTTCTTACATTTGATAGTAAAATTCAGTTTCTCTGATTTAACCAACCAGTGATTCTCTGAAACACTCTGAAATTTACCCTTTGGTTTTTCCCCTTCCTGGTTTCCTTTGCCAGCCCTTCTCTATACTCTTAGTCCAGTGCTTAATTTCCCTTTTAGCCAAATAATACAGTTTTCTTAGAAATGTAGCTTCATTGCATTCATTTGTTGAATCAAAAGTTCTCTGATTTGTTTTGCCATCCTTGCCTTAGTGTTAATCTGCCAAACAGGCATGTAAAATGTAAATAATGTTTCTTACACCTGTATTTTTTTTGTTTTTTCTTGTTTGTTTGTTTGTTTCTCTTGAGACAGAGTCTCACTCTTTTGCCCAAATTAGAGTGCAATGACACGATCTCGACTCACTGCAATCTCTGCCTCCTGAGTTCAAGCAAGTCTCCTGCCTCAGCCTCCTAAATAGCCAGGATTACAGGCATGTGCCACCACGCCCAGCTAATGTTTTTTTTTTTTTTTGATGTCTTTATTAAAGCAGAACTTTCTTTTTTTTTTTTATTATACTTTAAGTTCTAGGGTACATGTGCACAACGTGCAGGTTTGTTACATATGTATACATGTGCTATGTTGGTGTGCTGCACCCATTAACTCATCATTTACATTAGGTATATCTCCTAATGCTATCCCTCCCCACTCCCCCAGCCCCACGACAGGTCCCGGTGAGCGATGTTCACCTTCCTGTGTCCAAGTGTTCTCATTGTTCAATTCCCATCTATGAGTGAGAACATGTGGTGTTTGTTTTTTTGTCCTTGTGATAGTTTGCTGAGAATGATGGATTCCAGCTTCATCCATGTCCCTACAAAGGACATGAACTCATCATTTTTTATGGCTGCATAGTATTCCATGTTGTATATGTGCCACATTTTCTTAATGCAATCTATCATTGATGGACATTTGGGTTGGTTCCAAGTCTTTGCTATTGTGAATAGTGCCACAATAAACATACGTGTGCATATGTCTTTATAGCAGCATGATTTATAATCCTTTGGGTATATACCCAGTGGTGGGATGGCTGGGTCAAATGGTATTTCTAGTACTAGATCCTTGAGGAATCACCATGCCGTCTTCCACAATGGTTGAACTAGTTTACAGTCCCACCAACAGTGTAAAAGTGTTCCTATTTCTCCACATCCTCTCCAGCACCTGTTATTTCCTGACTTTTTAATGATTGCCATTCTAACTGGTGTGAGATGGTATCTCCTTGTGGTTTTGATTTGCATTTCTCTGATGGCCAGTCATGATGAGCATTTTTTCATGTGTCTGTTGGCTGCGTCAATGTCTTCTTTTGAGAAGTGTCTGTTCATATCCTTCGCCCACTTTTTGATGGGGTTGTTTGTTTTTTTCTTGTAAATTTGTTTGAGTTCTTTGTAGATTCTGGATATTAGCCCTTTGTCAGATGGGTAGATTGCAAAAATTTTCTCCCATTCTGTAGGTTGCCTATTCACTCTGATGGTAGTTTCTTTTGCTGTGCAGAAGCTCTTTAGTTTAATTAGATCCCATTTGTCAATTTTGGCTTTTGTTGCCATTGCTTTTGGTGTTTTAGACATGAAGTGCTTGCCCATGCCTATATCCTGAATGGTATTGCCTAGGTTTTCTTCTAGGGTTTTTATGGTTTTAGGTCTAACATTTAAGTCTTTAATTTATCTTGAATTAATTTTTGTATAAGGTGTAAGGAAGGGATCCAGTTTCAGCTTCCTACCCATGGCTAGCCAGTTTTCCCAGCACCATTTATTAAATAGTGAATCCTTTCCCCATTTCTTGTTTTTCTCAGGTTTGTCAAAGATCAGATGGTTGTAGATGTGTGGTATTATTTCTGAGGCCTCTATTCTGTTCCATTGGTCTATATCTCTGTTTTGGTACCAGTACCATGCTGTTTTGGTTACTGTAGCCTTGTAGTATAGTTTGAAGTCAGGAAGCGTGATGCCTCCAGCTTTGTTCTTTTGACTTAGGATTGTCTCAGCTATGCGGGCTCTTTTTCGGTTCCATATGAACTTTAAAGTGGTTTTTTCCAATTCTGTGAAGAAAGTCATTGGTAGCTTGATGAGGATGGCATTGAATCTATAAATTACCTTGGGCAGTGTGGCCATTTTCATGATATTGATTCTTCCTATGAACATCGATGCAAAAATCCATAATAAAATACTGGCAAACCGAATCCAGCAGCACATCAAAAAGCTTATCCACTGTAATCAAGTGGGCTTCATCCCTGGAACGCAAGGCTAGTTCAACATATGCAAATCAATAAACGTAATCCAGCATATAAACAGCACCAAAGACAAAAACCGCATGATTATCTCAACAGATGCAGCATAGGCCTTTGACAAAATTAATAGCCCTTCATGCTAAAAACTCTCAATAAATTACGTGTTGATGAGACATATCTCAAAATAATAAGAGCTATCTATGACAAACCCACACCCAATATCATACTGAATGGGCAAAAACTGGAAGCATTCCCTTTGAAAACTGGCACAAGATAGGGATGCCCTCTCTCACCACTCCTATTCAACATAGTGTTGGAAGTTTTGGCCAGGGCAATCAGGCAGGAAAAAGAAATAAAGGGTATTCAATTAGGAAAAGAGGAAGTCAAATTGTCCCTGTTTGCAGATGACATGATTGTATATTTAGAAAACCCCATCGTCTCAGCCCAAAATCTCCTTAAGCTGATAAGCAACTTCAGCAAAGTCTCAGGATACAAAATCAATGTGCAAAAATCACAAGAATTCTTATACACCAATAACAGACAGAGAGCCAAATCATGAGTGAACTCCCATTCACAACTGCTTCAAAGAGAATAAAATACCTAGGAATCCAACTTACAAGGGATGTGAAGGACCTCTTCAAGGAGAACTGCATACCACTGCTCAATGAAATAAAAGAGGACACAAACAAATGAAGAACATTCCATGCTCATGTTTTGTATTTTTTTTAGTAGAGATGGGGTTTTGCCATGTTGGCCAAGATGGTCTCAAATTCCTGACCTCAGATGATCCACCTGCCTCGGCCTCCCAAAGTGCTGGGATTACAGGTGTGAGCCACCACACCAAGCCTGCACCTGTATTTTTTAAAAATCTTGTATACATAAATAATTTTGTTTATCCTTCATAAATTAATTGTCCCTTTAGATTTAATGTTTGTTGGATTTCTGAATCCTAAAATGATGTCCCTTTATATTAAAAATGGAAAAATACAGAAATGTAAAAAACTGAAATAAAATTTCATATAGTTCCACTGCATAAAGACAACTTCTAGTAGTTGAGAAAATTTTTTTCTGGTCTTCATTATTTGTCAAGGTTAAAGAGTTGAAAATAACTGGATCTTGTGCCTCTTAAAATCTATTTTCCCTAAATAAAAAAGAAGAAAGAAATAAGAATAAGAAAGAATGTAAATTTCATTTATAATATCATCGTAAGGAGACAACCTAAAGATTTTTTGGTGTGTTTCCTCTCTTTTCTAATCTTTGTTTATGTACATGCATGTGTATACATACATAATATATATTACAAACTTAAGATTATGCTCTCAATACAAGTTTATAAACTCATTATTTTAGGAAAATTTTCAAACACATAAAAAAGTAGAAAGAACAGTATAATGAACCCCTTTGAAACTCCACCCAGCTTCAACATTTATTGAAACATTTCTACCTCCAGATTAATTTGAAACAAACATCAAATTATTTCATTCACAAATGTTTCTTCATTTACATCTAAAAGATAAGGACACTTGTAAAAAATATAATGACAATATCATTGTAACATCTCACAGTTTTCATTTAAATGTTTTAATATCGTCAAGTATTCAGTGTTCGGATTTCTCCCAATTGTCTCATGTTTATTATAGTTAATTTGTTCAAAATTGAGATCCAAATAAAGTCCACATGTTGTATTATTTGATATGTGTCTTAAGCCTCTTAATCTTTTGCTTCTCCCTCCTTCTCTTTTATTGGATTTGTTGAGGCAAAATTGAGTTGTTTGTCCTATAGGACTTTCCATAGTGTGAATTCCTTCCTTCCTTCCTTCCTTCCTTCCTTCCTCCCTCCCTCCTTCTTTATTCCTTCCTTCCTTCCTTTCTTTCTTTCTTTTTCTGTTTTTGAAACAGGGTCTTGTTCTGTCACCCTAGCTGGAGTGCAGTGGTGCAATCAGGGCTCAATGTAGCCTCGACCTCCTGGGCTCAAGCAATCCTCCCACTTCAGCCTCCCAAGTAGCTGGGACTATAGACACAAGCCACCACGCCTGGGTAATTTTTTTTTTATTTGTACAGATCAGGTCTGATTATGTTTTCCAGGCTGATCTTGAACTTCCGGGCACAAGCAATCCTCCAATCTCAGCCTCCCAAAATGCTGGGATTATAGGTGTAAGCCATCACGACTGGCCTATAGTGTAAATTTTCTAATTGTAACTCCTTTAGTGTTATTTAATATGTTTCTTTATCTTCTGTATTTTGTTATTATTTAGGTATATAGGCTTGATCAAATTCTAGTTTGATTTTTGGCAAGAATATTTGATATGTGATAATGTAGGAGACATATGTCTGCTTGTTAATCTTTTTGTAAAGTTAGTCATCATTAATGATCATTCCCTAGCTGCATTATTTCACTAGGGGTTACAATATGATGACACTCTATCATTTCTACATCAATTATTAGCTGAAATATTCTGTAAAGAGAAACCTCCTATCATCAACTATTGGGTTACCCTGAGGTACAATTTATATATGAGAAATGAACTAGATGCTTGATTCATTCTCTGTATTTACCAGTTTTTTAAATAATAAGTTGGTTTCCTTGTATCTTCCAAAGGTACCAACAGAGGTTTTTTTGTCTTAGAGTATCAATCTGAGCTGACTAAAACATATTTACCATGCATCTATCCATTACGGATGGAATTCATGCTCAAGCTCTTCCTCACCTCTTTGATCGATGGAAGCATCTTCAGGTTTATTCCTGAGTCTCTTTTGACATGACTTAGAAGTCTTTTATACTTACCTTCTGATGTGACAGGGAACCCAGCAAAAGTTTATTTTGTTTGTTTGTTTTTGAGACAGGGTCTCACTCTGTCCCCCAGGCTGGAGTGCAGTCGTGCCATCATGGCTCACTGCAGCTTCAACTTGCTAGGCTCAAGTTATCCTCCCACTTCGGCCTCCCAAAGGGCTGGGATTACAGGTGTGAGCCACCATGCCCAGCCAAAAATGTTATTTTTAATGGCTGCATCGTAAGCCTATACTATTATTTATTTAATAAGTCCACTGTTCGGGGGAAGGGGCTTTATATAATTTCTAATGGTTCTCTACTATAAATACAGTGATGCACCACATAGTGACATTTTGGTCAATGGTGGGTTGCATATATGATGGTAGTCCCATAAGATGATAATGGAGCTGACAATTTTCTATCATCTAGTGATGTAACTGTTCTAATGTCTTTGCACAATGCATTACCTTTTCTATGTTTAGATACACAAATAATTACCATTATATTCCAGCTGCATATAGTATTCAGTATAGTAACATACTATACAGGTTTATAGCCTAGGAGTAATAGGCTATAACACATACCCTAGGTGTGTAGTAGGCTATACCATCTAGGTTTGTGTAAGTGCACTCTATGATGATTGCACAGTGATAAAATCACCTAATAATGCATTTCTCAGAACTTATACTATCGTTAAGTAACACATAGCTATACTTAGCTGTTTTATAGAAATAGTGTGCGTAGGTGACTGAAAATGTACTCATAAATGTTTTCTCTATTATTATTTAATGTTTAAAGAAAGGCTAGCCGGGCGTGGTGGCTCACGCCTGTAATCCCAGCACTTGGGGAGGCCGAGGCGGGTGGATCACTTGAGGTCAGGAGTTCGAGACCACCCTGGCCAACATGGTGAAACCCCATCTCTACTAAAAACACAAAAATTAGATGGGTGTGGTGCTGCGTGCCTGTAATCCTGCTACTTGGGAGGCTTGAACCTGGGAGGCGGAGGATGCAGTGAGCTGAGATCATGCCACTGCACTCCAGCCTGGTTAACAGAGTGAGACTCTATCTCAAAAAAAAAAAAAAAAGTAAGACTAGTTAACTAGCTTGTTTGTGGTCTGGCCTATAGGCCAGGGTACATCATTCAGTCATCACAGATATCTACCTCTAGGGTGGGGCTTGCAAACAATGAATTAAAAAGTGGAAGCAAATGTGATATAAAAACTCTGGGAGAGGGGGGCAAATACATGTTTAGGTTTCCAACACCCATTAGTCCCAGAGAATATTCTGCTTCTTAGAACTGTAATCCCTCTCACAGTCCCTGGACATTTCATTGCTCACCAACAGGATAAGATAAGCCTTGGTGGGAGTATGATAGATGGAAAATTTTTATTGGTAAACTCTATTGGAGGTGGCTCACTGATAACTACACAACAGGTTATAAAAGGAAAGTCAATGTCTCTCAACTACCCAAAATTGCCTATTGGCCGGTTGGAAATAACTGGACTTGCTAAATGTTAAAATGAATTAAGCCGTCTTACAAATACATGCAATTGGCATACATTTATTTTATTTTACTTTGGAGACATTCTCACTCTGTTGTCTAGGCCGGAGTGCAGTGGCATGATCTCGGCTCACTGCAGCCTCCACCTCCTGGGCTCAAGTGATGGTCCTGCCCCAGCCCCCCAAGTAGCTGGGACTGTAGGCACACATCACCACGCCTGGCTAATTTGTTTGTATTATTTGTAGAGACAGGGTTTCACCATGTTGTCCAGGCTGGTCTCCTGAGCTTGAGCGATTGGCCCACCTCAGCCTCCCGAAGTGTTAGGATTACAGGCATGAGCCACTGCACCTGGCTACATTTTAAAGTACTAAAAGTTTTCTTTGATTTCTGAATGTGATACTTCTAATTCTGATTGACATATACAATCTGCCTCTTTCCCAGAATGTTTGAAAGCTATTTTTCTAAAATTCTTGGGCATAGGCAGCAACTCTTTTCTTTTTTTTAAGTTTAATTTTATTTTAGGTTCTGGGATACATGTACAGGACATGCATAGGCATGTTTGATACATAGGCAAACTTGTGCCATGATGGTTTTCTGCATCTATCAACCCATCACCTAGGGATTAAGCCCCACATGCATTAGCTGTTTATCCTGAGGCTCTCCCTCCCCCCGCTCCCCTACCCCCGACTGGCCCCAGTCGTGTTGTTCCCCTCCCTCTGTCCATGTGTTCTCATTATTCACCTCCCACTTATAAGTGAGAACATACTATGTTTGGTTTTCTATTCCTGCATTAGTTTGCTGAGGATAATGGCTTCCAGCTCTATCCATGTTCCTGCAAAGAACATGATCCCATTCCTTTTTGTGGCTGTATAGTATACCATGGTATATATATAGCACATTTTCTTTATCTAGTCTATCATTGATGAGCATTTGGGTCGATCCCATGTCTTTGCTATTGTGAATAGTGCTACAGTGAACATACACATGCGTGTATGTTTATAATAGAATGATTTATATTCCTTTGGGTATATACCCAGTAATGGGATTGCTGGGTCAAATGATATTTCTGGTTCTAGGTCTCTGAGGAATCACCACATTGTCTTCCACAATGGTTGAACTAATTTACATTCCTACCAACAGTGTAAAAGTGTTCCTATTTCTCCACAGCCTCACCAGCATCTGTTGTTTCTTGACTTTTTAATAATCAGCATTATAACTGGCGTGAGACAGTATTTCACTGTAGTTTTGATTTGCATTTCTCTAATGATTAGTGATGTTCAGCTTTTCTTCATATGTTACTTGGCCACATAAATATCTGCTTTTGAGAAGTGTCTATTCATGTCCTTTACCCACTTTTTAATGGGGTTGTTTGGGTTTTTTTCTTGTAAATTTAAGTTCCTTGTAAATTTTGGATATTAGACCTTTGTCAGGTGGATAGATTGCAAAAATGTTCTCCCATTCTGCAGGTTGTCTGTTCACTCTGATGATAGTTTCTTTTCCTGTACAGGAGCTCTTTAGTTTAATTAGATCCCATTTGTCAAGTTTTGCTTTTGACCAACTCTTTTCTTTAGGAAGAAAATGAAGTTATAATAGCAGTCTCCAGAAGTAACCCAGCAATGATATAACCCAGTCATCACATACTTTCTTTATTTACTCAGTTTATATGGTCAGGTTCGGTGAGATAAAGGTGTTATTGGTCAAAACTCATTAAGTGAAATTAGTTAAAATTCATAGCTATATTAAAAAAATAACTCCTACCTGACAGAACAGTTAACATTCACCCTTCAAATTATAGAGGACCTCAAGCATCAAATGCTTAAGCAGAATGCAGAGTGTGTTTGGATTTGTGCAGTTTCCATGTTCTGCTCTCAAGACACTTACAGTCTACCATGCCAAAACAGAAAACTGATATAAATGCATTTCAGTAGGCAGTTATGTTAATTTCCCATTCTTTTATTTCATTTTTCTTAATTATAAGGTGAGGGTTGTGTGGATGGTTGTAAGGATGGTTACTGGATAAAATACAGGATGCCCAGTTAAATTTGAATTTCAGATAAACAAGGAATAATTTTTTAGTATAACAAATATTGTATGGAACATGCTTATTTTAAAAATTATTCCTTGCTTATCTAAAATTCAAATTTAACTGAGTGCCATGTCCTGCATTAAATCTAGTAACCCTACGGATGAGTAGAGCATAATGATGAGTGATCCTTGAAAATTTTTTTTAAAACAATATGTCTTATAATATAGAGTAACACTTCTCAAACTGTAATATTTACACAAATCACCTGACTGCTTGTTAGAAAGCTGTATTAGTCCATTCTCACACCACTAATAAAGACATACCTGAGACTGGGTAATTTATAAAGAAAAAGAGGTTTAATGGTCTCACAGTTCCACGTGGCTGAGGAGGCCTCACAATCATGGCAGAAGGCAAAGGAGAAGTAAAGACATGTCTTACGCGGTGGCAGGCAAGAGAGCGTGTGCAAGGGAACTGCCCTTTATAAAACCATTAGATCTCATGAGACTTATTTACTATCACAAGAACAGCACAGGAAAAACCTGCCCCATGACTCAATTACCTCCCACTGGGTACGTGTGATATGTGATATGTGGGGATTATGGGAGCTACAATTCAAGATGAGATTTGGGTGGGGACACAACCAAACCATATCAAAAGCAAATCCAAATTCTGCAGATCTGGAACAGGATCTGAGATTCTGCATTTCTTTTTTCTTTTTAATTTTTTTAATTTTTTTTTTTTTGAAATGGAGTCTCACTCTGTTGCCCAGGCTGGAGTGCAGTGGCGCTATCTTGGCTCACTGCAAGCTCCGCCTCCCGGGTTCAGGTCATTCTCCTGCCTCAGCCTCCCGAGTAGCTGGGACTACAGGCGCCCGCCACCACGCCCAGCTAATTTTTTGTATTTTTTAGTAGAGACGGGGTTTCACAGTGTTAGCCAGGATGGTATCGATCTCCTGACCTCGTGATCTGCCTGCCTCGGCCTCCCAAAGTGCTGGGATTACAAGCGTGAGCCACCACGCCCGGTCTGAGATTCTGCATTTCTAAAAAGCTTCCATTTGATATTGATGCTGCTGCTCCATGGACCACTCTGCAATGACGCAGTGGATATCTGTTTTGGGGGGAATTTTTGTTTTTGTTTTGTTTTCCCAGCTGCCCAGCATCTGAACTGTCTAAGCTTGGAGAATTCACTGGTATGTGAGTCTTAGAAGTAAAGCCTGATTCTCACTTTCTAGAAACTGATAGAAGTCATCACATAGTCACTTCACCATCCCCCCTTGCAACTTGGATTCAGGTGCTTGAGCTACCCTCCTCTAATTAGAAGCACCTGCATGGCTTTGAGTCAGAAACTAATAACCCAAAGAAGCAAGGATAGCAGTCAGTTCTCTTTCTCTTGCAACAGTGCAGTTGTGGCCAAATTGAGTTCCCAAAGCAGTGGTGTTGGTCAAGAAAGGAGCAGAGTCTAGCATGCTCAGCAGCATTAGTAATAGTAATCTTCTCACTGGGTTGCCTCTGCAGCATTATTTTGGGCATTGGTCTTGGCTGCACCACTTTGAGCTTGGTTCTCAACTCACATAATGATTCTGTGGGCTACCCAATTCCTTTGCCGCTAAATCATGCAGGATTGATTTTTGTTGCTTGAAACTAAAAACCCCATTGAAGCCAAAGGGTCTGCCAGAAGCTAGATGGCTTGCACAGCCCCGTCAGATGCACTATGTTTATGGAATGCCACCTAGGTCACCACTCAGCTTGATCTTTGCCTCACAGAGTGAAGAGGGTTCAGAGAGAGAGGCAAATGCCCTCTAGGTGGAAGGGTATCTATTCCCTGGCATACATTTCTATGCCTCCTCTGGAGAGGTTTCTGACAACGACTGCTTTTGGCTTAATAGGACTAGATTTATATGCTAACCCTGTCACCAACTAGTTATGTACATGAGTTTGGGCAAATTACTTAGCCTCTATGAGCTCCATTTCCTTGGCTGTGAAAGGGAGTTAAGACATGTTTTTATTATTGGATTTTTTCACATTATACATGATTATTTTACAACTTTTTTGAAGTATAATTTACATATAATAAAATTCACTCAAGTGTACATTTCAATTACTTTTAGTAAATTTATTGAGGTGTGCAGCTATTATTATAATCCAATTTAAAAGCATTTTCATCACCCCCAAAAGATCCTTCATGATCATTTATAGTTAATCACCATTCTCACCCCTAGCCCAGCAAACACCAATCTGCCTTCTGTCTCTATACATTTTCCCTTTCTGGACATCTTATATAAACAGAATAATACAATTATAACTATTTTTTACACTAGCTGTTTCTGCTATACAGACAGTCCCTGACTGACAATGGTTCCACTTAGGATTTTTTTTGACTTTATGATGGTGCAAAAGTGATTTACGTTCAGTAGAAATTTTACTGTTGAGTACCCATACAACCATTCTATTTTTCACTTTCAGTACAGTATTCAATAAATTACACAAGATACTTAGCACTTTATTATAAAATAGACTTTGTGTTAGACAACTTTGCCCAACTGTAGGCTAGTATAAGTGTTCTGAGGATGTTTAAGGTAGGCTAGGCTAAGCTATCACATTCAGTAGCTGTATTAAATGCATTTTTGATTTACAATATTTTCAACTTAAAATGGGTTTATTGGAATATAATCCCGTCATAAGTGGAGAAGCATCTGTATAGTGAGTTTCCTAAAAGCCTATATCTCTATATCTAACTGAATTGTTTATCTACAAAAGACATAGCACAGTGTTTGTATATAGTTAAGTGCTCCAGATAAGAAACAAAACACTGATACTTTTCCTATGATGTGGTTGTGGTGAAGATTAAATAAATCCATTAGACTTTTGCTACTCCAAGTGGTATCAGCATCACCAGGGAGCTGGTTAGAAATGTAGTCTCAGGGCCCATCCCAGACTTAGCGAATTAGAATCTGTAGTTTCACAAGATTCTCAGGTGATTCACAGTCTCATAAAAGTTTAAGAAGTACTATTCTATTGTAAGTTCTTTGAGGGCAGGGATTACGTGTGGCACATAGCATGTGCTCAGTAGTATTTTTTGTTTGAATAAATGAATGGTGCCACATAAGAAAGTATTTTGTAAACTTAAGTCTTACATACACAGGACTTTAAGTATAGGACTTTAAGTCCTATATACACAGGATTGTGAAAGAACAGCGGTATAGATTTTGGGCTTAACTATAAAATCTTTTAGAGAAAGTTTGGACTGGCACTTATAGTCCTAGTTTACATATCGAAGCAAGTATATTTATTTTTCTTACATCTGAGTGACAATTCCATGAGGAAACCGAGTTTTAGATAGGAAATATAATAGTCCCTTAACTGAAATTGACTTTATAGTGAATTTATTAGCATGACAATTAATTATGAAACTTCTGAAGATTGACAAAATTTATTTGGTTCTATTTTCTGTAAGAGATAAGATCTTGATCAACAGCTAGGAAGCTGATGGTCAGGCTTTACGGGACAGGATTGGTAGATGTTGTATAGTTATTATCAACCTCTAACAAGGAAAACCCATCTAGTTTTCCACTTACAGTCTTCTGGCTTGAAATGCTTTAATTTATTCATTTAATCATTCTTCAAATCATCAAATATTTATCAAATTTGTCACTCTGACGAGTGCTGTGCCAGGACTTTCTGATGGATTGCCAGGTACAATATTCTTGAGGAGTTCCATATCAATACAATGACGACACCTTTTCAACTACATGGGCTAACAAAAGACTTTTTATGAATTCATGAATGTTAAAGTCTTAAAATGCTATTAAAATCAAACCACATTGGCTATATATTTAACAAGTCTGTTGAAAAGGGTAAAGTTATATTTTCCAGATAAATCCAGTCTATATGGTTAATACTTACAGAATAGGAATTGCTTGTACTTAGGGTTGCTCAAGGAATATAAGAGGGGTGTCCTGGCAATTTTCCATTTGCACCTACAGATCCATTTTTTACCCTATTTGTCTTGCTTTTTACTGGCAGCTGAACTCTACAGACTGTGCCACACAAGCCCTCTGGTTTCTGGTTTGGTCAATGGGAGGTACCAACAGAAGTTTGGAGGATGGGAGGAAAAGAGGACAAGTGTTTATTCCCCGGTCCTTTGCTGGGCCACATTTTGGCAGTGACTGTATTTCTTTATTTATAGTAACAGCCTTTGTCAGGCATCCCTTTCCAAGCTACAGCTCTTACAGGGTTCCACTAATAGCTCCCCTCCCCTGTTCCTTCAAGCTTAAGGTCTCCCATTGTTGCCAGTCCTTAAGTACTTTACCATTCCTTGTTGGTTCCCTTAACCATTCCCATCCCTCTATAAATTATCCCTTTATTAAGCTCTTGTTACCTTCTTAGAGTGTGCCATCTTTAGTAATAAA
Organism: Homo sapiens; assembly: GCF_000001405.40. Classification (NCBI taxonomy): domain Eukaryota; kingdom Metazoa; phylum Chordata; class Mammalia; order Primates; family Hominidae; genus Homo; species Homo sapiens. Next base: position 56,893,258 of record NC_000015.10, on the reverse strand, counting down.
AGAAGAGGCCATAAATCAGCCAGTATCTAAGGACCGCCTGCTGAGGTGGCACTGTTAAGACATATAATACATGATCTTGCTCTTGAGACACTTACAGTCAGCCCAGTGAAGGAGATAAAACCAACACATGTGAAGCAATTAGGAAACACTACACATTGTCATCTAATGAGATACTCCGTTTGTTTGCCTCTTACTAACATTCACCCTTCTTCTGGTAACCATCCCCTGATTTTCCTCTTCTGTTACTTCAGTCAATGTCTTTTGGGTGGAGTGAACTTCATTTTCAAAAACATTAATGACATGAATCAGACCTGAGCTACTGGATTCCTCTAGCCACATATCCCAATCAGAGCCAGTGAAATGTAAGAAGACTATTGCTGGCACCTGTGGGAAGGAAGCATGCACTCTTCCACTGAGATTGCTAACAGTAAGGATTATGTAAACTGGAGCTGTCAGCAGCCACCACATGGAGCCTAAAAATGAAGCCAGCACACAAGACAGAGTCAAGAGATGAAAAGAAATAGAATTCTAATGACATTGCTTAAGCCCTTGGATCAAACTATGCCTTAAGCTAAATATATAACTAGTTTTTCACTAAAATAGCTCTAACAATTCATAAATTGATACCAGGAATGGGGATTAGTAACAGAAAGATCCAGAAATGTTGAAGTAGCTGATTCAGATGAGGCCTCATTGGTATCAGGCTGGGACTTCGATACCAAAGCAGTAGGTTAAACTGGCACCTGTTGTATAGTGGGATTCAGAACATGTGCCTATCAAGGATAAAATGTAAAAGGGCCTGTTGTTAAAAGGTCGGATACTAAAATATATCAACTATTACTTGTTAGTTTTTAGTAATGTCCTTTAAGAAAGGCTCAAACTTAGGACTAAGATTGATTTATCTAAGGCAGAGAGGAAAAGATACCACTTTGTTACAAGTGAACATTTTTGCTTATAGGCTGCAATAAAAGATGACAGAAACATCAATAATCTGGAGCCATAAAGGGTTGAAAAAGCCCCAAGAGGATGTTAATGTTAATGAAGGCAAGAATGGATAACATTGGCACTAGGGAGAAGTCTTAATACACTCAGGCCTCTTTCAAGCAATTCCTGCCTGCTGAGAAAGGTAATAGTTATTCCACTCTACTCCCTCCACCACCAGCTCACACACCATCATCACTCCCTCCCCTTGCAAACCCAGTGGCTATTGTTTCAAATTGTTATCAGGCAGAAACCAAAATAGAGGCCTCTAAGTTAGAATACCAAGGCCTATTACTAAAAGACAAAAATGCTCAGATGAAAATCTAGATTCAAAGACTGAAGCTTAAAAAAAACCCTCTGGCTTTGGAATTCTCCCCCTATGGAATTGGCCAGATGCAAATAGACTAGAAGTTTACTAAGAATTAAAGAAAACTGGGCGAGGCACAGTGGCTCATGCCTCTAATCCTAGCACTTTGGGAGGCCGAGGCAGGCGGATCACCCGAGGTCAGGAGTTCAAGACCAGCCTGGCCAACATGGTGAAACCCTGTCTCTACTAAAAATGCAAAAATTAGCCAGGTGTGGTGGCACACACCTGAAATCCCAGCTACTCAGGAGGCTGAGGTGGGAGAATTGCTTGAACCCGAGAGGTGGACATTGCATGAACTGAGATAGCACCACTGCACTCCAGCCTGGGCAACAAGAACAAGACTTTGTCTCAAAAAAAAAAAAAAAAAAAAAAAAGAATTAAAGAAAATTGTACTGTGAGAGAAATCCTAAGTGTGGAGAAGAAAGGCTAGGTTACTTAAGCTTAACACAATAGATATTTATTTTTCACTTTTGTAAAGTCTAACATCAGTGCCCCTAAGTAGCAGGTGGTCTTCTACAAAATCATTCAACTACCCAGACTCCTTCTATCTTATGGCTCTAATGTCCTCCAGGTTCTTAGAGACCTTTCAGTGCAGCCAGAAGAGGGAAAAAGAGACTGGCAAAGGCATACCTACTACTTAACCAAATTGGCTAGAAGTGGTACACATCACTTTCACTCATATTCCAATGGAGACAGTCATGTGACTTTACCAAAGTTAACAAGGAGGCTGGGAAATGTAGCCCCTGGCTAGGTAGCTACTTCCCAGCAACAATTGTATACAACAGAAGAGGTTCACAACTCTTGGGTGGTAAAAGCTAATTATCTTTGCCATAGGAAGTGATTTTTCAATTCCCACTAGATCAGGAAGGAGAATGCTGAAGAGGTGTAGTCCCTAAAGGATTATCCTCCCATTGTCCATTACAGACATAGCCATGGAGGAACAATGAATGAGAGGTCCTCCAGAAATAGAACATATGGCAGCCAGATTGGTTGATCAAAGAACTTTCTCCCCTCTCATGTTAGGAAGCCCTTGCTATTCCTGTCTAGCAAGATATGACATATGCTATGAATTAGAGACATTTTGTGTTTGTCATTATTCATATTTCCAAATATGCATTTTCATTGCAGTTGTTCTTTTTTTCTGTCATTATATATTAAGTATTTTCTAGTTAATTTTATCATACAGCCTTAGGTTACTAGGCCATGAAGAACTTTATCAAATTGCTTTATGATATAGAGGCATGCATATCACCTTACTATCCTGGACTTGGAGTTATTTGTAGGACCTAGATGTGAGTACATTTTGGGTGGTAAAAAAACATTGTTACATTGAGTAGCCATAGATATCATTGAAGGCATATGTAGGGGAAGAATGTTTGGAGACCTCAATAAAATACCAGGGATGTGTTTGTGTCTGCTGTTTCCATTACCCAGGGCACATCTGTGCTTCTTCTGATAACCATACCCCTATTTTAAGTAAAAATCATCTGTGCCATTCATATGTTACTGATAGACACAACTCCTGGGATGGGCTTGTGAATCAGTCCAGGCCAATCTGAGCATCTCATTCTTTTGGCTACAGTGATTGGCTGACAAAAGAATGGGCGCTTGACCTTTGCTAGTAGTGAGGATGGTCTGGAGCTTCTGGTTGCTCATTTGTGGAATGAATGAAGCAAACAGCAGAGGAGAGCGCTAACATGTGGGGGAGAATCTGACTCTCTTTTTTTTTTTTTTTTGAGACAGAATCTTGCTCTGTCACCCAGGCTGGAGTGCAATGGTGCAATCTCAAGCTCACTGCAACCTCTGTGCAGGTTCAAGTGGAGAATCTGAATCTTGATGATATAATTGGAACTCTTCAGCCAAGCCATATCTAACAGAACTATCTTCAACTTTTCAGGTATGTGAGAATACATTCCCTTCTCACTTTACACCAATTTGGGTTGGATTTTATGTCACTTGTAACCAATGGATCCTTACTGAATCAAATACTAAATTATTTGAGGATAGATCCATAAACAAATACATATAGGAATGAGTGAATATAAATGTACTTCTGGGGCAAACCTAACTAAAATGGAAGTGGTAGACTGAGGAGTGGTTCACAGAGTAGAAGAGAACTAGGCTGGGGCAAGAGCTTGAAATTCAGTCAGGGCTAGGCACAGTGGCTCACGCATGTAATCCCAGCACTCTGAGAAGCCGGGGCAGGTGGATCACTTGAGCCCAGGAGTTCAAGACCAGCCTGGGCAACATGGCAAAAACCTGTCTCTACAAAAAATAAAAATAAAAAAATTGCCAGTTGTGGTGGCACATGCCTGTAGTCCCAGTTACTCGGGAGGCTGAGGTGGGAGGTTCACTTGAACACTGAGAGGTAGAGGCTGCAGTGAGCTGTGATCGCTCCATTGCACTCCAGCCTGGGCACCTAGGCGACAGAATGAGAACCTGTCTCAAAAAAAAGAAAAAGAGATTCAGTCACAAGAGTTTAAATTTAAGGAAATAGAAAATGTAGCCATAAAGGTGCTGAAGCACAAAGAAATGTGCTAAGAGTGAAGATTCAGAACCATTATTCTGGCAAGTTAGATTGGAGCAGAGCGAGAAGGAAGTCAGAAAGGCCACATAGAAACTGCTGAACTAAGCCTAGCTGGCTGCATTTAAGGGCTTAGACAGAGAACCTGAAGTAGAGACAGAGGAAGGGATCTGACAGAGGAGGTATTTTAAAGGATAAATTGAAGGCCCTGAGATGACTGGATAAAAGAAATAAAGGGAAGGAACAGGTAAAAAATGACATCGGTGTTTTCAGCTTGGGTGGCAGAGATAGCAGTGGTATCAATGAGAAAGAAGGGAAGTGATTTTGGAAAGATAATGAGATTATGAGATTGGTTTTAGACCTGTCGAAACCTAAAGATGGCAGGACGTCCAGTTAGATACGTTGATGAGATAAAGAGGCAAATATACAAGTTGGGGGAAAAAAAGGTGACATTAAAGATAAGGATCTGCACAGAAGAAACATTTGAACCAATAGTTATAGATCAGTAGAAGAGGGTGAGAGAAAAACAGAAATAAACACTTACTGCTAGACCAAGAGGAAAAAAAGTGGTGTCTCTGAATGAAATGAAATGTAGTGTCTGGTGGAGACACAGGAAGAATGCAGGACACTTTAGTGCATACAAAACTTAGAGAAGTTTCAAATTATGTTAAAAGTAAATGCCAAGCATGCACATACTCATCACCCCATCTCCAGCCTTATTTCTAACTGTTTTTCTGGCTTACTGCACAGCATTCACATTGGCCTCCTTTCTACTAATTCAGACTCACCAAACTGTCTCTGGCTGCAGAGCCTTGGCACTTGCTCTTACTTCTGCCCAGAATCTTCTCCCCAACCCCCCCAACCCCAATATTTGCTTGGCTTTCTACCTCATTTATCTAGACCTCTGTTTAAACATAACTTCCTCAAAGAGGCCTTCTTCAATCAACTTATCTAAAATATAAAATAATGTTCAACTCTCATCTGCATACTTCGTCCTTCTGCTCTTTTTCTTCATAGCGCTCTTCCCTACATGACATTATACAATTGTATATGATTGTAAATGTACTATCTCCCCCACTAGAGCAACTGTAATGAGGTTCCATGAGTGCATTCGTTTTACTCACTGACGTATGTCTGATAAGTAGAACAGAGCCTGGAACAAACAAAGCCTTCAGTAAGAGTTTATTTCATGATGAATGAGTGAAATGCAGTAATTAAGATGAAAAGAAAAAAAATCACAAGAGGTCCAAGTTTAAGTCACAATTCCTAGAACATGCCTATCATTTCACCCAAAAACTCTGCTTAAGGCTCTCATTCTGGCTGCATCTCCTCAAGGGGAAGGGAATTAAGGGAAGTTTGCTACTGCCAAGGAAGGGACTTGGGATACTTTCCTGGATGATAGTGGTAAGAATGCTGTTTTCTCCACAATTACTTCGTTAATAAGAGACATGTCCAATTCCAGACTTCACAGGGTTCCTTCTCCAGCTGAGCTCCAAGTGGAGCTTTGAGAGAAAAACAGAAGGGTGATGGCTAGAAGACTCAGGCTTCCAAAGTATTCCTCTCCTGAGTATCAGCTACCAGGTGAATTTCACAATGAGGATGACAACTTGGAAGGGGCAAGAGTCACGTGCCTGAGGGGAAAGGTCACCAGGGTGCAATCTCTGTTAATCCTTCTCTATACCCAGCTTCCCGATGCGGCCTGTACAGAAACAAGCACGCAGGCACTTAAGAGGACAGTGGTTTCACCGTGTCCCTCCCGGCGGCGCTCCCCACCTTTCCTTCCTCCCCACACGCCCCTCCCAGGCTGCAGGCTTAGCAGCCGACTTCCGCTGATCCCGGCTGGAGGGAGCCTGGAATCCAATTACTCTTCCCTAGGGAGCGCAATCCACCCGTCTGGCCGCAAAGAGCGGAGCCGGGGTCCGAGAGCCGCACAGGCCGGCCCTGCTCCGCCCGCCCCCACTTCCCGCCACCCCTGCCTCGGGCTCGGCAGCCCGGGCGGGGCGAGCAGAGCCGCGTAGAGGTGCGCGGCACTGCCGCCGGAACTATTTGTCCTTCCGCGCGCGGCCCGGCCCGGCGGGGCGAGAGGTTCGCGGCGCTGCATCCCGGGCGCCGACGTCAGCCGGGCTGAGTGGCAGGAGATTAGCCAAGGGCTTCCCCCGCCGCGCGTCCGGGCCAATCGGCTCCGCGGGCGGTGCTCCAGGGACGCGCACACGCACTTTCCAGAATCCACGCCTCCCAGCAACAGCCTCCAGCACCGCGACGCTGCCCTTCCGGCCCGCTTTCTTCGTCCGGCCTGCTACGGCTGCGGGCTTGGACCCTGGCCTCTAGTCTCCTGCGTGCTGCTCCCTAAAGTGACAGGGAAACGGGGCAAGAGGTCCAAGGGTTCCGTAGGAGAAAGAGTATCTGTGGCTCTCCCACCGTCCCGGCTTCCCTAACGGACTAGGGAGTGAAGCTCTGGAGATGGATCTTTGGGAGGAAAAAACTGGACCTCTCTTCGGGTTCTTTAGAGTTTAGGTGGAGAACTCTTTCAGTACCATTGAGTGTTCTCTAGTAAGAGGATCTTACACTGTTGGGTTTCTCACTTGCTTTAAAATTGTGGTCAGAGTACTTCATAAATCCTTTCCTTTCTGCATCTGGGGGAAGGAAAAAAAATGCAACACTCTCTTTACACATTGTCAGACTTTCGAGGCCGCAACGCAACTGACATACATGCTAGAAGGAGAAAGTGCTATATTATGCCTTGTGTCCTCTTTTGAATCACATTCTCCTGAGATGTGGCTGACCCTTAGGCCCATGGTGTTCCTGAATGTGATTGACATGCGTAGTTAGCAAGCTAGTGAGAGAGAACCAGGAAAATTGCTATCAAAACAATTACATACAGGGACATCAGAACAAACGCTTGAGACCACTGGGGAATGAGGGACCATCCCAGTTCTGCCACGGATGCCTTCGGGGATGGTGGCCAAGTCAGATCTTTGTGTCTTGTTTCTTCGTAGCAGATTGAATAGAACTATCTTCACCACACTCACTATTTCAAAGTGTGTTATAAACATTTCACTTAAGGTGAAAATGTTGAAGGTTTTATTTTGGGTGGAGGGAAGGTGGTGCCATTGAAAGGCACTCTCTGAAGGGAAGATTCTGTAAAAGGAAGCCATTTTATCTGCCTACAATTTGGTCATTTCAAAGAAATTCAATGTATATGTGTTAAGACTAATTTATATGCTGAGTTGTGTGCTATGTGGTCTTCATAAGAGTTATAATCTAGTAAACCCAGCTAACTCCTGCATTCTCAAACGGTTTCCCATGCCTGTGCCAGTTTCCATCCCTAAATTCTCGGCAGTTTCATTCCCTATTTCTGCTCAAAGGCTACAAACCATTGCTAGTTACAGGTACAGAACGGTGCTGCGGTGGGAGCTCCCCACTTGAGTCTAAACTGTGGCTGGAGTTCAGACGTGTGGATGTATCTGTGGAACTGATAGGGCAAGGCTCTAGAAGCCAATTGACTGGAGCGATTGAGGAGCCTCCTGGGACAGAACAAATCTTTGAGGAAGAAGGAGCCAGACACACTGAGCTTGAGCTAGGAACAAAGATAAAGTCTTGGGAAGGGAGGGGTCCTTTTGCATTCAGCCTTGTGTCCTGGCCCTTGTCTGAATCCAGTAGGAGTTGGGGAGGGGGAAGAAGATGGAAGGAGGCTATAAGTGAAAACTGAAATATCTGTTTCAAACTTTTTAACTTCCAGATTTCACATTCATAACACATGCCCTCACTTCTTCCTTTAGTAGAAAAAAAAAGGTATGAACAAAAGTGCAAACAACAGGAAACCTGACTAGAGGTGGAAATTTGAAAAATATGGAATTTATTATCCCATAAAATAAGAAGTTTGGAGAAAGGTGGTTCCACTATTGGTTGGTCAAATAACTTAGGGAAGTTGTCCGAGATTGAAGTGGGATTCTTCTTTCTGCTCTGCCATCTTCACATGATGGTAATTTCTCCTGTCATGTCCCTTCATGGCTATACGATGGCGTCTGCTTGTCTTGATGTCAAATACAGTCGGGCATCCAGCAAAGTAGCAAAGTATAGGAATACTATTTCTCTCTCTCCCTTTCTCCCTCTCTCCCTCTCTCTCTGTCTCTCCCCCTCCCTCCCTCCATCTCACAATAAAGGAAGGGAAACCCTTTTTAGAGGCTTCTAGCAGAACTGAGTCCCACTAGGCATAATTGTGTCACACACGAATCCTAAACTGATTATTTGTAAGAGGAATGACACTAATCGTAATCTACTCCTCACGCTGGGGAGAGAAATCACCCTTTGTGAACACATGGAAGGATATAATCAGAACAGCATCAAATTTTGCCAGAAAAAAAGTGGCTGTGGCTTAGGCCCCAACAAGTTCCTTCATTTTTCCTTTCCTCTACCTCAGAATGTTTCTGTATCTACTCTTCTTCATCACCTCTAAATTGTTCTATATTTATCCGTCTCCTTCCCTTCCCTCCCCTCCCCTTCCCTCCTCTCCCTCCCTTCTCTATCTCTGTCTCTCCCCTCTCTTCTCTCTTTCTTTCTTTTGGCAAAAGGGTCTGGCTCTGTTGCTCAGGCTAGAGAGCAGTGGTGTGATCATGGCTCACTGCTCACTGCAGCTTCGATGTGGTGGGGTCCGGTGATCCACTCATCTCAGTCTCTTGAGTAGCTGAGACTATAGGCACAAGCAACTACGCTCAGCTGATATAAAAAACATTTTTTTGGGGGGCCGGGCGCAGTGGCTCACACCTGTAATCCCAGCACTTTGGGAGGCCAAGACGAGTGGATCACGAGGTCAGGAGTTCAAGACCAGCCTGGCCAAGATGCTGAAACCCCATCTCTACTAAAAATCCAAAAATTAGCCGGGTGTGGTGGCATACACCTGTAATCCCAGCTACTCGGGAGGCTGAGGCAAGAGAATCGCTTGAACCTGGGTGGCAGAGGTTGCAGTGAGCCAAGATCGCGCCACTGCACTCCAGCCTGGGCAACAGAGCAAGACTCCGTCTCAAAAAAAAAATTCATAGAGACAGGATCTCCTTATGTTTCTCAGGCTGGTCTTGAAATCCTGGGCTCAAGTGATCCTGCCACCTTGGCCTCCCAAAGTACTGGGATTACAGGTGTGAGCCACCACACCCAGCCATACTCTTTCTTAACTAACTCAATAAAGAGGTGAACCAGCTCCATTTCAAGACCTGGCCTTCCATCTGTCTATCTTCCTAAGATCTTACTTTTCTCCTAGACCCTCACAGTGGTGAGGGGCTAAAATACATGCAGGCTGTTCTACCTGGCATTCTGTTATTAAAAATCAGAGGAGAGCTCTAGTCCCTTTTAAAATTGTTCCAAGAGAATTCAGATTGAAAACTGCAAGAACACATCCAGATCTTATTGGGTGGGATTGGGGAGGGTGCAGGGAGATGGGAAAGGGCATACTTCATCTTTTCCTACCTGGATTCTATACCTGGGGCTTCTCCACTGGCTCGGCAATGTGGGAGTCCCATTGGCTGAATTGGGAGAGGGTGAAAGGGAAGCAATATGGGAGTACTTGTCCCCTGGAGATTGAGTCCACCTCTATTTCTTTGAATCACATCCTGGAGGAGCTCTGATAATGGCTTGGCTTTAACCTGAAAGGTGTTCCGTTTTTCTCTTATACTCATATTTATTCATTTCTTTCATTTAACAAATATTACATGTTGACTGTCTTCCCAGTACTGTGCTATGTGCTAGGGAGACATTGGTGGGTAAGCCAAAGTGGAGTTTAATTTCTGGTGGGGGAACTTTGTCTCTCCACCAGGCTTGGCTTGAAATTAAGGTTATCTCACAGGACTAGAATAAAAAGTAAACCTAAAAGCAAGACCGAGTCATTAACTCTATGCATTCATCTATGTTTTAATCCTTCACAAACAACTACCATTATTAGTACAAATTATTTTGATTTTTACATAGCTCATAACGTTTCATATCTTTTCACTGAGGCCATTGTTTCAAACGATTACAGTTTCCAACAAGATAAACACCATGTAGGGGAATGCACTTGTGGTACAATATGCTTTATTAATAACATGCCTTGTCAGCTGAGCAGGCGAGGCTATGGATGGATGATTACAGCAAAAATGGAGTCTGTATCTGATGCAAGCTTATGTATCATCCGAGTTGTTACCCTATCTCTGCTCACAGTCAGGAACCTGTGAGATCTTATTCAACAGAATGGTTTGTAGATGCATTGAAAGGAGATAAAAATATTTAGTGTTACCTACCTTCCTTTGACTACATTTGCCTGAGAATGTACAGTAAAATAAAATTTGAATTTTTTTTTAACATTTCAAAATTCACCAAGGTTTGTTACATACACTTTCATTTTTAGTAGAAAGTACATTCTCCAAAAAAGTGCTACACTATATTGAAATATAAAACTGCTTATATATTTCCTACTAATAGCAGTTCTGCTTCAGATGGTATCATGGACCCTTGGTGTCTAATTTATCTTGACAGCATCTGAAGTGGAAGTAAACCAATTCAGACTGCAGGTCCTGAAATATAAGTCAGAGAAGGTGCATGTAGCAGAAGTGAAATGAGAGCATTTAAATGAAATATGAACCCGAATCAATCTGAATGAATTCCCCTAGCACCTCAGTCCAGGAAAGAAGCTGTAACCATTTTAATCCTTGCCCCACTCATGAGCAAGTGCATCACCCTAAGAAGTCAGTTAATTCATCTCTGTGTTTTTGTGTCGTTATTTTTACAACAAGGTTAAAATCTGTAGTGCCCCTGTACTCGGAATTCAGGAGAAAAGAGAGTTATACTTTTTCTGAAATGTAGCTGATAATTATCAATCAGTTATTAACAGGAATTTATTGAGCCCCACACCGACCCATCATTATATACCCAGGAACTAGCAAGCACCTTACACATAAATGTTAAAGAAATCTTTATTGCATGAATGAATGAGAAAATAAATCAATGTCACCTACTGTGTACCAGATTCTGTAGTATAACAGACATGAAATACATTCCTACCTTTAAGGAACTAATCATCTATTGAAATAAATACATATAAATACAAATGTACTTAACAATTGAAATATTAAATGCGAAATAAATGTTATACTCCATCATTTTCAAAGTAGAATTTCCAGATTCTCAGTGCTATGAATTCTTTCCTAAAGTTGACCCATTGCCTATGGTTTTGTTGCATAAAAGTGTTAGAAGATGCTTAATCAAATACTTCTAAATATAGAAATGTTTCATTAGGAAGCTATTCTGTAGGGTTTATATTCTTTTTATATTTTAATTAAAGTATGACATTGACATTCATACAGTGAAATGCACAAACCATTACCCAAATCAAAATATAGAACCAGAAGTCCTTTCCCCCATGAACTTTCTCAGTTAATTCCCTTCTTCCTCCAACCTGCATAGGTAGCCATTATTCTGACTTCTTCCGTAGTGCAATGTAGCCTGTTCTTGAAAGTTATATAAATGGAATTACACAATATGTTCTCCTTTGTGCCTGGCTTCTTTTGTTTAACGTTGTACCTGTATGATGCATCCGTTAGCAGTTCATTGTTTTTAATTGTTGCAAAAAAGTTATTTTCAAAGTGGTCTATGGACCCCTTAGGGTCTGTGAGAATTTTCAGGGGAGACTATGAGTAAAAATTATGTGGATAATAATTTAGAATTTTATTTATGTATTTATATTTATATTTTATTTTATTTTCCTTTATTTTTTGAGGCGGAGTTTTGCTCTGTCGCCCAGGCTGGAGTGCAGTGGTGCCATCTCAGCTTACTGCAACCTCCGTCTTCCAGGTGCAAGCTATTTTCCTGCCTCGGCCTCCTGATTATCTGGGATTACAGGCATCTGATACCACAACCGGCTAATTTTTGTTTTTTTAGTAGAGATGGGGTTTGACCATATTGGTCAGGCTGGTCTCGAACTCCTGACCTCAGGTGATCTGCCAGCCTTGGCCTCCCAAAGTGCTGGGATTACAGGTGTGAGCCACTGCGCCCGGCCAGATTTTATTTATTTACCTTTTTCAGTTCATTGATATTTTCATTGATGGTGTGAAAGCAGTGATGGTTAAAACTGCTGGCATATTAGCACGAATATTTTGTTTCCTTAGGTTTATACTTTTTATGTCCTCTCTGGAATACCTTTGTCTAACCCAAAGACACAAATATCTACTCCCATGTTCTTTTTCTATAGGTTTTATAGTTTTAGGTTTTACATGTAGGACTATGATCCATTTCAAGTTAATTTTTACATATGGTGTGGTTTTAAACAGTCCATTTTTTTTTTCAATTTTGGAGGGGATGTCCATTAAAGTTGTTCCAGCACTACTTATTAAAAAGGCTACTATTTCTTCCTCTCACCATTGAATTACCTTGGCATATGTGTCAAAACTCAATTGAACTTATACATATGGGTCTATTTCTAGACTTTGCTGCCTGCATGATTAATCTGTATGTCTATCCTTTTGCCAGTGGCACAATTTGGGGAGAATTGTTATGTTAACAATATTGAATCTTTTGGTCCATAAACATGGTATATATCTCAACGTATTTGTATATTATTTTATTTCAGTGAGGGTTTGTGTTTTCAATGTAAATATCTTTTGTTAGATTTATTCAGAATTATTTTATATTTTTGGTATTATTGCAAAGGGAATTGCTCCTTAAATTCAATTTTTCAGTAGTTTGCTGTTAGTATATAAGCATATACATTTTAATATTTGCCTTAAACAGATTTTTATATATTAACCCAGTATCCTGTGACCTTGGGAAATTCACTTATGGATTCTAGTAATTGTTTTGTAGATTCCCGGGGATTTTTCCATTAAAAATCTTATCATTTGCAAACAGGGACAGTTTTACTTGTTCCCTTTTGATCTTCTTTCCATTTATTTTTCTTTCCTTCTTATAATGACTGAGACCTCCAACACAATGTCAAATAGAACTTTAGAATAGTGGCCATGGTATCTTTGCCTTGTTCCTATTGTGGGGGAAAACAATTCAGCCTTACATCATTAATTATATTGTACTTATTTTATAGATGCCCTTTACTGATTTGAGGAAGTTCTCTATTATTTCTGATTTGCTGAAAGTTTTTATCAAGAATCAATGTTGAATTTTTGTGAAATGCATTTTCCATATCTATTGAAGTGATCATATGGGTTTTCTCCTTTTTTTGTTAATATAATGAATTTCATTTATCAATTTTAAAATATTAAACTAACTTTTCATTCCCGAGATAAGCCCTACTTAATCTTTAAGTGTTACTCTTTTAATATTCTATTGATTTGATTTGTTAGTATTTTGTTAAGGATTTTGCCTCTATATCAGTAAAGGATACTGATCTGTAAAATGTAAATACAATCTTTGTCAGGTTTTGCTATTAAGCTTATGTTACTGTATTAGTTTGTAGGGCTACTGTAAGGAAATGCCACAGAGTGGGAGGTCTAAACAATGTAAATTAATTTTTTCATAGTTCGGGAGACTAGCAGTCCAAGATCAAGGTCTTAGCAGGTTGGATTTCTCCAGAGGCCTCTCTCCTTGGTGTGCAGATGGCTGCCTTTTTGCTGTGTCCTCATGTGGTCTTTTCTCTGTGTACATATGTGCCCCTGGTGTCCTTCCCCTTCTAAGGACACTAGTTATATTGAACTAGGGCCCCACCCTAACAGCCTCATTTTAACCTAATCGGCTCCATAAAGACCTTATCTCCAAATATGATTACAATCAGAGGTACTAAAGGTTGGAACTTCAGCATACAAAGTTTGAGGAGGCACAATTCAGTCCATAAAAATTAACCTCATAAAATGAAGTGGATGGTGTTTTCTCTTCCTCTCTTTTCTGAAAAACATATTCTCCCCTCTTCTCTTTTCTGGAAAACATTTGTGTAACTTTGATGTTTTTACCAGTGAAAGCATCTGGCCCTTAAGTTTTCTTTTCGGAAAGGTTTTTCTTAACATACTCCATTTGTTTATTAGATATAGGCTTACTCAGGTTTTCTGTTTTTTTCTTGTGACTATTTTGGTGCATTGTACACTATTTAGTGCATTCAAAAATGCACTATTTTGGTGCATTTTTCATCTGTATTGTTGAATTTGTTGGCCTAATGTTGTTCTCTTATTATGCATTTGATGTCTTGCTGGTTATGGTGGCTCACACCTGTAATCCCAGCACTACTGGAGGCCGGGGTGGGAGGATCACTTGAGGCTGGGAGTTTGAGTCCAGCCTGGGCAACATACCAAGACCTTGTCTCTACAAAATATTTTTAAAATTAGCTGGGCATGGTGGCATGCTCTTGTAGTTCCAGGCACTTGGGAGGCAAGGTGGGAGAACTGCTTGAGCCCAGGAGGTGGAGGCTATAGTGAGCTATGATTGTGCCACTGCACTCCTTCCAGGAAGACAAAGTAAGACCTTATCTCCAAACAAACAAACAAACAAACAAAGGTTTTTCAAACTCTTCTTGTTTTAAATCTTTATGCCTTTTAAAAATAAGAGGGAAAAAAATCAAGATTCATCTGATTATTCTGGATGCTTAACTTTTCCATATAAATTCAACAATTAGTTTGTCAATTTCTACAAATAGTTTGCAGTTTTGATTGAGAGTGCAATTAGCCTGTAGATAAGTTTTGTGGAAATTGCCACCTTAACAATATTACATCTTTAGAACCTTGAACATTGTATGTATCTCCATCTATTTATATCTGCTTCAAATTCTCTTGTCAGTGTATTGCTGTTTTTAGCATACATATCTTGCACAAGTTTGTTGGGTTTATCCCTAACAGTGGTGGCATTAAAAATGGTACTGTTGTTTACATTTCAGTTTCTAGCTGTTAGTTTCATATATTTATATATATTGACATTATATCCTATGAGCTTTCTAAACCCATTTATTAAATCTAGCAGCTTTTATGTAGATATTTCTGGGATTTAATGTACATGATATGTTACCTGTGAATAAAGACAGTTTTATTTCTTCTTTTTTTTTTTTCTGAGATGGGGTCTTGCTCTGTTGCCCAGGCTGGAGTGCAATGTTGAGATCTCAGCTCACTGCAATCTCCACCTCCCTGGTTCAAGCAATTCTCCTGCCTCAGCCTCCTGAGTAGCTGGGATTACAGGCACCCACCACCATGCCTGGCCAATTTTTGTATTTTTAGTAGAGATGGGGTTTCACCATGTTGGCCAGGCTGGTCTTGAACTCCTGACCTCGTGATCTGCGCACCTCAGCCTCCCAAAGTGCTGGGATTATAGGTGTGAGCCACCACTCCTGGCCTATTTCTTCTTGTCCAATCTGCATGCCTTTTATTTCTTGTCCTTTTTAAAATTTCTTTTTCTTTTCTTATTACATTGACTGGATTCTCGAGTAAAAGCAATGAATGAAGACATCTTTGCCTTGTTTTCGGCAATAGGAAGAAAAACATGTAGTCTTTCATCATTAATCATCATATTAAAAATAGGTTTTGCTTAGTCTTTCATGAGATTGGGGAATTTCCCTTCTCTTCCTAGATTGCTGAAATTAGTACTTGTCTTTTTAATATTCTGTGTGACGAAATGGGAAGTACATGTGAAGTACTATTGCGGCATACAGAAATATGATTGCCTCAAGAAAAGCACTTGTGTGATTGTTTGAGTTGAGAAGTGAACTGGTTGCTTCTTTTTATGCAACATTATTTTTACTTAAAGTAACCAAGGACAAACTATGACTACTTAGACTTAAGTATCTGGCAGATATTTTCTCAAAAAAAAAAAAAAGGTTGTGTAAGATGAGGAAAACAACTGACTATATTTGTTAACATTTGTAACATTTGCATTTTAAACCAAAAATTTGAATTGTGAAAAATGTATATTCACTGTCCTGGGGCGTAACGTCTTCCCGGTACTTTAAGACTTTTTTGTGGTGGTGATATCAGCAAATGTGATTTTTCTGATGTACAATGAAATATGTCAACACTTGGGAGATCTACATAATTTAGTCAACCAAATTTTTTTTTTTTTTGAGGTGGAGTCTTGCTCTGTCACCTAGGCTGGAGTGCAGTGGCGCAATCTCGGCTCACTGAAACCTCTGCCTCCCGGGTTCAAGGGATTCTCCTGCCTCAGCCTCCCCAGTAGCTGGGATTACAGGCATGTGCCACCAAGCCCAGCTAATTTTTTGTAATTTTAGTAGAGATGAGGCTTCACTGTGTTAGCCAGGATGGTCTCAATCTCCTGACCTCATGATCTGCCTGCATTGGCCTCTCAAAGTGCTGGGATTACAGACATGAGCCACTGTGCCTGGCCATAGTGAACCAGTATTTTAAGAAACTACCACTTTTCAAGTTTTATATAGTATTAAAGAATACTATTCACAATTTTCTGAAAAGGCTATTTAAGTAATTCTTCCTTTTCCCACTATCTATCTTTGTGAGGTAAGATTTTCTTCATATATGTAACCAAAACAACTATCATGATAGACTGAAAACAGAAATAGATATGAAAATCCAGTTGTCTTTTTTTTTTTTTTTTTTTTTTTGAGACAGAGTCTCGCTCTGTCACCCAGGCTGGAGTGCAGTGCAACTTCCGCCTCCCAGGTTCAAGCGATTCTCCTGCCTCAGTCTCCCAAGTAGCTGGGATTACAGCCCGCCACCATGCCCGGCTAAGTTTTGTACTTTTAGTAGAGACAGGGTTTCACCATGTTGACCAAGCTGGTCTTGAACTCCTGACCTCAAGTGATCTGCCCGCCTTGGCCTCCCAAAGTGCTGGGATTACAGGCACGAGCCACTGTGCCCGGCCTCAGTTATCTTCTAGTAAACCAAACTTTAAGAGATTTGCAAAAGTGCAAAATAATGCCACTTCTTACTAATTATTTTTTGGAAAATATAGTTGTACATAAAAATATATGTGTTAAAATGTACTGATTTTTTACTGTTATTTTTTATTTTGGTAAAATATACATAACATACAATTTACCATTTTAACCATTTTTTGGTGTACAGTTGAGTGGCCTTAAGTACATTCACGTTGTTGTGCCACCATCACCACCATCTATCTCCAGAAATTTTCATCTTCCCAAACTGAAACTCTGTACCAATTACACCAATTACACAATAACTCTCCATTCCTCTCTCTCCAGAGCCCCTACCAACTACAATTCTATTTTCTACCTCTATGAATTTGACTAATCTAGATGCCTCCCTTAAGTGCAATCATACAATGTTTGTCTTTTTGTGTCTGGCTTGTTTTACTTAACATAATGTCTCCAAGATGTATTCATGTTGTCACTGTTATTTTAAAATTAAATTAATGAATATAATTTTTAAAAATATCTTGGTCTTAATTTTTTTTTTTTTAAGAGACAGGATCTTGTTCTGTTGCCCAGGTTGGTGCAGTGGTGTGATCATGGCTCGCTGCAACTTTGAACTCCTAGCCTCAAGTGATTCTCTCACCTCAGCCCCCCAAGTAACTAGGGCTGCAGGCACACACCATCATGCCTGGCTAATTAAAAAAAAAATTTTTTTGTAGAGATAGTGCACAGGCTGGTCTTGAACTCCTGGGCTCAAGTGATTCTCCTGCCTCAGCCTCCCAAAGTGCTGGGGATTACAGGCATGTGCCACCACATTTGGCCTAATTTTTTTCTTTTTGAGACGGAGTCTTGCTTTGTGGCCCATGCTGGAGTGCAGTGGTACCATCTTAGCTCACTGCAACCTTCGCCTCCGGGGTTCAAGTGATTCTTATGCCTCAGCCTCCTGAGTAGCTGGGATTATAGGCGTGGGTCACCATGCCCAGCTAATTTTTTGTATTTTTAGTAGACATGGGGTTTCACCAGGTTGGCCAGGCTGGTTTTGAACTCCTGGACTCACGCGGTCTTGAAGAGATCCCCACCATACTGTTTAATGAAGCTGTGGCCAGCTCAGAAATGAACTCTTACGTTAATTTACCCTCCTTTCCCGCCTCATTCACCTATTCTGCACTCTTAATGTCCTCAGATTACACCTCTCAATAAAGTGCTGGTCCTTAAATTTGCCTAGGCTCTGTTTTCTAAATAACTCAGGCAAAGACAGTGCCCAAAACAGTATAACAAGTGCTTAAAAAGATATTTTCTAAATAAACTAAGAAAAAAATTGGCTGTAAATATAGAAATATAAATAATTTTCCTTTAGTAAATTCAGAATTCATGACAATAGGAGCCCTAACATTGAGATTTAAAAAAAAACACAAAACCTTCAGCATATATGACATTGACATTTTGTAGAATATTTCCTTTTTTAAAATATAATGTTCATTATTTGGGATTTGTCTAATGTTTCCTCATGATTACATTCAAGTTCTGCATATCTAGCCAGAATGCTTCATAAGTGATACTGTGTCTTTCTTAGGGAATCACATTTACAAGTTCATACAGTATGTCTGTAATATCAATTCATCATCTGGTCAAGACTGCTAATCCTTTTTTTTTAACACATGCATTTAAATGTCTCTACTTTTCTCATTTATCATCGCATCATTATTATCCACCTCAAATAATATAGTAGGCTTCATTTTTGTTGCCTCCTGTTTCAGCCCCCCATGACTACCAACTAAAAGGTAAGCATCACAGAGGCAAGGATGTTTGCCTGTTGTTTTCATGGATATAATATATTCCAAATGTGTGTACAGTGCCTACCACATATTTACTGAATGCATGAATGAACAGATGATGATTCAGATTAGTAGATTATTGGATAACAGAGAATTTGTGTCCTTTATGACAGAACATTATTTTAATTTTTTAGAGACGAGATCTCACTATGTTTCGCAGGCTGGTCTTGAACTCCTGAGCTAAAGCAATCTTCCTGCCTTGGCCACCCAAAGTGTTGGGATTACAGGCATGAGCCACCGTGCCTAGCTGTGCCTAATTTATAAATTACATTTTATCATGGATACATATATATTTAGGAAAAACGCAGCATGTATGGGGTTTGGTACTATCCACGGTCTCAGGCATCCACTGGGGGTCTTGGAATGTATCACCCTCAGATAAGGAGGGACTACTACTACAAAATAATAGCCTTACTATTTTTTCCATTTCTCTGTACATTTATAATTGACAGTAAGAGAGCTTTCATGTTTTGACAAACATTTTAAAGGTCACAGGATAGTCATAATTGTTCCATTGATTATTATTATTATTATTTTTTAAGACAGAGTCTTGCTCTGTCACCAGGCTGGAGTGCAGTGGCATGATTTCAGCTCACTGCAACTTCTGCCTCCCAGGTTCAAGCAATTCCCCTGCCTCAGCCTCCCAAGTAGCTGGGATTACAGGCACGTGCCACCATGCCCGGCTAATGTTTTGTATTTTAGTAGAGACGGGGTTTCACCATGTTGGCCAAGATTGTCTCCATCTCCTGACCTCGTGATCCACCTGCCTTGGCCTCCCAAAGTGCTGGGATTACAGGCATGAGCCACCGCGCCCGGCCTCCATTATTAAAATCACTTTGCACAGTTTCAGCTTGCACTCTCATTTTTATGGTTCTGCACTGCCTGCACTCCCTGCATTCAAGGGAAGGTGCAAGTTAAATGCTTAAAAATGAAAACCAGAATGTTCTTACCATAGACTGATCTGAAGAAAATGAAGAACCACTGATTCTAGATGATAAGCTGTAGACATTAGCCTCCCATTTGGATCAATCCCAAATCTATATCTCCAGCTTGAGTTTCCAAGTGACTTTTGGTCATTCTACCAGCACTTAGTATGCAATACATCCAAAACTGAACTTCATCCTAACCCTCCCACCTACCAAAAAGCACCAAGCAACTTGATTCTCTGTCATTGAGTATCGGTTAGGATTAGTTTTGATGGCTAAACAGAGACCTGAAATAACAGCAGCTTAAGCAAAGTAAAGATTAATTTTTCTATCAAAATAAAACTCTAGGGTTAGGCAACCCAGTTGCTAATTAACCCAGGGCTAATTCCAGTATGAAGAATCACCAATTATCAGGAATCTAGGCCTTTCCTATTTTTTGTTCTATAATCCTTACCATGAAGCTTTTTTATCTTCAAGTTACCTCATG
The DNA here is from genome assembly GCF_000001405.40 of Homo sapiens. Taxonomy (NCBI): domain Eukaryota; kingdom Metazoa; phylum Chordata; class Mammalia; order Primates; family Hominidae; genus Homo; species Homo sapiens. The sequence goes on along the minus strand of NC_000015.10, from coordinate 56,873,345 downwards.
GTCACAAACCAGCTGTGGGCGCTTTAACCTTGACATTCCAGGCAGAAAGAAGAAAGGTAAAGAAAAAGTGCTGCCACCCTGCTATTCAATATACTTTAGAGAGCTCTCACGGATGCCCCATTCCAAAATGTCTGCTTATGTCTTATTAGACAATCCTATCTGTAATGGAGACAGAGAAATGTGGTTTTTAGCTGGGCATGTTGCTATCTTTTATATTAATGCTATATAGGTCAGTTACATAGAAAATGGGTAGAATGAATATTAGGCAAGCAATTAGTGGTCTCTTGTCAGACATCTTTAATGATCCTACTATTCACCTAGTCATCAAGCCAGAGACTTGGGGATTATCTGAGACTCTTCTCTCTCCCTCACTGCCCATATCCAAGGTTAGTTTATTATACTTTCTAAATATCTTTCGCATTTGGAACTCCACTTTTTTCTCTGATGCTCTATTGCCTAGAATAGTACATGACACAGATTGTTGACATTTATAAATGTTTGTAAAATTCTGATTCAATAGCTACTTTTCCTACATCTGGGGGAAGTTATCTCAGTGAACTTTACATCAGAGTCTTCAAACAATATTCAAAGAACATTCCTATTATATTATAAAGTGTAATTTCTGAAGTTCTTTAAGTTACAAAGCAATTTCCTATTCTCCGATACTAGTGGGAATTGAATTAGTTATTCAGTTTCAACAATATGAAACGTACTCCCCTCTCTGATATTTAATGTTTCTTAATTGTATAACTTTGTCTGTTAGTAGCTCCTGTCTCTTACACTCTGTCCTCCAGAAGTCCTCTATGGGACTTCCCTCAACATGCCCATTAGTGCATGAGTGTGTGCATGTGTGCGCACACACACACACACACACTGATGGCCTCAAGAATCTTGTTCCTTATGAAGTCAAAATGTCAAACATCTCAGTGGCAGGTAAGAAAAACAGTAACTCTCTCCCTGCTGAGCCACCTGCTGAATATTCCATATGCCAGGTGCTAATTTTAGGAGAAAGAAAGGAAAGTTTAAAAATGTATTCTCTTCTCACTGCTCAGCAAAAGCCTCCTTTCCTTTTCTTCTCAAGCAGCTGCAGCAGAAGCTTACGTGAATGCAAAATACAAGCGGTATTAGAAACAAGGCGTAATTTAAAAGATTTCACCAGATGACTTAAACAAATAAACCTGTTGGGTTAAGCTTATTGTTCTGGAGAGACTAAACACTGTGACTGGCCTTGGATTGATGGAATTCACTGGAATAGAGCAGGGATGACAAATTGGGATAAAATATTTGGCAGTTGTACTTTGTCTGAGGACAAATGACCAGCTTACTTTAAATTCATTTTCTGCAGCTGGTGAGTGGGTGGCCAGTTCTGCATCATACCTATTGTAGCCGAGTAAGTAACATTTCTTGACTTTGACAGGCTGCTCTCATTTGATTAGATATTTTACAAAACAATGTATTCTGCAGATCATTTTCAAAATGTTTTTCTTTCTCCAATTCCCATTCTGGTATAAATGAAGACCTCTGCAAGCTCTGAACATGCTCAGAGAATGGGTTGTTTTGACAAGCTGGAAAATAGACTATTTGCCAGCAATCTGCAAGCCAGAGCTTTAATAGTAGTCATATTACAAATGGTATTTTATCTTTGTCTTTACCATATTCCTTTATAGCTCTAAATATTTTATTTGCTGAAATAATTTATTTGAACACAGCAGCATTGGAGTGGGCAGTGAGAGCAAAAACACAAAGACCATTGTTGCAATTTCTTACTGCATTTGACATCATAATTTTATTCATTTGCTTTTTCAAACTAAAATTTCATGCAAAGTTGATGCCATTTCAACATGAATATGATTCTATATAGTAAGTTGAATGTGTAGAAATTCAGATATCTGGAAGTTATGAAACAAGGAATCAATTAGGTATACAAAAGCCGATGACTCACTATAGAAATATTCTTGGTCTCCTGTGCTGTGTATTAGCAACCATGGCCTACCCCAATTCCCATTTCCTTTAGTTGTGGAAGTTCTTGTGACTGCTTCTCCCTATGTTTATTTACTGCTCTTTTTTTCTTTTTTTTAATCAGTGCCTCTGTGATGTTTTCTCATCTCCTAACATTTCTGTTTACTCATTCTAGAAGCTAGACATCTGCAGAAAGTGCTAGCTAATCAGTTAAGAATTATTCTTTATCCCTTTAGCATTTGTGTTAAATGTAAATGTAATCCTAGACATTTTATACTTTAATTTGGGGGCTTATTCTGGAGATTTATTATTATTTTGTCAGTAATTATATTTGGAACTTTTCTTTCATTCTTAAATCTGATTTTATTTTTATTATTTATATATTCTTTTGAGACAAGGTCTCACTTGGTGCCCAGACTGGAGTGCAGTGGTGCGACCTTGGTTCACTGCAACCTCCACCTCTGCCTCCTGGCTCAAGCGATCCTTCTGCCTTAGCCTCCCAAGTTACTAGAACTACAGGTGTGCGCCACTAGGCCCTGCTAATTTTTGTATTTTTGGTGGGGGTAGAGACAGGGTTTTGCCATATTGCCCAGGCTGGTCTTGAACTCTTGGGCTTAAGTGATCCACCTGCTTGGGCCTTGCAAAGTGCTGGGATTACAGGCGTGAACCACTGCACTTGGCCCAAATCTGACTTTATGATTGAAGATAGATCTTCCTAAGAGACTGCTTTTTCCCATAAAAATAATTATATTAGGAAGAGCAAATAAAAATTTAAATAAAAGGAGCCTCTAATTGACCTTCAATTGATAGTCACAATTTTGCAAAGGAGAAGAGTCTATCAGCTCTCTCATTCCTACCTGACATCTTCCCCACTTACTGCAACATGGTCTTGGGCCAGTTATTTAACATTTCTGAGCCTCAATTCCCTTATCTGTGAAATGTGGATAAGAATAGTACCTACCACTAGGGTGGTTATAAGGATTAAGAGTTAATGTGTACAGGCCGGGCGCAGTGGCTGACGCCTGTAATCCCTGCACTTTGGGAGGCCGAGGTGGGCGGATCATGAGGTCAGGAGATTGAGACCATCCTGGATAACATGGTGAAACCCTGTCTCTACTAAAAATACAAAAAAAAAAAAAAAATTAGCCAAGCATGGTGGCAGGCATCTGTAGTCCCAGCTACTCAGGAGGCTGAGGCAGGAGAATGGCGTGAACCCGGGAGGCAGAGCTTGCAGTGAGTCGAGATAGCTCCCCTGCACTCCAGCCTGGGTGACAGAGCGAGACTCCGTCTCAAAAGAAAAAAAAAAAATTAAATAAAGAGTTAATGTGTACAAAGTGCGATGAACCACACCTGGCACCTAATAAAAGTTCCAAAAAATATTAGCTATTGTTATTGTCAAATTACCTCTATATAGATACATTTTCCTATCCTTTCCACTTTTCTTTCTCCTTCCCACATCAGCTTGTGAGAGAACAAGTCACTTCTAAGGATGCTAGGAGATTAGGAAGTGTGACCTGAAGCTGTGGTCACAGTCTAATCGTTTTGATAAACCCAAATGTTTAAATCCCAAAGAAAAAAAGTTCACCAAGACTGCCATATTGTACAACTCCAGGGGGCGCCATCCACCTGGTAGTCAGAGTGACTGCTGTTCCTGAAATTGTGCAGTGGACAATCCATGCAGCTATACATGGTAGCTCTGCATCCCACCATTCAATTACTTTGTTTATTTTCTTCACAATTCATTGTTTTCTGTTTCACGTAAAGTTATGTGTGCATAATGACATTTCAGTCAATGATGGACTGTGGACTGTGTTTAGGGTGGTGGTCCCATAAGATTATAATACAGCATTTTAACTATGCCTTTTCTATGGTTAGCTATGTTTAGAAACACAAATACTTACACTGTGTTATAATTGCCTACAGTATTCAGTACAGTAACATGCTGTCCAGGTTTGAAGCCTCGGAGCAATAGGCTATAACATATAGCCTAGGTGTGTGGTGGGTTATATCATCTAGGTTTGTGTAAATACATTCTATGATGTTCACACAATGACGAAATCACCTAGTCAGGGATTTTTCAGAATGCATCCCTATCGTTAATGCATGAATGTATGTGTAGTTATATACATTCACTGTATGACACACACACATAAAGCTTATCCATTGTTTTCCTTATACAAGTCTTTTTTTTTTCTTTCTGAAGGTGTTGACATTCAACTGGGAGTTATGTGTTTGTGTGCATCAAGGTTTATATTCACACCTACATGAAGTATTAATAGTGATAGAAAAACGTAAGAAGTAAAGAATAAATTACATTCAACTGTGTTGAAAATGCTCATAATTTATAAACATGATTGCTTTTTCTTCCCTCTATGAGATGATTACAAGTGGCTCAAAGCAAAGGATGTGAATAGAATCAAAATATTTAATTAATTGACCATTGAAGTGATAGGGGCTGATAGTAGATTTCCTGTCACTAAATGAAAGACATAGTCAAGCTGGGATAAATGTGATTGGCCAAATATCTCCACGACGTGTATGTCCGCTTTCTGTCATGTGTCTGTGGACACTGCCGGTGATTTGAATCAATATAACATTTTTTATTATTGTAAATAAAATGCTTCATTTAGTTCTTTCTCTGACATGAGGAAAAATTGTTCTCTGATGAACTACTTCAAGAAATATCCATTGAATTTTGAATACTGTGACAGTTTTATTTGAATTTATGACCAGTAATAGAACTACATACAGGTGGTACTGAGTTTCTACAAGATCCTCACTGTCATTTAAGCAACACAGATGTTTCCTTTATTCTTAATGAGTTAATCCCACTGCCATTCAAGCACAAGGAAGAAGGAGAAGGCGCCCAAAGGCCTATGTACCTAAAGGGAGTAGAATAAGCATAAAGCCTAGCTAATCTACAAATTTGATAATTCACCCTTGAATAATTGAAAATTTGATATATTTGCATTAGGAATGTGTAAATCAAGAGCACTGAAGTTCAACACATGCTGCGCTAAAATTAAAACAGTACTCAGATGGACTGAACCATGATTTATGATGTGCTTTTTTCAGTCCTTGGCATAGAATTTCCCTACTTACAAAAGAATCACAATGGAAAATACATAAAACTAGCTTTCCCTCTTGAGATGAATATTCTGCATATAATAATCTCTTGCTTCTTAAGTTACCATTCAGTTCACTTCAACAGTCATCTACTGAGCACCTTATTATGCTATTTCTGAAGATTCAAGGACGAATAAAACATAATCCCTGTTCTTAAGTTGTTTTCTCTTAATCCAAAGGATTGAAATAAAGTCAAGTGATCAAGGTACTGGGTTGGGGAGGCATGAAATAAGGTGTGAAAGGACGTATGGCAGACATTTGGGTCTTATTCTTTATAGCACTTTTTTTAGTAATCACTGGCAAATTGTTCTCCTACCCAGATTGCCTTCCCCTGTCTTTGTCAGCTCTTAGTATTGTCAACCTATCTTGTCTTGGGTTTAATAAAATATTCATCTAATAAATATGTGTGTTAAACTCTTAATGTACAAGTAACTTTTTAAGTGTTGTCAGTGACACAAAGTGATTGTCTTACAGCTGCTCACAATTTTCAATATTGTTTGAAAAGATAGTCACAGGAACTAACCCCCAAACAAGTCAAATGATGATTAACTTTATCATAGGATTATACATTGCACTCAATAGTGACAATGTAAAGTCAGAGTTCAGTGTGGAGAATCAGGTTCTTGACCAAGATTACACCACTGGTAAGCAGCAGAGCTGGGGTTTGAGACCAGGTCTGCCTATTGCCAACACCAGCATTCTTTTCACTTTAAAATTGCAACACAAAATAACATCATAAACATCAGTGCTTATCACAGACATATGCAAGGTTAAAATTGTTTTCAGCATTTTATGTGGAACTTTTACTTATTGTTATACTTTTGATCTATTGAGTGTCTTTTAGGGCCTTTTTCACACTCTAGTCTGTCCCCCCACCTAGAGGAGAACTCCTTTCTTTAGGATGCAGTGGAAAGAAACATGGACACTGAAGTATATCGCTGGTTATGTAGAGCAGGGGTCCTCAATCCCTGGGCCATGGACAAACTTTTCCCCCATCTGTGGAAAAATTGTCTTCCATGAAACCAGCCCTTGGTGCCAAAAAGGCTGGGGAATGCTAACATAGCGTCTTCAGTTTTCTCATCCATAAAAACCTCGCAGGGTTGTGGTAGAGATTAAAAGAAATAATTAATGCAAAGTCTCTAGCATAGCATGTCACTGACAGACCACTCTGGAAAGGTGAGTCATCTTCCCTTGAATTAAGAGAAAATATGCCTTTAAGTCCATCTGAGACAATACATTACAGCTGACAAGGACTGGAGGCCTATCTTGTTTACCTCCGTTGTTGCCCAGAGTGGAGCATGGAAATGCAGTGCGCTGATACTCTTTTCTCAAGGTCATATTGACAAATGTAAGCAGAAGTTTGATCATGTTTCTGTTCCTGTTTCTAGAGAAGTGACAACCTACTCCTAAAACATATTAAATAACTGGTCTGGATTTGGGGGAGTGTTATCCACATTTAATAGTTTCAATAATAAGATTGTGGGAAAATAATTGGCCTTCTGTAATTATTAATGATGTTGAACAACTTTTTATTGGTTTATTTGAAATTTATATTTTTTCCAGTGATTTGTCTGTTAATGTTCTTTGTCGTTTACTTAGTAATTTGCAGGAACTCTTGATAGATTATGGAATTTAATTTTTTTTTTTTGTGACGGAGTCTCGCTCTGTTGCCCAGGCTGGAGTGCAGTGGCGCGATCTTGGTTCACTGCGACCTCAGGCCTCCCAGGTTCAAGTGATTCTCCTTTCTCCTTTCTCAGCCTCCCAAGTAGCTGGGACTACAGGCATGCACCACTTGCCTGGCTAATTTTTTGTATTTCTTAGTAGAGCTGGGATTTCACCATGTTGGCCAGGCTGATCTGGAACTCCTGACCTCATGTGATCCACTCGCCTCTGCTTCCCAAAGTGCTAGGATTACAGGGGTGAGCCATGCCATCTGGCCTGTTGGTATATCTTTTAAATATAGCTTGTCTTCGAAAGATATATTGCATATCTTTTAGTTAGTTTAGGTTATCTTTTCCATACATGAATTCTAAATTTTTATGTAGCCCAATCTGCCAAATCTGACATGCCCTGTGAAACTCTCTACAATTCAAGGCTATATATATTTCTTCCATGTCCTAGCACCATTTGTTCAAAACAGTATACTTTCTCCTCTAAATTGCCTTTTCACCTTTGTCAAAAATCTGTTGTCTATATATGTATGCATGGTTTTATTTCTGGACTCCATCCTGTGCCAATGATTTCTTTGTCAATCTTTATTATCAATAGCACATTGTATTGGTTACTGTAGCTTTACGATATGTGTTGAAATCAGGTAGCATTAGCTCTCCAAATTTTTTGTTCTTTTTTGAAATTGTTTTGGCGATTGTAGATCCTTTGCATTTCCACATGAATTTTATTATCAGCCTGTCAAATTCTGCCAAAAGGCCTGCTTGAGATGGAAATGAATGTACAGCTCAAATTGGGAAGAATTGACATCTTAACCATATTGAGCCTCCTGAAGCATGAAAAAGGTATATCTCTTCATTTATTCAGATTTTCTTTAATCAGTGTCAGTAATGTTTTGTTGTTTCCAGTATGCAGGATTCTTACATCTTTGGTCAGATTTATCCCTAAATGTTTTCTAGTTTTTGGTGTTATTATAAATGATATTGTTTTAATTTTTTTTTATTTTCACTTGTTCATTAGTGGTAAATAGAAATACAATTGATTTTTTAATACATTAATTTTGTATCCTGCATGCTTGCTAAACTCATTATTAGTTCTAGTACCTGTTTTGTAGATTCTTTAGGATTTCCTACATAGATGGTCATGTTGTCTTCAAATAATGACAGTTCTACTTCTTTCTTTTCCATCTGGATGCCTTTAATTTCTTTTTCTTGCTTACAACCTCCAGTTAAATGTTTAATGGAGGTGGTGAGAGCAGACATACTTGTCTTTTTCTCAATCTTAGAGGAAAGCTTTAATTTTTACAAGTATGATGCTAGCTGTAGGTTTTTGTTTTTGTTTTTATAGATGCTGTTTATTAGATTGAGTATTCTCTTTTATACCTAGTTCGCTGAGAGTTTTTTTTAATCAGAAACCGATGTTGGATTTTTTCGAAGGCTTTATTCGTGTCTATTGAGACTATCATATGCTTTTCTTTTTAAATTAGTGTTTATATGGTGTCTTATATAATTTTTTTGAAAGTAAAACAACTTTGAATTCCTGGTATAGACCTAACTCAGTCATGATGTTTTATCCTTTTTAAATATTGATTGATTTGCTAAATTTTGTTTAGCATTTTGCATCTGTGTTCATGAGGGATATTGGTTTGTAAATTTCTTTTTTCGTTATGTGTCTGTGTGGTTCTAATATCAGGGTAATGGAGAACTCACAGAATTAGTTGGAAAGTATTTCCTTTTCAATTTTTTGGAAATTTGTGAAGAATTAGAATTATTCATTAACTGTTCATTCATGAATGTAACATTCATTAAATGTTTGGTGGAATTCACCAATAAAGCCATCTGGATCAGAGTTTTCTTTGTGGGAAGGTTTTTAACTGAAAATTTTGTTTCTTTAATAGATATACATATTTTTGTTTTGTTGTTTTATTTTTGAGATGCAATCTCAGCTCACTGCAACGTCTGCCTCTTGGGTTCAAGCGATCCTACTGCCTCAACGTCCCAAGTAGCTGGGACTGCAGGCACTCACCATCATGCCCTGCTAATTTTTGTTTATTTTTAGTAGAGTCGGGGTTTCACCATGTTGGCCAGGCTGGTCTCGAACTCCTGGCCTCAAGTGGTCCGCCCACCTTGGCCTCCCAAAGTACTGGGATTACAGGTGTGAGTCACCTGATGCCCGACCTATCTCTTTATATTATCTTTTTCTTCTTGAATGGGCTTTGGTAGTTTGTGTCTGTCGTGTGTCTGTCCTTCATCTAAATTGTTAAATATATTAGTTTGTGGTTGTTCATAATATTCCCTCATTATCCTTTTAGTATCTATGGATATCTATACTGATGTCATCTCTCTGACTCCTGATATTGGTAATTTGTGTCCTCACTCTTTTTTCCTGGTCAATTTAGAAATTTATCAATTTTATTAATCTTTGCAGGGTAGCTTTCAGTTTCCTTTTTCTTTCCCCTCCTCCTTTTTTTTTTTTTTTTTTGAAACAGAGTCTTGCTCTGTCATCCAGGCTGAAGTGCAGTGGCGTGATCACAGCTCACTTCAGCCTCGGATTCTGGGGCTCAAGTGATCCTCCCACCTCAGCCTCCCAAGTAGCTGGGAACACAGGTGTGCACCATTCCATCCAGCTAATTTAAAAATTTTTAGTAGAGACAGGGTCTCGCTATGTTGCCCAGACTGGTCTCGAACTCCTGGGCTCAAGGGATCCTCCTGCCTTGGCCGCCCAAAATGCTGGGATTACAGGCACCAGCCACATTTCCTTTAGCTTCATTGATTGTGTCTCTGGTTTTTCTGTTTTTGATTTTGTTTTATTTCTTTGATTTCTTCCCTGATATTTATTAATTCCTTTTTTTGCTTATTTTGGGTTTAATTTGCTTTCTGTATGACTTAAATCCTATTATGTTTATTGTGACTTGTTTTGTGGCACAAAATATTGTTTATCTTGATAAAATATCTCATGTGCACTAGAAAAGAATGTGTATTCTGCTGTTGTTTAGTGGACCTGTCCATACAAGTCAATTAGGTCATCTTGGTTGATAATGTTTGGAAAACCTGTATCATTACTATTTTCTGCTGACTTGATCTAAGAATTATTGAGAGGGGGTATTGAAATATTTTATTAGAATTGTGGATTTTCTATTTCTCCTTCTAGTTCTATTAATGTTTGTCTCATGTAAATTGAAGTTCTTGTATTAATTAGGTGAATAGTGTTTTTAGAATGTCATATCCTTTTGGTTAATTGACCCCTTTATCATTATGAAATGACATTTTAAACTCTCTAGTAACAGTGTTTGCTCTGAAATCTAGTTTGTTGGTCATTAATGTACCCATTTATTCTTTCTTTTGTTAAAGTTAACTTTTTTTTTTTCATTTTTAAACTTAACCTATTGGTGTTTTTCATATTTAAAGTGTATTTTTTATAGATAGCATATTATTGCCTTACTTTTTTATCCAATCTGATAACTTCTGTCTTTTAATTAGGTGTGTTTGGACCATTTACATTTTTTTCTTCTATTTATTTATCTTTAATTGACAAATAAAAATTGTATATATTTATGGTGAAAAACTTGATGTTTTGAAACATGTATACATTGTGGAGTGACTAAATCAAGCTTATTAACATATGCATTATTTCACAGTTATCTTTTTAAAATTTTTATTTTTTAAAAAATTTTGGTGGATATGTGGCAGGTGTATATATTTATGTGCTACATGAGATGTTTTGATACAGGCATGCAATGTATTACACATCATGGAAAATGGGGTATCCATCCCTTAAGTATTTATCCTTTGTGTTTCAAACAATCCAATAATACTCTTAGTTATTTTTAAATGTACAATTAAATTGTTTTGATTATAGTCCCTATGTTGTTCTATCAAATATTAGGTCTTATTCATTCTAACTATTTTTTTTGTACCCATTAACCATACCCACCTCCCCACCGCACCTCACTACCCTTCCCACCCTCTGGTAACCATTCTTGTATTCTCTAACTCCATGAGTTCAATTATTTTTATTTTTAGGTCCCACACGTAAGTGAAAATATGTGATGTTTGTCTTTCTGTGCTGTCTTATCTCACTTAACATACTGCCCTCCAGTCCCATCCATGCAGTTGCAAATGACAGGATCTCATTCTTTTTTATGGCCGAATAGTACTCCATTGTGTATAGGTACCACATTTTCTTTATCCATTCATCTATCGATGGACACTTAGGTTACTTCCAAATCTCGGCTAGTGTGAACAGAGCTGCAGCAAACCTGAGAGTGAAGAAATATACTGACTTCCTTTCTTTGGGGTGTATACCCAGCAGTGGGATTGCTGGATTATATGGTAGCTCTCTTTTTAGTTTTTTGAGGAACTTTTAAACTGTTCTCCATAGTGGTTGTATTAACTTAGATTCCTACCAACAGCGTATGAAGGTTCCCTTTTCTCCACATCCTCTCCAGCGTTTGTTATTGCCTGACTTTTAAATAAAAGCCATTTCAACTAGGGTGAGATGATATCTCATTGTATTTTTTTAAACCTTTCCTGTGGTGCTGATCATTGTAGTTTTTATTTGCATTTCTCTGATGATCAATGATGTTGAGCACCTTTACATATGCTTGTTTACCATTTGTATGTCTTTTTTGGGTGGTAAGAACTTAAAACCTACTCTCTTAGCAATCCTCAAGTATACAATATGTTGTTATTAAATGCAGTCACCATATTCTACAATAGATCTCTTGAACCTGTTCCTCCTAACTGAAATTTTGTATCCTTTCATCAACATTTTCCCAATATCAACCTTCAACCCTCACTCCCTAGTAACTACCATTTTAATCTCTGCTTCTATGAGTTCAGACTTTTTTAGATTCTACATGTAAGTGATATCATACAATGAATTGTCTTTCTGTGCCTTGTTTATTTCACTTAACATAATGATAACGTCCTCTAGGTTTATCCATGTTGTTGCAAATGACAAGATTTGCTTCTTTTTTTTTTAGGCTGAATTTCTTTAACCATTTATCCATTGAGGGACACTTAGATTGATTTCTTTTTTTTTTTTTTTCAGTTGAGAAGGAGTCTCGCTCTATTGCCCAGGCTGGAGTGCAGAGGCACGATCTCGGCTCACTGCAACCTCCGACTCCCAGGTTCAAGCAATTCTCCCACCTCAGCCTCCGGACTAGCTGGGATTACAGGTGCATGCCACCATGCCCGGCTAATTTTTGTATCTTTAGTAGAGACAAGGTTTCGCCATGTTGGCCAGGCTTGTCTTGAACTCTTGACCTCAAGTGATCTGCCCGCCTCTGCCTCTCAAAATGCTGGGATTACAGGCGTGAGCCACCACGCCTGGCTCCCTAGATTGATTTCATGTCTTGGCTATATTGTGAATAATGCTGCAATGAATATGGGAGTGCCAATATCTCTTTGACATACTGATTGCATTTCCTTTGGATATATACACAGCAGTGGGATTGGATTATACTATAGTTATATTTTTAATTTTTTGAGGAAACGTTATACTGTTTTCCATAATAACTATACTAATTTATGTTCCCACAAACAGGGCACAAGTGTTTCCTTTTCCTTTTCTCCATATCCTTACCAAGACTTGCTGTGTTTTCTCTTTTTTGATAATAGTTATTCTAACAAGTGTGAGGTAATATAAATATCTCATTGTAGTTTTTTGTTTGTTTGTTTTTGTTTGTTTTTGAGACTGAGTCTGGCTTTGTTGCTCAGGCTGGAGTGCAGTGGTGCGATCTCAGCTCACTGCAACCTCTGCCTCCTGGGTTCAAGCGATTCTGCTGCCTCAGCCTTCTGAGTAGCTGGCATTACAGGTGCGTGCCACCATGCCCAGCTAATTTTTTGTATTTTTAGTAGAGATGGGGTTTCACCATGTTAGCCAGGATGGTCTCAATCTCCTGACCTTGTGATCCTCCCGCCTCGGTCTCCCAAAGTGCTGGGATTACAGGTGTGAGCCACTACACCCGGCCCTGTTGTTTCATTCTTTTATCTTTCTGTTTCATCTCATTTAATCACCACAATAACCCGACAAGACAGGAACTATTATTATCCCCGTTTTTCTTTTTCTTTTTTTCTTTTTTATGGCAGGGGGGAGTGCAGTTTCACTCTTGCCACCTAGGCTGGAGTGCAATGGCGCAATCTGGGCTCACTGCAACCTCCGCCTCCTGTGTTCAAGTGATTCTCCTGCCTCAGCCTCCCAAGTAGCTGGGATTACAGGCATGCACCACCACGCCCAGCTAATTTTTGTTTTTAGTGTTTTAGAGATGGGATTTCATCATGTTGGCCAGGCTGATCTTGAATTCCTGACCTCAGGTGATCAGCCCACCTTGGCCTCCTAAAGTGTTGGGATTACAGGTGTGAACCACCACGCCCAACCTCATTGTAGTTTTAATTCACATTCCCTGATGATGAGTGGGTTGACTATTTTTCCATATACCTGTCGGCCATTTGTATGTCTTCTTTTGAGAAATGTCTATTTAGGTTCTTTGCTCATTTTAAAATCAGGTTGTCTTCTTGCTATTGACTTGTTTGAGTTCCTTATATATTTTTGATAATGATCCCTTATCAGAAGTGTTGTTTGCACATATTTTCTCCCTCTCTGTAGGTCATCTTTTTACTCTGTTGATTGTTTCTTTTGCTGTGCAGAAGCTTTTTAGTTTGATGTAATTCTATTAGGTTTTCCAGTATGACTGGGGGAATAGTGTATTATGTATTCTTTTGTGTCTGGTCTGCTCTTCTCTCCACTCAACATTGTATCTGTAAGATTTATTTGTGTTATTTTATGTATCAGTAGTTTGTTACTTATTGATAGATGTTTAACATTCCAATATGCAAACAAACTACATTTATTTACAAATTTTATTATTGATGGACATTTAGATTGTTTGGGGTTACTATGAATAAAATTGCCATGGACATTTATGTAGGAGTGGTTTGATAGGTGTATGACAGCACTATGCACTGGATACTGTGAGAGCACAGAGGAATGTTTCTGGGGATAGTGAAGCTTGATCTGAGTTTTTAGGGGTGTAAGAGATGACTGATGGGAAAGCAAAGGAGAGGTTTCTAGACAGGAGGAAGAGTCATCAGCAAAAAGGAAGAGAATCAGGAATAAATTATAGGAAAGGAGGCAGAGAAGAGACCAAAGTGGTAGGTGGACATCGTTATGATAAATTAAAGGGTTCAAACTTCACCCCAAGGAATTTCACACATGGTAAGATTTTCTTTCAATAAAAGTATCTCTGATCACAGCATGGAAAATGGATTGGAGAAGGGTGGAACTGGAGACCGGGAGACCTGTTAGGAAGTTTTGGTGAGGGGCTTGCCAAGCCAGATAACAAAACATTATGTTGTAAAGTTACAACAGTTAAGTCACCATGGTACTCTACCAAAAAAAAAGAGATAGATTTGAATATAAAATTTGTGTATGGTAAAAATAACACAATGCTACTGAACAAATAATAAAGTGGGGAGAAAATATTTCAGAATATATAGTAGACAAATGGTAACTATATTAACAATTCCCTAAGATAAATAAGAAAAGCGCAAAAAATCTAATAGGAAAATAGGTAAGGAATGTAAAGGGGCAATTTACAGATGAAATACAAATGGCCAATTATGAGAAAATGTTAAACTACTGCCTAAGTGATTATGTCTAAAATTAAAATAATGAGAAAAATTTACATTTCAGAGTAGTAAAAGGTAAAAATATTTATGATATCAAATGCTGGCTTGAGAATAGGGAAACACGTGTTAAAAATGTAAATTGGATGGCCGACTGTGGTGGCTCACGCCTGTAATCCCAGCACTTTGGGAGGCCAAGGCGGGCGGATCACCTGAGGTCAGGAGTTCAAGACCAGCCTGGCCAATGTGGTGAAACCCCGTCTCTACTAAAAATACAAAAATTAGCCAGGCATGGTGGCGGGTGCCTGTAATCCCAGCTACTTAGGAGGCTGAGGCAGAAGAATCACTTGAACCCGGGAGGCGGAGGTTGCAGTGAACCAAGATCACACCATTGCACTCCAGCCTGGGCAACAGGAGTGAAATTCTGTCTCATATTTAAAAAAAAAAAAAAAAAAAAAAAAAGTAAATTGGTGCAATCATTTGGAAAGCAATTGGCACATATCTTTTGACCTTGAATATATTATGGGAAATATTTGAAATATTTGCACAGAAATTTTCCCAGAAATATTTTCAGTATAAAACAAAGGTATACTTCCAATGTTATTCATTTGAATGGTGCTTATCATAGTAAAAACATGGGATAATCTAAGTAGGAGTTTGATAAGCTGTGTTACATCTATATGGTGGAACACTCTTCCTATATATTTTTTAAAATTAAACATATATATAAATATGTATATATTTCAAGAATAGAAAGGTATTGACAGTATGCTATTGGGTGAAAAAGGTCAAATTCTAGAAAATAATGGAAGGTATGATGTTATTTTTACAAACATTTGTTAAATGTAGTATATGTCAGAAACTGGGCCATTAACTAGTGATCCAGAAAAGAACAAGATAGAAAAAATTCTGGCAATTGTGGAGTTAAAAAAATGTCAACAGGTTAAAAATCGTTAACCCCTGGGGAATGAGAATGACGGCAGTGGGAGGGGGAAAGGATGTTTACTTTTTTCTTTATTCACATATTTGGACTATTACATTTTTGTCAATAAGCAACTTTTGCTTTTGTGATTTAAAAACTAAGCCTTAAAAGGAGTCAGTTATACTATTTTTTATCAAATATTTAAAGCAATAGTAAAACCAATTAACATTCTTGAAAGTGTGAAGAAATGGATGCTCTTATACTCTGTTTTAGAGAGCTTTCATTTGCATATACATTTTGGATTGCAACTTGGTAATATGTATTTTTTCAAACCTTAAAAATTTGCTTTGATACAAAAATTTTCTAGGAATTTATCCTGGGGAAAGATTTAAAAGTATGAAAAAATCTACAAATATGTTCATTGCAGCTTTCTGTATAACAGTGTAAAATTAGCAACAACTTAAATATCCTTCAACATGGGATTGCTTAATTAAATCATGGTACAAACGTAAAATTTAAAATGACTGTTGGCAGCACGTTGGTTGCCACCCTAACAGTCATTTTCCTTTTCTCCCTTGCTAACAGAATTGCCATTTTTTGAAGATATTGAGTGGCAAGATGATTAAGGAAGATGGGTGCGGTTCAGGTAGTGAATTGTGATTGATGATGGTAACCTTACCATGTATTTGGTTTAGGAGTTGACAGATGGTCTATTTCCGGTCAGTGAAACATCAAAGTAGTTATTTGTGTTTTTTGGAAGTACACATTATATTAAGAGATGTATGAAGAGAAAACTGTTTATTTTCACCTTCTCTGGATATTTTGTGTGAAGATGTAAGAATGTGGTGCTTGGAGCTATGTAACTATCTGAGGCTCTGAGAGAAAGCCATGAGAGTCACAGAGAAACCACCCAAAGCCTTCACTGTTGAATGGTCATGACCAATTTTGAAACTAATGCCAGACTTTTTAATTATTAATGTTTCTTTTAAAGAGTATCAACATTACTTACAAGTAAAATTGACCTTATTGGTAAAGCTCTATAGGCAGTGAAAACAGGTACAACTCTGGAATTAGCTTAGGTTGAAATCTTGGGTAGCTCTCACTAGTGCTACTCACCATTACACCATGAACTATTTACTTAAATTATCAAAGCCTTAGTTTTCCCATCTGTAAAACGGGAATAATATAATTTCTATCTTATAAGTTTTTAATGTCAGTGACAAATATATATATATAGAGAGTTTAGCAGAGTGACTTTAGTAAAGCTCAGTATTAGCTATTGTTAATAAAGTAACAATATTAATCTATACTGATATGAGAGAGTATGCATGTAATATTAAGTGATGAAAGCACCATTATGTATAGTAGTTACCATTTTATAAAAATAAATATATATCCCTAGAAAAATTCTAGAAATGTATAACAATTATGGTATTATTAATAACAATGCTTATCTTTGGGTATTAGGATTACTGATACTTTTAATTCTGTTCTTTTTATTTTTCTAAATGTTCTGGAATTTTAAAAAGTAAGCATATATTCTACATATACATGTACATACACACACATATACCTATATAAATTTTAAAGTAGTTAAATTTGGTGGGTGGTATGAAGAGGCAGAAAGAATGGAAAAACCTGCAGAGAATATTCAGAAGGAGTGAGGAATAGGGAGTGAGCACAGCTGCAGAAGCAAAGGGAGGAACCGATTTTAAGAAAAGCATAGTCAACGTTATGGAGTGCTTCTGGAGAGTGACAAGTCAGATAAAGACTGAAAAGCGTTCACTGAATTTCATCTTATGGAGACCAGTGGTCACCTTAGAAAGAACTGTGTCAACTAAGAAACCAGAGTGCAGTGAAAATGAGAAGTAAATGCTCAACTAAGAAATGAGTTGAAAAGCGACTAAATGGCAAAAGTAAATGTATATTAATCTTTCAATAAGCTGGACTGTGAAGAAGAAAGAGAGGGAGTGTTTCAGGAAGAATCCAGCACAGAAGAGATTTAAGCTACAGAATGAGAGAGACAGTAGTTATGGCAGGGGTCCCAAAGAGGCAGAAGAAAATGGTATCCAGTTGTATTTGTGTGGGAAAAAATTCCTTCAGCAAGAATTTTCATCACTTCATTTAGTGGTGTTTTTCACTCCCTTAATGGTGCATTTTGATGGACAGAATTTCATAATTTTAATGTAATAAAAATATTTTTCATTATTGTCAGTGATTTTATGTCTTATTGTAAAAATAATTTCTTATCCCAAGGTCATAAAGATGCTCGTCTATATTCTCTTCTAAAAATGTTTAAAATTTGCATTTAAGTCCATAGTTCATCTTCAATTGATTTTTGTGTATGGCATGAGGTAGACATCTTATTTCATTAAAAAACAATAGATAGCCAATTATCCCAGGCTCGTTAACTTTATCCATTGGTATTTGGTGGTACCTCTGTCGTGCACGATAGTGATTTGTGAGAGCTAAGTGTTAGCATCTCTCTCCAACTCTGCATTCAGTAAAGTCATATTGGTACCTTGAAAGCAGGCAAGTTTTAGTATTTACACATGGAAATCAGCAGGCAACTACAAACAAGGCTGTTTTGGCTGGGGAGCTGGCTTGTTCATGATGAACGGCTTTTGCAAAAAGAATCTAGATTCTAGAATCTAGAATCTAGACGCTAGATTTGAATTGCTAATATTTTGGTAGATTTAACATAGATTGTTGCATCTATGTTCGTGAGTGAGATTAATCTGAAATTTTTTTTCTTGTAATACTTTTGCTTGGCTTTTGAATGGAAATTGTGCTATCATTGTAAATTAACTGGGAATTGCTTTCTTTCTTTCTATTCTCTGGAAAAATTTGATTAAAATTGAAATTAACTCTTTCCAGTAGAACTTACTGGTAAAATCATTTTGGGCCTACTATGGTGTGTGTGTGTGTGTGTGTGTGTGTGTGTGTGTGTGTGTGTGTCTGTCTGTCTGTGTGTGTGCATGCATGCACATGCCTGTGAAAAGATTTAGGGTACTGATACAATTTCTTTTTCTTTTTTTTTGAGACAGAGTCTCATTCTGTCACCCAGGCTGGGGTGCAGAGGCACCATCTCGTCTCACTGCAACCTCCGCCTTCTGGGTTCAAGTGATTCTCGTGCCTCAGCCTCCCAGGTAGCTGGGACTATAGACCCCCGCCACCACGCCTGGCTACTTTTTGTATTTTTAGTAGAGATGAGGTTTCGCCTTGTTGGCCAGGCTGGTCTCGAACTACTGACCTCAAGTGATCCACCTGCCTCGCCAGTGCCGGGATTACAGTGAGCCACAGTGCCTGGCCAACAGTTTCAATATTGGTTGTAAGACCATTCATGTTTTCCTATTTTCATCTCATTTTTTTTCTGTTTTTTTTTTGGGGGTCCATTTTCTAAGAAGTTGTCCTTCTTACTGAAGTTGTCAAATTTATTGGCATAAAGATTTTCTTAACATTCATGTGTTAGCTTTTTAATTATGCTTGATCTGTAGTTTTCAAAATTTTTTCAATATTTTAATACGTGCCTCCCTTTTTATTGATCAACCTTGCCAGAGGTTTGCCAATTTTGGCTGGCATTTCAAAAACAACCTTTTTCTTTGTTGATGCTCTTTGGTGTGTATTTGTTTTCCGTTTCTTTAATTTATATTTTGATTATTTTCTCACTTTTAATATCTTGTTCTGTTGCCCGTTTTCTAATGTTAAAAGTCTGGCCAGATACAGTGGCTCACTGCACAGTGGCTTGCTGCCAGACCTAACTTTTAACATTAGAAAAAGAGCATTTTTGGAGGCCAAGTTGAGAGGATAATTTGAGGCCAGGAGTTTGAGATCAGCCTGGCCAACATAGTGAGACCCCTGTCTGTACAAAATAAATAAAATTAAGTCTTATTAATTTTTACCTTTTTTTTCCTAAAATTTGGCTATATGTTTTCTCCTGGTACTACAAGTTTTGATCTCAACTATTTTTGTTATAATTTAGGTCAATTTTTAAAACTTACATCATATTTTTCTTTATTCCATGAATAATTGCTAAATATATAACTTTTTGAATATTTTCAAAATTTATTTATTGTGACTAGTATTATAGTTATAATATGCTCTATATAACACTGATGCATCAAAATTTATCAAGACTTGCTTTATCTCCTAACACATGGTCCATTTTCATAAGCACTACATGTGTATTTAAAAGGTTGCAGTTTTTGCAGTTGCTGGATACAATGTTCTACGTATTTCTATTAAATGAAACTGTTCATATATTCCTTATCCTCACTAAGTTTTAAAAATCTGCTTTACCTGTTAATTATTAAGAGAGTTTCTTAAAATCTCTCATCTTGATGGTAGATTTGTCAATTTCTCCTTGTGATTTTGTCAATTTTTGATTTATACTAAAGGTAAGTTACTATTTGAATAAGTTTTTCTCAACATTTTATTGACTTCTACATGAGACTGACTTCTACATTAAACTTGAAATAATAGTTCAGTGAACATTTATACATCTTTTGCCTAGATTTATGAAACACTAACGTTTGCCGTATTGCTTTCTCTATTTCTATATGTGTATGGATGAATATATATGTATATATTTTTTCACATAGAGGTGAAATTGACATAAAATTAACAATTTAGAGTGCACAATTCAGTGGCATTTAGAACATTCACAATGTTGTGCAACCACCACCTCTATCTCTAAAACATTTTCATCACCTCAGGAAAAGCCTTGTATCTATTGAGCAGTCACTTCCCACTCCCCCAACCAGCTCTTGAGAACCACCAATCAATATGTCACTATGGATTTAACTATTCTAGACTGTTCATGTAATATGGGAACTTTTTATTTGGCTTCTTCATTTAGCATAATCTTTTGAAGTTCAAGAACGTTGTAGCATGTATCAGTACTTCATCTCTTTTTATGGCTGAGTAATATTCCATTATATGTATGTACATTTTGTTTATGTGTTCATCTGTTAATGGACATTTCTATTAATACCTTTTGGCTATTGTGAATAATGTTGCTATAAACATTTGTGTAAAAGCATCTGTTTGACCTTCTGTTTTCAAATCTTTTGGGTATATAGTTAGGAGTGGAATTGCTGGTCATATGGTAATTATATGTTTAACTTTTTGAAAAAAACCCTATCTGTTTCTACAGTGGGTGCATCGTTTTACATTCCCACTAGCAATTTGTGAGAGTTCTAATTTCTCCACATCTTACCAATACTTGTTATTTTCCAGTGATGACAATGATGGTTATTACTATTATGGCTGACCTAGTGGGTATGAAGTGGTATCTCATTGTGGGTTTGATTTGCCTTTCTCTAGTGACTAATGATGCAGAAGATTTTCATGTGCTTGTTGAAAATTTGTATAGTCTTTTTCGGAGAAATAGCTATCAAGAACTTTGCTCATTTTAAAATTGGGTTGTCTTTTTGTTATTGAGTTGTTAAAGTTCTTTAAATGTATTCTGGACAGTGAACTCTTTTTTTTTTCTTTTTTTTGACAGAGTCTTGCTCTGCCACCCAGGCTGGAGTGCAGGGGCACGATCTTGGCTCACTGCAACCTCCACCTCCCGGGTTCAAGCAATTCTCCTGCCTCAGCCTCTCGAGTAGCTGGGATTACAGACATGCACCACCACGCTCGGCTAATTTTTAGTACAGACAGGGTTTCACCATCTCTACTACATATTGGCCAGGCTGGTCTCAAACTCCTGACCTTGTGATCTACTGGCCTCAGCCTCCCAAAGTGCTTGGATTACAGGCGTGAGCCACCGCGCCTGGCCTCTAGACACTAGACTCTTATCACATACATGATTTGCAAGTCTTTTCTCCCTCGTATTGGTTGTCTTTTCATTTAATAATGGCCTTTGATGTACAAACGTTTTTCATTTTGATAAAATCAAATTTATCTATTTTGTCTGTTGCTTATGCTTTTGATAGGATATCTAAGAATCCACTGTCCAAGGACATGAAAATTTACCCCTATGTTTTCCTCTAAGAGTTTTATAGTTTTCACTCTTACATTTAGGTCTTTGATCCATTTTGAGTTAATTTTTCTATGTACTGTGATATAGGGAGTCCCTCTTATTCTTTTGCATGTGATATTCAGTTGTCTCTGTACCATTTGTTAAACAGACTATTCATTCCCCATTGAATTGTCTTGGCATCCTTGCTGAAAATCAATTGGCCATAGATGTATGGATTTACTTATGGACTCTCAGTTTTACTCCATGGATCTACAGGTTTATTCTTATGCCATTATCACATTGTTTTGATTACTTTAGATTTGTGTAAGTTTTAAACCAGAAAGTGTGTGACTTCCAGCTTTGTTATTCTTTTTCTTTTTGAGACGGAGTCTCACTTCATTGCCCAGGCTGAAGTGCAGTGGCACGATCTCGGCTCACTGCAACCTCCGCCTCCTGAGTTCAAGTGATTCTCCTGCTTCAGCCTCCCCAGTAGCTGGGATTATAGGTGCCTGCCACCAGGCTGGCTAATTTTTGTATTTTAGTAGGGACGGGTTTTCACCATGTTGGCCAGGCTAGTTGCAAACTCCTGACCTCAAGTGATCCACTCGCCTTGGCCTCCCAAAGTGCTGGCATTACAGGCCTGAGCCACCACGCCTGGCCTGTTATTCTTTTTCAAGTTTGTTTTGGCCCCTTGTAGCTATATGAATTTGAGGACTGGCTTTTACATGTTT
Source organism: Homo sapiens (assembly GCF_000001405.40). Taxonomy (NCBI): domain Eukaryota; kingdom Metazoa; phylum Chordata; class Mammalia; order Primates; family Hominidae; genus Homo; species Homo sapiens. The sequence continues at coordinate 56,851,346 of NC_000015.10, read as the reverse complement.
GTGAAAAGGCCATTGGAATTTTGACAGGAATTATGTTATCTCTGGAGATTTGGATAGTATTGCCATCTTTAGTTTTCCAGTCCACCAACACAAGGTGTGTTTCTATTTATTTAGCTCCTCTTTAATTTCTTTCAGCAATGCTTCAGTGTAGATGTCTTTTCACTTCTTTGATTACATTTATTATGAATTATTTTTGTTTTTTGGATGTTATTATAGTGGAATTGTATTCTTAATTTCTTTTTCAGATTCTTTACTGCTTGTTTATAGCAACACAACTGATTTTTGAGCATTGTATTACACCTGAAATTGGGATGAATTCATTTATTAGCTCTATTATTTCTTCTGTGGATTTTTTGATATTTTCTATTTAGAGAATCAGGTCATCTGCAAAAAGGAATAGTTTTACTTTTTCTTTTTAATCTATATTGTTTTTACTTTTTTCTTGCCTAATTTCTCTGGCTAGAACTTCCAGTAAAATGTTACATAGTACCTGTGAAAGTGGACATCCTTGTCTTGTTCCTGATCTTAGGAGAAAAGCTTTCAGTCTTTCAGTATTGAGTACAATATTAGCTGTGGGTTATTCATAAATGCCCTTTATTATGTTAAGGAAGCTCCTTCCTATTTTTAGTTTTCTGGGTGTGTTTGCTCATGAAAGAGTATTGAATTTTGTCAAATGCTTTTCTGCATCAATTGAGTTCATAATATCATGTTTTTCCTTCATTCTATTAATTTGATATATTACATTGATTGATTTTTGTATGTTGAATCATCCTTACATTCTATAGATTCCTGGTATAAAACCCACTTGGTCACACTGTGTAATCTTTTAATATGCTGTTGAATTTCATTTGCTAGTATTTCGCTGAGGAGTTTTGCGACTATATTCATATATGCTGAGTATATTGCATATTCTTCTGTGGTTTCTTTATTTGGCTTAGGTGTCAGGGCAATGCTGGTTTCATAGAATAAGTAGAAAGCATTCCCTTCTCTTCTTTAGGAAGACTTTGAGAAGGATTGATGTTAATTATTTATATGTTTGGTATAATTCATCAGTGAAGCCATCTGGTCCTGGAGTTTTCTTTGTTGGGAGTTTTATTATTATTATTATTATTGATATAATCTCTCTGTCTCTCTCTCTCTCTTTTTTTTTTTTTTGACAGAGTCCTCCTTTGTCACCCAGCCTGAAGTGCAGTGGTGCAATCTCGGCTCACTGCAACCCCTGCCTCCTAGGTTCAAGCAATCCTCCTGCCTCAGCCTCCTGAGCAGTTGGGACTACAGGAGCATGCCACCATGCTGAGCTAATTTTTTGTAGAAGCAGGGCTTCACCATGTTGCCCAGAGTGGCCTCAAGCTTTCCTTCTGCCTCAGCCTCCCAAAGTGCTAGGATTACAGGTGTGAGCCACTGCGCCCTTTTAAATGTAAATGGTTATTTCTTGACGTTCCCTCTGACCCCTGCTTTTTGCTGTATCCCATTGGTTCTGGTATGTTGTTTTCATTTTTATTTATATCTAAGTATTCTCTAACTTCCCTTGTGATATCTCCTTTGATCTATTCATTGTTTAAGAGTGTTTTTAAATTTCCCATATTGGTGAATTTTCACAAATTTGTTATTTGTGAATAAAAATAGTTTTCCTTTTGTTATTGATTTTTAGCAGCATTCCATTGTGGTCAGAGGATATACTTCCTTTGATTTCAATTTTTAAAAGTTTATTGAGACTGTTATGTGGCCTAATATATGATCTCTCCTATAGAGTGTTCCATGAGCACTTGAGAAGATTGTTTATTGTGTTGTTGGGTGGAGAGTTTTATCTATATCTGTCAGGTCTGGTTTTTATAGGTCTAGTTGGTCTAGGTCAGGGGTGTTCAATCCTTTGGCTTCCCTGGGCCACATAGGAAGAAGAATTGTCTTGGGCCACACATAAAATACACTAACACTAACCATAGCTGATGAGCTAAAAAAAAAAAAAAAAAAAAGAAAAGAAATCACAAAAAAAATCATAATGTCTTAAGAAAGTTTACAATTTTCTATTGGGCCACATTCAAAGCCATCCTGGGCTGCATGCAGCCTGTGGGGCTGCAGGTTGGAAAAGCTTGGTCTAGGTTGTTCAGTCTTTTATTTTCTTACTTATATTCTGTCTAGATGTTCTAACCATTATTAATAGTAGGGTATTGAAGTTTCCAAATAATATTGTAGAATTCTCTATTTCTCTCTTTAATTCTGTCAGTATTTGTTTCATATATTTTTGAGTTATTTTGTTTAGTGCAAATATATGCATAATTTTTATATCTTCTTGGTGAATTGACCCTTTTATCAATACATAATCACCTTCTTTTTCTCTTGTAGCAGTTTTTGGCTTTAAGTCCAAAGTATAGCCATTCCCACTCTTTTTTGTTACTATTTGCATGGAATATCTTTTTTCATTCTGTATTAGTTTCCTAGGGGCACTGTAACAAAGTTTTGCAAATAGGGTGCCTTAAAACAACATAAATTTATCTCTTACAGTTCTGGATGCCTAAAGTTATAAATCAAAGTGTTGACAGGATTATGCTGTTTCTGAAGCCTCTGTGGCAGGATCCTTTCTTGCCTCTTCCAGCTTTTGGTGGTCCCAGGAATTCCTTGGCTGATAGCTGCATAACTTCAATCTCTGCCTCCTTCTTCACGTCTTTCTTCCCTGTGTCTCTTCTCCTCTTCTCTCTCTCTTTTTTTTCTAAAATCTTGTTTTTATTTTATTTTATGTTTTTTATAGACAGGGCCTCACTCTGTTGCCCAGGCTGGAGTGCAGTGATAGAATTATGGCTCACTGGAGCCTCAATCTCCTGGGCACAAACAATCCTCCCACCTGAGCCTGTCAAGCAGTTGGGAGTACAGGTACATGCAACCACCCTTGGCTAATTGTGTGTGTGTGTGTGTGTGGGCGTGTGTGTGTGTGCACGCGTGTATGTGTGTGTAGAGACAGGGTCTAACTGTGTTGCCCAGGCTGGTCTTGAACTGCTATGTTGCCCAGGCTGGTCTTGAACTCCTGGCCTCAAGTGATCCTCCTGCTGTGGCCTCCCAAAGTGCTGGGATCACAAGTGCGAGGCACTATGCCCAGCCTTCTCCTCCTCTTATAAGCACACCAGTCATATTGATTTAGGGCCCATCCTAATGACCTCATCTTAATTTGATTATGTGTGCAAAGACCCTATTCCCAAATAAGGTCACATTCACAGGTGCTGGGTGTTAGGACTTTAATATATCTTTTAGAGGGACATAATTTAACCCAAATACCATCCTTTCACTCAAACGATTTGTGTCTTTGGATCTAAACTCAGTCTCTTGTGGATAGCATATAGTTGCCTCATTTTTAAAAACACACTGTGCTGGGGCCGGGCACAGTGGCTCACACCTGTAATCCCAGCACTTTGGGAGGCCGAGGTGGGTGGATCACAAGGTCAAGAGATCGAAATAATCCTGGCCAACATGGTGAAATCCCATCTCTACTAAAAATACAAAAATTAGCTGGGCGTGGTGGTGTGCGCCTGTAGTTCCAGCTATTCGGGAGGCTGAGGCAGAAGAATCGCTTGAACTCGGGAGGCAGAGATTGCAGTGAGCCGAGACTGCACCACTGCACTCCAGCCTGGTGACAGAGCGAGACTCCATCTCAAAAAACAAACAAACAAACAAACAAAAAACCAAAAACATATCGTGCTAATTTTTCTGCCTTTTGATTTGAAAGTTTAATCTATTTACATAAAGTAATAACTGATAAGAAAGTACTACTTATGCCATTTTGCTCTTTGTTTTCTGTATGTCTTTTAAAAAAATTCTTAACCTTTGTGTAAATACTACCAGAGCAAGACTTTTCTAAAATGTCAAAAAACAACAGGTGTTGGTGAGGATGCAGAGAAAAGGGAAACTCATACACTGCTGATGGGAATGCAAACCAGTACAACTTCTATGGAAAACGATATGGAGACTCTCAAAGAACTAAAAGCAGAACCATCATTCCGTCCAGCAATCCCACCACTGGTCATCTACCCAAAGGTAAATAAATAATTGTATCAAAGACACACCCGCACCCATAGGTTTATCACAGCACTATTCCCAATAGCAAAGATATGGAATCAACCTAAGTGTCTATCCACAGATGATTGGACAAAGAAAATATGGTATATGTATACCATGGAATACCACTCAGCCATTAAGAAAAAGAATGAAATCATGTTTTTTGTAGCAACATGGTTGGAACTGGAGGCCGTTATCTTCAGTGAAATAACTCCGAAATGGAAAGTCAAATACCACATGTTCTCACCCATAAGTGGGAGCCAAACAATGTGTACACATGGACATGGAGTGTGGAACAATAGACACTGGAGACTTGGAAAGGTGGGAGGGTTCGAGGGGGGTAAGGAATGTACAATTGTACCTTTTGGGCACAATTGTAGACTATCTGGGTGATGGGGACACTGAAAGCCCAGACTTCACCACTACATGATACGTTCATGCAACAAAACTGCACTTGTACCCCCTAAATCTATAAAAATAAAAAAAATACTTTTCTAAAAGAACTTTTAAAGACACCTGGTTTAAGCAAGTACAATTTAGTTAACTATGCAGTTTTAGCATACTACTAATTAAGTATAATTCATAATAATAGCAAAAATATACATGATACCTAGAGTTAACAGCGTTAACTCTAAATGTTTGGTCATGATACCATTATGAAGGCTTCAAAAAGGAAAATTTATCATATGCTTTATTCTAAATTCCATATTTTTCTATCAGCTCTTCGGCTTTAGAAATAAAGGCACGCATCATATCTTCCTCTGACAATCCTTTTTGGGGGTTCTGTGCTTCCCATTTGGCCTTGCCTTTTAATTCTAGCATTTCTGAACACTCAATATTAATGTTTCCAATTACAGCTTGTTTGTAAAGCCCATAAAGTTCTTTCAGTTCTTCATCATCTGGTCTTGTTTTCAGCTTCCTCACATCTTCTGTGACCATGTCAAAATCAGCCTGCAGGGACATGGTGGCGGCAGCTGGGCTGTTGCTGCTCTCCAGGCACTCCTTCTGTATGTCTTATACCATTTTTGTTCCTCATTTCCTCCATTACTGCCTTCTTTTGTATTCCATTGATTTTTTTTTTGTAGTGTATCATTTAATACCCTTCTAATTTTCTTGACCTTTTTTTAGAGACAGGTTCTTGCTCTGTTGCCCAGGCTGCAGTGCAGTGGCATGATCATGGCTTACTGCAGCCTCAAACTCCTCTATTTTCTTATCAGTATGTTGAAAATTTATTTTATCCTGGCTAACGCAGTGAAACCCTGTCTCTACTAAAAATGAAAAAAAAAAAAAAAATAGCCGGGCGTGGTGGCGTGTGCCTGTAGTCCCAGCTACTCGGGAGGCTGAGGCAGGAGAATGGCGTGAACCCAGGAAGCGGAGCTTGCAGTGAGCCAAGATCGTGCCACTGCACTCCAGCCTGGGCGACAGAGTGAGACTCCGTCTCAAAAAATAAATAAAAATTAAAATTAAAAAAATTTTAAGTGGTTACCACAGAGGTTACAATCAACTTCATAAATTTATAACAACCTAGTTTAAATTGATCCAAATTTAGCTTTGATAGCATACAAAAATCTCTGCTCTATAGCTCTATACAGCGCTGCCCATACTTTATGTTGTGATTGTCACAAATTATATCTTTATATGTTGTGTGCCCATTAACAAAAATATATAAGATTTTTTCTTACTTTTTTTGTTATTTAAGCACCAAGCACAGGAGAAGCAAGGATACAAGAATTTTTATGTATTTATCTCCTAAATCATGTGGGAAATAAAAAAAGGAGTTATAAACTAAAAATACAATAACACTGAGTTTTATATTTATTTATATAGTTACCTTTACTGGAGTTCTTTATATGGCTTCTTCATATGGTTTCCAATTTTTGTCTTCATTTCAGCCTAAAGGAATCTCATTTAGTATATTTTTGTAGAGCAGTTTCACTAGGAACAAACTTTCTTAGCTTTTGTTTATCTGGAAATATCTTAATTTCTCTCTCCTTTTTGAAGGACAGTTTTGTGTTTCTGGATTCTTGGTTGACATAAAAGAAAAAGAGAAGGGGGGAGAGGAGGAAAAGGGCCAGGGAGAGATTGAGAGAGAGAGAGAAAGAAAAGGGAAAAAAGGAAGAAAAGATATCTCTTAGTCAGCTCTGTATTGGAGCACTCCTTCAATGTTTAGACAGGCTGTTTATAGCTCTGCTGTAGCCTTCATTTCCTGCTTGCATTGAACCTAGAGATCAGCCAGAAGTGGAAGCTGATCTTCCACATAGATCTTCTCAGGTCTTTTCCAGCATGTGTTCTACCTTGGGTATGCACATGGCTTTCTAAGTTCCCCAATGTATGTGGACACTTTTGAATGCCTAATTTTCCAAAGAAACTGTCTCCCTGTCTTTTCCTTCCAGGCTTTCAGCATATCTATAGTTTGCCTCAATTGCAATTTTTTTGTTCCAGGTGTGGCATGTTGTTTATTGGTCTTATAATGTTTGCAAGGAATACTCTCTGCATAGCCACTTTTCTCCCATGAGTAAGTCTGAGTTAGGTGAAACAAAGGCAAGCTCCTTGTGTCAGTCCTTCAGGTAGCTTTCAGACAGGTTAGAAAAGACAAACACGATTCTTTGTGAATATGATCTGCTCTTTTATCTCTGGAGCCAGAGTGCAGGGTCCAACACTGGCTGCTGTCTCCAAGACTGTCACTGAGTCTGGGACAAAGGTGGAGCAAAGGCAAGTGAAAATTCGCAAAACTTCCTGGCATTTTTAATGCCTGTTTCTTGATTTGGTGTTCAGTTTTTTGCTGTAAACCTTTGACGGTTTTCCAGAGTTTTGATAAAGTTGATTCCTATAATTTTGCTCAATTTATCAGTGTTTCTGTGGAAGAAGAGAGTGGGGGAGAGGGGGAAAGGGCCAGGGAGAGAGAGAGGAAGATGCTCTCTCTTGCACAATTTTAACCAGTGTCACCATATATCCTTTTTAATGAGCCATTTGAAAGTAAATTGCAAATATCATAGCACTTCCTTCCCCCAAACATAAACAGTATATCTTAGGAAAATACAAGTGTATAGGTATACTCTCATCAAATACATTTAACATTGATACAATATTATTATCTAATATACATTCTATTATTAATTTTCCTCAATTGTCCCAATATAGCTTTTCCCTCCATTCCTATTCCAATCAAGTATCACATAAAGCATGGTGGCAAATGTGTTTTTAATTGCTTTATTTTCCCAGTGAATTGAAACTTGTTTAGTGAAGATGCTGAAACTAACTTTTACTCGTAAGAGCTGCAACCCATAAGAGCTGATGTTAAATTTTTAGAATTTTGTGAGTCAGTTAACTTCACATTGGTGGCTTGAAATTGGCCAAGGTAAGGATATTTTCACCACAGAAATTGAAAAACACTAGAAATAAGTCTTCCCCTTCCCCTGAGAGCCTGTTAAATATTTACCAGTATACTATAGCTTTTTATCAATGTCTAGGGATTCATTTTATTTCTAATATTTTTTTTTCTTAAATATTTGTCTTAATGCTATCGTATATGGTAAACCCACTTTCTCCTGGATTTTATTTCCCTGATACATTGTTTTTCTTTTTTTCCCCCACTTTTAATCTTTCTTTGTCTTTATAGTTGAAAGAAATCTCTTTAAGGCAGCATATGTTTGTTTTTTTTTGTTTTTTTTTAAACTCAGTTTGGGCTGGGGCGGTGGCTCATGCCTGTAATCCCAGCACTTTGGGAGGCCAAGGTGGGTGGATTACCTGAGGTCAGCAGTTCAAGACCAGCCTGGCCAACATGGCGAAACCCCATTTCTACTTAAAAAAACAAAAGAAAACAATTATCCAGGCATGGTGGTGAATGCCTGTAATCCCAGCTATTCGGGAGGCTGAGGCAGGAGAATTGCTTGAACCCAGGAGGCAGAGCTGGCAGTGAGCCGAGATCGTGCCACTGCATTCCAGCCTGGGTGACAGAGCAAGACCCCATCTCAAAAAAATAAAATAAAATAAAATAAAATAAAATAAAATAAAATAAAAACTCAATTTGACAATCTTTGATTGTAACTTAGAGTTTAGTCCATTTGGACACTTGTTATTATTGATATATTTGAATTTATCTCTGTTTTCCTTGTGCTGATTATGTCCTATTTGAACCCCTTGTGTCCCCCACTACTCCCTGTAATTCACTAATACCCTCCTCTGCACTGCTCTGTGGCCTATGAGGATGACCTCTACAGCACCATCTGGGTTCCCTTGCAATCTGGTTTTGGGTTAAGTTCATAAATAGGACAAACCCATAGGTTTGGGACAGTGTTCCTCCCTACCTGGCTACCATCTGTCAGTGGCTGCAGTCTGTTATGACTTTAGCTCCTGTTGGGAGGTGCCTCTTTCTTGGTTCCAATTCTTATTGAGCTTCAGTGACAGAGTCCTCATGTCTTTCTCTACCAGGCTTCGGGTTAGTATTGGTTTCCCACTCTTGCTCATCTCAGTATTTTTCACTCTCCCTTACTGGTTCCCTTAAACCTGCCCTTGCCGTATTAAATGTTTCCTTCACTAAACTCTTTTCATGTAAACAGTTCAAGTGTGTCATGTGTTTCTTTTGGGACTATGATTGATATAATCTTCTTTGCAGCTTTTAAAATGTCCTGCTGTTTCCTTGTTTCTTTTTTCTCATATCCCCCATTCTTTTAGCTTGATGAAGTTTTTCCCCCTTCATTTTACTTTTTCTGCTCTTACTTTAGAAGTTATATATTCTATTTCTATTTTAGTGATTACTCAAAATATTTCAATAGACATAATTTGCTTGAGAGATTTTTAGGACACTTCAACTCTGATAACCTTCCTCTTAGATTATAAACAATTTTACTCAATTCTTTAATTCTATATTTTATTAAGCAAACAAATTATATATTATTAATAAATATGATGGTATATAGTCATGCCTGTTTAGAGATCTTAACCTGTTTAAAATTTTCTCCATCAACTTTCTTTTGCATTACAAACTCTCCTTATAGGATCATTTTTCGTTTTTCTAAAGTACATGCTTATAAATCCCTCTAGTAAGGGTCTGTCGGTAATACATCTTCCATGGTGTTCTTTATCGGAAAGTGTATTTATTTTGTCATTATTCTTCAAAGATATTTTCACTGGGTATGTAATTCTAAGGTGACATTTTTAATATTCTAGGTTTCTATTTGTTGCAGTTGAGAAGCTAGCAAACTTCACATCTACCATCCTTTTCTTTGCTCTGGCAGCTTTAAAATCTTGTTTTGTCTTTGGTATGTCATAGTTTTTCAGTGATGGTCTTGGTCTAGATCTCTGTTTTATTTATTGTACTTGCAATATATTGGGCTTTTTGAATCTAAAAATTTATGTCTTTAATTATGTTGGAAATATTAGTAGCTCTCCCTCATTTTTTCATTCATTCCCTTTCAGTATTGCAAGTATATATTTGTTAGAGCGTCACACTCTAACCATTCTGTTTGTTTATCTTTATTACATATATTTTATCTCTCTGACTTTCTGTGTTGTACTCTATGCAATTTCTCCAGATTTATCTTTCAGTTTACTAATTATTTCTTCACCTCCGTCTAATCTGCTGTTTAATCCCAATACCATAGTTTAAATTTTTTTCAGTAAATATATTTTACATTTCTTAAAATTCTTGTTGGTTTTACTACTCTACTCATTTTTTATAGACTCATTATTTGGCTATATTTTCTTTTATTTAAAAATGTATTAGAAATGTTTATTTTATATTCTATATCAACTTTTATATCTGAAGCTTTTGTGAGTCTGATAATGCAATTTTTTAAAGGCTGAGACTTGTCCCTGATAACTTATTTCTTCATGTCTCACTGTCTTTTATTATGGATTTATGTTCCTTGAGATTTTGTTAGTGGGGTTTTTTGAAAGTCCAAGTTGAAATTGAATTTCTTGAGAGAAATTTGCTTCAGTTTCTACTAAATGCCTGGGGACACTACCAACCTAAGACTTATTTAAATACAAATTGTTTCTTGTGTTGTGGGGGAACATTCAGATTCTGTATATTCTGTCACTAAATCCACCTGAGAGCATGCTTATAGTTTTGAATTATCAAGAATAACTTATTTCTGACCTTTATTTATGGCCAAGACTGAGACAGGCAATTTTCCTTACTGCGTTCCTCTGTGAGTAGATGTTTTCTAGTTCACTCACTGAGAATATTGCTTTTTTGGGATTCCTTACTTTATGCAAAGTCCAATATGATAGGCTGCCTCCCTTGGGCCCAGGTTCTGTCTCTTGTCTGTCATTCTGAATGCTCAGTGATAACCAGAGTCGGGGAAGAGGAAGGTGGGGAAGAAATGGGGAGATGTAGGTCAGGGGATGCAAAGTAGCAGATGTGTAGGATGAACAAGCCTAAAGATCTAATGCACAACATGAGGACTATAGTTAATAAAATCGTACTGTATTTGGGATTCTTGCTAAGTGGGTAGTTTTCAGCTGCTCAAAAACAGCAACAACAAAATTAATGGGTTACTATGTGAGATGATGGATATGTTTATTTGCTTCACTATAGCAACCATATCACTGTCTATATACAGCCCACAACCTCATGTTGTATACTTTAAATATATAAGATAAAATTTATTTAAAAGTTTTTTGTTTTTTTTTTGAGTTAGTCTGCGAGGAACCATAATTTTATATTGCTCCTGGATAAGGATAACCTTTATGTTATTTAGTTTAATCTTTCTCCTCCTCTTAAGTGGTCATGTTGTTTCAGTTTTTCCTTATTAAGTACAATAGTGGCGTGAACAATTTTGCTTTTATGTTTGTTGCTTCATTAATATTTAAATTATTTCCTTGAGATAATTTCTGAGTAGGATTTCTGGGTCAAAGGAAAAATGACTATTGATGCGAAAGAAGTTTAGGAAGTAGGATCAACAAGATTTGGGTGTAGGAGGTGAGGCAGAGGAAAGAATCTAGTATAAGACTTAAGGTTTTGGCTTCGGTAACTGGGTAGATGATTATGTCATTAACTAGGATTGGGAATACAGGTTAAGGTGGGTGTGTGCGTGGGGAATGATAACAAGTTCAGTTTGGACATGTTGCCTCTGAGGTGACATGTAGGTAGAGAAATTTTTAGTAGGCAGTTGGAAATACAGGGCAGAAGCTCAGGAGAGGGTTTCGGGCTATAGATACAGATCTGGGATTCATAAAGTTGGGATCCTCAGATCCCTGAGATTCCTTGATTATATTTTCAGTGGTCTGTGTTCACTAGGTTGATTTTTACATTCATGCTTACACTCATGCTTTCATTTCAACAATAATCTGAATTATCTGGATGACCACCTCATGAATGAATATTGCCAACTTACTTCAGTGTCTGAATTGATATTTATGTTCATAATCTTGCTGGTGCCAAATATCACAAAGCTAGGTTTAATATGTGAATGATGCAAACAGGTCAAGTGCAGACACAATGGTGTCACTGTGTGCTTGCCCATGGGAATGAAGGTTTCACAGTAGTTTGGACAGAGAAAAGTGGTGGGAGAGCTGAATCATCACATGGCACACAGCTCTATTTTAATTAGAAAGGAACTATGTTATTAGCAGCCAGTCCTATATTCACATTGTAAGTTGACAATTCAGTTTCAAGAAAACAACATAACCACACAAATTAATGTTCACTTCATTTTATGAGTATTTTGGAATTTTAGTTTCATTTGCATTCACTTAAAAAAGTTTTTAGTTGTATCACTGTATAAGAACTATGAACATGGCTGGGCGTGGTGGCTCACGCCTGTAATCCCAGCACTTTGGGAGGCCATGGCAGTGGATCACTTGTGGTCAGGAGTTCGAGACCAGCCTGGACAACATGGCAAAATCCCATCTCTAGTAAAAATACAAAAATTAGCTGGGTGTGGTGTTGGGTGTCTCTAATCTCAGCTACTTAGTAGGCTGAGGCAGGAGAATCACTTGAACCTGGGAGGTGGAGGTTGCAGTGAGACTACATCACACCACTTAACTTCAGCCGGAGTGACAGAGCGAGGCTATGTCTCAAAAAAGAAAAAACCCAAAACCAAAACCGAAAGCAAAAACAAAACCCTGTGAACACAAGGAATTTACATTTAGTTTTATATTCAAGTAACTAAATAATATTATAATTTAAAAATTTTCATCAATGTTGAAAACTTAGGAGAGATATTTTCCTTTAAATGACATTTGTACGTTACACAAATTTTTGTGCAAGGACTGAGGCATGGATTTCAATGGGACTTGTCATTTGCAATACAGAATAAGAAGAAAAAGGTACTAAGAATGAAACCCTGGAAAGTATCAGAAATTAAGGAATGAATGAAGGGAGAGAGAAAAACTTGAAAGTAAACCCAGTGGTAAGAGGAGAATAAGAAATCCAGAAGAGAAGAGGGTTCTCAAAAGGAGAAAATTGAAAAACATCCTTGAAAGGCACAGAGATGGCCTTTGCCCAAACATTTTGGTTGAATAGTAGTGTCAAAAGTCAAATTTTTGAAGTTGAAGAAATGAATGGGAGGTGTGACTGTGGAAACTTTCCTAAGTTTGGCTATGATGAAAAGAAAACAAAGAATGCTTCCAGAATGGGGCACAATGTCACTATGAATGCAAGTGTTTGAGCATGTTTATGTGTTGAACACAACAGGCTGATGGAGAGAAAATCCCCATATAGGTGAAAGAATGAGGTTTAACATTAACAGAATAAGGTTTTAGAAGAGATGGGACTCCGGCCAGGCACGGTGGCTTACACCTATAATCCCAGCACTTTGGGAGGCCGAGCCCAGGTGTTCAAGACCAGCCTAGGCAACAAAATGAGAACCTGTCTCTACAAAAAATAAAAAAATTAGCCAGGTGTAGTGGCGCGCACTTGTGGTCCCAACTGCAAAGGAGGCTGAGGCAAGAGAATTGTTTGAGCCCAGGAAGTTGAGGCTGCAGTGAGCCATGTTCACATCACTGCGATTCAGCCTGCGTGACAGAACAAGACCACATCTCAAAAAAAAAAAAAAAAAAAAAAGAGACAGTGTGACACAGATGACAAATGGCAAGATTACCCTGAAGGGTAATAATATTCTGATATTCTTCTTTTGAGATGAGATATGAGGAAGTTTAAAAGTGGAAACTGGAGTTCATGCTTGGTAGCTTCCAATTTTCTGTGAAGCAGGGGCCAGAGTGATAGGGAGGCAGTATTATGAGGTTCATGAAAGCAGTGGTGAAGATTTGTAATAGTTATTATACGAAATGGTCAGGGAACTTAGCAATACCGAATGCCTTGCTGAGATGTGAGTTCTAGTCTTGGCGGTGTCACTGACTAGCTCTGCAAATTGGGCAATTCGTTTATCTTGTCTGAATATTTGTAGAATAAAGAATTTGGAATAGGTAATTTCTGAGGTGCTCTCTAGTCTGCAAATCATTTAAGTTGTAACTCAGGCACTAAATCCTTTATAATAAATAACCTAACAAAATAAATGCTTTATTTTCCTCTTATAAGAGTTACTTCCAGAGCAAAAAAACATAAGCCATTTTGGGCAACATCTAATCTGAAAGCCCATGTGGATAATTTAAAAGCCAGTTAGAATAGGAAAGGAAAAGAAATGGAAGAATTATTTTTTCTCCTCACTTGTGAAGTGTAGCAATCATCCACCAAAACCAAACTACATGAAACAACACTCACAGATCCACGAACTAAAATAAGAAAAATAGTGAAAGAAATTATTGTCAGTGTCTTTTTGGCTTCTAGCTCCTGAGAATTTCTAAGTGAATTCAGCTATGGGTTAAATCATTATGAAATTCCAGTGAGGGACTGAGGAAAATGAGACAGCTTCAAGGAATTTCTTGTAACAGAATCCACTCCAAAGACCTAGCTACAGTGCCTTTTAAAGGAAAGAATGGCTCTGAATAAATAGAGGCTTGACAGTGACTGAAAATGTAAATTTAATGGTTCCTTTCTCTGTGCTCTCAAGCATTTTGTTCATAATTACACTTTTTAGAGTTTAAATTTAATTTATAATTTGAAGTGTTAATCAACCACAGTAACTTCCTGGAGATCATGTCTGGCCTTGCAAAGAAAGTTAAGACTACATTGATCAATGATGGGGAAACTAACTCTTTATTTTTCCATTGAAAAAGTTTTTTGCTTTAAAAACATCAAAGCAATAGTAAAGCATCTCAATGCCTGAAATACCAGAAAATCCGGGACCGTATGATTTGCTGAACAGCTTAGCCTGGAACACTGGGAAAGCGACTTTTATGGAGCCATGTGCACCCGCTAGACTCCACTGTGTCCAGCTCTTGGCTGTGCCTCTATGGAGGAGGAAGAAGCCTCCAGTAGCAGGCAAAGTGCTCGCCTTGCCAACTTTCACACCATTTATCAATTTACACTTCTGCTTCCCACTAGAATCTGAGCTCCTGGAGGATAGGGGAATTTCCTAATTCATCTTTTTTCCCTAGAGCCTGTAACAGCAAAGTGCATATAACAACTTCCTAAAATATGCTTATAGGATAAATGAATGAGGTAAATCTATGGTCCAGTGTTGCAAATAATTAAGTGAAGAGTATAGAATAATCTCCAAACATTTTTAAGGTATGGGCAATAACAGTTCTTTTCAGTTATACTAACATGGAAAGAAATGGCATCTGGCATCTTTCAAAATTAAGGATATATATATATATATATATATATATATATATATATATATGTATGTATGTATATTCCTGAATACATCTATGAGCATATGTTGTTTTGATTATTTCCACATATCTCTTGCCAGGCAAACTTTTCTTTATTTTGTTATTCTCCTGATTAAGGATCCATGATGATTTCTAGGTGCATGATGTATTGGTTTGGAGCCTTAGGACAATCTAATAAAAAACAGAGTTTTCAATTAAGTCCAAGATTTCATCAGCATTGTGTAATGGAAATTACATAGAACTATATTATGTGGGCATAATTATTACTCAGTTCTTACCTGAATGCTAAGCAAAAACAAAAAAGAAAAAGAAGAAAAAATGTATTTGAGTAACTGGGAAGTTCGGGAGATTGCATCTGGCTGTAGGCACAGCTGTTCCAAAGACTCAAACCATGTTCCCAGGACTTTGTTTCTCTCTTTCTTTCTCAGGTTCACTTATTTCTTCTTGACTTCAGTCTTCAGTTAGGATTTATCCTCTACAAAGGCAAGATGGCTAGCCTCCAAATGCCTCAGGCTCACATCCTTCAAAGTAATCTCCGAAGTAGAGAAAATCTTCCCAATTAACTCCAGAGGAAAAGTCCGGGGGAGGACTCTGCTTGGCCTAAACTATGTCTTTATTTGCTAAATCTGGATTGCATGCCCTGGCCTTGTGTCCTAGGGAAAGTAGAGTCCCATGCTGGCCATTTCCTTTCAGGGAGTGCAGTTCTCCAAAGGAAAATGTGTGGCTGTTACTGGAAGGGAAGTAGAGACAGATAAAAGCAGGTTTAACAGTCTACTACACCAGAGCTGAGATGTAGCTGGGATGTGCAGGTCCAGTGAGCCAGCTGGCATCCTTCCAGATTATTCAGGAGTCCATTCTGAATGGCTGGTGTCTATGCTGTACCATTGTTAACTCTTCAGAATATCATTCCTGCATGACAGTATCTCACTACTTATGAGTTACAAATAACATATGTAATGCAATATGAGCACTGCGGAATGCATAAAAAGTACATTTATCTTTATAGAACAAAATTTACCCTTTGCACTTAAAACATTTGTTGTTGAAGAAGCAGGGTATTTTTCAGAGTCTGATCAGAGGTAGAGGAGGGAAAGAGAATTGGTGAAACCCAGTGCCCTTTGCTTCTCATTAAGAAAAAATAACACACACGTGCACATACATGCACACACACACATATATGAAGTATTTATATCATATTATCACTCGCCCCAATATTTAAAAGTGATCTTTCTGATAATAAGACCAAATAATCCCCTCAGTAGTGAGCTTAGGTAAACTAGCACCAAAGCAAAGCTAAGTCCCAAGTCCCTAAGATGCCCTTCAAAAGCAGTCATCCATTTAATTTGATCTATTAAACAAACTTAGCAGTTGGGATGCCCACACAGTGAGAAAGCCTGCTTAGAGATAAAATTTTGGCTTTAATTGGAATCTTCTGTCCTTTATTAGACAACCATAAGCTTCCAATTATATACACCGTCTTTGTTTCAAATATGAAATTTTGGATTTATAAAAACTTAAAAATTTTTATTCTTAGCAACAGATTTAAGAATAAAAATGAGCTTCTGTCATGAACAAATATTATGAGGGTTTTTCTTCTTTCTTTCTTCCTTTTTTTGGCCACACCCCAAGCAGTTATTAGGAACTGACTAAACACCCACTGTGTATCCAGAACTGTGTTAGCTACTTGGAACTATTAAAAAGCAGTTGGAAAAATGATTCCTGTCCTTGAAGAATTTAGGTAATATGTCTCAGGAGTAAAAATTAGTGTACCCAGAACAATCAGGTAACAAATAAACAGTTGCTTTGCTGTCTCCACTAATAATGTAATGACTTCCCCTCCATTTCAGTCTGTTGAAATTTTACCCATTCTTCAGGATCTGTCTCCAGAACTGTCCTTTCTATAGCTTCATTGATTTCTTGAATATAAGGTCGGGCCCATATTCCTGTGAACAAACCACCCAAACATTTGATTTAAATTGTCCCTCTTCAGATGTCTTTGGCTCTTTATCATCTACAGGCCGCAGTTCAGTCCTGACCACCTCTCTTGTCTTTTCCCCACCAGCTCTTCTAGGTACCTACTGTTTTGAAGGCAAACCAAATCCTAGTACCAAACTCAAACCTAGTTTGGTACAGAACCTGGTAGCCAAACCAAAGTTGATAAATGCTGTGCGTTTCCACATCCAGTCTTTTCTTCCTGGAATAACCCTTTCCTTCCCTTTCCCCCAACTTAGTCCCTGATGAAGTTCCACTCATCTACTAACTGATCTCAGACCTCACTCTCTCCATGAGATCTTCTCCCTTTCCATCTACTAGACCAGAATGTCTCTATATTTCCTGTACCTATTTTTATGATTCTGGGTGGTAATGATATTTTTTCATGTTTGCATTCCCCTTCTAGCCTCTGTACCTTGAGGGTGGCACCCATGCCTGACTTATTTGGGAGTCCTGAGTGCCTTGTAGAGTGCCTGACACACAGCAGGTCCTCCATAAAATTTTATTAAAATGAGTTAAATTAAATAGGAGTCCAGAGAAGACTTGAGGTAGCCAAAGGTCCTCACTGAGCCTTGGGTTTTATATCAATTGAAAGTTGAAAAGGGGAAAACAGGAGCAACACCCCAGAGATGGGCACGAGCCTAGCAAAAGCTGGGGACTATGAATGGACACATCTGGCTTGAGTGGAGCCTGTAGAATAGGGAGTGTTGGGAAATAAGGTCAGAAAGGCTAGGCAGGGCCATGGAAGACTTCGTCAAAAGCAGAGGAGGTGAAACCTGATATAATAGCTAGTGCAATTTAAGAAAAGAAAAACTTAGAAATATCTGTACACAAAATAAGCCTTATCCCTTCTATAATACCTCTACTTTGGAATTTATTATTTTGTTACTATTAGTATATCACTGTTCCAAAGGGCCTTCCATCAGTGAAGCATAACAGTGTGGGGTTTTGAAGTGGAGTGTGATGCATGGGCGTTGGAAGCCCTGGAGTTGAATTTCCACTCTGGCACTAATTTGTGACCTGCTATGGTGAAATTGTTTTGAGTCGCTTATCCTCGGTGTTCTCATCTGTGAAATGAAGGCATGAAGGTGCATGACATGATTCATGAGTTCCCTTTGATCTCTAGTACTCAACATATGGAAGGATAATGAATTCTTAGCCAACTTATTAATCTACCCTTGTTCTTCTTTTTCTTTCTGTTTTTTTTGAGATGGAGTCTTGCTCTGTCACTCAGGCTGGAGTGCAGTGGCGCGATTTTGGCTCACTGCAACCTCTGCCTCCCGGGTTCAAGTGATTCTCCTGTCTCAGCCTCCTGAGTAGCTGGGACTACAGGCACATGCCACCACGCCCAGCTAATTTGTATGTTTTTTTTAGTAGAGACGGGGTTTCACCATATCGGCCAGTCTGGTCTCGAACTCCTGACCTCGTAATCCGCCTGCCTCAGCCTCCCAAAGTACTTGGATTACAGGTGTGAGCTACCGCACCCGACCTGTTCCTGGTTTTTTTTGCTTGCTTGTTTACCAGTTTTCTGGTGTCAGAGTTGCTTTATTAAACTGGTCTCTGACAGTCCCACAGTATGTTCTGCTGAGATCAGCCTCTGAAGCTTAACCATCTTGTGAGATCTGGAAAGCCCTCCTCAACCTCCACTCCTTCAAATCCCAGCCCCAGCCAACATCTTTCTTAAAGTTTTCCTGACCTCTGCATGTCTTTGCTATTTCCTCCCACTTTTAGGGTTTAAAGACAGTTTTTCTTTAGTTATCACTTGCTTCATATTGGCTTTTCTCTCTCCAATTAGTTTGTAAACATCTTAAAATAAGTAACTGTTAAGTGCAGTATTTGCTTATCTCCCCCACATCACCACAAAGCTAGGCACAAAATAAACATCTAAGGAGGTTTTTGAATATTGAACTGAATGATGTACAAGGGATATTAATAAAAATAGAAAAACTAAACCGTCAAAAAGGATAATCTATAGGGATTGGAATGGAAATAATTGTAGCATATCAATAATTTTATACATGGTATTTTGTACCCAGCAAAAGACTGTTTTAAGACAGAGTGATCTGTGAAGTTTCTGGTCTGTGGGCTTGTCTTGAATTAAAGAGTGGGTGGTACTAGGGCTTAGAGATATTCCAGCCAACTCGAGGAAAAGAGAAACAGAGAACTGTTTACTGAGTGACTTTGCTGTTGGACATGTCCCAGCTGCAGCTTGGGAACATCGGGCAGAGTTACCACCCCGCTGCCACAACCTCTGCCAACTTGGATAAAAAGCAGTGAAGTTGACCTGTCTTTTGGCTCTGGAACAAGGCGAGGGAGCGCACCAGCAGGCATGGGAAGGAAGAAGTTGTGAAATGAAAGACATGAAAAAGAGATGACTCTGATCTTCTTTCCCCTCACTACCCTGAGTCTCTCTCCTGCCTCCTTGATACCTGTAAACTGGTATAAAGCAGAATTCTATACCTTACACCAAGTGGGGCCTGGGGCCCTTGGAGTCCAGCTTGGGATAACAAGAAAGCAGTGAGAGTCAGTTGTTTTGTTCCCTAAAGCGGTTCTAGGTTTGAAAAGGTTTGAAATTAATCCTCTAGGAAGGTAATTAGCTTTCAAACAACATAACACTTCAAAAAAATCAATGCAAAATATAAGACAAAAGGTCGCTGTTTAAAGTAGTTGAGTTCTAGATCTGACAGTATTGTGGCTCTCTTGGTTGTAAATTAGCTCACGGAGATAAAATGTCTGAGTTTAGGACTTCAGATCCTGCCTTTGCTGTCAGATTGCCTCAAGCTGTCTCTGGTAGGAAAGTCTAGAAACATGGATTCATTATATACCCCCCCACTTTCTGACATGCTCCAAATCTGTTAGTGTCTGTAACAGAGCTCTGCATTGCATTGATTTGTCTTACTGTGTGAGGAAATTATGGGAATAACTCCCATGTGTCAGCAACCATTTAGTCAGCACACAGTTCCTTACCAGGGAAAATGGCAAGATTTATTAGGGAAAGTATCTGTCATCCCATATAAATAGATGCACAGTTAAAGCATATGTAGCAGGCAGGGTGTATGTTTCTGTGTGACTGATCATAAGGAACTTATTATCAGGAACGCTGTAGAAAAATCAGTCATTTGGGAAGGTGGCAAGCATAAGGGTACACTTATACTTCATGCAAAATGTCCCTCAAAATTGTAATTTTGGCTTTAAGTGCATTGTTGCGGTAGGAATCATTTTTATTAAAAATATATTTTTGCTTTAATTTTTTTACTATTGAGAAAATATATGCAAGTGATAAAACAGGCAAATAATAGAAAAAGGATGTAAAGGTCTTTTTCCTCTGCTTATGCCAGTCTCCTGTGTCCCTCTCCCTCAGAGGCCATCACTGTTGCCAATTTATTTTGTGTCATTAGGAAGTCTGCACAAACAAGCTCATCCTCTTCTTCAGCATTACACACATGGTAGTCCACACCCCACACTCTTCTGAAGTAGTTCTGGAAATCATTTCTTATTAGTCTGCAGTATGATCCAGGCTTATTGTTTTTCATAGATTTAACCAATGTTGACATCTTGCCTGACTTTAGAGTTTTTTGCTTGTTTGTTTTAACATTACAGATACATTTTAACCATAGCACCCACTGCCCAATTCCATTGCTCTCTGCCCAGAGATAATCACTATCCTGAAATTAGCATGTATCCTTCCTTCCTGGTTCTTACATATTTTGCACATACATAGTTGATATTTCATTGTGTGACTTTGGCACCATTTATTGATCCACCATTCTTTTTTTTCCCTTTTTCTTTCTTTTTTTTTTTTTTTTTGGAGACAAGGTCTCATTCTGTCACCCAGGCTGCAGTGCAGTGTTGTGATCTCAGGTCCCTGCAGCCTCAATCTCCCCAGGCTCAGGTAATCCTCCCACCTCAGCCTTCTGAGTAGCTGAGACTACAGGCATGAGCCACCATGCCGGGCTAATTTTTGTATTTTTTGTGGAGGCAAAGTTTTACCATGTTGCCCAGGCCAGTCTTGAACTCTGGGGCTCAAGAGGTCCGCCTGCCCACATTGGTCTCCCAAGGTGCTGGGATAAAGGTATGAGCCACTGAGCCCTGTCCACAATTATATTTTTGAACATTTAGGTTGGTTCCAATGTTTTGCTATTAAAAACGGTGCTACAAAAAACAATGTATTTCATTTCTCCTTGGGCATATGCGTGAGAATTTTTTAGGATACATACCCACAGGCAGAATTGCTAGGTCATAGGTTAGCATGTGCTCATCAACTTTGTTTGATATTGCAACATTGTCCTCCAATGTGATTTTCTACAATACACATTCACACCAGCCATATTTACAAGTTCTTTTTTTCTTTTTCTTCCACATCCTTACCAACACTTGGGCTTCTCAGACTTCTAAATTTTGCCCTTCTGATGGATGTGAAATAGTACTTCATTGTGGTTTTAATTTGCATTTATTACTGAAGTTGAGTATCTTTTATGTTTTTTGGCTGTTTAGTTTCCTTCTAACAATTAACTGTTGATATCATCGACAAATTTTCTACTGTATTGCTTGCTTTTTTCTTATTCATTTATAGAGATTTAAAAATACTCTTGATGCTAATACCCAGTAATATATACTATAATTAACTTCTCCAATGGCTTGCATTTTCACTGTGTCTGGCGTCTTTTGTTTCATAGAATTTTAATATTTAAATGTATTCAAATGATCACTGTTATCATTTATGCTTTTGTTATTTTATTTAAGAAAACTGAAAATGTAATGAAGACATTCTCCTGTATTTACTTTGTAATTTTAAGATTCCCCCTGTCACCCTACCATACATTTAAGGTTTTTAGCCCATGTAGGATGTATTTTGTTGTGGTATGAAATGGGGATGTAAATTCCTTTTCCCTGTACATAGCCAGTTGTCTTAGGACCACTTAGCTAATGTTTGCCACTCCCTGCTGATATGTAAGAGACTTCTGTTCCATATCAATTTTCCATGTATGTATTTGTCAGTATCTATACCCTTTATTCCATTCTTTTGGCCTATTTTTACTTTTTAATTTTTGAGACAGAGTCTCGCTTTGTTACCCAAGCTGGAGTGCAGTGGCATGATCTCAGCTCACTGCAACCTCTGCCTCCCGAGTTCAAGCAATTCTCATACCTCAGCCTCCAGAGTAGCTGGAATCACAGGCATGCACCACCACACCCACCTAATTTTTGTATTTTTAGTAGAGACGGGGTTTTACCATGTTGGCCAGGCTGGTCTCTAACTTCTAACCTCAAGTGATCCTCCCACCTCGGCCTCTCAAAGTGCTGGGATTACAGGTGTAAGCCACCACGCCAGGCCCTTTCAGCCTATTTTTATATTCCTGTCCCCAAAGCCGCACTTCTTAAAAGAATTATAACCTTGTATAATTAGCCTGGTAGGGCAAATCACCTCTCCTTAGTTTTCTTTTTTGAACATTTCTGTGCTAGTTGAGTGTCTAATCTTCCACACCAACTTTTGGGTTAGATTGTTAAATTCCATGAAGCCTTGTTGGGATTCTGGTTGGAATTACAATGATTCATAGATTCATTATAAATTCACAGGGTGATCTGCCAGATTGACACAATTATCTTTCCATCCCTCAGTGTCTCATCATTTATCCAGTGCATATTTTATGTCGTGTTTTATAATTTTGCCTAAATAGGTCTTGCAGATATTTCTGCCTAGATATCTATTCTAAATGGGAGAGCACACACACACACACACACACACACACACACACACAAATTTTTTCTCCTCTCACACCATATCCTGAACATGTATTCAGAATGCTGAATTTTCCTGTTTGAATTGTTTGTCTACACACTCTCCTGCATTTTTAATGTAAATTATCAGATAGTTTATAAATAAGAACAATTTTTCCCCTTCTTTCTAATTCTTATTCTTTTAAAGAGTATTGGCACTGGCTAGGACTTTTAATATTAATATAATGGTTAAGAGAAGCTGTAATAACAGACACTCTTGACTTGCTCCTGACTCTAAAGAGAATGCTTCTAACGTTTGACCACTAAGCATCAGGTTTTCTGTGGGTTTTTGGTAACTTTATACTTGGGAGAGATTGCTGATCCCTCCCTCTCACATTGGTTCTCCCTTTTTGCCTCTGTATAATCTCTATTTTATTTGGAGACATCAGTGTCAAGAAAATTGCCTGCATTTCAATGCCACCTTCCAGTGGGTGAGGGCATATAACATAGTTCCTGCCATTGGGATGTAAGTAGAAGTGATATATGCAAATTCCAGTAGTACCCCTAAAGTGGAAACATAATCACTCCTCCCTTTTCTCCTTCCTGCCACCTAGAATGCAGATGTAATGACTGGAATTCGCGCAATCATATTGTACTTGATGTGATCTTAGGAACAGAGATCTTACCAAACATCAAAATATTGGAAGTAACTTGGCTCTGGGCCACCTAATCAGTCTTCTACTTAGGAGAGAAATAAAATTCTATATAGTTTGGAGTTTTCTGCCACTCACAGCCAAGCTCAATTATATAATTATATAATTGATGAAAAAGCAATTTATGGGAAAAAAAGCTATTGGCAAACTGGAAGTGGACTACAACCTCATTTTCCTGATAAAATTTATCATCTATATCAATGAGGTGAATTACACTGATAGATTTTTAATATTCAACCATTCTTGGTATTCTGTCATGATATGTTTTTACAGGTGGTAAATACGTAATGATTTCGTTTCTTACTTTTTGCAAGGTTTTAATAAGGAAAACTTCAAACATACGAAAAATTTGGCCTGTACGGTGAACACCCTTATGCCCACCAACCAGATTCTATAATTATTTTATTATATCTGCTTTGTGCCTTATCTAATATGATGTCTTAATGCATTGCTGAATTCAATTAGATGATATTTTAAAATATTTGAGCACATGTGCCCAAAAGTGAGAAAAAACAACGATTTTCTTTTCTCGTATTGTCTTTTTCCAGTTTGGGTATCAAAAATATACTTACAAAAGAAGTAAAGAGAGCTCACCTATTTTTGTCTTCACTGAATGAAAAAGTCTGTTCAATACAGGAAATAAACTTTGAAGATTTGGTAAAACTCACCTCTTTGGGTAAGTACTTGATTGGCATAGTACTTAATGGATAGATTTTTTAAACTACAGATTCAGTTCTTTTAATGGTTATAAATAAATAGACTGCCATTTCTTTTTCATGTCACTTTTAGTGATTTACATGTGTCTAGAAAACTGTCCATTTCATTTAAATTGCCAAATGTATTAATATAATGATGTTCATCGTATTCTCTTATACTTTTAAAAATTTATAGTCAAGTCCTTTATTCCCGCTTTTTTCTCTTATACTCTCAATCAATCTTGCCAGGTTTTGTCTATTTTATTAGTCCTCTAAAAGAATTAGGTTTTGAATCGATTGAATTATATTGTCTTCATATAGAATAGGAATATATGAATCCTTATTGATTTATGAATACTATTGATTCTATATGAAACCTTATTGATTTTTTTCCCCTTTTGGCTATTTCTCCTCTTATTTTTGACTTTTTTTCCTTCTACTTTCTTTCTTCTAATTTTTAAACATTTTGACCTTTGGGGTATACGCTTCCTTCTTTCCATTATAGGCATTTAAAGCTCTAAATTTCCTTCTAAATACTGCTTAAACTCCATGCCATGGGTTTTGGTACTCATGTTTTTATTGTCTGAGTGGTGTTACACATTTGGTATTTTCTATTCATTTTTCTACCTTAATAATTATTTAGAAGTTTCTAAAATAATGGGGCAGTGTGACTATTACATTGATTTTTGATTTTATTGCATTGCTGTCAGAGAATGTTTTGTGTGATTTTGGTCATTGGTATTTGTTTGAAGTTTACTTTTTGACATATTATGCTTTTTGTAAATGTTTCACGTGTGCTAGAAATAATGTGTTTCCTGGGAATCTCTGAGCCTCCTCTTGCTCAGGAGGCTGCCCGTAACAACAACAAAAATAATGAAAAGAATGCGTTTCCTATAATTTTGGGTGTAGGTATTACCTGTGTTCTTTACATCTTCTACAACTATGATTATACATTTATCATTTTCTCTTTATAATTTTGACAATGTATTGTGTGTACACACACATACACACACACTGAAGTTCCAACTTACTATTTCTTCAATGTGAATTCTTATTTTTATCTTTTTATCCTTTTATCATTATATAATGGCCCTCTTTATCCCTTACTTTTATTTTGCCTTAAAGTTTAAAAAAAGATGATAATATTACGTTTAATTAAAAAAATATTTTTCTAGTACAGTTTATCCATCTATTTACATAATCATTTCTCTGTGTCATCAAGTTCTAGGTAGTCTCTTGGCTGAATTTTTAAAAATCCTGAGAATCTCCATCTTTTTGTAGGGAAATTCAATATGTTAATATTTATATGAATTTTGATTATTGATACATGGTTCATGTTGTGTTTTCTATTTATCTTTTTTTTTTTTTTTTGAGTCAGGGTCTCACTTTGTCAGTCAGACTGGAGTGCAGTGGTGCGATCTTGGCTCACTACAACCTCTGCCTCCCAGGTTCAAGCAATCCTCCTTCAGCCAGTTATTCTTTAACTTTGATTCTTTATTCTTTTCTACTTTCTATTAGGTTGAGCTAGTCTTTTTCTTTCTTTTCTTTTTCACTCTGTTGCCCAGGCTGAAGTGGTGCACTGGCATGATCTCGGCTCACTGCAGCCTCCACCTCCCGGGTTCAAGTGATCCTCCCGCCTCAGCCTCCCAAGTAGTTGGGATTAAAAGTATGCGCCATCACACCCAGCTAATTTTTGAATTTTTGGTAGAGATGGGGTTTTGCCATGTTGGCCAGGCTGGTCTCAAACTCCTGACCTCAAGTGACCTGCCCTCCTCGGCCTCCCAAAATGCTGAGATTACAGGTGTGAGCCACCTCACCCAGCCGTTTTTTTCTTTATTCTCCCCTTTCCTCTATACTGGAAGTTAGAAGGTAGGATTAAAATTTAAAAGACCCCTGGGAGAAACGAAAAGCCCAGGATTCCATACTACTTTTTCAGACTGCGGATTTGGACTTTTCTATTTCCCTCTTCATGGCAGGAGTAGCTCTTCAAGGTTTTCCTCCAAGGACTTCTCCTGGGTCTCCAGAGCCTGTGTCTCAGGGAATTCAGGCAGTTCTCTTTTGCAGCTTCTGAACCTAAACAGAGAAGGTGGCCTGGGGCCTGGGTCCCCCAGGCCAAAAGCCAGGGGTCAATATGAGCAACAAGGGCATCCAAGGAGAATTCTGCACAAGAACCACTGAGCCTATCAGCTGAGCTGGGGTCAAGTCAGGCTGAACCCACTGCGGCTTCGTCCTCTCTCTTTATTCTAAAACCGTTTTCTTCCTTTTGCATTCAGCTGTTTATTTAAAAGTTATTTTTTACTGCATTTTGCCAATTATTTCTATGTGTAGGTACCAATCTGCTATACTCTAAAAAGCTGTGGGAGTTAATTTACTTATCTTACAGACTATTTACAAGTTCCAAGTCTCACCTTCCACCTCACATCTTTTTGTTTTTGTCTGGTTTCCTCTGTTTCCATCTACTTGACTTACTAGTAGATTCTTTCTTTCTTTTTTTTTTTTTTTTAAGATGGAGTTTCACTCTTGTCACCCAGGCTAGAGAGCAGTGTGCGATCTCAGCTCACTGCAGCCTCTATCTCCCAGGTTCAAGCAATTCTCCTGCCTCAGCCTCCCGAGTAGCTGGGATTATAGGCGCCTGCCACCACACCTGGCTAATTTTTGTATTTTTAATGGAGATAGGGTTTCACCATTTGGCAAGGCTGGTCTTGAACTGCTGACCTCAAGTGATTCACCCGCCTCAGCCTTCCAAAGTGCCGGGATTGCAGGCGTGAGCCACCTCAAATCCCTTTGTCTCTCAGGTTGGGGAGGTAAGACCTCCTCTGCACACAGGCTCCTGGACACCATGCTCTGCTCACAGCCAGAGTCCAGGTAAGAAAGCTGGCCATAGTTCTCTGTGCCGTAGTTCCTGGGTGTGTTGCCTTTTCCCCATCCTTCAGCAGTTTCTAAAATGATGGACTTGACAGGTCTCAGCCTTCCTGGCTGGACACAACCCTGGCTATGATAGAAACATGCCCAGCTGGAAGCAGCTGACATGTCCAGAGCTTCCAGCAATGGGCTTTCCAATACAACATGTTGGGGCCCTTATTTCCTGTCACTTCTTTTTGGCTGGGTGGCTCCATCTAGCCACAGGCATTCCCTGGGCAGCTGTCAGAGTTAACATCTGAGCCTGGTCAGCACTAGTGCAGCTGTGGGCTCTGGCATTGCTGCTCATAAGTAAATTCCCCAGTGAGCCCACAGTGCTGCCTTGACATCTCTGTTGGGTGCAATTCTCTTCAAAGAAGGCCAGCTTCCTAGGTGCGAGCCCTATGCAGTCACACTGGGACCCGCCCTCAGACCTTGTACTTGGATTCATGCTCTGGTGTTGATAGCTTGAAACTTAAAATAATTTGTGAATAAAGTTTTGCTTTTTACTGGGCTCCATAAATTATGTAGCCTCTCCTTAGGAGAAACAGAGAAGAATACCACCGGCACTTGGGGAAGTGGGTGGGGTTTATCGACTAACCCGCGTCTTGGGAGTGCAGAGCAGCGGCCATTATAAGTAATTGTTTTTTCTCTGGGAAGCTCCCACCCATCTAAAAAGCATTTTAGGCCAGGAGCGGTGGCTCAAGCCTGTAATTCCAGCACTTTGGGAGGTCAACGTGGGTCTTGAGGTCAGGAGTTCAAGATCAGCCTGGCAAGCATGGTGAAACCACATCTTTATTAAAAATACAAAAATTAACTGGGCTTGGTGGCGGGCACCTGTAATCCCAGCTACTTGGGAGGCTGAGGCAGGAGAACTGCTTGAACCTGGGAGGTGGATGTTGCAGAGAGCTGAGATTGCACCACTGCACCCCATCCAGAACAACAGAGTGAGACTCCGTCACCAAAAAGAAAAAGCGTTTTAGTGCCTCAGAAAAGGGAAAAGGGTAGACAGCCTCTAGAATAGCTGTCCGATGTAACTTTCTGTGATGCTGCTAATGTTTTATATATTTGATGTCCAACATAGTGGCCACTATCCCCATGTGGCTTCTGAAAACTTGTATTGTAGCTAGTATGACTGAGGACCTGAATTTAAAAACCTTAATTATTTAAAAATTAAAGTTACATAGACACATGGAGCTGTTACCATATTGCACAGCATAACTCTAAAACAACAAAGTAATTTCTGACCTTTGTGCTTTGATTATTGTTCGTACTGATCTATAGCAAGACTTAGGCTTTGTCCAGAAAGGATTTTTAAATTCAGATTTAAGGCATACCATGAACTAAGATGGGGCCCTCAACTCATAGTGTTTTTTTCTTAAGAAAAAAGAAGATAACCTTACCACCTATGAAAGCTAGGTCATGATATGCGTTGCTCTACCCTGGAAGGGAGATAGTACATGGGTGAATGAGTTGCCCAAAGACTGCCCCTTCCAGTTCCAAGGGATTATGGAAGAAATGAGGAAGACAAGAAGTGAGAAGGCCAGAGGCCAGAGTCTTGGCAAGGAGTGATGGTGAGGAGGTGGTATAGTAGGTGGGTTGATAGATGAGCTTGAGCCATCACTCCTGGGCTTACATGGCCGGGATGTTGTACAGGTGATCTAGCAAGTCCCGTGTGTTCTGATGAGACAGAGGTTTTGAGAGCACAGAGGTACGCCAAAGGGCTCTGGTTAAAACAAAGAGGTACCTGAGTAGAAACTTTGAGATGGCCAGAAACACAGATTCCAGAGGAAATTACTTTACCTCAAAAAGCCAAACCAGAAAAATCAACCTTCAGTGGTCACCAGTCCAGTAAACAGAAAATCTAGCCACTTCACCTTTGGTTAGTGAGGATTCAGATAATATCTCTGCTGCGTGGGTCATCTAAATTCTTACAGACCCCACTAAACAGAGACAGAGTCACTAACTTGGAGGACAACAAAGAGATGGAGAGAAAATGTAAAGACCGTATTTTACCTAAAGAAACTAAAGATAATTTACATAAAGAAGGCATCTGAATTATTGAGCTGAACTAAGTTTAACTGAAGGGGATAAATTTAGGGTCCTTTTTTCCCAATTCCCTGTGGATGAGTAGATGAGTTATGGAGAAATACAGAAGCTATATTTTCCTCGCACATCTGAGTACAGAGTGAATGAATTTGTGACCCCACTACAAATATGTGTGGCTTCCTGCCAAGCCAGTGATGGACAGCAATTCTATTTCCAAGGCTTTGGCAGGGGTGGAGAATGTGTGGGGAAAGGGAGGATGCTAACTTCATGTACTGAGTCTGGGAGCAACAACACCAGCACCATGATGAATTGGCCACTTAACCCACAGATGCCCTCTCTTCAAAGGCACTAGCAACCTCACGTGGGAAGTACATTTTGAGTGTATCTGGGAGGGAGTTTTTCTCTTATCCTCTGCCTGGACAGGGAAGAGGTTGTAGATAACCCAGCTTACTGGTCCAAGAGCTTTGACATCAATGGGAGAGGGGGGATCTGGCAGATTATGGTGTCATTTTGGCTGTGCAGGCCCTAGTCATCTTCTCATGCAGGATCAAGGAGGCATGAGCTACTTGGACAAAATCCTAATATACGAATCTAAATCTAACATCCTGTGAGTCCTTTGTCCAGACAGGTCCTCAAGTCCTCTGTGGGCTACACCACCACCTGCAGGCCAACCCTGAAAAGTACATGTCCAAGAGAATGGAAGAATTACTGGGCTCTATTCTGTCCAGTCGAGACATCTGCATTATGCTTCAAGTGTTTGTAGTCCCAGAGGAAGAGCCCACATGATTTATCAAATATATTTATCAATTCCTGGAATTCATTAGACAATTCCCTACACATTTCTTTTCATAGTCTGTTGTAATAATTGACATGCTCAAAAGGGATGGAGGCTTTTCTTGGTTCTCAGATGCAGATGCAGTCTCCTAACAAGCCTTACTTAAGGTATTCCTGCCTTCCCCTGACCTACCTGACCCAGCCCAGTCCACGTGAATGTCTCCATCCACTGAGATGAGCAATATCTAGTGCTTGGAAGACCCAGCCCTGAAGTCTCCACCTCTGGGTTTCCTTCTCTAGGAAACCGGCTTTTGAAAGAGTATAATTGCTCCTCTTCCTTGGGATTAAGAATCACTTGTCATAGAGTTGGAGTGGCTAAATTAGATGCGGGAACTCAGTTTGCACCAGAGTCACCTTCCTCAAGCACTTTGGGTTTACCATTTCATACCCAATCCTGGGAGCCATAGACACACGAGGGAAGACTACAGCACTAATCCTGGAAATCATCTGCTGGGAATTTTGAAGATAGCCCGTCCTGGCCATCACTAATAGAGGTAGTCAGGTCTGGCAGGGGCCCACACAATTGGGTTTTTATGATATGTGAGTGTAAGAGGAATAGAGTGGTCAAGAATGAGCCTCAAGTCTATATCCTGAGCTGCTGGATGAATGGTAAAGCCAGGAGCTGCAGTGTATAAAACTGTAAGAAAAACAGGTTTGGGAGATAAGACCAAGTTCTATTTTGAAAATGTTCAATTTGAAATGCTTATTAGACATCTAATGGAAATGTCAAGTAGGTGGCAGAATATGTTAAGTCTGGAGCTCAGGGGAAATGTCAGGGCTAGAGAATATAGATCTGGGAGTTATTGACAGAGAGACAGAAATTAAAGCCATGGGACTGGATAAGATCTCCTATAAAGTGAACGAGTGTATTTAAAGAACAGAAGATGTTTAAAGAAATTAAAAAATGAGGAATAAGAGGAAGGAGCCAGCAGACTCAGAAGAGGCCAATCCAGGGACACAGGAGGAAAACCGAGACAGTGCGTTGACTCAGATTCCAGGTGGTTCACCAAGTGAAATAAAATCCACTGAGAGGTCAAGTAAGAGAAGGGCTGGGAAATTGTTCAGAGGATTTAAGACATGTAGAGCTCACTGGTGATCCTGAGAAGAATGGCTTCAGTGCAATCATAGGGAAGCAAACATGATTGGAGAAGACTGAAAAGAGACCATGAAATGAGGAAGTGGAGAGACACTGAGTATTGACAACTTGCTTTAGAAATGATGATGTAAGGAGGCCTGAGAAGCAGGAGGGAGTAGTTGGAGGAGGGTGTAATTCTAGAGAAGACAGGTTTTTTAAAGACAGGAGATATTATAGCATGTGTATCTGCTATGGGAATGATCAAACAGAGAGTGGAGATGTAGAGATGGTGGAGACAGTGATTGATGAAAAGAGCAAAGCCTTTGAGTAGGTGATGGGGAATCCAGGGCTTAAGTCACAAGGTCTAGGAGGACTAAGAGTCTAGGACAGTTTTTCCATCATCAAGGAAGGAAAGGCAAAACTTAATGAGAATGCTGGTGGGAAATGTTACAGTTGTCTTGTGGTTGTTTCTATTTTCTTAGTAAAAGCAGAGATGAGGTCTGTTTCAGCCAGCTCATGCTAGCTCAGTTCACTGAGACTCTGCCCTAGACACAGAGCCAAGTAATTTACCCTGACAACTGAGTTAGAAGAGCCCACGTGTCTTGCAAAAGGTTCTGGATTCTCAGAAGTGCCACTGCCAGATCTGGTACCTGTCCTTGAGAAAGGATGTCTGCTAGAGAAGCAAACACATGAAACGCTCCCACCTCAACTAAGAACCCACCTAAACATGTTAAGACTTTGTAGTCACCCAGTGAAAAACACCACCCAGTGGAGTGGAATGTGGAAGAAGAGCCAGACCTGATTAGAGCCTCCTCCCACATCAGGCTAAGGCTGCTGGCATCCTATAAAAAAATTAAGAAACCTACCTTAAATATTTTTTTTACCTTCTCCCTCTGTGCTGTGTTTTAAACTTGCTTGCTCACAATGGATTTTCCCAGTTTGTCCTCATATTTGGATGGATACTCTGTCTCTACCCAACCTTTTAGAAAAGATGGTTCTTTGGTACTGCCCAAATGGTTTTAAATTCAGCTTCTCCGTAGAATGCTTCCCCTGAATCTCTACCTCTTCAGCTCCAATGAGCCTCAGACATGTCCCAGGCTCCCAGCTACCATATCTCTTCCCAGCCTGCCTAGGCCCTCACTTCTCAGGGATGAAGGTCTTCACACATATGAGAAACCATGTAAAGTAGATTTTAGAAGGATAACATAGTGTAACCATAAGGTGTTATTCAAAGCAGCAGCAGGAGCAACAGGGCTTTCTGAGCAAGGCTTTCCTATTTAGCCTTCTTTATCTTTCTCTAGCCATTAAAAATGACTTCTAAAGGAATAACATATTCCTTGGGAAAATGAGTGAAAGTACAAATGAATTAGGGTTTAGAGAAGATGAGGATAAAGAAGGTTGCTTCCTCATGGAAGACCACACACACACACACACACACACACACACACACACACACACTTTGATTACTACACATAGTAACTACATGTATTGTAGCTTACAGATGAATGAAAAACAAATTTGAATGTCTTTTTTAAAGCAAGATTTTTGTAATAAAACACAAAGAGATATATTAATATAAAAATAAAACATGCATGATGGCACATAAATATTCTAATTAGGTAAATAAGCTTTCTTCAACCAAACATTTGTGGAGAGGTGTTTGGGCCCTGTATTTGAATCAAAGTATCTAAGTAAAGGTACTTCTAATTAAATAGGAGTCAGGGTGAATATTTATTTTCTCACATAATATGTGACTAAATGAATGAGGCTGTTTTGTTTTTGTTTTCTGAACAACCCTTATATTGGAAGCCTAGTTTGTCAGGTGCTATGGCTCTAAATGATTTTGGAACTTCTTGTTAGGAACTACCTTCAGAGCTCTTTTGATGAATAGGGTGACTGATTATTTCTGTTTTCCAGAATGTGGGGCTATAGAACTGGGAGAGTCTTAGGCAAATCTTCTTGATTTACCTGGAACTGAGGGAGATGTCCAGTCCTAAAACTGAGAAAGTTCCAGGCAAAATGGATTGAGTTTGGTCACCCTATTCATAAACCACACAAGAACCACCAGCCCATTGCTTTATAGTCATACAGTGTTACTCAGTTTGATCTCCTCCTTATTTTTAAGACTGGCCCTTAATGTCCTTTGGCTGTTTCAAAGACCAAATGTGTTCCCTCCACCCCAGACAACTTTGTAGCAACGTACAGAAGAGCCTGAATTCGGAAGGCAATTTTACAAACTTTCCTTTCTTCCTCCCTCCCTTCCTTTCTTCCTTTCCTCTTTCCCTCCTTTTCATTCTTACCTTTCCGTATCTGAGTCACAGTATTTAAAAGTATGTTGTACAAGTGGTGGATATGATAAAGACTTCTTTACCAAACTTTAGTCAGGTTCCCCTGAACCCTCTTCTCGACTAGGCCTCTCCCCTGGTCCCCATCCTGTCTTTGGCCTGCCTGGTGTAGTTTTAGGAAGAGTCCTGCCAAGTCAGTTTATTGAGAATACCCTCCCTTGATACCTGATCACCCCTGGTATCTGATGAAATTCATTTTATCCTATCTCCTACCCAGTTTTGGAATCCCTAAAACCTCAACTTGTAGCTCAGTACATTATCCCTTCCCCTTACTTTTAGCTGCTTAACACATTTTATGGTAATCACTAATTCATCACATGGAAGTGAATAAGAACCATTTAATATGATTATCTTCTCCATTAAAGCTGTCATCATAATTAGAGCTGCAGTGAACTGTTTGCCAGGAATTATAACTTCTGCCAAGAAAAACTTGGGTGTCATTTTAGAAAAATTCTTAGGTGGGGGAGGAGGAGATCAGGGCCATCTGTGTGGGGATCCAAAGCTGAATAATGATAAGCAAAGCCCCTTTCTCCTATTCTCTGCCAAACTCTGGCCAGCCCTCCAACTGGACCTTGCCAAAGACTTTAACATGAACTAGCTTTCAAGGTAGTCCAAGAAGCACACCCTCTCAGGGGAAGAAAGCCTTTGGAAAAGGCAGCAACAAATAAACATCAGGCCTCTGTACATAAGGCTTTCTAAAAGTTGTTCCAAATGGTTTTGTTTGCTACCCCACTGTTTCCAGGGCAACCACCTAAGCCAGGACAGAAGTAGAAGGAGACATGAGGCTAGAATGGGACCACCCACTGCAATTCTCATTTTTATCCTGATGGCAAGAACCTTTATATCGACTCAAAGTGTTTGTCAGGCCTCTGGCTGTGAATCACTGGAATAACATTTTGCCCTGATGGAAGTGTGTCACAGGCTGCTGCTCCCACATCCCCCCCATACTGAGGTGTTTTTAAATGGAACCAAATATCCCAGGGGAATTTTCTCTGCACTACTAGCATTGCTTTGTTGCACATTTTTAGATTACACACTGTAAATTATAGCTGAAGAAAATACAGTATGCTAATTTCCTCCTGCATGTCTTTGAGTTATTTTTAGGAAAAGTGTCTTTGGAATTCAGCTTCTCAGGTAAATGTTTAAAATGAAGAGAATAATAAGACTAAGGCAGAGGGATGCTCCAGGCTCAGACCACAGCTGTATCACAGTCTGGCAGTTTGTAATGAGCACAACTTGCACGTCCAGCATGGATTTCAGCTGCCAATAGTGGAAGAAGCTCTGGACTGGGCATCAGTAGATTTGGGTGTGCATGCTGATTATGCAACTTTGGATAAGTGACTTTGGAGGAATTTGTGTCATGTTCCTAAGTCTTGACTTCCTCATCTATGGAATAAGGGTGTTCAGCGAGATCTCTAGAGTGCTTTCCACTTCTCATACTCCACGGCACTGTGTGCTAAACTAAGCAAAACGACCTCAAATCACATGAGTAGATTGTGTTGACTATCTTTAAAAAGAATGAATAAACTCAGGCCAGGCGCAGTGGCTCATGCCTGTAATCCCAGCACTTTGGGAGGCCAAGGTGGGTGGATCACTTGAGGTCAGGAATTGGAGACCAGCCTGGCCAATATGGAGAAACCCCATCTCTACTAAAAATACAACAATTAGCTGGGGGTGGTGCGCACCTGTAATCCCAGCTACTCAGGAGGCTGAGGCAGGAGAATCGCTTGAACCCGGGAGGCAGAGGTTGCAGTGAGCTGAGATCACACCACTGCACTTCAGCCTGGGCGAAGAGTGAGACTCTGTCTAAAAAAAAAAAAAAAAAAAAAAAGAATAAATTTAATCTGTGAACATTATAAATTCAGGAGCATAAAATACTTCAGCCTGCGTTCTTCATGATCTCTTACTGCACTGAGGTTGTTAATTTTTTCACGTGGTGTGCTGGATATCTCCCATTTGCCCTTTAGATCCACGTTCCATCTTTCTCCACCCTGGCAGACTGTCCTATAAGGACTACAGCACACGCTTGTGTCCTGTGGCTTCTAGGTGAGCTCAGCAAATGTGCAGAAGTTTGAAAAAACAGTTGAGTGTAAGGTTGCTCCCTCCCTGCACCTTGCCTGTGAGGTTGCCATGACTGCATTCGGCAACCAAAGGTCACAGCTCCAGTAAAGCACCCTCTCTACCTAGCTGTCTTCAAATTTCCATAATAGATTCCTCCACTTGTTGCTTCAGGTCTAGGGGCACTGTACGACCCCTGTGGTTCTCTATGCCCAGTCTATATTTTTAAAAACTCGTTTAGGCTGGGCATGGTGACTCATGCCTGT
Source organism: Homo sapiens (assembly GCF_000001405.40). Classification (NCBI taxonomy): domain Eukaryota; kingdom Metazoa; phylum Chordata; class Mammalia; order Primates; family Hominidae; genus Homo; species Homo sapiens. Next base: position 56,815,979 of record NC_000015.10, on the reverse strand, counting down.
AATCCCACCACTTTGGGAGGCCAAGGTGGGAAGAATCCGAGATCAGCCTAGGCACATAGCGAGACCCCGTCTCTAAAAAATTAAATAAATAGAAATAAAAGATAAGTAAAAACGAGTCTTTATTTATTTATTTATTTATTTATTTATATTTTAAGGAGGGTCTCACTCTATCACCCAGGCTGGAGTGCAGTGGCACAATCCTGGCTCACCGCAACCTCCGCCTCTGGGGTTCAAGTGATTCTCCTGCCTCAGCCTCTTGAGTAGCTGGGATTACAGGTGCCCACCACAATGCCTGGGTAATTTTTTCTTTTTTTCTTTTTTTGTATTTTTTAGTAGAGACAGGGTTTCGCCTTGTTGGCCAGGCTGGTCTCAAACTCCTGACCTCAAGTGATCTGCCCGCCTCGGCCTCACAAAGCGCTAGGATTACAGGCATGAGTCACCGCATCCGGCCAAAACTAGTCTTTATTAAAGTCTCCCCAGAGTTTCCATTGTGAATGAGCCTTCTGTTTCCTGCCGGTGGTACGCTGACTGATACACCCAGTTTCTGGGGATTACGGGTGTGGCAAGACCACAAAGTCCATGGTGCTTATTACTGAAATACATAAATTTACCTTGAATGCATCCTTTTTTTTCTCTTTAATTGCGGCTTAGAAACGATAAGAATCTCTGTGTACTGCTGCTTTGTTATGTAGTATTTGACCTCTATCCATGCTCGTATTAAACAAGATTCAGAAGCAGATAATAGAAACCATTCTAGTAGTTTTAGCAAGAAAGGATTGGCTACAGGGAATCCCATGCCCACAGTTACAGGGGCTGGAGGAGTGGGCTGTGGACTGGGTTCCAGAACAACACTAGAGAGCTCACCTGTCTAGAGAACTATCTCTGCAACAATCTGGAAGCTGGGGATCAGGAAACCACTATACCACTCACCAGATCCTAGATCACACTGCCTTGCCACAATTTGGCAATCAGAAAATTGTGGACTCAACTGTTGGCCCCAAACCATACTGTAACAGATTCGTACCATCAAAATGAAGGCCTGGGCACTGCCTTCCTTCCTACCTGACTCAGTGCTAACTTAAATTTTCACACAAGTACATCTTATTGGTGGATCCTAATCATATTCCTAGCTGTATGAAAGTCTGGAAAATGTCACTTTTAGTTTTCTAGCCTCTGCAGTATAGGAAGGCACTCTACAAGAAGGGTAGAATGAATTCTGTGCAAGCCCCTCTGCTCTATCTGCCACAAAATTATTTCAAAAACGTGAACTTCGGGCATTCAAAAAAGAGCAAAATTCAAATCTTTACTCTAGGATTTATTAGCTGCGTGACCTTGGACAGGATGCAAGGTCCAATATTACTCAGCCAATTTTTCCTCTGTACAATGGAAGTATAATATATACCTCACAGAATTGCCATTCATTCATTGATTTATATCTCTATCAAATTTTTACTGATTTTTACCTTAGTACCAGAAGTTTTAGTTGAAAGTGACAAAAACTAATTGGTTGATTAAGCCAAAAAGAAAACTATTAAAGGATATTTGGTAGGTCGCAGAATTGCCAGGAGGGCTAGAGAGCCAGGCTCAAGGATGAACTTCCAGGATACCACCACAAACAGTTGTCAGGACTAGCCTGAAGACACTGCTACTGCCTTCACCTCCCAGCATTCAATGCTACATTTTGCACCGCCAGCAGGAACTTTACTGACACAAGCACTACTGCCAGCCCTGTTATAGGAACTCAACAATGCCACCTCTGAAGGCCAAGTGGCAGTGGTGTCACTCTCACTGGCAGAAATGGATTCCATGTGGCATTACTTTCTCACATTGCTCTCATCTCAAAGAAATTTCACAAGGATGTCTGATGGGGCCTGAGTCACATGCTTGTGCCCAGCTAGCTACAAGGGGGGTGAAGAAAGCATAATTTCTGATATCTAATTTGGGGAGGAAAGAAACTTCCTAACCAAAAGGAGAGTGTTCACAGGTGCTGAGCTCCAGACAAAATAGACTACACCTACTCCAAATGGCTAAGCAAAAAGGATATTTATTGGCTCTCATTCTCTTTCTTACTCTTGTTCTTACTTTGCTTTCCTTTCCCCGAGCTTCATTTTCAGGCATTCTCTCCCTGGTGGCAGGTTAGGCCCTGAGAGCTGTAAACTTACGTTCTACCAGCCAAGCAATCCCTTGGAAAGAATGTGTCTTTCCCAATCATTCCTTCAGAACTCTGTGGCTGACTCTATTGATCTGACTTGGATCACGTAAGCTTTCCTAAATCATTCACTGAGCCGAGAAGATGGAATAAATTTACACACAATTTTGGGTTACATGCCAACCAAGCTGTAGAGGTATAGGTTCAGCCCTTCTAGAACTGTCTGGCTCAAGCATCGCGGAAGAAAGTTTTTATAAAGGAAACTTGGGATACTGGCAGGTGAAAACAATTATTGTCCACTATAATCTCCCAAGCTGTTTGATATCCATACACACACTCTCCTTCTCATACATGCAGCATCATCATAATTGTTATCACCTGCAATAGTGCAACTCTTTTACATACCTCTCAAAACTCCCTCCTTCCCCAAGTGCTAGGCCAGTTACTGCATCCACCTCTCAGCAACATGCATTATTCTCAGGTTGGCCCAGAATAGCTCCTTGTGTATTGGCAAACTGAGGTTAAATGATAAATTTAACCTGATCTACAATGGTAGAAATAGGTCAGGTTATCTTAATTAAAGAAAAAAAAAACTCACATGGAAAAGGGAAGGGGAAGAAACAGCTTAGAGTGGTCATTGGCAAACAGAATTTGTCACATCCTGCTTCTCAGGAATAAAAAGTGCTGTCTGCTCCAGTGACAGAGTGGATATATTGGTCAGCAAAAGTAGTTGATTCTGGTTTTCTCCTCTGGGAGAAGAGCCAATGTCCAGTATCCACTGTGGTCACCTCTGAAAAGGACAGTGGAGAGGATCACTTGTGAGGGTTAAACTAATTTAGAACCTAATTTTCTATTGAGAAGAGTTCAGGGGCCTGGAGATTACCTTAGGTTGGTTAAGTGTTTATCCAGAAATAACAATTTTCTTAGAAACCTAGTAGGCCCTCCATGCACATCCAATGGTAGGATGTCCTCTCTCATAGCAACAGGCCTTAGAGCTCTGCCCTTCCCTCCAGCTCTCAGCCACAAAGCCTTCAATTTTAACATTTCCTGGGGGCAATGACAAGCAATAGCCTGAGTCGAAAGAGATAAAACCAATCTCAGCTCCAACATCCCATGTATTTCAGTGGTTGGGCTGTAAATTGGGGACTAAGTGAAGCCTCATCCGTCAAGGAAGGCCCAGAAGGAGGTGCTTAGTAGAGCTTTTCCGGGAGACTTTTTTTTAGCTCCTCTTAAGTTTTCAGAATCTTAAGACATTACTTCCACTAACTTTAACTCAGGGGAGAGAATTCAGCTTAAGATTATCTGACTACTATCCCTCTTTGATCACAGGCCACAATTAGAAAGGGCTTCCCTTAGCAGTTTCTGTTCTCTCTCTCTCTGCTTTCTGATGACCCAGTTGTCTCTTACTTGTAGTAACTTATCTTGGGCTAAAAAAAAGTATCCAACCTAATCCAACGAGCTGACGTTTTTCTACTGACTCTCCCAAATCTCCAGCTGGACAGACACATTGCCTGAGTTTCCAGATACAACATGCTTTTGAAGATAGGCATTTCCCAGCCAGAGAAACGGAGGTCCACACTGTCTCCTGCCTCACCATGACCCTTCCAACTTCACATTGTCATTCTAAGTGTCAGTTGTAACTGTTATGTCCAGGAATCAATTTCTACTTCAGTCTATTTCTGTTTCTGCGCAAACAAAAGAAACTCACTCTGACTATCTTAAGCTAAACAAGAAATGTGCTCAAGGATGTGGACTGGCACAAATAATTAAAAGAAATGCTAAGTAAGCACCAGGCTGTGAAAAGGCCAGGAGTCAAAACAGCTCTAAGTATCCAGATAGTAGGAACTAAAGGTCAGTCTCTTTTCGTGGCACTGTTAGCGGGATAAATGATCTCTGTCATTTTCTATCTCTACGTTACTCTGCTCGAGATTTAATTTTTAGGAGACAGAGTCTGAATGGCATTCTTGGGTCACACATATACTCACCTCTTGAGGGCAGGGCAGGACATTTTGAATGATTGCCTCACCAAGACTAGCAAAAAGATTGTTTCAAGGTGTTTTTACCAGAAAAAGATGGAGTGAATGCCAGGCAGGCAAAACCCAAAGATGGTCAATATTTGCTATGTGCTAAGCACTGTGCTAGTCTGTCTGGATCCAAAGATAAATGATGATGGCTAACATTTATTAATCATTTGCTAGGTGCCAGGAACTATGTATTATTTCAGATAATCTTTTTAATAAATAGCGTAACGTAGATACTCTTGTTTTTGTTTTTTTTTTTTTTTTTTTTTTTGAGACTGAGTCTCGCTCTGTCACCCAGGCTGGAGTGCAGTGGCATGATCTTGACTCACTGCAACCTCCGCCTCCTGGGTTAAAGTGATTCTCCTGTCTTAGACTCCCGAGAAGGTGAGATTACAAGCTTGTGCCACCATGCCCAGCAAATTTTTGTATTTTTAGTAGAGATGGGGTTTCACCATGTTGGCCAGGCTGGTCTTGAACTCCTGACTTCAGGTGATCCACCTGCCTCAGCCTCCCAAAGTGTTGGGATTACAGGCGTGAGGCACTGCACCTGGGCATAGAGTAGATACTCTTATGTCTTAGTGATGCATGATTTTTCACTCCTTAAGGCTTAGCTAGATCTGGGTTCTTGTCTCACAACCAGGAAACATTAGTCACACAGACATCAAAGAGTGAGTGGAGTGTAATTTATTAGGCAAAAAGGAAAGCTCTCAGCAAAAAGAGGGGTCCTGAAAGCAGGTTGCCAGTTGGCCCCCTTCAAAGTTGAATACAAGGGCTTCTATATATCTGCTGATGGGGCTGGGTTCCTGTATTAGTCCATTTTCATACTGCCGATAAAGACATACCCAAGACTTGGCAATTTACAAAAGAAAGAGGTTTATTGGACTTATAGGTCCATGTGGCTGGGGAGGCCTCACAATCATGGCGGAAGGTGAAAGGCACATCTCACATGGCAGCAGACAAAAGAAGAGCACTTGTGCAGGGAAATTCCCCCTTTTAAAATCATCAGATCTTGTGAGACTTATTCACTATCACAAGAACAGCACAGGAAAGACCCGCCCCCATGATTCAATCACCTCCCACCGGGTCCCTCCCACAACATGTGGGAACCCAAGATGAGATTTGGGTGGGGACACAGCCAAACCATATCAGTTCCCCATTTTTGTAAGGTGTGAATTCCTGGTGACTCCACGCCATCCTTCCAGTGTACTTGCGGGGCCCTTAGCCTGAGTCCCGCCACATTGATTTATTTCCCTTACCGCACATGTGCTAAGGGACAGAATTTTTCACCGTGGGCATATTTAGTCAAGCCCCCTGTGCACAATAACCTTGGTGGGTCAGAGGTTCTCTGGGGACCCTCTCCTATCTGTCTAGGATAGTTCTCCGCCTCCTGCCTCTATCCTTAGGTCAGTGTCATAGGTTTAATTGTGTCTACCCTAAATTCATATGTTAAAGTGCTAACCCCACTATATCAGAATGTAATTTTATCTGGAAACAGTCATTGCAGATGTAATTAGTTAAGATGAGGTTATTAGAGAGGACCCCAATCCCATATGACTGGCATCCTTACAAAAAGGGGAAATTTGGATACAGCAAGATGCACACAGTGAGAACACTATGTGAAGATAAGGCAAACAGTGAAGTGATGCTCCTACAAGCCAAGGAATGCCAAGATTGTCAGCAAACCACCAGAAAGGAAAGGCAAGGTGTGGAAGACATCCCTCAGAATGATCCAACCCTGTTAACACCTTGATCTCGGATCTCTGTGAGACAATAAGTTTCTCTGTGAGAACTGTGAGACAATAAATTTCTCTTGTTTCTACCACCCACCTTGTGGTACTTCATTATGGCAGCCCTTGAAACTAATGCAGTTGGGTTCTCTAGAAGCAGAGCCTGAGATGAGCTTATTATCCAAGAGCTCAATGAAAGGAGTACCTTCCTAGGCTTCTCCTGTGTTTTCCAAAGTGGCCACAGCATTATTTCTGGTCCCATATACTCCACTAGAATATTGTCACTTCTCCCTCAAGAAGACGAGTCTTTAAACTTGAATGGGCCTTGTGACTGTCTTTACTGATAGAATAAAGTAGAAATAACACTTTGTGACTTCCAAGTTTAAGTCACAGAAAGCAATTTAGCTATCATCAGGCTCTTTTGCAGGGTACTCTCTCTTAGAACCCAGCCGCCATGCTATGAGGAAGCTAAAACTAGCCCATGCAAAGAAATCACAGGCAGAAGGACCAAGGTCCCCAGTGAACGGTTTGTATCAGGTGCCATACATGTGAGGGATGAGACTTCAGATGATTCCCATCCCCAACCTTTGTCTTCCATCTCACAAATCTTTTAACCTAGAGACAAGTCACTACCTCAAAGTTCCTGACCCACAGAATCCATGAGCCTAATAAATGGCTGTTTTAAGCCACTAAGTTTTGGGGTAATTTATTTTGCAGCCATAGAAACTGGAACAGGTTTTTACCTGGAAGCGGGGTGTTGTAATAAAAATCTAAAAATATGATAGTGGCTTTGGGGAAGAAGGTGGAAGTTGGAAGGACCATGAAGATACTGGTAGAAGAGTCTGATGGTCCTCAAGAAGGCTTGTAGAGAGAGCTTGAAGTAAAGTAAGAAAAAGTTCTTGGAAATTGGAGGAAGATCTTTGTTATTTAGTGGCAGAATGTTTAGCAACACAAGGACCTGTAATAAAGTAGAAAGCAGAAATTATACCCAATGAACTGAATTATCTAGCTAAGGAGATTCACTGGAAGAATGTTGAAGGTGCCCTCTGGCTATTTCTTCTTGTTTACGGTAAAAGATGAGAAGAAAGAAATAAGATGAACACAAAACTGAATTTGAAAATAAAACTGTCACTTCTAGGCTCTGTAAGATTGTCAATTAAGGAAAATGCTTCAAGGCAAAGATGAAACCTAGGTAAGAACAATAAGATCCTTTGATATGATCTCAGAAAAATCTCAAGTGATTCCTCAGAGAACAATTTAGTCAGATAAAAGATCCTCTAAGGATCTTAAGGGCATATCCCACAGATCACCTTTATCAAAAAAGGGCTTATAAGAATCTTAAAGATGTTGTCCCTTGGGAGCCTAATAGGAAGACCAAGGTAGAGAAGGGCTTATCTTGAAGGAGACCTTTGGGTAAGAATTCTGTTTAATGGAGTGGATTATAATATAATTCATTAAAAACTCAAAGATTTTAAAAGAATTATATCAACTTGGACTGAAAGATATAGAAAATACAAAATGAAATCCAAATTTCTGTGGGCAGAAACAGGCTGCAAAAATTACTCAGCCATAAACATGGGCTATTTTCCATGGAAAATGAAGATGGCCAAGAGGGTAGAGCCAAGAGCCAAAGTGAATTGTTCCCAGGCAGTAGAATTGATCCTTTAATCAAGGAACTGGCAACATATGTCCAGCTAGATTTCAAAATTGCTGTGGACCAGTGAATCCTGTGTGTATCAATTTTCTTCCTTTTTAAAAAGCAATGTTCATAGCAGTATTTTCTACCTGTTCCATTACTGCATGTTGGGAATGTGCAAGAGAGTTTTGTTTCTTTAGTTCATAGGTCTACATATCAAAAGGAAATGTTCCCAATAGGAAGTGGGCTGTTCCAGGGGTGAAGCCCTCAGAGGGATATCATTTCAAATTATCTTTTTGCTTTCCCCTTAGGGGCTCTTCCTTTTAATTCTACGTGTTGAGAGACCTCTTATCCTTCAAAGAATTCAAGATGTGCTGGGAAAATAATTGTGTAGCAGATTCTGATAGTTCTCTTCCAGTGTCCATTCTCCTCTTTTTCAGTAAAAGAACCCTTGCATTCTAGCTAAACACATGTCTGCCAGGAACAAAGATTGCATTTTCCAGCTTCCCTTGCAGCTAGGCTTGGCCATTTGTTTAAGTTATTGTCAATGGGATGTCACTTTCAAAGAGTATACCTAAAATAAGGATTATGCCCTTGGTTGTATTTTCTCCTTCCTGCTGGTAGGAATACAGATGCAAAGACCAGCTCTATTCAGCAGTCACACTGGATCATGTCTATACAGTCATACCCTAGGGTTGATAAAGAACAAAGCTGGAAGGATCCTGAGTCCCTGCCAAATTGATATTTTATATCAGAGAGTAAAATCTTGAGTGTTAAAGCCACTGTAAAATTGGGGTTTCCATCCCATGCTATACCATCTCATCCTCACAAATAAGATGTCATAGATGGTAGAATTATGGCTCTGTGAGAGCAGGGACCTTGTCTGCTTTAGTCATGGCTATGTCTCCAGCATCTAGAATTATGCATGGTGCATTATTTATAAAGAAATGAATGAATAAAATATTATGACAATTAAGAATGAAGAACCAACACAAAAAACTGAGACCAGCATTTCCCACGTACAATGTTTTTTTTAGTTGTAGTTAAATATACGTAAAATAAAATTTACCCTTTTAACTATTTTTTTCAGTTGTGCTAAAATACACATAACATAAAATGCACAATCTTAACTGTTTTTAAGTGTATAGTTCAATGGTATTAAGTACATTCACATTGTTGAGCAACCATCACTACCATCCATCTCTAACATTTTTCATCTTCCAAAACTTTTTTCATCCTTAAAACTTTTTTCATTTTCCAAAACTGAAACTCCATATCCTTAAACAATAACTCCTGTGGCCTCCTCCCTTAGCCCCTATCACCATTCTACTTTCTGTCTATATGGATTTGACAAATCTATGTACCTCATATAATTGGAATTATATGATATTTATCTTTTTGTGACTGGCTTATTCCACTTAACATAATTCTTTAAGATTCATTCACGTTGTAGCATATGTCAAAATGTGCTTCTTTTTTAAGGCTGAAAAATATTCCATTGTATGTGTATACCACATTTTGTTTGTCTGTCTATCAATGAGTTGCTTCCACCTTTTGGAGATTGAGAATAATGCTGTTATCAACAGGGGTGTACAGAAAATATTTTATTATTTACTTACTTTTTGAGACAAGGTCTTGTTCTGTTGCCAGGCTGGAGTTCAGTGGCATGACCTTGGCTCACTGCAATCTCTGACTCCAGGGCTCAAGTGATCCTCCTACCTCAGCCTCCCGAGTAGCTGGGACTACAGGTGTGGGCTGCCACGCCCAGCTACTTTTTGTATTTTTTGTAGAGACTGGGTTTTGCTATGTTGTGCAGGCTCGTCTCGAACTCCTGAGCTCAAGCAATCCACCTGACTCCACCTCCCAAAGTGCTGGGATTACAGGTGTGTGCCACCACACCAGGCCAGAAAATATTTTTAAAGACTGCAGATTCCTTAGATGTTCTAATTTACTGACTCAAGTCTTGAAAGTGGGAGAGGCAGGGTGGGGAGCAATTTGGAAGATATATTTTAAATGTTTTCCAGGTGATTTGGAGTACAGATAGTATAGTCCTTGAGTTGTCAATTGGAAGTCACTGATACCACACGGTGAGTACTACTTGTACTAGTCTACAGGTATAGAAAAAAACAGAACAATAAGGTTATGACGTGAGAGCTTTTTGTGTTGTTGAAAATGAAAGAGAAGTTGAATTTGGCAAAAATGAGAAGGGAGGGCATTTCAGGTTGGAGAAAAAATTAATTAAGAGATATAAACATTCTGATTTTAAAGTAGTTCCCACTTATCTGTGGTTTCACTTTCTGTGGTTTCAGTTACCCACAATCAATTGTGATCTGAAAATATTAAATAGAAAATACCAGAAATAAATAATTCCTATGTTTTTTATAGCATTCTATCCTGAGTTTTGTGATGAAATCTCACACTGCTCTGCTCCATGCTGCCTGGGACATGACTCATCCCTTTGTTCGGTGTATTCACGCCGAATATGCTGCCTGCCCATTAGTCATTTAGTAGCTTTTTGATAATGAGATCAACTGTCGTGGTATCACAGTGCTTGCGTTCAAGTAACCCTTATTTTACTTACTAATGGCCCTAAAGTGCAAGAGTGGTGATGATGGTGGATATGCCAAAGAGGATCCATAAAATGCTTTCTTTAAGTGAAAAAGTGTAAGTTCTCCACTTAAAAAAGAAAAAAAATTACATACCGAGATTACTAAGATCTACAGTAAGAATGAATCCTCCCTCTGTGAAATTGTGAAGAAGGAAAAAGAAATTCATGCATAGTACACTTGCATGTTTAGTACTATCTGTGTCTTCAGGCATCCACTGGGGGTTTTAGAACGTATCCCCCACGGTAAGGGGGATACCGCATTTTTCTAGGTGTCTCTAATTGTGCTGTCACAGCTCTTTCCAAGTCTAGACTCATGAAATATATATATTTTGTTCAACTATTATTGAAAACAACTAAGTATTGTTCCACTAAGAATATAATAAATTTTGTTGTATTTATGAAACTTCCATTAGAGCAACAACATTGTTAGTTTAGCCTTCCCATACATTTCTGTTTTTTTCTCTGGAGTGAAGATAGAACAGCAAGGGAAAAAAAAACTGATGCAGTAATATGACCTCTTAAAACTGAAATTCATCTAAAATGGTCTTTTGACCATGATGGACTGCGTAAGTTGTAATACAACAAAATCATTTCAAAATCTTTTTTCCAATAGCTGCACGTGTATATTATTTGATCCAACACTGAAACGAAATTGCAAACATTTTAACAGCTTCTTTGTTGCAGCTCTGAATCAGAAGGGGAAACTTGCCAGAAATCCTGGTTTTTTTTTCCCCAAATCATTCCATCCACTTCTAAATTAATGCATTGGTTGTATTCTGCCCCCTTTGGTTGAATTACATTAAAGACAAATTTATTCTTTAATCTTCTACAATAAAAAGATGTTAATTCCACTATTTAATTTATTTTCTAGATAAAATAATATGTGTTTCTGATACATCTGTTTTTAAATTTTCCCATTTTTATAAGTTGCTTGGATGTGACCAGGAAAATTCCTCCTACGATGGCTTTAAAATAAATTTTATTAACCTATTTTCATTTTGTGAGTGAACCAGTGATATTTACTATGACTTTCTTCTTCCTTTCAAGTATAATTCAAGTTGTTATTTGATAGTGTGTTGTTAACTGAAACTTATGGAGAGTTTCTTACATGTAACTTAGAGTTAAGTGAGAGAGACAGACATTTATGAAATAATCTCACAAATATTTTTATAAGTACCAAAATTGAATCCTTCCTGGACTTTCAGAGTGAATATTAAGGGGATTTTGTCTGTTTAAGGGGTCACGAAAGGAATTTGAGCTGAGAGTTAAAGCATAAGTAAGACAAAATGCATAATATTGGGTGTGTGGGAGGCCAGGAAGGTTTCAGGAAGAGGGAAGGGCATGAACAAAAGTTAAACATAGGCCTCTGTGGCTAGAGCTCAGGCAGCAAATGCAAATGTGCTTCAAGCTATATTAAGAACTTTGCCTTTATTCTACGTGCAATAATACATTAGCTTGGATGAATAATAGCTAAGAACCTTTCGGTTGCCAGTAATAGAAAATTCAATCCAGCCTTTCTTCATAAAATAAAGAAAGGCAGAAAAAGAACCATTGGCTTATGTTATGGTGAAGTCCAGAGTTCAGATCCCACTCTAAGGACAAGTTTTATTCATAGGGTGATGATCTTTTCCTGCCCCAGTTCTGGCTCTTTTGGATCCCATGACTCTACCCTTATCCTTAATCTTCAGTCTGGCTCCTACCATGGTCCCAAGAACTAGTCAATCTTTCTGATTGGATTTGCTTAAATCATATGCCCACTCTGAAGCCATTCTTTGGCTAGGGGAATGCTGTGCTCTACATGGTTTAGGTATGGGTTAAGTGCCCTCCCCTAACATTATCTCTGTGGCTAGGGAAGCCAATTAGGGAATCCATAACTCTGGAGCTGGAGATGGGGGTAATCCCACTCAAACCACCTTGGGGAGAGGTGGTTTCCTAAAATAAACTTAGGGTGTTACTGTCATAAGGAGGATAGAAATTTTCTGGACAGACATGATCAGATATCCAACATACTTTGGAGATTTTTAAGGAGATTGAGAAAGGAAAAAATAACATAAACAGATCTGCATTAATGACAACAACAAAGCAAGATGGGCTTTGGAGTAGAAAATGGTCTGAAACGGCTTGGAGTGGATCAAGACTGCATGCAGGGAAGAACAGTTAGTGGGTTAGAGTAGTAATCCAGTGTGATGATAGCCTGGACAGAGGAAATCACAGAAGAATTGGGAATAAGCAGAGAGATTTAAGAGACATGTGGAAGATGAAATGGATGCAACTCAGTGACTCACTGGATTTGAAGGAAATGAAGACCAAGAAGTTATTAAAGATAACCCCTCGGTTTCTGTCTTACACATAAATTGGATAAATGGCCGTGACATTATACTGATAAGAAGTACTAAAAGAATACCAGGTTTGGGAGTTATGGTCTCAGTTTCAGATAAATTTTAGTTCCTTTTGGAACCAGCCAGAAGACACTTACATTGTTTGGGTTTACTCAGGTACATGTATGAAAGGATTTGGAACAAATCACCTTTCATGCTTGGCTAAATTTCCCTAAATCTTCTCCTTTCAGAAAAAAATAGCTTACCACTCTACATAACCTCCAGGAATAAGTGTTGACATTTCTCCCATAATTTTTTTATGCATTGCATAAAGAGAAAAGAAATAATCTCTTTTCTTTCTGAAATCCCCTTCAGCTGGATACACTCTAATCTCTATTAACACAATCCTCTAGTGTACAAGGGACCCTGCTGCAGGCTCCTAGACATCTAGCACATGATGCAATGGGAGACACAAAGACACACACTCATGGCTTCTATTGATGTTCATGTTCTTTTCTTTCTCTTTTTCTCTTTCTTTTCCTTCCTTCCTTCCTTCTTTCCTTCCTTCATTCCTTTCTCTCTTTTTCTTTCTTGATCCCACTCTCTCACCCAGGCTGGAATGCAGTGGCTCAGTTATGGCTCTCTGCACCCTCGAACTCCTGGGCTCAAGTGATCCTCCTGCATCAGCCTCCTGAGTAGCTAGGACTACAGGCACACTCCATCACACCGGGCTAATTTCAAAAGTCTTTTGTAGATCAAGGGTCTCACTATGTTGTCCAGGCTGGTCTCAAACTCCTGGTCTCAGGTGATCTTCCAGCCTCAGCTTCCCAAAATGTTGGGTTTACAGGTACTATTGATGTTCTAATATGCTTTAAGAACTGAGGTGCTGGTGAGGTGTTTGCAGGGGAAGGGCTTCAATTTTAAAACGTACTCCTGTCAGTTTTAGAGTTAGTTCTTCAAGTTTTGCATATAGTATCTTGTTTGGTTGCAAGTGGTAAAAACCCAATTCAAAAAAACTGAAAATTAAAAGGGAATTTATTGGCTCTTATTAAAAAGAAATACAAGGTGATGGTGGCTTGGAGAAGTCTAGAGACATAAAACATTGCTAGATCTTCCTGTCTCTCTCCAGGCTGTATTTTCGTATGTGATTCTTTCAACCACATCTACTGAAGACAGATGACTTTTTGTGGTTTGGTAGGAATGAGATGTGAGGGGTGGGCTAACAAATTCACACTTACATTAACACAGCTTGGCAAACTCAGGAGATTAAAAGAGCTTTCCTCTCCATAGCCCCTTTATAAAACTCAAGGGCAGAAGTTTTATCTTGGTAGGTCATGTGCCAAACCCCAGGAAGATAAGGAATTATGATTGACCAGTTGTGGGGGCTATATAGCTTCTTGGGGGCAGGGATAGAAACCTAGGAATCAAAGGACAAGTAGTTTTCCAAAGGACATGTGCATGTTTGTGGGGAAAGGAAGTGAGGAGAAGGGACACAGTAACCATAAGAAGATAGAAAGGGATGCTTAGTACAAAAATAATAAAAATAATAATTTGTCCTTCTAATTACAAGGTATGAAAATTTCTTCAAGTGTTTGCTCCATGGAGGGGAAAAAGACTTTTTCATAGCTAAGACTTGCCAAGTAGTTCTAAACCCAGGTAAATCCACATCTACCATTAAAATACTCCTCCCATTTCTTCATTAGACAAATATTAACTGAGTGTCTACTTTGTGCAAAGCTTTACTTTAGTTGCAATACGGGAAGCAAAATATAGTGCCTCCCAAGTTATAGTTTAGTGTCTAGGAAGAGAAATTCTCAAACTCAAGTAAGTGGGATTGGGAATGCTGGTGTTCACTATTGTTAGGGTACATATAAAGCTATAGAATGAAAGAATCTCATGGAAATAAAAGGAGCTGTAATAGGGCACAGTCTTATCAAGATTAGGATAGAGGGTTGTTCTGCATCCAAAGAGTGATACCTCTGGGCAGGAATTTTTTGTATCTTCTCTTTAGCGTTTCACCAAATATGTGGTTCAAATAGAGATGACATATCTGTTTCTCTTGGTCCAGCTAAAAAAGGTTTTTTAAAAATACATATATACCAGAGAGGATGCCTGTTTGGCTTTACTAATAACCATTGTGACATCTGAGCAGTGTGTTAAGTTGGTTTCCCACAGAACCCAAGTTGGAGGCAAGGATTTAAGAGCTGGTAGTTAATTTGGGAGATAATTTCTGGAAGCACTTTTAAGGGAGTGGGAAATTGAGACAAGGAAGGTAAGGAAGCTCATTACTGAGCTACTGCTGTAGGCAACTGGATTTTTGTCCCATTGGGGGACTCTGGGAGACAGTGTAGAATATTTCTCAGAGTTATCCCAGTTGAGAGGCAAAGAAGTTGGATATTTCCCCTCCAACTCTCATCTGTCAGTGGCTGAAAGCTAATTTCAGGGGCATTAATGTCCATGTCCATCTAGTATGTCCATTTTCTCAAGTGGTAAGTGGCAGGTGCTTACAGCAAGATGCTGTCAGCGTAAACTGGATCAGGGAGTATGGGAGGGGACACAGGCAGGGAACCAACAGCATCTGTTATAGGGAAAACCCTATTCCTGTCAAATCATAGGTTGACAGCCTTTGGGTCAGTGTCTAATCAGCTTTGGCTCTTGTAGGAATTGTACTTATGTGGTATTAAACAGAATCTAAGACTCCCTTTTCAGGAGGACTGTGAACCATGGCAGGAACTGTTGATTAACATGTCTAATACAAGGTGATAGAAATATGAAGATAGTGGCCGGGCGCTGTGCCTCACGCCTATAATCCCAGCACTTTGGGACGCTGAGGTGGATGGATCACCTAACATTAGGAGTTCAAGACCAGCCTGGCCAACATGGCGAAACCGTGTCTCTACTAAAAATTCAAAAATTAGCCAGGTGTGGTGGCACATGCCTGTAATCCCAGCTACTTGGGAGGCTGAGGCAGGAGAATTGCTTGAACCCAGGAGGCAGTGGTTGCAGTGAGCCTAGATTGCACCACTGCACTCCAGCCTGGGCAACACAGTGAGAACCTGTCTTGAAAAAAATGTTTGTCATGAAGGCCTGAAAACAGCAATATCCCAATAGCAATGAGCACATTTAGCATCAAGATCTTGTTTTTTTTTTTTTTTCCTTCATTAAAAGCAACAAGGCAGAGTCGAGGCAGGAAAATTACAAGATGAGCCTGGAATATCTTGTTGTTGTGTCAGAAAGTAAGGACATGCTCAAAGAAAGATGAGGGTGTTAAAAAAAATAGAAAAGCCAGATTTTGGAGGCTCTCCCTGGCCAAAATTTGGGAGTTTGGTCATCAAAATAAATAACAACATGGATTATAAAATTGAATTAAATATGAATTTATGAAACTATACTGATATAAATAAATAAGTAAATGTAGAGAGGGTAAAGATTTTCCTTACAACTAGTAAATGTAGAAGGAATGATAGAATTAGAAAATCATTATTTGACAACCACCATAGAGATAATTAATTCAGAAAAAAATCAATAAATACTACAACTAATGGATAAAATTTGAAGAATGGAATAAATTACCTCTTAATAAACTCTTATTAATTAGAAAGTTTAAAAAGTATAAATTTACAGTGGAAAAGCTTGGCAGACACCACCTCAATCAAATGTAACTCAAGATTCATTGAGAGGAGTTTTCTTTTCTTTTTTTTAGAGACAGAGTCTTGCTCTATTGCCCAGGCTGGAGTGCAGTAGTATGATCATGACTCACAACTCATTGCAGCCTCAGCCTCCTGAGGAGCTAGGACTACAGGTTCACACCACCATGCCTGGCTAATTTTTTTTCATTTTTTGGTAGAGACAGAGTCTCACCATGTTGGCCAGGCTGGTCTCAAACTCCTGGCCTCAAGTGATCTACCCACCTCAGTCTCCCAAAGTGCTGGGATTACAGGCGTGAGCCACCGTGCCAGCTATTGAGGGGAGTTTTCTAAAACAAAAGGAGTCTCTCCAAAGCAATAACCTCTTTACCTCCAAGGATTAAAATTTCAGCCACCCTCTGTTTACTACCTCCCATATCTTCCCTCACTATCTCCTCCTCAAATGACCCTTTTAACCAAGCTCCCCATTAAAAATAAAAATGAGATAATTCCACTCTGAGTCTTAAAAGACCTCTTTTATTTTCATAACTGCTTCCTTTTCACAAACATTTCAAAATATTTTGAATGGAAATTTTGATTAATTATTGTTTCTTGCTTAAGTTATGGCTGTGTTATTTACAGTGAGAATTGTGACCATAATACACAAAGTACTGGTGAGTTTCAAAGTAGGAAAGTTGCTGGTAAAAGTCTTGCAGGAATTGATACACTGTTTTGACAGTTTACTCACTGTAGTGGATTTTAAAGGGCCACAGACTCTTTGAGCTTTTCCATCAAAATGTATAGTCTATATCCTCATCTCTTGTGACTTTGGCCAATGGAATATGAAGTGACATTGTGGCTTCCTAGCTGAGGCCTCAGAAGTCAAGAAGCTTCTGCTTTTGTCCCCCCGGAATCCAGCTACTATGGGAGAAATCCAGAGCGCCCTTACCACAGAGGCCGTGTAAAGGCAAACCGAAGCATGCAGCCAACAGCTTCAGTCAACCACCAGACACGTGAGTGGAACCATTCAGGACCAGTCAGCCCTCGGTCACCTTGCCAACTGACTGCAAACACATATGCCAATCCAGTCAATCATGGAGAGCAGATATGAGTCAACCCCACTGAGAGTCCTGCTGAAAATATCAACCCATAGAATTAGGAGGCTTAATAAACCAGGAGTTAACCAACTAGAGCTTGTGGGCCAAAACTGGCCCACTGTCATATAAAAAAGGTGTTTAATTTTAATTAAAATTATTTTTAGAGAGTATCTCACTCTGTTGCCCAGGCTGGAGTGCAGTGGCATGATCATAGCTCACTGCAGCCTCAAATTCTTGGGCTTTAGTGATCCTCCTGTCTCAGCCTCCCAAGTAGCTAGGACTATAGGTGCTCTCCATCATGCCCAGCTAATTTTTATTTTACTTTTTGTAGATATGGGGTCTTGCTATATTGCCAAGGCTGGTCTTGAACACCCGGCATCCCAAAGCACTGGGATTATAGGTGTGAGGCACTGCACTTGACCATACTGCCTCTTTTTGTAAATATAATTTTATCGGAACATAGCCACATCCATTTGTTTACATATTGTCTATGGCTGCATTTGAGTTACACTGGAGTTGAGTAGTTGTAACAGAGATTGCATGGTGCACCAAATTTTAACATACCTACTATTTGGCCTTTTGCAGAAAAAGTTTCCCAACCTTTATTTTAAGCCATTAAGTGTTGGGATGGTTTGTCATGCAGCCATAGATAACCCAAACACTTTCTTTACAGCAGAAGTGGAGTCAAGTCCTTGCTTGAACTATGATTAATTTCTGTAATTTCATGTACACATGCTTGAGACCTGTGAAGGCATTTAACTTTATCTAGAGCAACATCTGTTTTCATATGAGTAACAATGTCATTTTTCTAAATAGAATATGTTAATAATGCTTGGCACAACATCCACTTTCTTGATACAAGGCCGTTTTTGAATTTAATAACCAGATAAAATCCAGTATGGCTCTTTTCCATCCTCAAAAAGCATTTCATTTTAAAAATTATTCATGCTAAAGTGATTTCAACTTGATGTCAGAAATGAGCCTCTGCAGTATATGAGAGTCTTTCAAAGTCTAATAATTCACTGCAGAAAGCAACCTCTAAGTATTACTGCTACATTTTCACAAATTTTGCCTGATAGTAGGTCCTTATCTTTTTTTTTTTTAAGAAAAGTAAAATATTAGCCTGTCTTCAACCTTCTGAGAGATGAGCCATGTTTTTGACTTGTACAAGGTATTTTTAAAAACTAATTTTAGGGATTGGCAGATCTGTGTAATCCTGCCTTGTTGAGAAGTATATGAATAGATTTCTGCATGAGCTTGAGAAATATGAATAAATATAATGCCTACAACACTGTCAAACTCAGATATTTATCTGTGTAATGCAGAAGTTTACAATCTATTATTTTATGTCTAAATACATGGACAATCAGTTCAAGCTGATTAAATGCTACTATTTCTGCAACAAACTATGAAATAAAAGTCAAGGAGATGAGAGATATAATGTATTTTTCATGTAGTTATGCAGAAAGATGAAATGTACAGCAGGGCATTAGGGGATGTGGTTGATTCTTCTGGGTCAGTTTTGAAGCAGCTATGAGAGAAAATTCTGGTTATCAAAACAATGTAAAACTTGGGATCTAAATTGCCATCAGTATGAGTTATTGTGATTCTGAGGCCGAAATTTAGGTTAGCAGTCAAATCTGATGGTCTTTCCTCCAAGATATTTTATATCACCCATTCAAATTTTAAGAAAACCTTCTACAGCTCCTACCTTGATCTGTGTCTTTCCTACCTGTTCATAATTTATAACACAGATCCAATACTTTAATATTATTTTAAATAACATATTATATTTTTATTGTTCTTGATCCAGAATTGTAGGATTTTAGAACTGGGAGAGACCTTAGAGATTATCTGGTCCAGTTGCCTCATTTTACAGGAGAGAAGGAATTGTTTCTTTTCATGTGTATATATACCTTATCTCCAAAGGACCAATTTATATAATACCATTTTCACAAACCTAACAAACTATCATATTCTAAATCCTTTTAAGTCAAATAGCAATAATGTGCTTCAACCAGGTTAATTCACTACTTTTAACAATTTAATGAAGAAGTTGATGATATTCTGGTTGTTTACAGATTATGAGAACTTGGTAAGAGTCTTGAATGATCAGCAATAAAATTTAAAGGGATCTAAAAATAACAATAAATTATGAATTTGTCAGTAGGCTTGTGTTATGAGCTGATTTGTGTTCCCTCAGAATTCATATGTTGAAGTCCTAACCACCAGTACCTTGGAATGTGACTGTAGTTGGATATAGGGTCTTTAAAGAGGTAATTAGCCTGGGTGCAGTGGCTCAAGCCTGTAATCCCAGCACTCTGGGAGGCTGAGGCAGGTGGATCACTTGAGATCAGGAGTTTGAGACCAGCCTGGCCAACATGGTGAAACCCTGTCTCTACTAAAAATATAAAAATTAGCCAGGTATGGTGGCGGGTGCCTGTAATCCCAGCTACTCGGGAGGCTGAGGCAGGAGAATCGCTTGAACCTGGGAGGCGGAGGTTGCAGTGAGCAGAGATCATGTGGCACTGCACTCCAGCCTCCTGGGAGACAGAGCAAGACTTTGTCTCAAAAAAAAAAAAAAAAAGAAAAAATAATTAAAGTGAGGTCAGTATAATGGATTATAATCCAATGTAAATCCATTGTAAAATCCAAACCTTTTTCCTCTTGCCTGATCCATAAATCTCTTTCTTTTTCTTTTCTTTCTTTTCTTTTCTTTTTTTTTTTTGAGACAGAGTCTCATTGTTGTTGCCCAGGCTGGAGTGCAGTGGCGCTATCTCGGCTCACTGCAACCTCTGCATCCCAGGTTCAAGCAATTCTCTGCCTCAACCTCCCAAGTAGCTGGGATTACAGGTGCCCACCAGTACGCCCGGCTAATTTTTGTATATTTAGTAGAGATGGGGTTTCACCATGTTGGCCAGGCTGGTCTTGAACTTCTGACCTCGTGATCCAATTGCATCAGCCTCCCACAGTGCTGGGATTGCAGGCATGAGCCACCGTGCCCAGCCTCCATCAATCTCTTAACAAGGCCAAGGAACTGAACTTGCCAAGAAAGAACTTTCCTCGGCCAAAGGAGAAAAAGGAGAGACTGTGAACAGTTAGCCATTAATTTTTTTTTCACTTTGGCAACAATGTGAAATGGCTGTCAAAAAATGTAACTCATTTTGCACATTAGATTGTGCAATATCATTGCCAATATTAAGTTTGCAGTAATCCAATGTGGCTGGTGTCTTTATAAAAAGAGGAGATTAAAGACACAGACGCACACAGAGGAAGGACCAAGTGAAGACACAAGGAGAAGATGACTATCTACAAGCCAAGGAGAAATGCCTCCAAAGAAACTAACCCTGTCAATACTTTGATCTTGGACTTCTAGCCTTCAGAATTGTAAGAAAATAAACTTTGTTTAAGCCACCTAGTATGCAGTACTTTTTTATAGCAGCCCTAGCAAATCAATGCACCTTGTAAAAATGTGGCACCCAAGGCTGAAGATAATAAGGCAAATGTTGTCTGACCAAAGACATAATTGTCATCCTTATTGCACTGAACACCATAGCTCTGTTGATGCAATGTAAGATTTTGTAACCTGTACATAGCTGAGATATCCTGTGACTGATTCTCAGCTCAAAGTTCCAACCAAAGACACACATTTCAGACATCCAAAAATAATTGGAAAAATATTTAAATTTTACTTAAGTCTCTTAGAACACATGCAATGTGATGCAATATTCCTAACACATGGTAACACTTCATTAAAAATCTCGTTCCTCATCTGAAAAGCCCCCCTTGCCACGACGTAGCAGCTAATCTAATTTCTTTTTCTTTTCTCTCCTTCATAAGCTTCCCAAACTTGCTGTCTCAGCCATTGCTTATTGGCGTTTGCCTTTCTCAGCAACTTCTCATCCTCAGGATCTTCTTTTTTCTTGTGCAGCTCTCCAACTTTTCTAAGAGATTAAATCAAACCTTTTCCCTCTTACTCGATCCATCAATCTCTTAACAAGGCCAAGGAACTGAACTTGCCAAGAAAGAACTTTCCTTGGCTGAAGGAGAAAAGGGAGAGACTGTGAACAGTTAGCCATTAATTTTTTTTTCACATTGGCAACAATGTGAAATGGCTGTCAAAAAATGTAATGAATTTTGCACATTACATTGTGCAATATTGTTGCCAATATTAAATCATGGTAATCCAAAAAGTTTCAATGTTTATGTGTTAAGGGAAATCATCCTTATCTTGTACTCATATTGGTGGTTTTTTTTTTAAACATAAATGATGAGCTTTTCGTGGTCTTCCTGATAAGCTTCAAATTTTGGCCCAGGGTTCAAAATCCCAGGAACTTTTCAAATATTTTTTTCTGTCATCTAACATATTGGACATCATTTCTAGTTTAATAAACTGGTTAGGCTTGAGACCACCAGCTGAGTATGAGTCAGCAGTATAGTATGGCTGTTTTTATAAAGCTAACTGTGATAGTGAAATATATTAATAGGTCTCTGACATCCAGGAGCTGGGAAAATATCCTTCTGCTAAACTTAGAAATTGGTCACACCCTTAAAGTATCATGCCAATTTTGGGCACTGACATTTTAATGCACATGTGAAATGGCAGGGAGGATTTGAGAGCAGGATAACAAAAATGAACCAAAAAATGAAATAAAATGCAGTTAAAGTAGTGGTGATTATTGAAATGGGAGAAGAAAATCTTACATTTTAAGGAAGACGCTCAATAAGGAAGACATTTGCCTGTTGCTCTTCAGTTTCTCAGGGAGTCCAGGACAAAACAAGAGGACATGGCCTTTGGAAAACTGGAAACAACATAAAGGTCATTATAGGACTGTCTAAATAAATTATGGTGCCTCCATATAATAGAAAAATACCATGAAACAATTGATAAAAACATAGTGAATATATTTTTTTGTCATCTTGGAGTAAGGAAGGCCTTTCTAATCATCACATAAAATCCAATCCATACAGTAAAAACATTTAACTTTGAAATTTCCATTAGAAAAAAAACTAGAAAGAACATTTAAAAGAAAATATCCTATTCTTCTGCATATGGCTAGCTAGTTATCTCAGCACCATTTATTGAATAGGGAGTCCTTTTCCCATTGCTTGTTATTGTTGCCTTTGTCGAAGATTAGATGGCTATACTGTGTAGCTTCATTTCTGGGTTCTCTATCCTGTTCCATTGGTCTATGTGTGTCTTTGTACCAGTACCATGCTGTTTTGGTTACTGTAGCCTTGTAGTATAGTTTGAAGTCAGGTAGTGTAATGCCTCCAGCTTTGTTCTTTTTGCTTAGAATTGCTTTGGCTATTCAGGCTCTTTTTGAGTTCCATATGAATTTCAGAATATTTTTTTCTAATTCTGTGAAAAATGATGTTAGTAGTTTGATAGGAATAGCATTGAACCTATAGATTGCTTTGGGCAGTATGGCCATTTTAACAGTATTGATTCTTCCAATCCATGAGCATGGGATGTTTTTCCTTTTGTTTGTATAATCTATGACTTATTTCAGCAGTGTTTTGTGGTTCTCCTTGTAGAGATCTTTCACTTTCTTGGTTAGATTAATTCCAAGGTATTTTCTTTTGTGGGTGTGTGTGGCTATTAAAAATGAGATTGTGTTCTTGACTTGGGTCTCAGCTTGAACATTATTGGAGTATAGAAATGCTACTGATTTTTGTACATCAATTTTGTATCCTGAAACTTTAGTGAAGTTGTTTATCAGCTCTAAGGAGCCTTTTGGCAACACCTTTAGGGTTTTCTAGATAAAGAATCATATCCTCAGCAAAGAGAGACAATTTGACTTCTTCTTTTCCTATTTGGATGCCTTTTATTTCTTTCTCCTGCCTGATTGCTCAGGCTAGGACTTCAAGTACTATGTTGAATAGTAGTGGTGAGAA
The DNA here is from genome assembly GCF_000001405.40 of Homo sapiens. Taxonomy (NCBI): domain Eukaryota; kingdom Metazoa; phylum Chordata; class Mammalia; order Primates; family Hominidae; genus Homo; species Homo sapiens. The sequence continues at coordinate 56,792,899 of NC_000015.10, read as the reverse complement.
TGGGCATACTTGTCTTGTTCTAGCTCTTAAGGCAAATGCTTCCAGCTTTTGCCCATTCAGTATAAAAAGTTGTCTGTGGGTTTATCATAGATGGCTCTTACTATTTTGAGGTATATTCCTTCAATGCCTAGTTTGTTGAGGGTTTTTATCATAAAGGGATGTTTGATTTTATCAAAAGCTTTTTCTACATCTATTGAGATGATCTTATGGTTTTTAATGATGTTTATGTGGTGAATCACATTTATTGATTTGCATATGTTGAATGATCCCTGTAACCCAGGAAAAGAGCCTACTTGACTGGCTAGCCACATGCAGAAGAATAAAACTGGACCTCTACATTTCACCATATACAAAAATTAACTCAAGATAGATTAAAGACTTAAGTGTAAGATCTAAAACTATAAAAACCCTAGGAGAAAACCTAAGAAATACCATTCTGGACATCAGCCTTGGCAAAGAATTTATGACTAAGTCCCCAAAAGCAGTTGGAACAAAACCAAAAATCGACAAGTGGGACCTAATTAAACTAAACAGCTTCTATACAGCAAAGGAAACTATGAACAGAGTAAACAGACAACCTGAAGAATGGGAGAAAATATTTGAAAACTGTGCGTCCAACAAAGGTCTTATATCTGGAATCTATAACGAACTTAAACAATTCAACAGACGAAAAATGAATAACCCCATTAAAAAATGGTCAGAGGACATGAACAGACACTTTTCAAAAGAAGACATACATGCAGTCAATAAATATATGAAAAAAGTCTCAACATCACTAATCATTAAAGAAATGCAAATCAAAACCATAATGAGACACCATCTCATACCAGTCAGAATGGCTACTATTAAAAAGTCAAAAAATAATGGATGTTGGTGAGGTTGCAGAGAAAAGAGAACACTTACAAACACTGTTGGTGGGAATGTAAATTAGTCCAGCCACTGTGGAAAGTAGTTTGGAAATTTCTCAAATAACTTAAAACAGAACTATTATTTGACCCAGAAATCCCACTACTAGGTGTATACCCAACGGAAAATAAATCATTGTACCAAAAAGACACATGCACTCATATGTTCATCACAGCACCATTCACAATAGCAAAGACATGGGATCCACCTGGATGCCCATCAGTGGTGGACTGGATAAAGAAAATATGGTATGTATACACCATGGAATACTATGCAGCCATGAAAAAGAACAAAATCATGTCCTTTGCAGCAACATGAATGTAGCTGGATGCCATTATCCTAAGTGGATTAATGCAGGAACAGAAAACCAAATGCCACACATTTTCACTTAAAGTGAGAGCTAAACATTGAGTACACATGGCCATAAAGATGGGAACAATAGACACTGGGCACTAGGGACTTCTGGGGTGGGGGAAGGGTATGAGGGAGGGTTGAAAAACTACCTATCTGGTACTATGCTTACTGTCTGGGTGATGGGAATCATTCATACACCAAACCTCAGCAACAAAAAATTTACTCATATAACAAACATGCACATATACCCCATGAACCTAAAATAAAGGTTGAAAAAAAAAGAAAATGTCAGAGTAAATAATGGGCAGAGAGCTAATTTCTTTAATGTACAGAAAAACTGAACAAATTAATAAGAAAACACTAACCACCCAATGGAAAAATGGACAAAGTATTTTTTAAGTTTATATTAAAATAAATGCAAATAGATAATAAAAATAATAAAAGTTGTTTAACTTCACTAATAATTAGAGAAATCTATTCCTAAGTAGAATTAGATACACTTTAAAAAATCCTGTTCAGCTGGAGTCTAAAAAAAAAAAATCCTGTCAAAGGGGTAGTATGAATTGGTATAAACTTCTTGGAGAATAATTTGGCAATATTGACAAAAATGTAAAATATGCACACTCTTTGATCCAATCATTTCACTTCTAGAAATTAATCCTGCAGATATTCTTGCATAAGTATGGAAAGATACAGACCCAATTAAGGTGTTGTTATAAGGAAAAAAGATCCCCAAGTGCCCATCAGTTAGAAACTGTTTATAAATTATGGCTAATATATACAGATGCTCTTTGACTTATGGTAGAGTTATGCCCCTATAACCCATTGTAAGTTCAAAATACCCTAAGTAAAAAATGCATTTAATGGCCAAGCATAATGGCTCTCACCTGTAATCCTAACAGTTGGAAGGCTGAGACAGGAGGATCCCTTGAGGTCAGGAGTTCAAGACCAGCCTGGGCAATAGAGTGAGAGCCCCATCTCTATGAAACACAAAAAAATTAGCTGAGTATGGACGTGCACACCTGTAGTCCTAGCTGCTTAGGAGGCTGAGGTGGTAGAATCGCTTGAGCCCAGGAGGTCAGGGTTGCAGTGAGCTATAGTTGCACAATTGCACTCCAGCCTGGATGACAGAGTGACACTTTGTCTCAGAAAAATAAATAAAATAAAATGCATTTAATACACCTAAGTTACCGAACATCATAGCTTAGCCTATCTATCTTTTTTTTATTGATAGGAAAACAATAATGATTATTGTTTATTCATACTAAGGAGACATGAACAATGACATTGAGCAATTTACCACTTAATTAAGAGTACTTACTTATACATTGCTATATGACCTTTGGCAAGATTACACTATTCTGACCTAAGTTGTCTGCTTTTTTCGTTTGTTTGTCTTATTTCTACTTTGTCTTTATGTTAGTATAATTCTTGCTACTCCATAATGACTTCATATTTTTTCATAAAACTGGGGTATTAATCATGGTACTCCTGTATCAATTATATAGGTATACTTTCTTTTTTTCTCATTTTAAATTTTAAAAAATTTTACTTTAAGTTCTGGAATACATGTGTAGAACATGCAGGTTTGTTACATAGGTATACATGTGTCATGGTGGTTTGCTGCACCTATCAACTTGTCATCTAGGTTTTAAGCCCCACATGCATTAGTTATTTGTCCTAATGCTCTCCCTTCCCTTGCTCCTTCTCCCACAACAGGCCCTGGTGTGTGATGTTTTCCTCCCTGTGTCCATGTGTTCTCACTGCTCAACTCCCACTTATGAGTGAGAACATGGGGTTTGGTTTTCTGTTCCTGTATTAGTTTGCTGAGGATGATGGTTTCCAGCTTCATCCATGTCCCTGCAAAGGACATGAACTCATTCTTTTTTATGGCTGCATAGTATTCCATGGTGTATATACGCCATATTTTCTTTATCCAGTCTATCATTGATGGGCATTTGGGTTGGTTCCAAGTCTTTGCTATTGTAAATAGTGCTGCAATAAACATACCTGTGCATGTGTCTTTGTAGTGGAATGATTTATAATACTTTGGGTATATACCCAATAATGGGATTGCTGGGTCAAATGATATTTCTGGTTCTAGATCCTTGAGGAATCACCACACTGCCTTCCACAATGATTGAACTCATTTACACTCCCATCAACGGTGTAAAAGTGTTCCTATTTCTCCACAGCCTCGCCAGCATCTGTTGTTTCCTGACTTTTTAATGATTGCCATTCTAACTGGTGTGAGATGGTATCTCATTGTGGTTTTGAGTTGCATTTTTCTAATGACCAGTGATGATGGGCTTTTATTCATATGCTTGTTGGCCACATAAATGTCTTCTTTTGAGAAGTGTCTGTTCATATCCTCACCCACTTTTTGTTGAGGTTGTTTGTTCTTTTCTTGTAAGTTTGTTTAAGTTCCTTATAGATTCTGGATATTAGACCTTTGTCAGCTGGATAGATTGCAAAATTTTTCTCCTATTCTGTAGGTTGCCTGTTCACTCTGATGATAGTTTCTTTTGCTGTGCAGAAGCTCTTTAGTTTAATTAGATCTCATTTGTCAATTTTGGCTTTTGTTGCCATTGCTTTTGGTGTTTTAGTCATGAAGTCTTTGCCCATGCTTATGGCCTGAATAGTATCGCCTCAGTTTTCTTCTAGGGTTTTTATGGTATTAGGTTTTACATTTAAGTCTTTAATCCTTTTTGAGTTAGTTTTTGTATAAGGTGTAAGGAAGGGGTCCAGTTTCTGTTTTCTGCTAGCCAGTTTTCCCAGCACCATTTCTTAAATAGGGAATCCTTTCCCCATTTCTTGTTTTTATCAGGTTTGTTGAAGATCAGATGGTTGTAGATGTGTGGTGTTATTTCTGAGGTCTCTGTTATGTTCCATTGGTCTACATACCTGTTTTGGTATCAGTACCATGCTGTTTTGGTTACTGTAGCCTTATAGTATAGTTTGAAGTCAGGTAGAATGAGCCTAGTCTGTCTTAAATGTGCTCAGATCACTGACATTAGCCTAGAGTTGGGCAATATCATTGGCAACACTATCCATTGGAGAGTATCCGTTGTCTGTCCTCCTGTTTGATTGACAGCTGACTGGAAGCTGAGGCTCACTGCTATTGCCTAGCATTGTGAGTATTGGACAGCATATTGTTAGGCCAGGAAAAGATCAAACTTCAAAATTTGAAGTACAGTTTCTACTGAATGCATATCCCTTTCACATCATTGTAAAGTTGAAAAACTGTAAGTCGAATCAGCATAAGTCAAGAATAGTCTATAATATGAAATTCTAGACAGCCATTTTATATTCCCGTGCCTACAGACATGAGTGGCTTGGATATATTATTAGATGAAAAACAAATTTTAGAAAGCATTATGTATAGTATAATCTTACTTGCAGAAAAATATATGAGGCAACATGGTATGCTGGTGGTCAGGCCTACATTCCCTAAAAAAAGCGAATGAAAGTTTCTTTCTAGTGAAAGGGATCAGTCTAAAAGAAGTACTAGCAATTAGATTTTGAGGTCCTATTCCTTCTATAGCAGTGGACTCATCAGTTAGGAAGCCTCACTCAGGCACACAGAGCTTCCAGTCAAATCAGTTTTTAGTGACTTGTTAAATATGAAAAGACAAAATTATAAAACATTTGAGGAATGCCGCCAACATAAAGTAGAGACTAAAACAGAAAAATAAAGCAACTCAGGAAACAGTTAACCCAGAAATAATACTTAGAGAAGAAAAAAATTTTATTTAAACCATTAATACCTTCAGCTTTCATGACACAAAAAATAATTCTATTTTCTATAAAAGACCCACCATCCCCCAAAAGAAAAGAAAGTTTTATGGATAATAAGTAGCTTTGGAAAAATTCAGTCTGGGCACGGTGGCTTTTGCCTGTAATCCCAGTACTTTGGGAGGCTGAGGCGGGTGGATCAGGAATTCAAGACCAGCCTGGCTAATATGGTGAAACTTCCTCTCTACTAAAAATACAAATATTAGCTGGGCGTGGTGGTGTGCACCAGTAATCCCAGCTACTCGGGAGGCTGAGGCAGGAGAATCATTTGAACCCGGGAGGCAGAGGTTGCAGTGAGCCAAGATCATGCCACTGTACTCCAGCCTGGGCGACAGAGTGAGACTGTCTCCAAAAAAAAAAAAAAAAGGAAAATTAAATAGAAGAGTTGGAAGGTAAAGCTCCCACTTTATCTCCCAAAAATAATACAGAAATACAAGAGATAGAAAAGAGGAAAGAAAAGATTATCAATCCGAGAAAGGCAATCGGAGTAACAGAAGTTCCAAAATTAAAAAACAAAAACAAAATGGAGGAAGGAAATAATCACACAAACACCAAAAGTTCCCCAGAACAGAAGGATACAAGTTTCCAAATCGAAACTGCATAAAGAGCATAATAAGTGATAGCACGCTGAATGAAAAAACACCCATACCAAAGCAGATTCATTGTGAAATTTCAGATCTCCAGTCATAACGAGAGAATCTTAAAAGGAAAAAAACACACAAACCAGATGACATACAAAGTTTTAAAACTCAGATGGCAGATGAGTCAACAGCAATGCTGACAGCTAAAACACACTGAAGTCAGGACTTCCGAAATTCTAAAGGAAAATTGTTTGCAACCTAAAATCTATAGCCAGACAAACTACAAATTAAGTAAGGGTAAATAAAGACATTTTCACTCATTCAAGAGCACAATTTGCTGTTCATATTGAGTTTTTCAGAAAGTTACTCAAACATGTGCTTCATCAATGAAGAAGTAAAGCAGAAAAAAGTACAGTACTGGAGTTCAAGAAACAAGACATCCAACATAGGAGAGAGAGGTAAGATAATTTCAAGGTGAAAACTTCCAGTTCAAACGAAGTGGGACTATGGAGGAGGACAAAAGGGATGTTGTCAAAGGAAAAAACCAAAACGAACTGATGTGTTTGAGCTACACTGACTTAAATTTTATGGTTCTATTGGAAGGTCTGGGATCTGTTTCATAAAAAACTAAGCCAGTAGGAAAACAAAAACAAAAACCGAGGTGATTACTGACTCCAGGAAATGTAAACGTTGTAATAGAAATGAAATGTAGTACAGTGCATTCAATGACTGTGAACGATGCTGAGAGAGATTATATATATCTATGTATGAGATATCTATTATATATAGATATATATATGAGATATCTATTATATATGGATATCTCATATATAGCTACATATTATATCTATAATATATATCTCTATATAAGAGATATATATTATATATAGATATCTAAAAACAGAAACCGAAGTGATTACTGACTCCAGGAAATGTAAACGTTGTAATAGAAACGAAATGTAGTACAGTGCATTCAACGACTGTGAACGATGCTGAGATATATATCTATATGTATCTATATGAGATATATTATATATTATACATATTATATATTTTATATTATATAATAATATATATAATATATATATAATATCACAATGATGTGATAGAATGATAAAAACTTGAAAACTAGGCCAGGCATGGTGGCTCATGCCTGTAATCCCAGCACTTTGGGAGGCCGAGGCGGGAGGATCACTTGAGCCCAGGAGTTCGAGACCAGCCTGGGCAACACAGGGAAACGTTGTCTCTACAAAAAGTAAAAAAGAATTAGTTGGGGCCCGATGGCATGAGCCTGTAGTCCCAGCAACTTGGGAGGCTGAGGTAAGAGAATCGCTTGAGCCTGAGAGGTCGAGGCTGCAGTGCACCATGATCATACCACTGTACTCCAGCCTGGATGACAGAGTGAGACACTCTCTCAAAATAAATAAACAAATAAATAGGAAAAAGAAAAAGAAAAATTATGTCTCAGAAACCTTGAAGTCTAGAAATGACCTTGCCTGGCTTTTAGTCAGGAGCTTGGAAACTTGCTGAGAACGTATTTTAAAAGGGAGAAGAAATGGACTCACTGGGACACATACTGGTGTAAATTCAAAGCAAAAAGGAGTAGAAGGAAAGGAAAAAAAGAAAGGAATAATAGCAAAAGAAATATTGGCGGTGACTTTTATCAAGACATGGGCTAAAAACAGGTCTTATGCTGCCTATGCAAAACGGTCAGTATTTTCTGCTGGAACCCTGCCCTTGGCTGCATTTCCAGGACTTGGAAGGTTTCTGATTAATTGATTGGCCAAAATGTAATGGGAACATGGAGCCTTCCTTTCCTATTGCCATATGGCTGTAACCAGGCAAATGTTCCCAATATCCCATCATGGAACTCTGAGTATATTTTCCTGTGAAAAAACTTTGCACAAATGAACTATGTATACCTGTAGTCCAGCTATTCTGGAGGCTGAGGCAGGAGGATTACCTGAGCCCACGTACTCAAGACCAGCCTGGGCAACAAAGTGAAACCTCGTCTTAAAAAAGACTTTTTTTTTTTTTTTTTTTTTTTGCACAAATAAACTTTTAGATTTGTCCTTGGCTCAGTTTGGCTTGTGGCTCCAGCCTTTATCTCTTACCAATCTTCTGACATTCTATCATCTAGCTATACCAACTATTTGTAATTCCCTCAACATGCATTAGCAGAGCATCTTAAGTTGCTTACATCATATATTTAATACATTTTCCCTTCTTCCATTTTAACAGAATTTTGATTTTTTGGGGGGTAATTTTGTGCCCTGCTTTAAAAGGGTAAAATAAATAATGAAAAGAAAACTTCTATGCCTTAGCTTCCTTTGGAGATAGGTGCTGCTATAGGATACCACTGTGACCAAAGAGATATAAATGGAATTCTGCTGGGGATTTCTAAGAAAGTTTTACTTCCCTTGTATGGGCACTGGAACTTCCTTCAGTTACTGGAAAGGGCTCCTGATCCAAACACCAAGAGAGGGTTCTTGGATTTCGCACAAGAAAGAATTTAAGGAGAACCCACGGTACAAAGCGAATGTAAGTTTATTAAGAAAAAGAAGGAATAAAAGAAAGGCTACTCCATAGGCAGAGGCAGCAGAATGAGGTGCTGGTTGGCCATTTTTATGGTTATTTCTTGATTATATGCTACAGAAGGGGTGGACTATTCACTGATTTTCCAGGAAAGGAGTGGGCAGTTCCCAGATCTGAGGGTTCCTCGCCTTTTTAGACCATATAGGGTAGCCTTCTGATGTGCCATGGTATTTGTAAACTGTCATGGTGCTGTTGGGAGTGTAGCAGTGAGGACGACCAGAGGTCACTCTTGTCGCCATCTTGGTTTTGATGGGTTTTACTGGCTTCTTTACTGCAACCTGTTTTATCAGCAAGGTCTTTATGACCTGTATCTTGTGCAGACCTCCTATCTCATCCTGTGTCTTAGAATGCATTAACCTGCTGGGATGCAGTCCAATAGGTCTCAGACTCAATTTACCCAGCCCCTATTCAAGATGGAGTTGCTCTTGTTCAAATGCCTCTGACACTTCTTTCTGCTTGAAGTATGGAACTTGAAAGCTGGAGTTGAAATGACCATCTAGAGACCCCAAGGGATAGGCCAAAAGAACCCCAAAGACCTAGGACTTGACATCCTTCAGGTCATTATGTCAATACCAGCAAGTGCCTACCTCTAGATTTCCAAGTATGTGAGAAAAAGAACTCCAACTTTGTTTAAATCCCTGTTATTGGTATTTTCAGGTAAATGCAGCCCGATGCAATTCCTCTCTTCTTTACATTTTTGTTACCGGAAATGGGTATTGATCTAGACCCCAAAAGAGGGTTTTTGGATCTCACACAATAAAGAATTCAGGGTAAGTCCACAGAGAAAAGTGAAAGCAAGTTCATTAGAAAAGCAAAGGAATAAAAAATGACTGCTCCAAAGACAGAGCAGCCCCAAAGGCTGCTGGTTGGCTATTATTATGGTTATTTGTTGATGATATGCTAAACAAGGGGTGGATTACTCATGAGTTTTCCAGGAAAGGGGCAGGGAGCTCCCAGAACTGAGGGTTCCTCTTCCTTTTAGACTATATAGGGTAAACTTCTGGAAGTTGCCATGGCATTTGTAAACTGTCATGGTGCTGGTGGGAGTGTCTTTTAGTATGCTAATGCATTATAATTAGCATACAGTGAGCAGGGAGGACAACCAGAGATCACTTTTGTTGCCATCTTGGTTTTGGTAGGACTTGGCCAGCTTCTTTACTGCGTCCTGTTTTATCAGTAGGATCTTTGTGACTTGTATCTTTTGCCGACCTCCTATCCCATCCTGTGACTAAGAATGTCTAACCTATTGAGAATGCAGCCCAGCAGATCTCAGCCTCGTTTTACCCAGCCCCTGCTCAAGATGGTGGCGCTCTGGTTCAAATGCTTCTGACAGTTTTACAAATTATTTTCCCACCTGGTATGGGTCTAGCAGAAGAAATAACGTGTAGCGGGTGAACTACAACTAATACTTCAAGATTTATCTAAAGGCATTTCTTCCTCCTTGCAAAGCTTTCCCTTACTTCTTTTTGCAAACTCAGCCTATTACGCATTCTTCTGTGCTCCCATAACACTTGTATAAACCCTTTTGATCATCTGTATGTTGATATATCTCAAACTTGACTTTGAACTCCTTGACAGCAAGACTGAGTTGTACCACTTTTGTATCTCCTTGCAGAGCCACAGACACAGAGGCACAACAAATATCGATCAAATGAATGTTGAATAAACTCAGACTATCTTGAGAACCCAAAGTACCTGTTAATTTCTTGATTGTAAATTTATTCTCCCAAATGCAAATGTGATGCAATTTTGCCTTCTGTGGCACAGACTTTAGAACCATCTAAAATACTGAAATGAGATACGTGGGTGTTCACTAACTCAAGCTATATTAACAGTCAGAAATAAACGCTTTTAAGGTTCTGAATTAGGCAAAAAAAGGAGGGAAACAAATATTCATTGAGCACTTACTATGTGTGAGGCATTGTGTTCCGAGGCTTATCTCACTTACCAAAGCAACTCTACAACATTAATCCCGCATAGCAGAAAAAGAAACTGAGGATACAGATATTGATTAATATGCCAAAGGTCACAGAGCTAGTAAACAGCAGCCAGAGAATGCCTTCAGACTTCGAGTGACTTTCCATTTCCCGCTGTATCAAGCTACCACTCGTTTTAAAAAGCTAGAATGTAAACTTTAAAATGCAGTGTAGTGTTGCATTATCTCCACCTCTAGACTTTCCCATTCTGGCACAGGGCAAAGCCCAAAAGTAGGGCTCAGCCCGGGAAGCCACATGGGTCGTTGGCTCAGCTCATGAAGGAATTTAAGAGCCAGCCGACAGAGTAAAGTGAAAGCAAGCTTATTAACAAAGTAAATGAATAGAAGGGCCAGGTGTAGTGGCTCATGCCTATAATCCCAGCGCTTTGGGATACCAAGGCTGGTGGATCACTTGAGGCCAGGAGTTCAAGACCGGTGTGGCCAACATGGTGAAAACTCGTCTCCACTAAAACTATGAAAATTAGCCGGGCTTGGTGGTGGGCTCCTGTAATACCAGCTACTCTGGGGGCTGAGTCAGGAGACTTGCTTGAACCCGGGAAGCGGAGGTTGCAGTGAGCCGAGATCGTGCCACTGCACTCCAGCCTGGGTGACAGAGTGAGACTTTATCTCAAAATAAATAAATAAATAAAGGAATAAAAGAGAAGTTACTCCACAGGCAGAGCACCCATTGTGGGCTGCTGGCTGGCTCTTTTTAAGGTTATTTTTTGAGGACTTGTTAAACATGGGGTGGATTTTTCATGAGTTTTCCAGGAGAGGGGTGAGGATTTCCCAGAACTGAGGGTTCTTCTTTCTTTTAGACCATATAAGGTAACTTCAGGACATTGGCATGGCATTTGTAAACTGTCATGGTGCTGGTGGTGGGGGGGGGGTGTCTTTTAGTATGCTAGTGCATCATAATTAGCATATAATGAACAGTGAGGACGGGTACAGGTTGCTTTTGCTGCCATCTTGGTTTTGGTGGTTTTTGGCTGGCTTCTTTATCGCACACTGTCTTATCAACAGGGTCCTGTAAAAGAAGTCCAGATGAATTCTTATCTCAATTCCAATTAGACCAATACACTGTGGTCAAATTTACCTACCTTAAACACAACTCAATTTTTTTTTTTTTGAGACAGTCACTCTGTCGCCCAGGCTGGAGAGCAGTGACATGATCTTGCCCCACTGCAACCTCCACCTCCCAGGTTCAAGTGATTCTCTTGCCTCAGCACCCTGAGTAGCTGGGATTACAGGCACCCGCCACCATGCCCAGCTAATTTTTGTATTTTTAGTAGAGACAGCGTTTCGCCATGTTGGCCAGGCTGGTCTTGAACATCTGACCTCAGGTGATCCACCCGCATCGACCTCCCAAAGTACTGGGATTACAGGTGTGAGCCACACTGCACCTGGCCAAACACAACTCTAATTATGACACTCATCTGAATAGAGCATCGATAGTTTTCCACAGTCTAGTGACAAAAGCCTCTAATTTGTGCTTATTTCACCAACGTACCTGTGTCCCGGCCAGACTCTCCTTTTGCTACCAGTGTTCCAAAATCCTAAATAGACCTTTCTACAATATTGACATAGTGTTTACATCTCACTGCCTTCAGAGACATTGCTCAAATTTTGTTTCTACCACCGAGTTTTAAAATTTTTTCACATAATTGGAGTGAAATAATCTTATTTTCCTCTACTCCTACTATAGCTTATTAATTTTACTCCTTTTTGCATTTTTAACTTCGTTCGTAAACAGCTTATTTGTAAGCTCCTAAAAGGTAGGACCATGACTTTTCATTTTGGAATCCCTCTATTATGGACATGGTATTGTGTCTGGAATTGGTGGGTTCTTGGTCTCACTGACTTCAAGAATGAAGCCGCAGACCCTCAGAGTGAGTGTTACAGTTCTTAAAGGCGGCGTGTCCGGAGTTTTTTCCTTCTGATGTTTGGATGTGCTCGGAGTTTCTTCCTTCTGGTGGATTCGTGGTCTTGCTGGCTCAGGAGTGAAACTGCAGACCATCGCGGTGAGTGTTATAGCTCTTAAGGCAGCGCGTCTGGAGTTGTTCGGTCCTCCTGGTGGGTTTGTGGTCTCGCTGGCTTCCGGAGTGAAGCTACAGACCTTCGCAGTGAGTATTAACAGCTCATAAAGGAAGTGTGGACCCAAAGAGGGAAGAGTAGTAAGATTTATTGCAAAGAGCAAAAGAACAAAGTTTCCACAGGTGGCCCCACAGGTTGCTACTGCTGACGCAGGCAGCCTGCTTTTATTCTCTTATCTGGCCCTACCCACATCCTGCTGATTGGTCCATTTTACAGAGAGCCCATTGGTCTGTTTTACAGAGAGCTGATTGGTCCGTTTTGACAGGGTGCTGATTGGTGTGTTTACAATCCCTGAGCTAGACAGAAAAGTTCTCCACATCTCCACTAGATTAGCTAGATACAGTGTTGATTGGTGTATTTACAAAACCTGAGCTAGACACAGAGTGCTGATTGGTGTGTTTACAAACCTTGAGCTAGATACAGAGTGCCCATTGGTGTATTTACAATCCCTCAGCTAGACGTAAAGGTTCTCCAAGTCCCCACTAGACTTGGAGCCCAGCTGGCTTCACCCAGTGGATCTCCCATCGGGGCTGCAGGTAGAGCTGCCTGCCAGTCCTGTGCGGTGCGCCCACACTCCTCAGCCCTTGGGCAGTCGATGGGACTGGGCGCCGTGGAGCAGGGGGCGGCACTCGTCGGGGAGGCTAGGGCTAAGCAGGAGCCCATGGTGGGGGTGGCAGGGGTGGCAGGGGTGGCGGGTCGGGGGGAGGCTCAGCCATGACATGGGGGGCTGCAGGTCCCAAGCCCTTCCCCGCGGGGAGGCAGCTAAGGCCCGGTGAGGAGGGAAGCGCTGGTGGGCCAGCACTGCTGGGGGACCCAGTGCACCCTCTGCAGCTGCTGGCCTGGGTGCTAAGCCCCTCACTGCCTGGTCGGCAGGGCCGGCCGGCCGCTCAGAGTGCAGGGCCCGCCAAGCCCACGCTCACCCAGAACTCTAGCTGGCCCGCGAGCGCATCCCTGGTTCCTGCCCGTGCCTCTCCTTCCACACCTCCCCGCAAGCCCAGGGAGCCGGCTCCGGCCTCGGCCAGCCCAGAGAAGGGCTCCCACGGTGCAGCGGTGGGCTGAAGGGCTTCAAGCACGGCCAGAGTGGGCACCCAGGCCGAGGAGGTGCCGAGAGCGAGCGAGGGCTGCGAGGGACACCAGCATGCTGTCACCTTTCAGTATCAGGTGCTCAATAAGTAAATGAATGATAAAAAGTCCAAATAATTGCACCTTGCTTGTCATTACTTTTTGTTCTCTACTTTACCTTTGCCCTAATTTCAAACATGAGTGACAGTAGGCTCACAATTTCAGCATTATACTTTCAAAAGTTTAAGTAAGTTTATTTTATCCCTCTATATTTCTCCTTATCCTCGTTGTTATATATTATGGTAGAAGAGCAGTAAATAAAACCATGCATTTTAAATATTTCAGCAGCTAAAAAAAATTAAGAATCAGTTCATTGCCCTGAAATAGAAAGCTCATTTGTTCACAACTTTTCCCACAAACGGAAAAGTAGTGCCTTCTAAAATGCTCAACCCCACAAACATTCCTTTAAATTCATAAAGATGCTCTGTAGGCAATGAATAATATAAAATGACCACACAAAAACAAAACAAAAACAAACTATCCCTGTCTTCAGCCAGGAATGTACTGGTGAGGGTGACCCTAAGAGATGCAACTCCAGGTCATTCCAGAAACTGATTTGAAAACAGCAAGGTTAACCTTTAAGTGGAGCAAGGACCAAACCCTGAGAAATAAAGCACAAGACCCAGAGCACAGGATGAGGCTGCTTTCCAAAGTTCCTAATCCACCTAGAAACCAGGCCCTCTAAAAGGAACCCAATCGACTTTGTTACCCTACTCTGAAACTTAACCAGAGAAGAGGAAGAGACTGAAAATCACACATCACACCTAGAGCCCAGACAAACTTTGTCTCAAACTACTGTCTGTTCTTGGGTGCCGTTCAGTTCCCAAAGAGAATTATTTGCTAAACATTGACTAAAGATTGGGTCCATTCATTCCCCTTAAAAAACTATTTACTACTCCTCAAAATTGCTACACCTGCCATCTCCCCTTCCCTTATGAAGGTGTATAAACATCTGGATCTCATTGGGTTATTGGCTAATCATTCTCCTACAATTTCCCTGTGCTAAGCATATTAAATACATCTGTATGTCTTTTCTCCTGTTAATCTGTTGATTGTCAGTTCATTTTCAGCAAACCTTCAGAGGGTGGAAGGAAACTTTCCCTTGGCCCCTACAGATTTTTGCTTAAGAAACATAATTTTTCCCTGCAGAGACTTGGTACATGTAGAGCATAAAAAATGTTTGTGGATTCAACTATGTATAAAAGAAAAAGATAAAATCATAATTAGCAAAGGGAATGAGGATATAAACCTTTCTAGGTCTTCTTAGGAGAGTAAAGATTTGGGGTCAGTGAGTGTATGTATCTTGAAAGATAGTCAAGTAGCTTATAGTAAGTGCTAAAGGAATTTGAGGGAAAGAAAGATTATTGAAGGTTGACAGAGGGAAAGAAAGATTATTGAAGGTTGACATGTATAATAAAACTTCAGAGTGGAGGTAGCTTTTGAGCTGTTCTTTGAAGAAAGTATTGTAAGGTGAAGGGAAGACATTTTAACTAGTCGAAATCACTTGACTAAGATGGGAAGGAACACAGGTGTTATGTATGGGGAGTCTGAACTTGGAGAATGGAAGGATCCTCTGAGGAGTAGTACAAGAAAAGGTTGGAAATAAGACTGGTGACTAGGCTGTAAGAAGACTGAATTTCAGGCTGAAGAGCATGGGGTGGGAAGGTATGATCCTTTTCCTTATCCATCATAAAGGTCACGGCCAACACCCCTATAACAAAAACAAGTTAACAAGAGAAAAGCATAACAAATTTATGTAATGGAAGTTTTATGTGACACAGGAAACCTTAAAAATGAAGACTCAAGGAAGACCCAGGAAAAACTTTTTTTTTTGTTTTTTGTTTTGTATTTGTTTTTGTTTTTGTTTTTTTTGAGACGGACTCTTGGTCTGTCGCCCAGGCTGAAGTGCTGTGGCGTGATCTCGGCTCGCTGCAACCTCTGCCTCCCAGGTTCAAGCATTTTTCATGCCTCAGCCTCCCAAGTAGCTGGGATTACAGGTGTGTGCCACCATGCCTGGCTAATGTTTGTATTTTTAGTAGAGGTGCGGTTTCACCATGTTGGTCTGGCTGGTGTCAAACTCCTGACCTCAAGCCTTGGCCTCCCAAAGAATTACAGGCATGAGCCACCATGCCCAGCTCTGTTTTTATGCTTAGGTATGATAAAGAATGCACAGCCATGTAGAAATGTGATTGGACAAAAGGGTTTGATCTAATGCTAATGGAGGGAGGATGGGAAAACCAGCAAGGCCTGTATATTCAGATTCTTCTTGGCCTCTCTGTGTAGAAATCTTCCTTATTCAGTATGGAGCAGGACCCCTCCAGAATGAGGGTTTTCAAGGGAGAGGGAAAAGAGTGACCTTTCCAGATTTTTATTTGTTTGTTTTTGAGATGGGGTCTCACTGTGTTGCCCAGGCTGGCGTGCAGTGTTGTGACCATAGCTCACTGCAGCCTTGAACTGCTAGGCTCAAGCAATCCTTTCACCCCAGCCTCCCAGATAGGTAGGACTACAGGCAAGTACCACCATGCTTAGCTAATTTTTCATTGTTTTATAGACACGGGGTCTTACATGTTGCCCTGACTGGTCTTGAACTCCTGGCCTCGAGCTATCCTCTCTTTGGCCTTCAGAAGTGCTGGGATTACAGGTGTGAGCTGCCCGTTCCAGGTTTTCTGGTTTGCTTTAGGGAAGAGGGGTGACTCACCTTGGGGAACAGGAATTCTGGTTTCTATGACTCTCTTAGGTGGAGAAAGAGGAGTGGGACACAAGAAGACAGGAGAAGGTCAGACGGACCTTGATACTGATGTAAGAGGCTTTCGAACCAGAGCCACCTAATCTTTTTTTATCCTATGCGTACAAGCATTGTACCTAGGGTGAATGCATTCCTCCTCTTAGTTTCGCGAATGCCCTACACTGTCTATGGAGTAGCTGTTCTTTCACCACTTTACTTACTTAATAAACTTGCTTTTGCTTTGCACTGCAGACTTGCTCTGAATTCTTTCTTGTGTGAGATCCAAGAACCATCTCTTGGGGTCTGGATCGGGACCCCTTTCCTGTAACACTGAGACCTTTCCAATTTCCTTCAGTTCAAAGTACTTAACATGCCAAGGTGCCATACTTTTTGGAATCATATTCTGAGTCCGAGAAGAGTTTGATTTTATTCTGAAATCAGAAGATGGTCATTAAAAAAAAGATGAGATGGGGGTTGGTGGGTATGTAAACAATGATCTTTTATAAAAATCTGTCAGCATTGTAGAGAATTGACTGGAAGGTAGAGGGACCCATAAGGTGGTAGAAGCAATTAAGGGACTGTAGTAATTGTGTAATCATAAGGCAGTTGAGACCTTGACTAGGTGGGCAATGGTGACACAGAAACTTAAGAACAGACTTTAAACACATAAGACATCTGGGTAAGATGGTGTATGGTGATGTATGCATACTGGTTAAAAGGAAAACTTAACATATGGCTTCCTTAAGGAAAAAATCAAAGCAGGGAAATATCTTTACAGACTTTACCCTCTTTCTAAATGCAGAAGTTTTTCATTTTTGTGACCCAGCATGTTCTTTTTAAGGGCTGTTTAAAAGCATACTGAATCTGTTTGGGTCTGTTTAAACCATACTGAAACAGGAAATGGTGCTGGCAAAAACTGGTTCTCCTTTCCTGCTTTTGTGTTCTGGCCAGCTTTTTGGCCAGGTAGGTGACAGTGGGCAAGTCATCAATGAGGACAAGAATACCAGCGCTGCCTGCCTTGCAGAAATATTTTGAGTCTCAAATTACTCTAGATTAAATTACTTCAAAAATATTTGTTGATCATCTACAGTGTATAAGCTCTGTGCTAAGAGCAGCAGGAGATATAAAAACAAATGAGAAAGTCTCTCTCTGTGGAAGACTAAAACAAGTATAAATCACAAGATAAGCTGGGCGTGGTGGCTCACATCTGTAATCCCAGTACTTTGGGAGGCTCACACAGGCAGATCAACTGAGGTCAGGAGTTCGAGACCAGCTTGGCCAACGTGGTGAAACCCCGTCTCTACTAAAAATACAAAAAAATCAGCTGAACGTGGTGGTGCATGCCTGTAATCCCAGCTACTCAGGAGGCTGAGACAGGAGAATTGCTTGAACCTCAGAGGTGGAGGTTGCGGTGAGCCAAGATTGTGTCAGTGCTTTCCAGCCTGGGCAACAGAGCATGACTCTGTCTAAAAAAAAAAAAAAAAAAAAAAAAAGAAATAAGAAAACACAAGATGGCAAAACAAAAATTTAAGGTAGAAAAAGTGTCTTAGGAGATAAAGCCCTTAAGTGTTCAAATAAATAAAATCAAGAATGGCTTCATGAAAGAGAGAACATTTGAGGTAAGGAATCAATAGGTAGAGAAGGAAGATAAGGGAAGAGTAGTTCACTCATCCATCCACTCAGCCACATATCCATCCATACAACATTTTGAAGCGACCCTCTTCAGTGGGAGACTGTGGAGATGAATAATACTCTCCTCTTGTGTAGCTTATAATTTAGGTAAAAGCTTAGTTCAGAGCACAAGGGGGTTGAATAATGAAAAATAATTCATTTAGTACTGAACGAATTGAGACAATGGGTGTAAATTGCACTAAATCTAAAGTGGAAGAATCCTACGATGAATGCAGTAGCAAAATATAGATTGTCAAAAGGTAGAGATTGCCTGTATGAGTAGAAGATTCCTTCCTGTTCAGAGGGTGGAGGGGCTTCAATTACACTTAGGGAGCAGGGACCAGGTCTGAGAGAGAAAATATTTAAATGATCAGTGAACAATCTGACTAAATGCTACTTATTTGCATATGTATTCTGTTTACTTTGGTTCCCCCCACTTGATCACCCTTCATACATACTGCGCAGGGTTTTGAAACATGGAGCACCAATAGAAAGTCAGCCAAAGCGATAGACTTCTAGGTTGCACAGTTTAGCTTCCTCTCAGTTGTTTCCTATCTATAACTGTCAATGTGGTTTTGCTCTTCTGTGGTGGATATTCAGAGTTCTTCTCTTTCTCTCCACTACATATCATTGGTGACTGATCCTCCTTTCATGAGGAAGATAGTTTATGAAGAAAAATATGGGGCCAACACTCACATTCTAGAGCTTCTTATCAGGAATATTCTTTTCCTATTAGAAGAGGAGAGGAAAACGGGAGAAGGGTAGAGAGGGAGAGATGAACTCATAGAATTGGTTGGCTAGCTTTTATGTACAGGAAGGCTGCGTAACGTGAAGTGAGAACTATTGCTATGTGTATTCCCATAATGAAAACAACAGAAAGTATCTTTTTGTAAAAAGAAAACATTTGGAATAAGAACACAAAAATTAAGCAGTTGAAAGCTTAAACAAGTCAGGAAGGGTGTATTATTCAGTACTGTGATCAAGGAATTCAGGAAAAAATAAATGATCTGTTCCTTCCTGATCCTTAGGACCTATTAATAATTAAGCCTCCTTTTGTCCACTCTTCCCCGACTAAAGAACTTATAGAAATGACACTCGTTCTACCTCATTAGACCAATCAAATATGTTTCCTTAGATAGAGAGGGGAATCTTTTCCCATCCCAAGCATCATTATATATCAAGAGAAATTAGTCACCTGTGTCTATCACAACCTTCCCACCCCATCCTCCACCCCAATGTGCTCTCATTATTCTTTTTTGAGTGCATTCTTATGGTCTCCCATTACAGGAACCTTAAAGCTATTATGGAATTTTAGTATACCTGTATCCCTGTAAGCTCAGTACCCTTAATGATTCCTTTCTAAACTACAGCCAATGCCAGGCACCCTATACAAATGCCTACAGCACTGCTCTAGGGACTCAGGAATTCTACTTTCAGCTTTGAACCTTCTTGTTCTGGTCTGAAGTATCCCATCATCTGCCTTGTCGCCATACGCTTGGACTTTGTATTGGCCAGCTAACATCTTCAGAATGATACATCAGTCAGATGGAATTCCTGACTTTCTATTTTTGCCTGTGGCAGTGTTTATTGAATAGCCCAGGACTCCTAAATATGAGCTCCAATTCTCCCCCACACTGACACCCAAGTCTAGTGCAATCATTCCCAGTCTACTCAGTCTTTATACCGTTTACTCAACCTCTTGCCTTTTCTTGGAAGCAACAAGGTGTAGTAATAAAAGCAATACTGCCATTGGAATAAAAGGAAATTGTTTTAACTCTCAGCTCTACTCTTTCCTAATCATAGAAACTGGAAATTTACTTAAGCGCTGTGAACATTAGTTTTCTCATTTGTTATGCGTAGAATGCTAATGCTTGCCAATTCTTGGGATAGTTGTGAGGATCAAATGAAATAATGTGTGTTAGGGAATTGCCCTGGAAAGCCTCTTTCTGGCTTTGAAGTGCGAAATGAACTATGGAGGAGGTATAGAGCAGAAGATACTGGCAGCTGCCTGATCTCTGTCTGTGTGTGCTGGATCCCTTCCCTTTTTGTTTACTCAAGCATTTTGTTCCTGGAACTGCCCTCTCTGTCTCCCACACCATTAGTTTGTCTTTCTCTATTGGGTAATTCTGGTCAACATACAACCATGCTGTAATAGCTCACATCTGTAAGACTTCACAACAACAAACCTAGACCTTCTGTTCCCCCACCAGGTGTAATTTGTCTGCTCCTCTTTATAATGTTTATTTCCTCCTGCTCTTTATTTTTCAAATTATTATTCAAAACATTTTTCTTTTCTAGAGACAGGGTCTCACTCTGCCAACCTAGCTGGAGTGCAGTGTTGTGATCTTGGATCACTGCAGCCTCGAACTCCTGGCTCAAGGGATCCTCCCATCTCAGCCTCTGGAGTAGCTGTGACTACAGGAGCACAGCACCACACCTGCCTATTAAATTTTTTTTTTTTGTAGAGATGGGTTCTCATTATGTTGCCCAGGCTGGTCTTGAACTCCTAGCCTAAGGGATCTTCCTATTTTGGCCTCCCAAAGTGCTGGGATTACAGGCATGAGCGATCATGACTGGCCTTCCTCCTGCTCTTTATTTAACCTACTCTGTGTTAGTTTGGGTACTCTGAAAAGCAGATACCAAGATGGAATTAGATGGGTAAGAAATTTATTGGGGAAATATCTGTGGAGGATAAAGGGAGGGTGGAGGAGTACCTGGGGAGTGCCTTTAGACTATCATCCAGGCCTGATACCTGGGAAAGGAGAAGGGGAAGGAAGGATAACTGGGAAGGAAGAGTCTCAGACTGTAGCACAGTTCTCGTTTTCCTTCATTTCACAGATAGACTAGGATTCTTTGCTAACACCTCCTTGTTGAAATCTCTAAATGTTGAAATGCCCCAGGACTAGGTCCTCAGCTTCTTCTGTATGTAGACTTACTCCTTTGGTTATGTCTTCCAGCCCCATAGTTTTAAGTGCCATCTGTATGGCAATGTCTCCAAAATTTACATCTCCAGTTGAAAGCTTTCTTTGAGCTTCAGAATTGAAGATCCATCTGTATACAAGACAACTACTTGAAATCCTCTTAATTGTCTAATAGGTCTCAAAACTTGAAATGTTCAGAACAAAACTTCTGATTTTGCTGTGAGGATAATTACTACAGTGGGCAAAAGTAGAAGAGTGAGACCAGATAGAAGGCTATTGCCATAATCCAGGTGAGATACAGGTGAGAGATGATGCGGGCTTGGATGAGTGGTGTAGGGACTTTGTAGATGATTAGGTTACAGACCTGGAGAAGAGGGATTATCCTGGATTATCAAGGTGGGTCCAGTCAAATCACCTAAATCCTTAAATGTGGAGAGGCTTTCCCGGCTGTGGTCAGAGATGTTGTGACAGAAGGGTCAGAGAGACGTGATGTTACTGGCTTTGAAGATGGAGGAAGGGGGCCATGAGCCAAGGAATGAAGACACCCTCTAGAATATAAGAAAGGAGAAGAAACAGTCACATTTCTGACCTAAAGAATTATGAGATAATAAATTTGTGTGGTTTTAAGCCACTAAGTTGTGGTAATTTGTCATATCAGTAACCAGAAACAATCACAGCATGTGTGTCCCATTCCCTGTATCAAAAGCAGGTAAAGACATTAAATGAAGTTCAGAATTGTGATTATTTATGGATATGGGTATTCAACTTTCTGAACTGAGATCATATTTATGGTTAAAATAACACAGGTCTTTCTAGTACCTTGGAGTGGTCATAAAAGTGATGAGCTTTCCATATGTGCCTGCAGGGATGAGAGGAACATCACCCACTTTATCTCATCCCGACTGAGTTAAATTTTAAGGACAATGATAAGTAACTTTTTTGTTTTTGTTTTTTTGCAGATGGAGTTTCACTCTTGTTGCCCAGGCTGGAGTGCAAAGGTGCGATCTTGGCTCATTGCAACCTCCACCTCCCTGGTTCAAGTGATTCTCCTGCCTGAGCCTCCCATGTAGCTGGGATTACAGGTGTGCACCACCACACCCAGCTAATTTTTGTATTTTTAGTAGAGGTGGGGTTTCGCCATGTTGGTCAGGCTGGTCACGAACTCCTGACCTCAGGTGATCCATCCACCTCAGCCTCCTAAAGTGCTGGGATTACAGACAAAAGCCACCGCCCCCGGCTGTAACTTTTTTTTTGGTAAACGGTAAACAAAATGAATACATGGACATGCAGGGACAATGGCACTAAATCAAGGTGGACAACAATATGACTCAAAGAACAGACCACATTGCAGAGAACATAAGCAGACCTTAAGCAATTTAATCAGAAAAACTGAGATGGCTACAGCCCAGTGAAATAGATGGTGTTTAATAAGGTTACACTATAAAACATAGCCTTCCTCAAATTAAAATTTTAAATTTATTAATTAAATTTGAGCTAGAAGTTACTCTTTTAGCCAGAAGGTAAGATGAAAGGGAAAAGTGCCAGAGAAGAGATATGAAATGCACAGAGCAGAAACTTGCCACACAGAGGCAAAGAAACCATTCCACTTAGAAAGTTCCAAGTGGCATTTGAGAGAAAGGATATTGGAGGGTATTAAGAGGGAATAACTGTGAAAATCCCCAAACGGGGTCTGAAATTCCTCTGGCAGCAATCATGGAAAGAGGAATACTAATGTTATAACCATTGTTTCAAAGCCTGGTAGGCCGAAGTTCACTAACCAATATTTGCATGTTTGCATGGGGCACGAATGAATAGCATTTGCAAATTCCATGTTTAAAGTTCCCTTGTTTAGAAATCTGACTTGCTTGATTTATGTCTCCTTAATCTACTTAGGCGAAGACCTTTCCTTGTGTTTTAATATCAAATAGGCTTTAGCATAGACTGGTCTAACGGGACTTTGCTATTGGTGGAGGCTTAATAGGGCATCAGGAGATTATAAGTAAATTTCATTAGGAAGCTACAATCTCTACCTCAGGAAAGATTACATATATATACGTGTGTGTATATACATACATGTATATGTGTGTGTGTGTGTATATATATATATATATATGTAAAAAAGTCAAACATATATACTTTGTAGGGGGTCAGGATATCCCCAGCTTTGCTAGAGGAATATTCTAGAAATACCCTGCAGGGATTACCTGAAGGTTTCTTATATTCCATCTACTGTTCACCTCCAGTTATGAACAAGCTACATAAACTTAGAGCCCAGGATTGCTTGGATAATTGAAGTTTTCCACTTTCAAGCAAACAGCTGAAAAGATCATGGCTAAATATAATTATTGTTTGGACAATGGATTTGATAGACAATAAAAGAGCATATTAATCACCTTTGACTGGTAGGTAATATTAGTTGCTGGTAAGGAGGGGAATTAGGTGGCTGTACTGGAGTTGTTTTCTATTTTTTAGAATTCTGAATTTCTGTCTAATTGTTACCAAAGAAGTAAACTATGAGTTATCCCAGAGAAGGGAAGCTTTCCTAATTTGGCAGACTCTAAAACAACTAAAAGGAACCCTCCTTAAGATGAATGCAGTTAAAAAACAAATATAGTCAGAGGGTTATGAAGATTTCTGTTCATAAATTTATGGGTGTTTGCATGTGAATAACCATGAGAATTATTTGAAATTTGTCTTAAAAGCGTTGCTGCTAAGAAGCAGCATTCTGACTCAGGCGATCAGGGAACTATGAATAGGGTAGGAACTATGAATAGGGTAGGACTCCAAAGAGAGTGGGAGATAGCCCAGAAATAGGTTGAAAAAAGAGGAGGCAGCCTAGGGTAAGGGCATTTCCTTTAGCCACTCCAGGCTAAGGGAATTCACAGATTCTGCAGAAAATATATTACATGTAAACAACAGAATCACACATTGCTTGCTTATTTATTTACTTATGAATAGGTAATGAATTAACATTTCAAAATTCTGACTGCTCAAGAGTATACAGCAACACATTCTCTTCAATTCCAATACAGCGACCTACTTTCCCTCCTCACAGGCAACTAATATTACCAAAATCTTATATATCCTTCAATGCAATATGAGCAAATATAAACATACAGTTTTGCCTTTCATGCAAATGATAGCATTCTATATACTTTGAAGCTTGCTTTTTTTTTTCACTAAACTATACTTGGAACTTACTACATATCAGTAAAACATTTACCCTTCTTTTTTCAGCAGCATGATATTCCATAGAATGGATGCATTATAATTTATTTGATCAACTTCATCTTGATGGATATTTATTTGCAATCTTTTGCTATTACAAAGAATGCTTCAAAGACTTTTCTAGAACGTATGTCATTTTGCACATATGTAACTAATCTGCAGGATAAATTCCTAGAGGTAGAATTACTGATTCAAAGAGTATATGTGTTTGTAATTTTGACAAATGTTGCCAAATAATCCTACATAGAGGTTGTACAATTTATGTTTCTAACAGCAATATATGAAAATGCCTCTTTTGGCTGGGTGCGGTGGCTCACGCCTGTAATCCCAGCACTTTGGGAGGCCGAGGAAGGTGGATCACGCGATCAGGAGATCGAGATCATCCTGGCTAACGTGGTGAAACCCCGTCTCTACTAAAAATACAAAAAATTAGCCGGGCGTGGTGGCGGGCGCCTGTAGTCCCAGCTACTCGGGAGGCTGAGGCAGGAGAATGGCGTGAACCCAGGAGGCAGAGCTTGCAGTGAGCCGAGATCCCGCCACTGCACTCCAGCCTGGGTAAGAGAGCCAGACTCCGTCTCAAACAAACAAACAAACAAAATGCCTCTCTCACACACTCTTATTTATGCAGTGTTGCCAAGCTTTGTTATGTTTTCCAATTTGATGGGTTAATTGTAATATTTCAGTTTATTTTATTTTTATTTTTATTTTTTGAGATGGAGTCTTACTCTGTTGCCCAGGCTGGAGTGCAGTGGCATGATCTTGGCTCACTGCAGCCTCCGCCTTCCAAGTTCAAGTGATTCTCCTGCCTCAGCCTCCCGAGTAGCTGGGATTACAGGTGCCCACCACCACGCCTGGCTAATTTTTGTACTTTTAGTACAGATGGGTTTTCACCATGTTGTCCACGCTGGTCTCAAACTCCTGACCTCAGGTGATCCACCCTCCTGGGCCTCCCAAAGTGCTGGGATTACAGGTTTGAGCCACTGGATCTGGCCAGTTTAATTTTAATTTGCATTTCTCACTATGAATGCAATTGAGCATCTTTTCATATATATTTGAGAGTCCTTTTTATTTCCTTTCATGTAAACCATTCACATTCTTTGCTCATTTATCTTCTGGGTTATTGGTTTGTCTCTAGTTTTATTTTTTTTTAATTCTTATAGATAAAAAAGTTGGGACTTTGTGATATGAATTGCAAATGTTTTCCAACTGTTTCCACAGAGTTCATGGATATTAAAAATTTCTTTGCCTTTATCATTTGAATAATAATTTGGATGATATAAAATTTTGCGATCATACTTTTTTTCATGAAGATTTTGGGGCATTTCCCTATTGTCTTCTAGAATTGAATATTACTGTAGAGACATCTTATGTCAGCTTGTTTTGTTTTTACCCTGCATAGATGACTCATTGTTTTTGTCTGATTGTTCAAAGGATTCATTTTTTTATCTTCAAAGTTCAGCAGTTGTATTAGGATATGTCTCAGTGTTGGCCATTATGCATCAATTTTTCCTGAGACCTGAGATGCCCTTTCAAAATGAACATTTTCTTCCACAGTATTTCAAATACTTTTTCTAATTCATTACATAGAGATTTTGAATAACTGTATATTGGATTTCCTTTGCCTGTCTTCCCTACTTATTTACATTTTATCTATCTCTAATTGTTTTAAATTCTATTTACTTTCGTTAATTTTGCTTGCTTTTCTTATTGCTAACTTCTATGTTTCTTTCTGTATTCTCATCAGTATCTAGTCTCCACTGTGCTACTTCTGATTTTGACTCCATTTCTATTTTTAAGCCACTTTCCTGGTCTCTCCATTTTCCTGAGTCTTTTTTTTTTTGAGAGACAGAGTCTTGTTCTGTCACCCAGGCTGCAGTGCAGTGGCACAATCATAGCTCGCTGTAGTCTCAAACTTCTAGGCTGAAGCGATCCTCCTGCCTCAGCCTCCAGAGTAGCTAGGACCACAGGCATGTGCCACCACACCCGGCTACTTCCTGAGTCTTGTATATCTGCTGTATGTTCTTGTCTTTTTAAAACATTGGTAAAATTACATAGCATAAAACTTAGGATTTTAACCATTTTAAAGTGTACATTTCTGTGGCATTATGCACATTCACCCTGCTGTGCAACTATCATTGCTATCCATGTTCAAAACTTTTTGGTCTCCTCCTGTTGAAACTCTGTACCCATTAAATGCTAATTCTCATTCTTCCTTCCCCAAAGCCCCTGGTAACCACAAATTTACTTTTTGTCTCTATGAATTTGATATATCATATAAGGTATCTCATATCTCCAGGTATCTCATATAAGTGGGATCATATAGTATTTGTATTTCTTGTGGCTGGTTTATTTCACACAGCACAATGTCTTCAAGATTCATCCACATTGTAGCATGTGTCAGTTTCCTTCCTTTTTTTTTTTTTTTTTTTTTTTTGAGACAGAGTCTTGCTCTTTCGCCCAGGCTGGGCTGCAGTGGCGCTGTCTTGGCTCACTGCAAGCTGCGCCTCCCGGGTTCACGCCATTCTCCTGCCTCAGCCTCCCGAGTAGCTGGGACTACAGGCGCCCGCTACCACGCCCGGCTAATTTTTTTTGTATTTTTAGTAGAGACGGGGTTTCACCATGTTAGCCAGGATGGTCTCGATCTCCTGACCTCGTGATCCGCCCGCCTCAGCCTCCCAAAGTGCTGGGATTACAGGCGTGAGCCACCGCGCCCGGCCAGTTTCCTTCCTTTTTAAAGCTGAGTAATACTCCATTGTATGTACATATGGGCTCTTATTTTATACATAGATTTCTTCATTAACTGTTAAATCCATGGCAAAATATTTGCTCGAAACTTTCATCTGCTCCATGGAAATACTTCTGTGATCAGAGTTCACCTATATTTATTTTTTTCTGTTCCTTTTCTCCGTGTGTGTGTGTGCGTGGTGTGTTCTCATCATACATATATATAATGTATACATATACACACATATAAAATGAATATATATAATGTATATATACACATATATAATAAATATATATAATGTGTGTATATATACACGCATATATGTAATGAATATATATGTGCATTCATTCTGGATGGTTTATTCTTGATTTCTCATTTTGGATGAAAGGGCTTTTCTTGACTAGCTACTTGTAAATGGTTCATATGATGGAGATGCTGGAGCCGTGTCCAAGGCTAGCAGCTCTCCTTAGGGACCCCAGCAAAGTGTGAGAGTCCATTTAACTATTACCTCTCCCCAACTGACAAAGATAGGCAGCTCTACGACTCACACCAGGCTCTTTTTTTCAATCCTCTGCCTCATCAACAGATTGTTTCTTAAAATATGGCTTTATCACATGAGTCTGTTCAGTCCTACCACCTCTACTTCTCAGAATCAAATGGTCATGGATGCTTCTGTCACCACCCCACCTCCCCTGTTAGGACACATGAGGATTAGAGCTCTGCATCTTGGGAGTACTCCACATCTTGGGGTAGTGCCAGTTGTCTCAGGGATTTGCATTTACAGGCATCTCCTTCTGCTTCCTCCCACATCCTGTTTGTTCTTCATTGCTTTTGGCAGCCCTTCTACCTATTTGTGGCTTAAAGTTTCATATGCATCCTAGCTTGTGTTTCTGTTTCTCATTCTTCTTTTGGGTGATTTCCTAGAGCAAAAGGGGGAAATGCCAATTTTTACTTCATTATATTCAAACTGGAAATCTGTATTTAATTCTTCTTCCATAGCTTAGGATAAGTGATTCTCAAATAAATGTATTATCGTTTTTATAAACCTTCAAGTTAGAGAAATTTCAGGTAAGATTATTTATATTTGAACCAAGAAGACCCAGCTGACAATTGCAATCACAAGCATGATGATGAGAGGGCAGACCAAGAAGCAGCAGCCTCGCAAAAGGAGGCCGGCACTGGCTTATTCCTAGTTGTGTATGTCGCATGCGACACCTTTATGTTCTCTGAGTCTATTGTCATAACCATCGATATATTTTCTATCACTCCATCTTTCCTACAAGTTTCAGATTTGAAGGAAAACAGCTGTTACTAGCCAATACTGTGATTGTGATCTAAGCATAGCCCTTGCAGCTGGGCATGGTGGTGCATACCTGTAGTCCCAGCGAATCCAGAGGCTGAGGTAGGAGGATAGCTTGAGTCCAGGAGTTTGAGACTAGCCTGAGCAACATAGCAAGAACCCCATCTCTCAAAAAAAAAAAAAAATGACCCTCCACTTTCTTCCAACTAAACATATTTGCATACGAAAAACTTGACTTTAGCTGGGCACTGTAGCTCACGCCTGTAATCCCAGCACTTTGGGAGGCCGAGGTGGGCGGATCACCTGAGGTCAGGAGTTCGAGACCGGCTTGGCCAATATAGAGAAACCCTGTCTCTACCAAAAATACAAAAATTAGCTGGGTGCGTTGGTGCAAGCCTGTAATCCCAGCTACTCAGGGAATTGCTTAAACTTGGGAGGCAGAGGTCATAGTGAGCCAAGATCATGCCACTGCATTGTAGCCTGGGCGACAGAGTGAGACTCGGTATTAAAAAAAAAAAAAAAAAAAAAAAAACCACCAAAAACCAAAACCAAAACAACAACAATAACAACAACAAAAACTTGAACATCTATGAGTGTATAGCAGGGGCTTGCTCCACTGTGAAGACCCTGCTGACCCACATTCAGGAAGGCCCTGAAATGTACCTCTGATCTATGTACAATATGTGAAATCTCATCAGTAATAATTTACTGTTTTGTGTTATTAGGGCCTCTTTTAAAATGCCTATATTTCTTTGAAAATAAGCAAGTTTTCATTGACATCTTTGTGGAAATTACTTTAAAAAAACTGTTTCTAGAGGAAGGAACATTGAGAAAGGAAACAGAGGAAATGGAAATTAAGAAACATCCAAGATAAACATTACTCTCTTAACAATCTGATGTAGCTTGCAAGTCAAGTTGCTACTCACATTATTTTACTAATAGTTATATTAGTAAAATTATATAACCATACCTGTAGGGAAACTAAATGTAAAATTTGGTAGGTAAGTACTTCTGGTGAGAAGGCAAAAACTTTTAAAATGCCTATAAGTAATGCCTACATTCGTTCCTTATTTTATGGAATTTTTAAGCCTTTCATTCCACACTAAGTCCAGTTGACCTTATTGTTCTTCCTAGAGCATACCTCTGCTCTATGGAAGCTTAGCTACTGTTCTGTTTATATCCTGTGAAGGAATACTGGCCAGACCAGCTAGTTTAAGGGAAATTAAAAGAAGCTCCACCCTGGGATTTTGCAATATCAACAGCTCTTATTTTATATGAAGAGTGATGTTAGGATTAGAATTAAGCTTTCCTGTACCAGGCTGGCATGGATAGTTGTTGCTCAAAGTCATAATTATCCAGTCATTTCATTTTTAGAAATGGATTTTTAAAAATAAAGTGACAGAGAAATGTGGATGTTCAATATGATCTGAATCCAGCAAAGATTCTAATGTAAAAAAATAAGCTTTGTGAATTGGAAACTATCATCTGACAGAAATCCTGTTTTGATTGACAGCCTCATATGGGTATAATATAATCATCCATACATTATGTATAAATTTACCATCATTTCCAAAGCCAAGCAGAACACATTGTTACTCCTTCTTAAAAGTACTCTTAATCCTTTGGCTTATACAACTGGAGTGATACTGCCAAGACAGCTATTTGAATTTCTTGTCTCATAAACAGAAGCACTTAGGCACAAATACTTGCAATAAGAACATATTTTGCAAGCCATTTTATTAATAGTTATGGTTTTGGAAATGATTAGTTAATAAAAATTGCGCCTATAATAAATATTGTGTTCTTATAACTTATTTATTCAGTGATCATTCACTTAATTGAGAATTTTTCCAGGATCTAGTACTTTTTTTTTTCTTCCCTTTTAGTCATTTTACATTTTAGTACTAAGATCAAGAAAAAGGAAAATGATAATAGCCAAAAAGGTATAAACAATCCAAGTATCCATCAACTGGAGTGGATAAATAAAATATGTATCTCCATAAATGGAATATTATTTAGCAAGAAAGAGAAATGTAATACCAATACATGCTATGACATGGATGAACCTTGAAAACATTATGTAAAGTGAAAGAAGCCAGTCATAAAAGACTGCTTACTGAACTGTATGCTTCAGTTTATATAAAATGTCAGAATAGGCAAATCTAGGGAGACAGAAAATAGCTTAGTGGTTACCTAGGGCTGGGCAGAGGGCAGCAGGATGGGAGTGACTGCTAAAGGATATGAGATTTCTTGTTGGAGTGATAAAAATGTTCTAAAATTGATTGTGGTGATGGCCGTACAGCTCTGTGAATACACTAAAAATCATGGAATTATATACTTTAAATGGGTGACCTATATGGTTATGTGAATTATGTCTAGCTTAATCCGTTAAAAAAATGAAAAAAGGAAAGTGAGATTCTTATATCAGTCACATTTCTAACAGTCATAGGGAAAAAAATCTGATGGCATTTTGATATGGAGTATCAATGAAAACTTAACAATACAACAGGAATTCTTACAAGCTCTAAAAATGTTTTATCTAGCAAAGTATTTTGGCTACTTTAATGCCCAGTTAAGTGTTTCCTCACTGTATTACTAGTCAGGTTCTCTGGAGAAACAAAATCAATAGTAGGATGTGTGTGTGTGTGTGTTTGTGTGTGTGTGTGTGTGTGCATATTTATATTGATATTGGTCTCAATATCGATACAGATATACACAGCCCCACACCCCCACACACACCTATTTTTTTTTATTATTATACTTTAAGTTCTAGGGTACATGTGCACAACGTGCAGGTTTGTTACATATGTATACATGTGCCATGTTGGTGTGCTGCACCCATTAACTCGTCATTTACATTAGGTATATCTCCTAATGCTATCCCTCCCCCCTCACCCCACCCTACAACAGGCTCCGGTCACAAACACCTATTAAGACCAATATCAATATAGATATACAGAGAGAGAGAGAGAGAGAGAGAGAGAGAGAGAGAGAGAGAGATTTATTTTAAGGAACTGGCAGATGTGGTTGTTGGGGCCGGCAAGTCTGAAATCTGCAGGGCAGGCCGGCAGGCTGGAGACCTAGGGAAGGGTTGGTGTTGCAGCTTGAGTCCAAAGGCAGACTGAAGGCAGAATTCCCTCTTCCTTGGGATCCACTTTTTCTCTTAAGGCCTTCAACTGACTGGATGAGGCCAACCCACATTATGAAAGGTAACGTGCTTTACTCAAAATCTACTGATTTAAATGCCATCTTAAAAATACATTCAAAGTGGCAACTAGACTGGTGTTTGACCCCCCAGTCTAGATGTCCAAATATGTGAATATCCAAATATGTGGATAGCATGGATAGCCAAGTTGACATATAAAATTAACAATTATACCCACTTATGTGGGGAAGTTAGTACAGTAATTTTAATTTTTTATTCCAATTTGGCTATCAACTGTTGAGAGCAGAGAAAGAGCAGGCCAACTGTTGAGCAGAGAGAATTTAAAGTAATCAATACAGGCACTATGGTATTTTGGAACTTAATTTCTTTTCAGAAGAAAAATTAATGCCTGTTTATTATGATACATTTTTTAAATGTCAAAAAATAGAATAAATAAAACAAAACTGACTCTGTCCTCATAATCCTGAGTTATATTTTTCAATTAGACTTTGTCTAGAATGGCTTCATAAATTGGGAGTTACGATTTTTAAAATAAGGAATATTTTAAAATCAAGTTTACAAAATGTATTAAGAAAACTTATTACGAAGCAACTAAATACAAACTGCCTACGGTATGCAATAGGTCATTGCCACTTTTTAATACAAACAAGGAAGTGAAGAGAATCAAACAATAGTGTTCATTGAAGAGGAGCCCTTTATGAGGCCATGGTCCTTACATTTGCAACTGCTAATCTTGCATGTAACACAAATAATGACAATGTTTTGCCTTTCTTACCAAAACTTTTGCACCCTACTCTATTACCCACAAACATTTTCTCCACAAACTTAAATAAGCCGGCAATGAATTTCTGCAGTGAAAACATTTTATCTTAATTGTGAATCAAACCACAGCCTACATTTGCTCTGGGGACCACATGTGTAGCAGATCAATAGTTATTAACTGAGAGTAAACTAAGTCACAGCAAGTTATAGTTAATCTATTCTACAATGTTATCCACATGGGAGAAGAGGAAGGGAAGAACAGAAAAATTAATATGAATGCATGCTATGCACCATGTTCGAAGGCCTATCACATGATTTAATACAACAATCCTGCAAGGTAGGTAATGCTTTGCCTGTTTCTAATAGAGTAGCAAACTAAAGCCTGGAAGGATAACAACATTGTTCTAGGTCACACAGCTAATAAACTGGGAAGCCTTTCTTTTCCCAGAGATTATCTTTGTCTTCAGTAGTCTCAAATAAAAGAAAACAGATGTTTTCTGAGCCTCAGGCCTTGTAACTGGTAATCCCTTTCCACTTTCTTAGGATCCTTCAAGCATGTTTGAGCTCCCATGTTTCAGCTTACCTAAAAATGCTCTGGTTTCCCAATTGATGTAGTAAAACCTGGATTGTTGTACTTCCCCACACCCCCTGAAGTTGTCTTGGCAATGGTCCAGTGGCCAGCCTGTCTAGCCTACATACAGAATCTGGTTTCTTTCTCAAAGTACAGTCTTTGTGAAGTTCACTGGAGTTTTTGAAACTATCAGTAGTGTCTGAATTTGGCTCTGTTTCCAGTCTGAGCTTTTTGATAAGTTATGATGAGGTGTACCTGGATTCTTATAATTCCAGACAAGTTCCCACATATCCCAAAAGTTGGGATCAAGCTTTATAAATGGATTTGATGAAGAATACAATGAATAAAGTATAAGCTGCAGATTTTTGTTTTGAGCTACTAGGTAAATGATGGTGCAATCTGAGACTGGTAAGACCGAGAAGCACTTTATTGGGGAAGTTGCAAGGAAATGGGCTGTTTTGAGCTTTAAGCACTTTCCTCATACCACATATCCAATGCCTCATCAATTCTGTCTTTTCCACCTTCAAAATATGTCCTTATTCCAATATTTCTCACTAATCCATTACCTCCTCTGTACCAGTCCAGGCTAAACCAAGAATACAGACACTATTTAAAACAGAGGAGATTTAATGCACGGAATTAGTTACACGATGATACAAGAAGCGAGAAGCTAGAGGGGATGGCAAGGTTACCTAGAGATTAACCACAGTGGGAATAGCAGAAGCAAGAGTCATTGGGTCCCTGCCAGCAGTGCTGCTTGATTGGGACACACACATGAGAGAGAGAGAGAGAGAGAGAGGAGGAAGAAGAAGACGAAGAAGAAGACAAAGAAGAAAAAGAAGGAGAAGGAGAAGACGAAGGAGAAGGAGAAGGAGGAGGAGGAGAAGGAGAAGAAAGAGAGAAGGAAAGAAAGAAATGAACTTGCTTCTTATTTGGGCTCTTCCATCTCCAAACAGTGCCTAAAGCCAGCCAGAAGCCGGATGAAATGGACCTGGAAAATGCAGAATGCAGGGACCAGCTAGCTAAGCAGAGCAAAGGAAGGGAGAAGAATGGGTCTGAGAGCAAATAGGCCCAGCTGGCATGGAACCTAATTCAAGCCACCATCATCTGTTGATGGATTTATTACAATGGTCTCCTAAGTCATGTCCCTGCCTTTACTAACCTCTCCTGCTGTTAGGGTAAGATTAAGCTATGGTAACAGAGACCCAATGATACAATGGCTTATTGCTTAAATACATTGCTTTATCTCTCACAGGTTGATAGGTTGATGGGAGCTTTGCTCTTCAAAACCCCAAGACCAGGGCTCCTTCTGAGTCCTTGCTTCTTATCTCCTTGGGTACTGTCATCATTTGCATATCAACACAAGGTCTCTGCTGTGTCTGAGTTGTGGCTTTCAGGAAGGGAAAAGACATTCAGGGCAAGGAATTTATTCTTTATCCAGTGACTCAGAAATTTCACAAATCATTTTACTCACATTCCATTCCTGTAGGGCTTATACTTAGGCACATACCCACATGCAACTGCAAGGAAGGCTGAGAAATGTAGCTTTAGCTGAGCAGCTAATTGCACCCAAGAAGGAGAGATTGAACTTGGTGGGTACAATCATGTCCCCTATAATCTATATTCCGGTTAGCAGCCAGGATATTCCTTTTAAAACAGGAGTCAGATAATGTTTCTCCTTTGCTCACAACTCTTCAAGGCTTCCCATTATCCTTATACTTAAATCCACATTCCTCATTATAGAATATAAGACTTCCAATTCTGGCATCTCCCTACTTCTTTGACCTCATCCCTACCACCAGCAGCAGGATCCTTGATTTGTAGCATTTGTCAATTTCCAAAGTATGAGTATTCCTACCATGCCTGATATCAGCTACCAAGGTAACATCACTGATTGCAAGGTTGGAAAGAGATGTACAGTTTCAGCTCTCGTGAGCTAGTATAAGCTGCCTTCAGCACACTACTGCCTACCATTCTCTGTTACTCAAATTTACCTAGTTTTTCTCTTGTTCCTCTAAGACAGTACTCCTCAAAGCATGGTTCCCCAGACCATCAGGATCAGCATTACCTTGCTAGAAATGCATATTTTTGGGCACCATCCCAGACCTACTGATTCAGTTGCTCTGTGTGTGGAGCCAGCAGTCTGTTTTAACAAGCCCTCCAGTTGATGCTGGTGTTAGCTCAAGTTGGAAAACCACTGCTCTAATATTTACTAAGCTTCCTCCCAATTTGGGGCCTTTATTCTTCGGCATTCTCTTCTACCTGATACTCTCTTCCTCCAGAGCTTTCATATTATCCGGGTCTCTGTGCAAATATCACTTCCTCAAAGTGGACTTCCTTTCTGCCAACTCCACTCTAGTCTCCTCACTAGAATATAAGCTGACATCAGGGAGTTTGTTCTGACTTCTGCATGTCCAGTACCAAAAACAAGGCATGACACATGCTAGGTAGAAGGAAATATATGTCAGATCAATTATTATATAACCAGTGTTAAAGTTAGTTTTATATTTTAATAAGTGCATTGAGAAACGACTAGAAAATAAATAGAAGAAACAGAAAGGAATTATATTCATACTGTTAGAGACCATTCATCCTCCTTCTCTTACTTCTTAACCTGAAGTTCAACATAGTAGTTCAAGTGTAAGTTATCTAAAATACTTTAAGGGTTAAAAAATCACATAACTAACCTTCCTTCCTTCCTTCCTTCCTTCTTTCCTTCTTTTCTTTTCTTTTCTTTTTTTTTTTTTGACAGAGTCTCTCTCTGTCACCTGGGCTGGAGTGTAGTGGTACATTCTCGGCTTATCACAATCTCCACCTTCTGGGTTCCAGCGATTCTTGTGCCTCAGCCTCCCGAGTAGCTGGGATTACAGGCACCTGCCACCAGACCCGGCTAATTTTTGTATTTTTGGTAGGGACGGGGTTTCACCATGCTGGCCAGGCTGCTCTCAAACTCCTGGCCTAAGTGATTCGCCCCCTTTAGCCTCCCGAAGTGCTGGGATTACAGGCTTGAGCCACCGTGCCTGGCCCACACATTACTATTTATCAACTGTTACTGGTCCCTTTTTTGGTAAAATCCTTGCTGATATAGTATTCATACACCTCACAATTCACCCATTTATAATGTTCAATTCCATAGTTTTTAGTATATTCACAAAGTTACGCATCTATAACACCATCAGTTTTAGAATATTTCATCATTCCAACAAGAAAGCCCATATCCTTTAGCAGTCAACTGCTCTTGCCCCATTTTTCTCCACTCTCCCAGCTCCTAAGTAAGCAATGGTTAATCTACTTTCTGGCTCTGTGGGCTTGCCTCTTCTAGACATTTCATGTAAATGGAATCATAAAATATGTGTTCTTCTGTGACTGGCTTCATTTATTTAGCATAATGTTTTCAAGGTTCATTCATGTTATAGCATCTATCAGTATAGAGGGCCTACCATATCCATGGTTCCGCATGTATGAATTAAAACAATAGGAGATTGAAAATAGTTGGAAAAATAACAATAAAGATACTAAAAATAAAAAATACAGTATAATTATTTACATAGCATTTACATTGTATTATAAATAATCTACAGATGATTTAAAGTATAAGAGAGGATGTGTGTAGCTTATATGCAAATACTACGCTATTTTATATAAAGAACTTGAGCATCCATGGATTTTGGTATCTTCAGGGGGTACTGGAACCAATCGCTTGCAGATATTGAGGGACAATGGTACTTCGTTTCTTTTTATTGCCAAATAATATTCCATTGTATGGATCTATCACATTTTATTTATCCATTCATCAGTTGATGGGCATTTGGGTCTTTCCACATTTGGCTATCAAAATAATGCTGCCATGTACATTCATGTTTAAGTGTTTGTGCAGACATGTGTTTTCTTTTATCTTGGTTATATACAGTACCCAGTGGTGGAATTGATGGGTCCTGTAGTAACTGTATCTTTAAACTTTGAGGAATAACCAAATTGTTTTTCAAAGAAGCTGCACCATTTTGCATTGCCACAAGCAGTGCATGAAAGTTTTAATGTCCCCACACCTTTGTCAAAACTTGTTTATTATCTGCATTTCTTATTATCACCATCCTAGTAGTAATGAAGTATATTGTGGTTTTTTAAATTTTTATTTTAATTTTTTATCATTTTAAAAAATGTTTTATTTTTAATTTTTGTGGGTACAAAGTATCTTGTGGTTTTGATTTGCAATTCCCTGATGACTAATGGCATCGATTTCCTTTTTATGTTCTATTGGCCATTTGTATATCTTCTTTGTAGAAATGTCTATTCAAATCCTATGCCCATTTTTAAGTTGGGTTATTTGTCTTTTTATTATTGAGTTGTAATAGTTCTTTATTATTTTAGATAGAAGTCCTTTATCAGAAATATGATTTGCAAACTTTTCCCCCATTCTATGGATTGTCTTTTCACTTTCTGGATGGTATGCTTTGAAGCACAAAGTTTTAAATATCGATTAGGTCTACATTATTTTTTTCTTTTGTTGCTTGTGCTTTTGGCATCACATCTAAGAGCTATTGCTAAATTACAGGTCATGCAGATGCCTATGTTTTCTTCTACTTCTAAGAGTTTTATAGTTTAGCTTTGATTCATTTGAGTTGGTCTTTGATTCATTTAGATCTTTGATCCATTTTTACTTAAATTTTGTATATGGCATAAGGTAGGGGTCTAACTTTATTCTTTCACATGTAGATATCCAATTGTTCCAACACCATTTTTTTTTTTTAAAAAGACTATTCTTTCCCCATTGAATTGTCTTGGCACACTTGTTAAAACTCAGTTGACTGTAAATGTGAGGGTCTATTTCTGGATTGTCAATTCTATTTCATTGATCTGTATGTCTATTCTTCTGCCAGTGCTCTGGTCCTTTTAATCAATGTCTGTTTGGTCATATCTTAGGGCCCATTTCACTGCACAAACATATGTTTTATTCCAAAGCAATTTTATCTGCATGTTTTTATTTCACAAATGCAGTCAGTTTCCACAAATGTAGTTTGTACATTTAACAAAATGTAGTCAGTTTTACCATCTGAAAGGAGAGAAGGACAGCAAATAATAAAAGGCAATGTCTCCTACTTCAAATCAGTGGAAATTCTTCTGAATACCAGAGGAAGGAATTGGATGATTCCAACCAGAAGAACAGTAATATTAAAATTATGATTGCCTCATCTGGATCCCAGATGTGGTAGCTGTCTCCTTCTAATAAAAACAGAGACAGAGCTAGAGAGCGAAAGAGAGAGAGAGAGGAAATCATAGGCACAGTGTATCTAAAATATTTGGAGACACATATTACTTGGCAATGTTAGTGAAAAGCTTTAATATGTTGATGAAAATTTAGCTGATTAGTTCTCCTGCCTTTCTGACAGAATAAATTATTCATCCTGGGAAATTGTGGCGCTACATTTCACCAATACTTCTCCACTCATTCCCACCCCAATACTCTCATGTCTGAGGTCCTAGGGTTACTTCCATGTGAACATTTTATGTTGATGAACACAATTGCTTTCTCTTTTGTCCAGAAAAAAAAAAGATTAATTCTACCCCTTGTGAAAATGGAAATACCTAAAACATCTCATCAGATGGAGCCTTGGACACTATCCTAAAGTAATCTTATCTCAAAATCAAACATATAAAATATGCTGTGATCTCTCCAAGAGAACTTCAACCCATAGCACTCTAGAATTTAAATGAAGCTTGCCTCATTTTGGGGAGCACCATTTTTAAAGAGTTTTAATTTAATAATACACAGGACACATTTTTTTCCCAAGTATGTTTTCAGTTTCAAAACCATGTGTTATTTACAGAAAATAGAATTCATGTGTTTTTGATTCATTTACACTTAACTCATTAAAAAATTCCTGTTAAACTACTTGGTATTCAAGGACTTTCAGTTTTCTAAATAAGTTTCCAAAAGCCTTCTTAAAGATATGAAATGGTGTTAAATAAATATGTACATGAGTTTCCAAACCATGTTCATAATTTTTCTTTGGAACTTTTTGCCTTTAATTAGTAAAATGTGCTTTTCTTCTAGCCAGAAAGAGATTAATGTGTGAAAATTTATCATTTGTCAATGCAGGAAAGCCTAAATTTACAAATAAGAAGTTTTAAATATCACCAATCAACAAATAACTTGATTCACATATATTCTACAAAATAAATGTCAGATAAACGTCAGAGATTTAGGAGGAAGAAAGTGGATTAACAATTATTGAACACTTCTTGGGTGCTATGTACTTAGCACTTTATGTATGTAGAATTTAATTCATAGGAGATGGCTATTTTCATCACACTTTAGCAGATGAGAAAATTGAGGCTCAGACAAGCTAAATAATCTTCTCAAAGCCACATAGCTAATAAGACAGAACCAGGATTCAAAGGTCTGTATGATTCTTCAGTCCATGTTATTTCAATTTCAGCTACCCATTTTGAATCCCACTGGATTTGAAATTAAGAGATCTGGTTTTTAATTACTGCACTTTTACGTAATACAAATGTGCATAAGTCTTAGCTTCCTTGACTATAGATTAGTCAAGATATTAAAAAGATATTAGTCAGATATTAAAAGGATAAAAAGAATATTGTGAACAACTTTATGCCAATAAATCTGACAACTTAGATGAAATGGACAGATTCCTTGAAAGATACAAACTGCCAAAGCTTATCCAAGAAGAAATAGATAACAGACAGTAATATCCACCTTATAAAGCTGTTGTTAGAGGAAATGAAATAATGCATATATAAATGCATCTAGATTGAATTGAGTTCATTCTCTTAACAACAGAGAACCTGTTCTCTCCAGCCTTGTCCCTTGTCATAATCTATGTTGTATGAGACTTCTATACATTTTTTATATAGCACAGGTTAACACTTTGAAATTGTAGATTTCATGTCCATTCCACCTTGCAAAATTTTCAGATTCTCCTAGACTGTAGAATATAATTAACAGTTCATACTGATTTTATTCTAAATTTACATATTCATCTCCTTTTGTTTCCCTAATAAAACTTTAATCAGAATAATTTACTCCTGCACCCAAAACCCAACATACACACTTTTTAGAAAACTACGGTAAAATACACATAATGACATTTATCATTTTAACTATTTTTAAGTTTATAATTCAGTGGAATAACTTAATAGTACATTCCCATTGTTGTGCAACCATCACCATTATCCCACACTATGCTTTTCTAAGTAGCATTTCACCATACCCTACATTGAAAGTTTCTTTCTACTTCTATTTATCAACTGTTAGTCTTCATCCAAGATCTGACTCAAGCCCCCTCATTTGCAGACTCTTCCTTTAGTGAGTTTGCCTGACTTGTATCAAATGTTGAAAGGCAGTTTTGCATAGTGGTTAGGTGTATAAACTCTGGGTCAGGTTGTTCAAGTTCAAGTTCTGTCTGTGTTGCTCCATAATTATATGGCCTTGGGCAAGTAAATCAGCCTCTTAGTGCCCTAGGTATTTATCCAAATGATTTAAAAACTTGTGTCCACACAAAAACCCACATATGAATGTTTATAGCAGCTTTCTTCGTAATTGCAAAAAACTGGAAGCAACCAAGATGTCCTTCAGTAGGTGAATAAATAAATTGTGGTACATCCATGCAATGAGGTATTCAGTAATAAGAAGAAATGAGCTGCCAAAGCTTATCCAAGAAGAAATAGATAACACAAATATCTACATATCTATTAAAAGATTGAATTTGTATTTAAAAACTTACCCACAAAAAAATATCCAGGCCCAGATGCCTTCATTGGTGAATTCTACCAAATATTTGGGGTAGAAAATAATACCAGTTCCACATAAACACTTCTAAAAAATTAAACAGGAGGAACTACTTCCAACTCATTCTGTGAGGCCGGAATTACCGTGATCCCCAAAATCAGTCAAAGATATTATTAAGAAAGGAAAACCACAGACCAATCCCCCTCATAAAGTTTGATGTAAACATATTTTTAAAAATTTAACAAATCAAATCCAACAGTATATAAAAAGAACCAAAAAAGGTCTATCTCAGGAATACCAGGCTGACTTAACATTTGAAAATCAGTCAATGTAATTCACTATTTTGACAGACTAAAAAAGAAAAAATGATAATCTCAATAGTTGCAATAAGAACATTTGACAAAATCTAGCATCCACTCATGATAAAAACTCTCAGCAAATGAGAAATAGAAGGAAATCTACTCATCCTGATAAAGGACATTGACAAAAAACCCTATAGATAAAAAGCTAAATGTTTTGTTTCTATCTTCTGAGATCAGAAGCCATAGAAGAATGTACACTGTCACCAGGCAAAGTGGCTCACGCCTGTAATCCCAGCACTTTGTGAGGCCGAAGTGGGTGAATCACGAGGTCAGGAGTTCAAGACCAGCCTGGCCAACATGGTGAAACCCCGTCTCTACTAAAAAAATACAAAAAATTAGCTGGGTGTGGTGGCGGGCACCTGTAATCCGAGCTGCTCGGGAGGCTGAGGCAGGAGAATCACTTGAACCTGGGAGAGGGAGGTTGCAGTGAGCCAAGATTGCACCACTGCACTCCAGCCTGGGCGACAGTGCTAGACTCCATGTCAAAAAAAAAAAAAAAAAAAGAAAAAAGAAAAATGTACACGGTCACTGCTTCTATTCACCATTAGTACAATAATGTAAAAAAATGAAAGAAAGGCATCCATATTGGGAAGGAAAAACTAAAACTGTATTTGCAGACCATATGATCATGTATGTAGAATATCCCATGGACTCTACAAAAAAGCTGGTAGAGCTAGTAAGTGACTTTAGCAAGGTTACAGGTTACAAGGTAAATTTTTTTAAAAAAACAATTTTATTTCTACATATTAGCAACAAACAATTGAAACTGAAATTTAAGAAATTACTATTTACAGTGGCATCGAAAACATGAAATACATATAAAAAAATCTGACATTGCATGGGTAAGACCTGTCCACTAAAAAGACTAAAATATTGCTACTAGAAATTAATGACCCAAATAAAGGAAAAAATAAACCACATTTATGGAAATGAAAGCTCAATGTTGTTAAGATGCCAATTGTCTCCCAAATTGATCTATAGATTCCATGTAATCTCATTCAAAATCCCAGCAGACTTTTATTGACCAAATTAACAGTCTGATTTTTTCATTCATATGAAAATACCCTGGACCTAGAAGAGCCAGAACAACTTTGCAAAAAAGAAAAAAATTGGAAGGCCAACACTACCTGATTTCAAAACTTTTAGTAAAGCTATTTTAGTCAACAGAGTATGATAAATAAAGCTATTTTAATCAGGAGAGTATGATATTGGTAAAAATATAGACAGACAGATCAACCACACAGAGTGGAGAATCCACAAATGGACCTACATATATATGATCAATTGATTTTTGACAAAGATTCAAAGGCATTGCAATGGAGAAAGGTTATCAGCAAATGATTCTGGAATAATTGGATATCCATATTCAATAAGTATATAAATAAATATCCTCAATTCATATCTTGCACCATATACAAACATATTCAAAAATTCATTCAAAATAGATCATAGACTTACATCTAAAACCTAAAACTATAATATTTCTAGAAGAAAGCAGGA
Organism: Homo sapiens; assembly: GCF_000001405.40. NCBI lineage: Eukaryota > Metazoa > Chordata > Mammalia > Primates > Hominidae > Homo > Homo sapiens. The sequence goes on along the minus strand of NC_000015.10, from coordinate 56,750,796 downwards.
GAAAATATTTGTGATTTTGGCTTATGTAAAGACACATCATCACCCAAAGTGTGAGTCATTAAAAAATATGATAAATTATACCAAAAAGTTAAGGGCTTTTGCTCTTTGAAAGACACCGTTCTGAGAAAGAAAAGACAAGCCACAGACCAGAAATAATAATTTCAAGTCATATATTAGATAAAAGACTTGTATTCATAATATATAGAGATTTCTCAAAATCTAAATATTTAAAAATATCCAATAAAAAATGGGTAAAACATTTGAACACACACTTTACCAAAGAAGATATATGGATGGCAAATAAATACATGAAAAAATGCTCAGTATCATTAGTCATTAGGAACAAGCAAAATTTTAAGCCATATATGCATTTATTAGAATGTCTAAAATTTAAAAAGATTGATCATACTAAGTATTGGTAAGGATGCAGCAGTTTCTTAAAAAGTTAAACATAACACCTGCCATGTGGCCCAGGACTGGAGTGAGATGACTGAGGAGACTGTCTCCTTTAAATTGCATCCTAGGTTCTTCTCTGGTTTCACCCTAGTCCTGGACTTGCATGTAACTTAGCCATTCTGCTCCTTCTCTTGAACTATTGTATTTGCCAAGAGTTTCACAACTTTGTTTTCACAAGTTTGTTTAAAATGGAAAAGTTGAAGTCTGAATCTCCTAGTGCTCTCTTAGCATTTCTCCAGAGCCAATAAAAATTATACAGAACATTCATTCGATTGCTATTTTACTAAGGTTGCTTCCCAATCCCCTTAGGGATGGATGTTGAATTTTATTAAATAATTTTGGCATCTACTAAGTTGATCATATGACTTTCTCCTTTAAACTTTTAACACACTGAATCAAGTTTTATTTAAAATATTTTAAATTAGGAAACATTTCAAACATACTGAAAAATACAAACAATAATGTAACAGACACGTATGTACCCACTACCAGTATTTACAGACATTAGCATTTTGCCATATTTGCTTCAGCTCACTCTCTCTCTCTTTCTTTTTTTTTCCAAGATAGGGTCTCACTCTGTCACCCAGGCTAGAGTGCAGTGGGATGATCACTGCTCACTGCAGCCTCCATCTCCCAGGCTTAAGCAATCTTCCCACCTCAGTCTCCTGAGTAGCTGGGACTACAGGCACGTGCCACCATGCCTGGCTAATTTTTTGTATTTTTGGTAGAGATGGGGTTTTGCCATGTTGCCCAGGCTGGTTTTGAACCCATAAGCTCAAGTGATCCACCTGCCTTGGCCTCCCAAAATGCTGGGATTACAGGCCTGAGCCACCACACCCAGCCTCACTCTCTCCTTTTAGATAAACAAAATGAATACAATAAAGTTCTCCATTTCTTCCCTTTCATCCTTTCCTTTCTGTTGAACTAGCATTTCTACTGAAGTTGGTATGTTCATTATCATGAATATTTTAATACATTCTATGTGATTTTATTTTATGTTTTAACAAATTTTATATAAATGGTATCATACTGAATGAATCATTTTGCAACTTGGATTCATTTCTATTTTAGTTTTTTTTTTTATTTACCATGCTTTTAGTTTGTGTTTCTTTTTTGTCTTCCGTGATCAATTTTTCTTCATTCCCTTTTATCTCCTCTCTTCATTTTAAAGTTATGTATTTTATTTCTATTCTGAATCCTCCTGCTGAAAAAACTAAAAATGTTGGAAAAAATATTAATTTTTTTCTCAGAAGCATTGTAGAACTGTCAAGGTAGTAAGGAATTACGGGCCAAAATCTAAGAAAACACTGGAATCTGGAGAGATAAGCTGAGCACGAATGCACTGAAGATGCCTTTTCTCTGAGGGAACTTGTTGATCTGGACAGATTTGAACCTTGGTTTTAGCAGATGTACCCAGGGCCTATCCAAGGAGGGGATCCTACAAGATGACCCCTCCCTAACTGAGCTAGCACCCCAAAGGGGTGTCACCCTCAGAGTAAAAGAAAACCTGAAATATACTGCTATGGTTTCAACTCATGTTGAAACTTAATCCTCAAGGAAACACTTTTAAGAAGTGGGCCTTTAACAGGCAGAGCCCTCCTGAATGTATTAGTCCATTCATGGATTAATGCGTTAGTAGGTTAACAGATTAATAAATTAATGAGTTATCTTGGGAATGAGTTAGTTATCACTAGAGTAGATCTGTTATTTTAAAAAGCCAGTAGGGCCACCTATCATAAACCCCTTTACCATGTGATACCCTATAGTGCCTGAGGACTCTGCAAAGAGTCCCAACCAGCAAAAAGGCCCTCACCAGATGCAGTCCCTCAATCTCGGACTTCCCAGCCTCCGTACAATTCTGGCTGGGTGCGGTGGCTCATGCCTGTAATCCCAGCACTTTGGGAGTCCGAGGAGGGCAGATCACGAGGTCAGGAGTTCGAGACCAGCCTGACCAACATAGTAAAACTCTGTCTCTACTAAAAATACAAAAATTAGCTGGGCATGGTGGCAGGAGCCTATAGTCCTAGCTACTTGGGAGGCTGAGGCAGGAGAATCGCTTGAACCCAGGAGGTGAAGGTTGCAGTGAGCCGAGATCACGCCACTGCACTCCAGCCTGGGTGACAGAGCAAGACTCTGTCTCAAAAAAAAACAAAAAGCAAAAAACATTTCTTTCCTTTATAAATTACCCAATCTCAGATAGTTATACTACACTCCCATACTCCCAGGGGTAGAGGTGAATGTTGCCTTAACACTGAGAAGAACAGATGAAAAAAGAAAAGGAGAGAACTCCTCCCTGAAAAGTTGTGCCCCACCAAGAATTACAGAGCTGGTTTGGATAGTCAGGGAACATGAAACCATGAAGTTGGATAATGTGGTTCTGACTGGTAGAGGAAAATCCTCACTGAAAGAAGGTAACCTTCATCCTAGGCCTCGAAGAATTCCTTTACATAATATTTTAGGGACACTAATCAGTGTACAGTAAAACACACATGTGCACATGCACATACACACACACAAACAGAAAAGATCTCATGAGAAAAAATATACACACGAAATTTAGCAGATACATGAATTATCAGACAGAGCCTATTTACAATTTAAAACATCAAAATACTCTAACAAGTGACCACATTTGAAAAGAACCAATGGTATTGTATAGAAATAAATATAAAAAATGAAAAAATTAAAAATCAGTGGACAGGCTGGGCTTGGTGGTATGTGCCTGTAATCTCAGCTATTTGGGAGGCTGAGGTGGGAGGATTGCCTGAGCCCTAGAGCTTGAGTCCAGTCTGGGCAACGTAGTGAGACTCTGTCTCCTAAAAAAAAATCAGTGGATAAATATAACAGCAAATTAGAAGACATATATATTAAGAAATTATGCAGAATGTAGCATAAATAGACAAAAAAGAAAATATATAAGAAAAGTTAGGAGACATGGAGGAGAGTGGGGGAATCTAACATTTTTAAATCAGAGTTATAAAAGAAGAGGAAGGAGAGAAAGGAGCAGAGGAAACACTTTAAGAAATAATGACTAGGGATGTTCCAGAACTAATGAAGAAACTCATTTCAGATGACTTGTCCATCTCACTATAGATCTCAAATGTTTGCAACACAGGCTATTCCATTTTAAAAACACTATTCCACTCATCATCTACAAATTTGAAGCTTCATTTATGTGTTGCTTATTTAATATGTCATTTAAAATTCCACTTTCATACTTGATAAATTTCAACTGTAGCCATCTTGGGCCAATATTAAGTTCAAAAAGCAGGCAAGTTTCAGGTGGGCCATTCTATAATAAGAAATTAACATCTTGATGCTCTACAGATATTTTAGTATACAAATTTTATTGTTAAAGGGTGGTAATGGTATTTAACATTTTCCATACTAAAATTATTGCTGCCATGTTTTATGATGTGGAACTCTGAAACATCAGTAACTCATTTGTCTGTAATTCAGAGGGGACACACATTACTTTCTGAAGACAATCTCATCCTTATTCCTAGTACTTTATTTCTTTGGCACAACTCCAAGTACCAGGTGGAGTGACTTTCTATCCATGTAGCTTTTTTTATGTTTTAATCTTTGCCAGAAAATGTCAATGCTACCCCCCCAGCTCTGCTAATTATTAAAACATAAGGCTCTGTACTTAATTAGTGACGATGAATAGATGTTTTCTAGGTATTTCTCAGGAGAGTTAATCTCAAATTCAGAGCTGTTCACTGTATTTTAAAAGCTCAGCTGAAAGAGGGCCATTGGAAGGATTTGCAATTCATTCATTTTTCTGGATACAAGAAAATCTACCTCTGGATTAAGACATACCATACATAGAATCTTGCCTGTAATGACCCAATAGAGAAATTATTTTCTGGTTTTAATTCAAGCAGTTTTGCTTTCCCAAGAAATTGATTGACTTTCTGCATTATAGACAACATATCTATTTATGGTCCAGTACCTTACTACTACTGCTTTAGGGCTTAAACGTAGGGAGACAGGATGTACGCATAGCTTTCAATTCTGTTTCTGACATAGTCACTTTGCTGTAGTTACAGACTCATCAAAATGGCCACGGTTATGACAAAATATAAATTAATTTTTATTGTTTATACCTCATTCCTTATACTCACTTCATTCCTGAGCTTCATCACATTTCTGATCTTCACCCTAGCTGAGGATGTCAGTAATTGCAGGAGGCTCAGGAATGGGCTGAAAACAGTCATTTTGCACATTATGACAAAATAAGAAAAAAAAAGTATAAGAGTTTCTATTTTAGTCTGTACCAAAATGTACCCTAGTCAAAATGATTGCATCAAAATTTTACATACTCTGGAGACTATTAATATAACAAATGCCAAATTGATTTAACAAACTTTTATTATGTCTCAGCTATGGGTTAGGTATTTGGTACATGAAAGCAATAATGAGATACTAAAGATAAGCCCAAATTGATAGCAAAGAAATTAATCTAATATTTGAGAGTAAAACTAGTAGACTCTGTACATAATAGAAGTAACCAACTATCTATAAAGAAGCAGAAGGGTCTGTGTGTAAATCAGTAACTAAGGAATTCTGGAAAGCAAGTTAAAATGAAATTCATTGAGCATATTTATTATGAGCTGGTCCTGTGTTTTTACCTGATTGAGGAGTGCCCAAAACTTCACACAAGATAAAAAGAGAATAGTCTCAGGAAAAGATGAATGTATTGCTATGCTATAATTCAATCCACCTCAATCTAATCAATTTTACCATACTTTGGCAGCAGAAGAAATATTTTAATACAGACATATTGTCCTACACGGCTCCTATAGTGGTGCAATAGATCGAAAAATGCAAAGAATGCTTGCCATTTATTCCTTCATTTGTTTATGCATTTGTCAAACATTCACGGAGTCTTGGTGTAGGTTTTGTAATAAGCATTAAAATGTAAAGACCAATAAGACACAGTCTCCACTCACAACAAACTTACAGTCTAGTAGAGAGCAACAGACCAATAAACCAATAATTATAATACAGGCTGGCTATGGCTGTAACTATTAATAATAATTACATACTGTATTAGTCAGCTATGGACACAATACTGCATAAGAATGCAGTGATTTAAAATAGCAATTGTATTCTCTAGGTCATAAGTCTGTGGGCTAGATAGGTAAGACTCCAACCCCTGGGTTTTGGGCTCCAGGATACAGCTTGGGTTTAGGTCAGCTCCATATGTTCCTCGTCTTTGGACCAGAAGGTGCCTGGGGTATGTGGTCTGTTCCATGTGTCTCACTCAGGGACTAGGCTGAATAATCAGCAGCAACCAGGGAAATACTCTTCTCATAACTGGAATAGGAGGGCAAGCTCAAGCACACAGCATATGTCAAACCACTGAATTACAGATGCTGACATCCCATTGGCCAAAACCCAAAACATATGATCAAGACTAATGTCAATAGGGCAGGAAAGAAACTATAATTGGAGTCTATAGGAGCAAATATTTGCTGAACAATAATCCAAACTCACACATACACAGTGCAATTGGAAAAAGCAGAGCGGGATTATATAACTCAAAGCTCTTGGTTATAACCAGTAGAAACAGATTTTGGAGTATTTAAGCAGAAAAGGAATTTATTAAGGAGCTATTGGTTAGTACATAAAGTCTCTTGAAAGGTCTAAAAACCAGTCCCAGAGACTATGCAACCAGGTACAACTTCCAAAATCACACAAAACTAGGCTGGAGAGGACACCACTGTTATTGCCAGTAGCACAGACACTCCCACTATAACTACCCACACCACTAATACAACTCTGTTGCTATAACTACTGGCACTATTGCCTCTAAAAATTGATTTTAGCTGCCTTCTTTGTTGCTATACATTGTCAGAGTTCTGCAAAAAAATGCTCTTTTTCATGCCATTAGCTTCTAATTCAAAATCTGGGACATATATATTTGATTGGCAGATCCTAGATCACATGCACGCCCTGATTACAAGGGATGTGGGAAAGCAAGCATTTGGCTTTTTCAGTTTTTAAAGAGACGGAAGCCTCCATCTCATAATAGCAACATCTCAAACATAGGTAGGGGACTCAGATGCCGTGTGGCAAAAAGTAAGAATGAGGAATTTCCATTACAAGCACACAGATGGAGGCAGAGGTATCAGGAAAATCTTCCCAGAGTAGATAGATTAGGTTCAAGTTGACTCTTAAAGAATAAGGAGGAGTTAGAGAGTTGACAAAGGGTAAAAATGGCCTTTGAAATAGAAAGAGTCATGAGAAAATGGCACACTTGTGGATGTGCAATAGTTTAGCACAGCTTAAATACAACGTATGGGGATGGATGTGTACGGAGCGGTCATGGAAAAGTGTCATGAAATTGTTGGTGAAAGAAATAGGAGATACATCATGAAAGCCACTTTTTGTTTTTTTGAGACGGAGTGTTTGCTCTGTGGCCCAGGCTGGAGTACAATGGTGCAATCTTGGCCCACTGAAAACTCTGCCTCCTGGGTTCAAGTGATTCTCCTGCATCAGCCTCCTGAGTAGCTGGGATTACAGGCACCCACCACCATGCCCAGCTAATTTTTGTATTTTTAGTAGAGACGAGGTTTCACCATGTTGCCCAGGCTGGTTTCGAACTCTTGACATCAGGTGATCCACCCGCCTCGGCCTCCCAAAGTGTTAGGATTACAGATGTGAGCCATGGTGCCTGGCCAAGCCTTGTATGTTATGTAATGTTAATTGGTCAAGTTATAATGTAGGAGAAAGAGAAAATAGGTATTTCATATAGAAAAGTATTTAATTCGGGGAAATATAACATTGGCAGAAAAGATGGAAGAATAGAAATCAAGGGGCTGCTATAACTTCATAGCTGAGATCTAGGATTCAGGAAGCCACTGCTGCTGTTACCATTGAGGCTGCATCAGTTGCCTCTTACATCCATGAAGCTGGTGAATGGATATCAGGACTCCAAGTTTAACTACTGTAATTGCCTCTTAACACCAACATCTTCATAACTTTGCTTGCCAATAGCAACAACAACAGAATATCACTTCTACCTCATTTTTATCTTCCAAACCTGGTGGTAGCACATCAAATTGGCAGAATCTACTACATCTGGTGCTCCGGTGGCACTACTGTATGGGGAATTTAGGGTTTTTTTGTTTGTTTATTTTTTTATTTTAATTTTTTTTAGATTTCCATCATCTCCTATTAGGAGAATGGAGGGACATTAAAGTGGGCAATCCATAGTGTCTAACGCACCATGTATGTAATTTTATGTATGAAGTTTATCTCAAGGACTATGAAAATGGTTAATATATATTTGAAGTATGGATATTACACACTTATATTTGCTTTCTGAAAAGTTGTTCCTGTGACACTGGAAGGAATTAATTGCAAGAATATACAATAAAATATTTTTGTAGTAATTCAAGCGAGATATTATAGAATAACTAGGAATTGAGAGTAAAGTAAGTGTTGGGGAAATACAAAGAAGGTAGACGCTTCAGAACATGGTACAGGGTCACTTGGTTATAGTGGGTTAGAGAAAGAGAAGATGAGGTTTACTCTCAGTTTTCAGAGTTGGATAACTGAAGGAGTGGTGACATGATTCAACAAAATGGAATACAGAAAGAAAAAGAGAAAGAAGCATAATTAGTTCTAGAAATGTTGAGCTTTTAGGTCCTGTGGGATAGTTACAAGGAGTTTTCAAGTTTGTGATAAGATATATGGCTCTGATGCTTTGGAGAGGGATGTGGTTTGAAAGTATAAATTCAGAAATCATGGCCACATAGATAAAAGTCAGTATCACAGGAAAATTCAATGACATTGTATTTGGATAACTAACACTAGGTACTAAAACAAATTACCAAAAATTCTTACTGGCTTAAGATAATAAGGTTTATTTTCTATGCACCTCATGGTTCAGAGCAATCCTCTGATTTTGGTGGGGGAGATATTTCTATTCCATCAACCGTTCAGAAACCTCAGGTTACTTCTTTGCAGTAGCTCCCATGTCTTCTAGAGCTCAGAATACTCTGGTCGATCCTCTGCATCTGACTGACCCAAGAACAAAAAAAGCTGGGAGAATGTTAACAAGTTTTAGGGGTCAGGCTAGAAGTAATGTTAGAATGGAGCTTCTCCACCTGGGCGCAGTGGCTCATGCCTGTAATCCCAGCACTTTGGGAGACCAAATCCGGTGGATTACCTGAGGTCAGGAGTTTGAGACCAGCCTGGCGAACATGGTGAAACCCCGTCTCTACTAAAAATACAAAAGTTAGCCGGGTGTGGTGGCACACACCTGTAATCTCAGGTACTCGGGAGGCTGAGGAAGGAGAATTGCTTGAACCCGGGAGGCGGAGGTTGCACTGAGCCGAGATTGCGCCATTGCACTCCAGCCTGGGTGACAAGAGCAAAAATACATCTCAAAAAAAAAAAAAAAAAAAATGGAGCTTCTCAAACTATCTGTCAGAAAGGACCAATTAAAAAAAATTCCAATCCACTGCAGACCATTACTTTTGTAAAAGACAATAAAAATGTTGTAACGTTGTGAGCACAGAGGGAACATATTTCAAAATAATAAAAGCCACATATGAAAACCCACAGCCAACATTTTACTGAAAAGTTAAAAGCATTCCTCTTAAGAACTGGAACACACGAGGATGCCCACTTTCACCACTCCTATTCAATATAGTACTGGAAATACTAGCTAGTCCAATCAGCCAAGAGAAAGAAATAAAAGGCATCTGAATTGGAAAAGAGAAAGTCAAATTATCTTTGTTTGCTGATAACATGACCTTATATTTAGAAACTCCTAAAGACTCCTCCAAAAGACTGCTAGATTTGACAAACGACTTCAGTAAAGTTTCAAGATGTAAAATCAACATACAAAAATCAGTAGCATTTCTATACACCAATAACAATCAAGCTGAGAACCGAATCAAGAACTCAATCCCATTTACAATAGCTGCAAAAGAAAAAAACATAAGATACCTAGGAATACATTTAACCAAGGAGGTGAAATATCTCCACAAGAATTATAAAACATTGGTGAAGGAAATTGTATATGACACAAATAGAAAAACAACCCATGGATTGGAAGAAACAGTATCACTAAAATGACCATACTGCCTAAAGCAATCTATGAATTCAATGCAACTCATCAAATTACTAATGTCATTTTTCACAGAATTAGAAAAAACAATCTTCAAATTCTTATAGAACCAATGCCAGGCATGGTAGCTCATGCCTATAATCCCAACAGTTTGGGAGGTCGAGGTGCAGATTGCTTGATCCCAGGAGTTTGAGAACAGCCTGGGCAACATAGCGAGAACCCACCTCTAGAAAGAATTTGAAAAAACTTAGCTGAGTGTGGTGGCATGTGTCTGTAGTGCAGCTACTTGGGAAGCTGAGGTGGAAGGATCACTTGAGTCCTGGATGTTGAGGCTGCAGTGAGCTGTGATTGTGCCACTGCACTCCAGCCTGGGTGACAGACTTGGACTCTGTCTCAAGAAAAAAAAAAAAATTATGGAATTAAAAAAAAAAAATCCTGAAGAGCCAAAGCTCCAAGCAAAAAGAGCAAAGCTGGAGGCATCACATTATCTGATGTCAAAATATACTATGAGGTTATAGTAACCAAAACAGCATGGTAATGTAAAAACAGACACATAGATCAATGGAACAGTATAGAGAGCCCAGAAATAAAGCCACATACCTACCACCAATTGACCTTTGACAAAGTCAACAAAAATACACACTAAGGAAAGGATACCCTAATTCAATATATGGTGCTAGGAGCCTCTGTTACAGGATTGAATGGTCACTGCTGGAGTGATGAAAAGTTGCTGGATTCATGAAGACAGGAAGAAAAAACAGGCAAACAGGAAGGAGCAAAGCCCTTCTTCTTCCTCCAGTCTTCCAGTCCCTCTTTAGTTCCCCCTATTGGCAGAGCCTACCAGCAACTGGCAAGGCACAAATTTGTTTTGTAGAGTCCTAGCTCCCAGCATCACAAAGCAAGAAGGGTGGCTGTGGAACTGGAATAAATAGTAGTTTAACTTGCCCACAAGCCAAGGATACAGCTGTAGGTAAAACCCTACAGAGGGTATATTCAGCTTGATCCTACAGGGAAATTCTGGAGTGTAAGTTATTTGTCTAAATTGTTCCTACCCAAGACAGGGGGAGCTAAAGCTTCCATACTCCTGCATTTATCAGTCATTGGTTAAGAACTGCCCTTGAGGGATATAATTTCCCAGGGACTTCCAGTCCTTGTGAAAGCATGCAAAGTAGTTCCAAAAGCCTAAGGACAGTCCTGTGAAAAAGAGTTGCAGATCCCAGCTGTTGAAAACAGAAGCACAGTGAAACTTCAGGTAATGGGAACACTCAAAAAAGGTAGATGAATATCACCTACCTTTAAATACTGAAGCATCAATAGTATTTATTCTGGAGGCATAGTTCTAAAAGCTGCCTATTTCTCTGCTTTTTTGACTAAATTTTTCTTTTTCAATTTAATGGCCGTTACTTTGAGGCTATCTGAAATAATAGGTGCTATCTGAAACATATGTAATCTGATCTTTTCCTAAGTGAAAGTCACTTTGTACTGGTGCTTCCTTGCTCAAAGCCTTTGAAAGTCACATCTCTGTTTGGAATGTAGAAGAAGTAGTGTTTTCCAACCCTGCAAAGTCCCCCAGTGGTGGACTCTCTCTATTACCTTTCATTTCTGTTTGTAATGTTAGGGCTCAGAGAACGATACCTCAAAGTATGGGGCTTTGGGGTGTGCTGAGCACTTCTGAATTAAAGAAACTTGGAAACGCTTAGAAGTTGCCTCAGAATAAAGGACTTTCTAAACTTCTTCTGTCCTCGCAACCCCCAAACACAGGGAGAGGCTCTCCCTGGAAGTTCCCTTATCTTTCAGAAGAAAACTTTTTTCAAAAGAAATTGCATTTCCAAAGAAATGCAATTGTTCTAAAGCCTCCTCCCTAGGAATCTCATCAAATAACCAGTGAAGATTAACCATAAGGAGAAGAGAAAAGACTAAAAGTCATCATCATGCCCAGACAGACTGTTCCTCTATTCTTCTCAGGGCAACTGAGATTACCTGGGAGACTTTATCTGCATAAGAAGACCGTCTTTGTTCATTTCCGTTGCTCAGGCTGGAATGTAGTGGCAGGATCATGGCTCACTGCAGCCTTGAACTCCTGGACTGAAGGAATACTCCCGCCTCAGCCTCCTCAGTAGCTGGGACTACAGGTACATACCACCACACCTGGCTGCTGCTCTTCTTACAATAGTAACCTGAAGTAACCTGATATTAACCAATCAGTTTTCTTTCTATTATTCTGTCTCAGTGCCCCACCTTACAAGGAAAGTAACTTTGAAATGACCAACTTGTTTTTTGTTGTTTCTTCTTTCTTCAGTCCTTTATCTGTCTATAAAGTGAACCACATCTGTTCCATTCATGGGAACACCTATTCTATTGGTGTTCTATTGCCCCTCACCTTCCTTCAACTTGTTGCCACCTCCCTCAGAGCTCAGAAAACTTTGTCCCAGACCATTGTCTGTTCTTTGAGCTCATTCACGTCTTCTGAAAATCATTTGCTACCCCTCAAAATTGCTTATGTCTTCTATTTTCTTCTCTGCTATGAAGAGGGTATTTGAGTGTCAACTGTCTGGCCCTTCTTTGAGTCTTATGTTTTGTATGACTCCTGTGCACAGTACCATGTGAATACCTTTGTATGCCTTTTCTCCTGTTATTCTCTCTGTTGTTGGTAATTTCAGCAGACTCAAACCTTCAGATGTGAAAAATTTCCTTCGCCCCCAACAATAAACTGGTTAATTCTGTTCTATGCTAATCTCCTTCTGATAACATCTTGCTAAAAATATCAAAAATCACCAACCTCTACCATTAATATTGCTTTCTGAACTCTTCCCTTAGCTCTACAAGTTATGTAGATACTAATCTGCCTTGTGAGATATTGTAAGCAAGAGTTTAGCCACTGCCTAAAGTGAACCTTCAGCTGTCCACCCTCCTACATCTATTTCCTCGATTCCCACCTGATTGCTGTGCTAAGCTAATGACACACATTTTAGTTTTTATCATTGTAGGCCATCACTATTATTAATCAGAGTTAGTGATTTGAGCTATTGCAACAAACCACCCTCAAATCTCAGGGTCTTAACCCAATAAAGGTTTATTTTTTGCTCCAATCAGTCCAGTGAGGATCAGTGTGTTGATGCAATTTTTAAGAAACCCAGAGTCCTTCTATATAATGTTGCTGCCATCCCCCAGCTTCTCAGAGTTTTCTGTATCTAGCTGACTGGTGTGTGAAAAACAAATAGGAACTATAAATTACTGGAAGTTTTAAGGTCAGGCTTGCATGGGAGGGTCACTGCTTCTGTTTACATTCCACTGTCCAGAATTAGTTACACAGCCCAATATAAAAGGTAAGGAAGCTGGGAAACATAGGTTTCCTGGGTGCAAAGAGGAAAATAAGATGGTGAATATGTATCATTATCTCTGTCACACTTAACGATGATTTCAGTTGCAGGTAAGAGAAAATTCAACTCAAATTGGCCTTGTGGGGGAGGAAAAACTTTTCTTCTACTTTTTGAGGTTCTATAATTGGGGGCCTGTGAATAAACTGACAAAGGACAAGAGAAGACAGATTTTAATCACATATGTACGTAAGGAGATCACAAGGAAGTGTTGACTCCAGAGGGTGGTTAGAATTTGGGGCTTAGAGACTGATATACTTCCCTGAAGGGGAGGGGGAGAAAAGCACTTATGGGAAAACAAATGACTTCTTAGAAGGGGAAGGAGCAGAAAGGGAACTTACGGAAATGACTTTTGGGAAAGATAAATGGGCCCTTTGGAGAATAGATGGGAGATATCATAGTTGTTTTGACAATGTCTGTTTAGATGTGGTGACATTCTCATAGTCTCTGACGGTGACTCAATCTTCCTTGGTTGCTCCCTGGAGGGAATTTATAACAATTGAGTTCTTTTGGGTTCTTTTGAAAGGCTCTGCTTTTAGGTAGATAAGGGATTTCAGGAACATAAACATATTCAGCTCAAAATAATTTTTATGCCACAATGGCTTATTCTGGATCCCTTCAGCTTAAACAACAAAGGTGATTTATTAGCTCATAAACCAGAAAAGTCTAGAGGCAGTATGGGTTCCGGTGATGTTTTATTTGAAGGTTTATGATTCTCTCAGGGATTGGCTTCCTTTCCCTATGATTGATTCTCCCAGCTATTCCTCCTTCACGTGTTGGCTTTATTTTCAGTTGGCTCTACTTAGTAGCAAAGAAAAAAAAAAGAGGGAGAATGTAGCTCTTCCAGTATTTACATTTGAATGCCATACCATTCAGAGAAAAAAAAGAACTTCTGTATTCTCTGCAATAAAACAAAAATCCTAGGCTTCCCTCTGATTGGCCTCTGAAACAAAAACTAGTTCAAAGGGTGAGGGTAACTCTGATAACTTTTGGCCAGTTGGACAATTCTTGGACCTGCTGTGCGGTGTATTACGTCTGTCCAAATTGCATGGATGAACACAAAGTAATTGTGGAATGAAAGCTGGGAGATCACCCATATTCACTGCAATAATTCAGGTAAGGATGTGGAGCATAATCTCACTTAAGGAGAATGAGTACTGTGAGGATATCTATAGCAAGTGTGTAACATGTAGAACAGGCTGAGAATGTAAGTCAGAGAAGCTCATAAAAAATGGTGGGAAAGCTCAGACCGTAAGTCAGGAGAACCAAAAGAACGGCGTTCTAGAGGCCAAGGGCGTATGATGTCAGAAGTTTGAAGGACGATGTCAGAATCATCCAAATAACTTCCTGTGTGCTGATTCTATTCTCATGAGTCATCTTTTGTAATTTGGCCTCTCACGTAAATGTTCCTTTGAATGAAAATACATTAACCAGCTTTTTGGTCTCCATGGCAGTTGTGTTTTTCATGAACAACAACAAAAAATAATTGCAATTTTGGCTTACACATGTGTCTCAGTAAGTTTGGTTGGTATGAATCATCCCCCAGGATTCAAATTAGTTCTGGAGACTGGCAACATTGAGCTTTTGTCTCTACAAAGTGAGGACTAGACTCTAGAATACAGAGTGCAATCTTCTCTTTCATCCTGTTATAAATAAAAATAATAGGATGCCATCATTTTATTATTTTTACTTTTTATTTTCATAGGTTTTTGGAGAACAGGTGGTGTCTCGTTACATGAATACGTTCTTTAGTGGTGATTTCTGAGATTATGGAGCACCCATCACCCGAGCAGTATACACTCTACCCAATGTATAGTCTTTTATTCCTCACTCCCCTCTCACGCTCTCCCCGGAGTCCCCAAAGTCCACTCTATCATTACTATGTCTTTGCATCCTTATAACATAGCTCCCACTTACGAGAACATACAATGTTTGGTTTTCCATTCCTGAGTTACTTCACTTAGAACAATGGCCTCCAATTACATCCAGGTTGCTGCAACTGCCATTATTTCATTCCTTTTTATGAGGATGCCATTATTTTGGACCAAACTCCTGCACTAAGCCCCAGCAGACTAGACTAAAAACCAACATGGAGTTACCCATGCTCACAAAACTGAAACTGAGTTGTTATGTGGCCTTCTGAGAAATCAGGAGAGAGATAACAGCCTAATTTCCCAAACAGGCCAGTTTAAACCTTCAATCCCCATGATAATGAAGTTCCCTGTTTTAAGTCGTTTTTGTTTGTTTTTGAGACAACGTCTTGATCTGTTGCTCAGGCTGGACTGCAGTGGCAGGATCATGGCTCATTGCAGCCTTGAACTCCTGGACTGAAGGAATCCTCTTGCCTCAGCCTCCTCAGTAGCTGGGACTACAGGTACACACCACCACACCTGGCTGCTGTTGTTCTTACAATATTAATCTGGAGTAACCTGGTATTAACCAATCAGTTTTCTTTCTATTATTCTGTCTCAGTGCCCCACCTTACAAGGAAAGTAACTTTGAAAAGACCAACTTGTTTTTTGTTGTTTCTTCTTTCTTCAGCCCATTTTCTGTCTATAAAGCCAACCACATCTGCTCCATTCATGGGAACACCTATTCTGTTTTACTGAATGAAGTGGTGCCTGAATCTAGAATTGCAATAAAGCCAACCGAGATCTTTAAATTTGTTGTAATTTCACCTGACACTGTAGCATGCTTTGCTAACCTTTAGGGACATTTGAAAAACGATGTCTTAAGAATGTTCCAAGATTTTGGAATTTTTAAACTTTCCATGTTTGCTGTTTTGACTATTTTCTGTCTTTTCCTGTAAGGTTTATTTTTCAGGGCCAGCAGAAAAGGGAAAGCTGGGTAGATGATCCCAGGCCCATGTGGGAGAAGGATAGGTCATGGTTACCTCCAAGTACACCAGATCTGTAGGAGTGATCCAGGTGGTCTTTGGGGAAGATTAATTTGGGGGCAGTAATCAATATGGAGACTACAGTAATGATAAACACTTGAGAAAAACTGGGGAAAGCCAGATGAGAGAGAAGAAACTGAATTCGAATAGGAAGATGAATTAGCAAGATTCAGTGATTGAACAGGGTGTCTGTTATGGATCCTAACAGGCAAGATTTCAAGTCTTGGTCACTCACAAGCTGCACCAGTAATGCCATTGCTCTTGAGAAGACAATCAGTTTAGGAAACTTTCCTTACAGATCAGAATACAACCTTTAGCAAGTATTTACGCAAGCAGTATCTTGGCAAGTGTTCTTCTTGTAAATTTCTTATACTTCTCGTTGTCAAACTTTAAAAAATGCTATTACAGGTTAATATGCAGATGGCAGAGTTAGGAATTAGAGTGTGCAAGTTAATCATTCTAATTGGGTCACTCTTGTCATAGCCAACTAAAAGAATGGAGAAGCCAGTGCTGGGGGAAGCCCTCAGGGCACATAACATTGCTCTAAGAATGGAATTCTCAGCAAGCCTGGCTGCTGAAACCGCCTGCTGTAACCTGAAACAGGTTTTATCTTCAGGTTTTAGCTTCTCAAAGAACCTGCTGCAGCTGTAGGGCAAGCTTTACCAAGCCCCTTCCCTCACCAGTCAGAACTAACCAGCTACCCAAAACTTTACTAAATGTCAACGAACTTTCTAGAAAAACAATAGATAACTTTTTTTAAAAAATAAAACCCCCTAACTCCTCTTTGTTCTTCTGACATACTGAAGACCACCCTGTATGTGTAAATAACCTGAACTTGCAATTCCTGTGTCCCAAATAAAACGCTAAATGTACAGATTCGTCTCTTCGTATTTGACCTCGACAGGGAACGCAAGCAAAACCACACATTTAAAACAGACTTGGTAAAATCAGCTCGTTATTTAAAGAAACGGACGATTCCTTTTTCTCTCCTGGTTTAGTCTTCGACCCACAGGCCCCTTGCTTCTTTCGAACGGCGGCTGTATCCCATGACCTTTTCACTTTCCAAGCCAACGGACTGGGGGTCGTTACACACGCGGAGGGCCCGGAACGCACGGCTCCTCGCCTGCAAATTCCGAGCAGTCCGGATTTTGGGGCTGCCTCCCGGCCACACCAGCCAGCAGCTCGCACCCACATGGAGGCAGGGCCCTGGCCCTCGCCCCGGACCGGCGCGTGGCGGGGCGCGTGGGTCTTCGAGGGCCCGCGACGCGGCGCACATGCCGGTGCCCGCCTCCCGCGTCGGCGAGAAGACAGGGAGCTCGGACACGGGGAGGCTGACCCGGAGCCTACCCATGAGGCAGCGCGCCGGCTGCACGAGAGCCCCCCCCTTTCCACGGCTCGGCTGCCAGCTCCGCAATGGGAGCCGCCGCCGTCGCCGCAGTGTAGTTTTTCGTGCTCCTCCTTTTCCTCCTCCTCTTTCTCCTCCTCCTCAGGGCTCCAGTCAGGCCGATCCGCTCCGCTCACGGTAAGCGCCCCCCCGCCCCCGCCCGCCCTGCGCTGCAGCAGGCAGAGGCCCTCCCGCGCGGCCTGCGCCGCCTCACTCCGGGGGCGCTGGACTGGGGGTCTTGAGGCCGGCGCGGGTCGTCGGGAGCGCCCAGAGCGCGGGGGAGGAGACCGGCTGCGCGGCGGCGGCCGGACCGCCATCTTGCGTCGGCCCAGGCGGGGGAGGAGGTATCCCGGCGCGACGCGGCAGCCGCCTCGGCTGCTGCAGGCCTGGGCCGCGCAGGCCTTCGCCTTCTGCTCCTCCGCCACCTCCTCTCCCAGGCGTGTGCGCCTGTTTGTCCCCAGCCTGGTTTTGGCTTTTCTCTCTGGAGGCAACTCCCTTTGGTACATTTTGTGCCGATGTTTGGCCAAGACCCATGGTCCTCACACCACAGCCCACCCCCGTGTCTCTTCAGTCGTAGGAAAGGAGACCAAAGGGGATTCGGGATTTGCAGGCACAGGGCCCCTCATTTTGCCCAGATGACCGGTCGTTCCACGTTTGCACCCTCATTTTTGTCAAAGAGACCTCCCCTCCTCTGCCATAGAATTCCCGTTATTGTCTACAGAAGAAGGGCCCTGAGGAGAAACGTGGAGTTGGAGACAAAATTTTCTGAGCTTTGCAAGGTTCACTTACTGAGACGGAAAGAATGATCTCACTCTGAGGTTTTAGCCTGCTCCAGCGATGGAAGGAATTCCTCCCAACTTATCGCAAGTTTTAACGCTTTTAAGGAGAAATCTGCTGGAGAGGAAAAACGTCAAGGTGAACCCGCTTCTGCAAGCACGGGAGACCTTTGGCCAAAGGCCTTTGTTTGCGAAGATTTGTTAAAAAAAAAAAAATCTGTCATCTTAAATATTTGGCTTTATTTTCAGGTTTGGACAGAATTTGTCTTTTTTAGTGCCATGAAACATAAAATGGAACGCTAGAAGGACAGTTTTAAAGCACAAAAGCTGCCTCTTAGCATCTGTAAGGTGTCCTGCTTTGGGGGACTGCTGTGCCAACTCCAGCTGTCTCCACGCAGAAACTTAACCAGGGAAGGCACTGGTTTGCTTATACCATTGTTAGGGCTGTGTGCCTCTGATGTTTTAACATCACTACAAATACTGTTGTAATTGTGTCTTGCTTTTGTGCCTTTCATTGATAACCCCTGATTTGTATCTCTTAGCCCCTTTTGAAGTGGTCTGGGTTGCTGGAATCATTTTGCAGGCGAGGAAACAGAGCCTCAGGGAGAGGACTTTAATGAGGTCACTGACTAGGAAGAGCCAAGGCCAATTATATTAATAGAACCTTAGGTCTTCTGACTCCTTCTCCGGTGCTCAACTCTAGTATATACCATTTTTGTGGGAATGAGGTAGATGAGAATAGGCAAGGAGGCTCACTTAAAGATTTTAAGAAACATTACTCAGTTGCCCTTTCGTTGATATTTTTATACTTTACTTTTGAAATGCGGTTGTTATGTTGCCCAGGCTGGTCTCAGACTCCTGGGCTCAAGCTGACCTCTCACCTCAGCCTCCGTAGCTGGGATTACAGGTGTGCACCATCTAGCCTGGCTTTTATATTTTTATTCTCGAGTTAATTTCTTAACTTTGCAACTTGCTATTTTTTTCGAAAATATTGGAAAGTTAAATAGCCCATTTGAACACTTAGTTTTAACGCTACCTTTTTGCCATATTTGCATTTTTCCACTTATCTCACATTCTGTTTTCTGAACGTTTCAAAGTGCATTACGGATATGACAGTTCAGCCCTAAATGCTGTATGTGTGTCAGTATGTATTTTGTAAGAGATCAAGGCCATTTTTCTGTGTAACAATACCGCAATCACACTTAAGAAAGTGAAGAATATTCCTTAAAATCTAACGTGGTGTAGTATATATTCACATTTCCCCCCATTTCTTCAAAATTCCTTTTCAGTCTTTTTTTTTTTTTTTTTTTTTTGAGATAGGTACTTGCTCTGTGTCCCAGGATGGAGCGCTGTGGAGCAGTCTTGGCTCGCTGCATCCTTGACCTCCTTCCTGGGCTCAAGCCATCCTCCCACCTCGGCCTCCTGAGTAGCTGGGAACCCAGGAGCACGCCACCACACTCAGCTAATTTTTGTATTTTTTGTAGAGATGGGGTTTTGCCGTGTTACCTAGGCTGGTGTCAAACTCCTGGGTTCAAGTGATCCACCTGCCTCGGCCTCCCAAAGTGCTGGGATTACAGATGTGAGCCACAGCACTGGGCGAAATTGACCTTTTGAAGAGACCTGGTCTGTAGTCTTTCAGAATAACCCATATTCCATGTTTTAGTGATAGTTCCTCCTGATAGTGTTTAAATTTGTTCCCCCTATCCTCTCTGTTTTCTCTAAACTTGGATTTGGGTCTAAAGGCTTGAATATATTTAGGTTTAATATTTTTTTGACAGGAATACTTCATAAGCCATGCAGTATGCTTCATTGCATACAACATCCAAAGGCACATAAAGTAGGCTTGTCTTATTAATAATCCTAAATTTGATCTCTTAGATAAGGTGGTGACAAGCTATCTTTCCATTGTAAGCATTTCCTTCTGCAATTAGCAAGTCATTTGTGGTGTGATATTTTGGCATTAGTAGTTGGTAGGAATTTACCTGCAGTAATCTGATAAACACAGTTGGGAGCAGTCGTTTAGGTATGGCTTTGGAAGTTAGGAAGAAGAAGAAGTGGAGACAATTCTGGAGGAAATACTAACCCATCTACTTTAGGGAACTTGGAATGCTTCTATGTGTTGGCATCAGAGCCTAGGGAGACTAGGAGAGAGGAGGCAGAAAGTAGATGTCAGAAAGCTTTGCCTTCTTTGAAAGTTTGCTTAGGACCATTTTAGCCATAGTAAGCTATGGTAAATAGAAAAGTTCTGAAGTAGTTTGATGTTGGAGGATTGCAAGTGCTTCAACTGGAACATCTGTCCAGTTAGGCTACTAATCCAGTCCTTTTTCATTCCAGTGTTCTATTAATCAGCATTGGCTCACTGAAATAGCAGTTTTCACAAATGAAAAGTCAACTGTAGTTTTAGGTGACAGGAAATTGGATATTTCTATTGACAACATACTTTGTTATTCCAAAAGCAAGTTTTGGAAGATGAGGAATACTTACGACATATTCACTAATTAAATATATAAATCCTGAATAGTTTTTTTCTTGCTTTAGAAAGGAATTAAAAACTTTGAATTTTCAGATTGCTTTAAATAGTGATTTAAATAATGACTTGATTTAATCAGTGCCTTATATCAAAAATTGTATGTTTAGAATTTTGATTTATTTCTCCAGAGCAATTTTAAGGATTCTCTTAACCCTCAGTATACGAGGAAAAGTGTACAATTATCACTATCATCTGGGTCAAAAGGGACTGGTTTTTTTTGCATTTTACGTTATTATGTATAATTTATAGGAGTAAAAATAAAGCATAATGTAAAACAACTTATTGGAGCTTTTAATAAGAATTTCAATACAGCAGATATCTTTGTATGTACTTAGAAAAATAAAAAATAAAAAATCTATTTCATGCATTTAATTACATAACACTCCTACAACAAATATACATCACATTTGAACGCTTTGCATAAACATTCTCATTGTAACACACATTTTTTTCTTTTTGAGTTTCTGTATCTGTACAAAGAACATCTTTCTTTCTTCCCATTTTCAGATCTGTGCAGAAATCATTGTGGTTAGAGGGTAAGACAACATTCCCTTCCTATTTTCTGCAAGTTATTTTCCTAGTTGCATGAGGAATTTCTTCTTGGTAACTTCCAGTTTTGTAACTGAAGCTTTTCCCGTACAATGAAAGTATACTCTGAACTAATATCAGTCATAAGCCATCTTCAAATCATTCTCTTCCAAGTATTGTTTCTGACCCACTTTTTGAATGTGTCACTTCTGTAGTCTTTTTGTAATACAGATCACTTCAGATTAATTTATGCAAGGATTTTAAAATTCATTGATGGTTGAGAATGCACTGAGCTGAGAAGAGTAGGTATAGTTTTCCTTAGGACAATAAGAATCATGAATTATATTCGAAATCCAGATTTTGTGCAGTTGACTTCTTTTGCTTTTCCATTTGTGAAAATTCACAGAAGTTCAATGCTGTTCTTCCTAACAGTGCCAACTAAGGAGAGTTTGATGCTGTGTGATATTCAGCCAAGTCTAAATTTGTAAAAAATTTGTCACAAGTTATATGTCTGACAGAATTTTGAAATTTTTCTGTCATTTCGTATATATCAATCTTGATTCTACTTTCATGCCTTTTCCCAATCTCTGTGTAGATCTGCATTGTCCAAGCTTATCATATTTCATTGTCACCTGTTGCTCAGATTTTCATTTCATGTTTTTCACCTTTTGAAGGTATTTCTACCTGAAATGGGCAACATCATCTGAATGGAATTAACTATAGATGCTCCTTGAATTACGATAGGTTACATCCTTGATAAACCCGTCATTAGTTGAAAGTATCATGAGTTGAAAATGCATTTAATACACCTAACATACTGAACATCGTAGCTTGGCTTAGCCTACCTCAAATATGCACAGAACATTTATATTAGTCTACAGTTGGGCAACATCATCTAACTCAAAGCTTATTTTTTAATAATAAAGTGTTGAGTATCTCATGTAATTTATTGAGTACTGTACTGAAAGTGAAAAACAGAATGGTTGTATGAGTACTGGAAGTAATGAATGCACTTTCACACCATTATAAAGTTGAAAATTGTTGTAAGTTGAACCATCTTAAGTTGGAGACTGTCTGTACTTAGCAACTTTCATACAAGACCCTGGAACTATTTGTCTTATAAATACTGATTCTAAATTTCAAATGCTTCCCTGATAGGTTCTTGCTTGTCATTCCTTCTGGGTTGTCTTTTTGCATGTACATCATCAAAATGCAATACTGGAAGAATTTTTGAAACCTTTGATGGTTCATAATTTTGTTGAAGACAGGACGGCCATCTTCTTTGCTCCACAATTGCAAGATTTTTCAATTTCAGATTTATGAGCAACTAACTAGAATGATCAATCCAATGAATTTTTTAAAATGTCTATATTTTCTATTTCCTTCCAGTCACCTTTGCATACCCCTGCATTCAATACTTGGGCACTTAAGCGTTGTATCAAGGCCGGGTGTGGTGGCTTATGCCTGTAATCCCAGCACTTTGGGAGGCCAAGGCAGGATTGCTTGAGCCTAGGAGTTTGAGACTAGCCTGGGCAACATAAGAAGACCTTGTCTCTACAAAAAATAAAAAATTAGCCGGGTGTAGTGGCATGTGCCTGTGGTCCCAGGTACTTGGGAGGCTGAGGTGGGAGGATCGCTTCAGGTCTGGGTTGCAGTGAGCTGCAATTGTGTCACTGCACTCCAGCCTGGGTGACAGAGTGAGACCCTGTCTCTTAAAAAAAAAAAAATGTATTAAGTAAAATTTTAGCACACACTTGTAAAGGATGAAAGACTGTCACATTTTCTTTGAGCAGAACAGCATGGTCCATATTCTTAATGTAAAAATATTGTGTGATGAAGTTCTTCCCACTGGATGAGAATGCCGTATTTCCTTTTTGTTTTTAGAAATACGTTATTCTCTCATTGATTAAGTTTGAGGGAATTTATCTAAAGTAACTCATCCAAGGACTCAGTCTGAGATTTCCCTTATAAAGTCATTTTCACTACCATCATTAAGAGTCTAAAGTGCTGCTGTCTATCTTTGTGTTAATCTTCTGGTTCGTCTAATAGTTGTGAAATGCCTTCCTCTGTTAATTTTCTTCTCTTCCATTTTGGGCAGAAAATGAAGTCTGAGTTCTTAATTGTATTCAGTGAAAACTAGAAACAGATGAAGGGGATCAGAATCTGCCACTTACGCATGAGGATTATTTTGAGTTGAAGGCAATTGAGAGTCAGTAGATGCTGGAAGAGTTCTGTGCCCTCCCCTTATTTGCCTAGTAGTAGCAGGGCATTAATTTCTATCTTTTTTCTTTTTTTTCTTTTTGAGACCGTGTCTTGCTCTTGTTGTCCAGGCTGGAATGCAATGGCGTGATCTCAGCTCACTGCAGCCTCCACTTCCCGGGTTCAAGTGATTCTCCTGCCTCAGCCTCCCGAGTAGCTGGAACTACAGGCGTGCGCCACCATGCCTGACTAATTTTGTATTTTTAGTAGAGACGGGGTTTTGCCATGTTGGCCAGGCTGGTCTCGAACTCCTGACCTCAGGTGACCCACCTCCCAAAGTGCTGGGATTACAGGCATGAGCCACCACGCCCAGCCAGTTTCCTTCTTATAACAGGGAGGGAAGAGCAACTCTTTTCCCTTGAGATTGAGAGTCAAGGCAGAGATGAGTTTGTATAAACAAATTTTACTAAAATAACCGTTATTTTCCATTAGTTCTCCCATTTTTTCTAGTCACTTTCCCATGGTTTATTGTCCCTGAAATTCCAAGTTCCCTTTTTTGGGGGGGTTAAAATAGTATAAAAGCCTCTACGTCTAACCACTTGTTTGAGTTTCACTTCTTTTCTGTGAACTCCTGTGCATGTCAATATTAATAAAAATTGTATGCTTCTTCTCTTGTGAATCTGTCTTTTCATAGTTTAATTCACAGGCCATGAGATACTGAACCAAAGGTGATAGAGGAATTGTTTTCCCTCTCTGACATAGACTACAAAAATGTCTTCAGTTTTCCATATGTCTTTGAAAATTGATGCAATATTTTTGCAAAACTATAAGAAAACTGGAAAATAAATGAGAACAATTAAGGCTAATGCATTAGTCATGATTTATTTCACTGTTGTATTATTCTTTTAGGCAGTCCTATTATTTTTTTAGCATAGTTGGGATTAATTGATGAACAATGGTGAAATAATACCTAGAATGATGGAGTTAGCAAAATATTTCAAGATGTAGGAAAAATAAAGCCACTAACATCCCATAATGTATTTTAGATTGATAAAAGGATTCTGTTATAGACCCACATAATAATTATAAGATATAATGAGTTTTAATCTATTTTAAAGTAGTAAGTAAATTTTCCCTTCTTTGTTTAAAGATCTCTAGGAAACAATGTGAATAATGTCAGTCTTTCTAAAAAGAACTGCTCAAGAAAGAAAGTAAAAAACTAGTTTCCTTTGGACTCTGATAGTATACTGGACTTTAATGGTTAATTTGGACAGTTAGAGTTCCACCCCTCTCCAATACACACATTAAACCTACCTGCCTCTTCTACTTCCATAATAGGTTTTTTTTTTTAGCCTGTTGTACTTTAATACATCTCTAATGAATACAGGCAGTACCTAGAAAGTTGTTCCTTGAGGTTTCTGTTCTAAAGTTTTTTTGTTGTTACCAGTTTTTTTTTCTTAAACCTTTCTTCCAAGCTTTACCTTCAGAGACCCTTCATAATAAAAAATTATTAATTGGAACCCTGGCACATCAGGCCAACGTTGTATTTAGGCTTTTTGCTTAAATGGATTACACCAAAAAATATTTCAGTCATTTTCATTGCAAACATTCCTGTTTTTCTGGTTTTATATAACAGGATGAAGACAAAGTAATTTTTGGGATGATGTATGCCTTGTTTCTTTGTGTTTGTAAACACAATGCCTTACACATAATTAATGTTCGATAAATACTTAGTTTTTTTTTTTAATCACCTGAATATTCCCCAACAGTTTAAAATTATTGCTTTACTTTTTGGATTGGTATGTAACTTACAAATTTTTGACCAGCTAGCATAGTAATTTAGCTTTCTTTTTTAAAAAGGGCTTTGACTTGTGTTTATCTAGTACAGTAGTTCTCTAAATGTGGTCTTGGGCTTGAGACTCTTTGAAGGATTCTACTAGGTCCTCCCTTTACCACATACTTTTCCTGTGAAGCTGTATTTTCTTCAACAGAAGAGTGTAGTGCAACAGGTTGAATGCAGAAGGTCGTAAGAGAATCCAGCTGTCTTTATTAAGACAATGAGGTATGCAAAAATGTAGCAAAAATGTAAAACAATACCACTCTTTAAATTTTTTGTTTTGAGAAATACACTTTTTTTGTAAAAATATATTAATATGTGCTGCTTTCATTATTATCATCTTTAAGTAAATGAATACATATTGAAAAAAATTTCTCAGGTTTGGGGTTTCTGGACTCCCAGGCAAAGATTCCATCCTTAAAGTTTAGTCAACCACACATCTTTTTTTGATCAGGTTTGGGATTTTTTTTTTTAACATTATTAACTGAATGCCTTTGAGTTGATACGCATTTTGACTAGGGCTAGTAACCAAAGCAAAGATGATCAGTCTATGAACTAATTTGCCCTTTGCTTCTAGGCTTCACTCCTGTGCGTTCCTTATTTTGTGGGTTACCTTTGGCAAATCTAAGAAGCTAAGCCTGGAGGGGCTTGAGAGAGGCCTGGGGGTTTTAGGTATAATCCTAATCTCTGTCGTATCTCTTGCTTTTTTTACTTGCTCTGCTTTTCCTATTCAAGGTTTAAGATTATCTGACTCTCAGCTATACAGGATTGCTGACTGCTGCTAGAAAGGCCTTCATAACCAAAATGCAACATGGAAATAGCTTTCTTACATTCCATGAGAAAAAAAATAGATCTGACAACGTTATTGAATAGAAAAAGGTAAATAAGAAAATTGGCACTACTTCAGTGACACTACATTGTAGTGTCTGTTCATTTGAGAAGTTATACACAACAGATGTCTTTCTATTCTTTGATTTCTTTTATTGTAGTGTTTTAGAGATTATAAAGTATGTTCACAGTTACCGTATTCCATCATCAGAACAAATACTTCTTTGCAAAAGGCGGTGTTATCATCCTTTACAGATGAGGAAATCAAGTCTTAGAAAAAGTTCATTTTATTCATTGGAATAACACTGGGTGCCAGATATTGTGTATTCATTTTATAAGATACGATGCCTTGGTTTTCCCTCACTTCACCGTCAGCCTTTTTATCTCAGAATTACATGTTCTCTTCTATTTGGGCTATACAATGCAGGTGAGCCTTACAGGCAGGCAGTGACAACAACTGTTAGAAGTGTTGCCTCCTTAGAGCATTTGACCTGTTCTGCACCTCACTGCACCTGGAAGCTTTTAACACTAGGATAACCTAACCGAGCTCTGCTTAGGTTGGAAAGTTATTAAACAATTTGGAATTGGTAAATGACAGAATGAAAGCATTATTTTAGTAAATTGTTAATTTGGGGGCTCTTTATTGAAGAGATGAAAGCAAAAATCTGGATGCTGAGAGACCAAGTACAGACAGTCCCCAGCTTAAGATGGTTTAACTTAAGTTTTTTTGACTTTATGATGGTGTGACAGCAATATACATTTAGTAGAAACTGTACTTCAAGTTTTGAATTTTGATCTTTTTCCGGGCTAGTGATATGTGGTATGATACCATATTGTGATACTAGGCAGCAACAGCAAGTTGCAGCTACCAGTCAGCCACATGATCATGAGGGTAAACAACTGATAACATACAGTATACTGTGTTGTCAGATGATTTTGCCCAACCACAGGCTAATGTAAAGGGTTCTGAGCACGTTTAAGGTAAGTTAGACTAAGCTGTGATGTTCGGTAGGTTAGGTGTATTGAATGCATTTTCAACTTACGATATTTTCAGCTAATGATGGGTTTAATCATTACCCCATCACAAGCTGAAGAGCAACTATATAAAGTGAATCTTATAAAGTAAATCTATTTCACTTTAGGTGTGAGGTTCTATGGGCGTGGTCAAGTATTGAGTGGATGGAGAGGCAAGGATGGTGTGGGAAATATTTTGAAGGAAGTCTATAGGGTTGGGGAATTGACTAGATATAATTAAAAGAGGGAGACATTGAAAAAAACCTCCAGGGATTCAAGATCAGAAGGATGGCAGTTTAGTAGAAAAAGGGAAATGCAAAAGTAAAACTAACTTTTATAATTTAAGGTAAGATTCATATAATTTCACCATTTAAAAATATACGGTTCACTGGCATTTAGTACATTCATAGTGTTGTACAACTGTCAACACTAATTCCATAATATTTTCAGCTCCTCAAAAGGAAACCTGTTACCCATTATTCTGAATATTAGATATAAATAGAATCAAACTGTGTGACTGACTTCTTTCACTTTCAAAGTTTCATGTTGTAGCATGTATCAGTACTTCATTTTAAAAAATTGCTAAATAATGCTACATTGTATTGATACACCACATTTTTTTCACTTTGATTATTTATTTATTTATTTTTTTATTATTATACTTTAAGTTTTAGGGTACATGTGCACATTGTGCAGGTTAGTTACATACGTATACATGTGCCATGCTGGTGTGCTGCACCCACTAACTCGTCATCTAGCAGTAGGTGTATCTCCCAGTGCTATCCCTCCCCCCTCCCCCCACCCCACAATAGTCCCCAGAGTGTGATGTTCCCCTTCCTGTGTCCATGTGATCTCATTGTTCATTTCCCACCTATGAGTGAGAATATGCGGTGTTTGGTTTTCTGTTCTTGCGATAGTTTACTGAGAATGATGGTTTCCAATTTCATCCATGTCCCTACAAAGGACATGAACTCATCATTTTTTATGGCTGCATAGTATTCCATGGTGTATATGTGCCACATTTTCTTAATCCAGTCTATCATTGTTGGACATTTGGGTTGGTTCCAAGTCTTTGCTATTGTGAATAATGCCGCAATAAACAGACGTGTGCATGTGTCTTTATAGCAGCATGATTTATAGTCCTTTGGGTATATACCCAGTAATGGGATGGCTGGGTCAAATGGTATGTCTAGTTCTAGATCCTTGAGGAATCGCCACACTGACTTCCACAATGGTTGAACTAGTTTACAGCCCCACCAACAGTGTAAAAGTGTTCCTATTTCTCCACATCCTCTCCAGCACCTGTTGTTTCCTGACTTTTTAATGATTGCCATTCTTGATACACCACATTTTATTTATTAGTTGAACATTTGGGTTGTTCCTGCTTTTTTGGCTATTATGAATAATGCTGTAGACATAATTTTTCAGGGGAAGATATGGTCAGTTTTGGAAATATAGTCATACCTTGCTTTATTCTACTTCACTTGTTGTGGTTTGCAGATATTGCATTTTTACAAGTTGAAGGTTTGTGGCAACTTTGTTGAGCAAGTCTATCTCAGCCATTTTTCCAACAGCGTGAGCACTTCTTGTCTCTGTCACATTTTTGTAATTTTTGCAATATTTCAGACTTTAAATTATTATATTTGTTATGGTGATTTCTGATCAGTGATCTTTAATGTTACTATTGTAATTGTTTTGGGGCACTGCAAACTGCACTCATGTAAAATGGTAAACTTATATAATAATGTGTGTGTTTTGACTGCTCCACCAGCCAGCTCTTCCCTAGTTTCCTCTCCATGGGCTTCCTTATTCCCTGAGACATAGCAATATTGAAATTAGGCCAATTAATAACTTTATAATGGCCTGTAAGTGTTCAAGTATAAGGAAGATTTGCACATCTCTCACTTTAAATAAAAAGAACTAGAAATTATTAAGCTTAGTGAGGAAGGCGTGTTGAAAGCAGAGGTAGGCCAAATACTAGGCCTCTTGTCCCAAACAGTCAAGTTGTGATTGCGAAGGAAACATTCTTGAAGAAAGTTGAAAGTGCTACTCCACTGAACACATGAATGATAAGAAAGTGGAACAGCATTATCGCTAAGATGGAGGAAGTTGTAATGGTCTGGCTAGAAGATCAAACCCGCCACAACATTCCCTTAAGCCAAAGGCTCGAGGTCAAGACCCTACTCTCTTCAGATCTATGAAGGCTGTGAGAGTGAAGATGGTGCAGAAGAAAAGCTTGAAGCTAACAGAGATGAGTTCATGAGGTTTAAGGAGAGACACTGTCTCCATAACATAAAAGTATAAGATGAAGCAGCAGGTACTGATGCAGAAGTTTCAGCAAGTTATCCATGAGATCTACCTAAGATAATTTATGAGGGCGGCTACACTAAACAATAGATTTTCTATATAGATTAAATAGACTTCTATTTATTGGAAGAAGATACCATCTAGGACTTTCATAGCTAGAAAGGAGAAGTCATGCCTGGCTTTCAAATTTTGAAGGACAGGCTGACTCTCTGGTTAAGGGCTAATGAAGCTGGTGACTTTTAAGTTGAAGCCAGTACTCATTTACCATTGTGAAAATCCTAGGGCCCTTAAGAATTGTGCTAAATCTGCCAGATGTGGTGGCTCATGCCTGTAATCGCAACACTTTGGGAGGTGGAGATGGGTGGATCACTTGATGTCAGGAGCCAGGAGTTCGAGACCAGCCTGGCTAACATGGTGAAACCCCCGTCTCTACTAAAAATATAAAAATTAGCCAGGCGTGGTGGTGCATGCCTGTAGTCCCAGTTATTCGGGAGGCTGAGGCACAAGAATCACTTGAACCTGGGTGGCAGAAGTTGCAGTGAGTTTAGATGGTGCCACTGCACTCAAGGCTGGTCAATGGAGCGAGACTCTGTCCCCCCCCCCCCCAAAAAAAATGCTAAATCTACTCTGCCTATGCTTTAAAAATGGAACCACAAATCCTGGATGACAGCACATCTGGTTTACTGAACCAGATGTAAACGTGGTTTACAACATGAATTACAGAAAATTTAAGCCTGTTATTGAAACCTACTGCTCAGAAAAAAATTTTCCTTTCAAAATATTACTGCTCATTGATAGTGCATCTAGTCACCCAAGAGCTCTGATGGAAGTGTACAAGAAGATTAATGTTGTTTTCATGTTTGCTAACACAACATCCATTCTGCTGCCCATGGGTCAAGGAGTCATTTCAACTTTCAGTTCAAGTCTTAATATTTAAGAAATAACATTTTGTAAGGGTGTAACTGCTGTAGATTATGATTTCTCTGATGGATCTGGGTAAAGTGAATTGAAAACCTTCTGGAAAGGAGTCACCATTCTAGATCCAATTAAGATCATTTGTGATTGATGGAGGAGGTCAAAATATCAACATTAACAGAAGTTTGGAAGAAGTTGGTTCCAGCCCTCATGGATGACTTTGAGAGTTTCAAGGTTTCAGTGGAGGAAGTAACTGCAGATGTGATGGGAGTAGCAAGAGAGCCGGATTTAGAAGTGGAGCCTGAAGATGTGACTAAGTGCTGTAATCTCATTATAAAACTTGAATGAATGAGGAGTTGTTTCTTATGGATGAGTAGTTTTTTTGAGATGGAACCTATTCCTGGTGAAGATGCTGTAAACATTGTTGAAATGACAGCAAAGGATTTAGAGTATTACACCAGCTTAGTTGATAAAGCACCAGCAAGGATTGAGAGGATTGACTCCAACTTGGAAAGGAGTTCTACTGTGGATCAAATGCTATCAAACAGCATCGTATGCTACCAAGAAACCTTTTGTAAAAGGAAAAGTCGATGGATGTGCCAAGCTTCATTGTCTTATTTTAAGAAATTGCCACAGCCACCCCAACCTTCAGCCAGCCACTACCCTGATTAGTCAGCAGCCATCAACATGGAGGCAGGACCTTCCTCCAGCAAAAAGATTATGACTCACTGAAGGCCCAAATGAGCTTTATCTTTTTTTTTTTTTTTTTTTTTTTAGCAATAAAGTAGTTTTTATTAAGGTATATATGTTGTTTTTTAGAGACAATGCTATTGTACATTTAGACTACACTATAGTTGTAAACCTAACTTTTATATTCACTGAGAAACCAAACAATGCGTGTGACTTGCTTTATTGCAATATTCACTTTATTGTGGTGGTCTGGAACAGAGCCCTCAATATCTCCGAGGTGTGCATGTACTGAATTTGAGGTGCGTTTAAATATCTAGATAGTAGTTTTCAGTAGTAAAAGAGGAAGGACTGGGACTTAGATGAGATGTCAGGGTGTCTTTCTCTGTCTGTGTTCTTATAAATAAATACCTGAGTTTGGGCATTTTATAAAGAAAAAAGGTTTATTTGGCTCATGCTTCTGCAAGTATCGTGGTACCAGCATCTGCTTGGCTTCTGGTGAGGGCCTCAGGCTGCATCCACTCATGGCAGAAAACAAAAGGGAGTCTGTGTGGGTAGCGATTTATAAGGTGAAAGAGAGGAAGCGAAAGAGGAGGGAGGTGCCAGGCTTTTTTTTTGGTTTTTTGTTTTTTGTTTTTTTTTTTAAACAACCATTTCTTGTGGGAACTAATAGACTGAAAACTCACTCATTACCGTGAGGACAGCACCAAGCCATTGGTGAGGGATTTGTCTCTTCCACCCAAACACCTCTCATTACCCTACCTGCAACATTGGGGATCAAATTTCAACCTGAGGTTTGAGAGACAAACATTCAGACTGTAGCAGAGGTGAATATTTTCTGATCTTATAGGCTGCTGTTGAGAATTGATAGCTGAGACTATGGGATCTATTAGATCTGCTGTTAGGGAACAGTTTCTGTGGGACTGAGGTCTAAACTTTGTGGAAAACCTGTTTTTACATTATTTAAGGAGGAAGTGATCTGGAGAATCTCTAAAGAGTTAAAAAGGAGTAGGTGAGTACACAGGACTATTGGTGTATAGAAAATTACTGAGCATGATATTTCAAGAAATGGTGTTAAAATAGCTGCAAGATAAACAAGGAAAATGCAAATGAAGAAAAGGTAATTTGATTTGGCTATTGGGAGGGTTTTTGGGGTCTTGAGGTGGATACTTGCTTTTAGCAAAGCACTGTGGAGTAGATAATGCTGTAGCTGCCCTGCTGTGCTCAGCTCAGTTTTGACTGACAAAGTGGGTAGCAGTAACTAGAGCAAGTGGTTTGCAACCTAGATCAGATTTGCAGGAGATTTTAGTTGGATGAAGAGGAAGTTTTGAAGAGGAAGATATTCCCTGTACCCTGTGTGAAAATTTTTCTTTCGTATTAAAGCTTTTAATAACTGTACTGATTTAGATTCATTGTAGATTTAAGCAGTCTGTTGAAGCATAGCCTTTCTATGTATTAATATTATATTAAAAGAATTTTGCATTTACAAAAATGTTAAAATTCTAAAAAGTTGATTTATCATGATGCTATAATATTTGAGGTGTTTGATCTGAATCTGTGTCTGTGAAGCAGTTGATTTCATTGGGAGTTTTGATTTAAGCCCTCAAACATCTTTATTAAAATGAAATTAATTTAAGATTGTTGGCTGTTACTTTTTTTTAAAGAATATACTTGTTTTGAATTAACTCAAGACTTTTGTTCTCAGTGTTGAGCTTCAACCTAACTGCTTCATTCATTATATTGTACTTGAAGGGTCTTAGAAATATTTGGATATAACAGGTTGATTATCAGATATTTTATTGCTAATTCAAAAATGAAGTTTCATAATTCAACATTTCTAATTAGAATTTTTTTTTTTACTGAAATAATGAAAAATCTTCCGTATCTTTCAGTCTAGGCAGAAATTTACATACCTCCACTAGAAGGAAATATTTTAGGGTTGGAAGGGTTCTTGAAGGGATCTTGAAAGTGAACATTTTCAGTCACATAATGTTTAAATTTTTCATATTTTTCTTTGATGATCTTTCTCACCTAGAGTTCATCTTCGTTTTTGATATTTTAACTGCTAATTGTTTTGTTCTTATATTGAGATGAAGTCTGCCTCCCTGTAATTTGGTATTCCAAATATTCCAGTATTCCTGGTGGAGGCAAATAGAGTTGTGTCTGAAATATTCAGCCTTAGAAGTGCCTGGATTTGAATCCTTGCTCCTCTACTAAGTTTTGTTACTTTGGGCGAGATACTTACCCTGTATAACTAAATTTCCACAGCTGTAAACAGGGGATGATGATAGTGTCTACCTCATAGGAGTTTTTGAGGATTAGGTGAAATAATATATGCATTTAATGTTAGCTAATGTTAATGTATACTAATTACAATTATTTTATAATTATATATTTATCATATTGTATAATTTATAATGGCGATAACATAGTAGAATGTAAGGAATGAAGTGATGTTAAAGCTCAATACTAGCAATTCTCTAGTTTGCTCAAAACAAGTAAATATTACTGTTGTTGTTATTATTACTTGAGCCACACAAAGTTCAAGTCACCTTCTTTCCTTCTTTCTCATGACAAACTTTAAAATCTCCATAAATAGCTTTTACTTCTCCCACCCTATAGTCTCAGGTTTTTTAGGTTAAATAACTTTAGTCCTTTCAACTTGACCTAGACAAAGCTCTAGTTCTGAATTCCTTGTAGTGGACATCTGTTATTTTTGCCACCCAGCATCTATTTACCCTTACTTGGTTTTCCTTTGGAAAACCATTCTTCCTCCAATCTTTATTCTTGTGCTTTTTGATTAAGACTCTCCCTCTGGTACCAGGGAGAGCATGTGATGTAAGCCCAAACCTATCACAATGCCTTAGCATTCCCTTAGTGATTGGGTTAGGGAAGGGCATGTAATTTTAGCCAAGCCAACCAACTCCAATCATAGCTGGGCCTCTTGTCATTGTCCTGGGTTTCAATATTGAAGATGGTTAGACTGGAGCTGTTATAGTCATCCTCAATGGAGATCCTTTATGAGGATAGAATCAATACAGAGGAAGTGAAGCCCAGGAATGGAGAAAGAAACCAGATTCACATGATATTGTGTGAATTATGCCTGTAGTTATTTCTACAAATGAGCCAATAAATATCCTTTTGCATAAGCCAGTTTGAGTTGGGTTTTTGTTACTTATAGTTGAAAGAATCATGGCCAATATGTAGTATTTCAAGTGGGGGTGTTGATTAGTATAGAATAGGGTAAAATAGTCTTCTCTCTGATTTAATACTCAAATTCTGTTATTTTGACACTGTGTCACAAATCTGACATCAGTCCCCACTTAAAATCCCTCAGTGGTTTTTCATTGTTCTTAGGATAAGGACAGAATTTCTTAACACAGTCCATAGGTGCTTCATTGTTTAACTCTTGTCTATCTCTATGTCTTATCTCTTCCCATGTAACTCCTTGCTTTTTTTTTTTTTTTTCAGTCACAATGGTTTCTTTGCAGCTTTTCATATTTGCTGGCTTATCTTCTGCCATAGGTCTTTTGCACATTCAGTTCCTTCTTCATGGAATCCTCCCTTCCTTCTCCTGTTTGCCTAGTTAACTCCAACCCTTTCTTCAAATAACAACTTAATTATCACTTTTCTTTTTTTAGCAAAGCCAATTTTGAT
This sequence comes from Homo sapiens, assembly GCF_000001405.40. Lineage (NCBI taxonomy): Eukaryota > Metazoa > Chordata > Mammalia > Primates > Hominidae > Homo > Homo sapiens. Next base: position 56,716,317 of record NC_000015.10, on the reverse strand, counting down.
TATGCTGACTATAATTCCAGGTTCATAACCTTCATAGCACTTACCATTGTCATTTTACATCTCTTTGTATGGGTGTTTGTCCCTATCTCTAGACCACAAGTTTCATGAGTGCAGTAAGTATGTATTAATTTTTGTTCATTATTGTATTCCTACCCGACACACAGTAAATGTTCAATCAGTACAGCTGTCCCTTAGTATTCATGAGGGATTGGTTCCAAGACCCCAGTGGATAGCAGAATTTGAGGGTGCTCAAGTCCCTTATATAACATGGTGTAGTACTTGGATATAACCTATACACATGCTCTCATATACTTTAAATCATCTCTAGATTACTTATGATACCTAATACAAAGTAAATGCTATGTAAATAGTTGTTATATATTTTTTAAAGGTGCATTTTTTATCATTCTTTTGTTACTGTTTATTGGTTTTGTTTCTGAATATTTCAGTCCATGGTTGGTTGAATCTGTGGTTGTGGAACCACGGATAGGGAGGGCCAAATGTGCACTTCTGGAATAAATGACCTTCTGTCATGTAGATCTTCTGGTACATCTTCAGCAGTACATCTTCAATTTATATTTTTGTTAATTTTTTTTTTGGGCAAATACAAAACTGTTACTACCATTCATTCTCTTATTGAGATCTTTTAAAGCTTCATTCCATTTATTTATTTAATTAACATATTCCTTCATTTGTTTTTAGATCCAGGGACAGACTGGGTAAAGCCTCATTCTGCTAGTTTACATGTATTATACTCTCTACTCATGCATAAATTGAATCTGCACACAGTATAGCTTTTATTCAAATCATTGCTATAAATATTGCCCTTAGTTAAGTCATTCAAGGCACTGGAATACCCTTCTTATCCCTTAACCACAACTCTATCTTCAATCACTATCATCTGTTGCATCACACACACCAAACTCTAGTGAGTGGGATTGGGAATAGGGCAGGAGAGGGAATAGGATTCTTACTTTGTACTTTATATACACTGTATGTTTGAACCATTTTCAGTAAACATGTTTTATTTTTTAAAAAAAGTGCTAATGAAAACATTTTTACTTTAAGGATTAATGCATATGTTTCTTCCATGATAGGGTATTTCCTAACCCCTGGCTAATGTGATTGCTTTTATTCAAACTCCTAACCTAGAAACTCTTAACTTTTTGGTTCATAGGCTGTTATGAGAATTTGATGCACTGTCTTATCTTTCCAGAAATTGAGTATTCACAAAATTTTGCTAACTTTTTTATTTCTATGGTGCCCCCAACACGTTATCAAGAACCTCTGCTGTACCACTTTTAGTTTTTATAATTATAGCAACCATATCCTCTTTTATAAGATATTTATGTATTCATCATAATCCCCCTAATAGGTAACTTTTTGAGATAGGATCCTTTTCATATCCTATGAAAAAAGTGTTGAGATTTGCATCTTGCATTAGAAAGAAAATAAGTATATTATTTTTCAAATTCTTAATCATTAATATTATCAAGTATTTTATTGTCCTTTCAAAGTCTTGACTGAGCTCACTAACTTGGAGAATTGTTTTGGCTTCAAGGAATCCATCTGGATTTATCTTAATTTCAGAGAATTAACGTGCTAATTCTTTGATAAGTTACCTTCAGAGAATGAAGTTTTTTGTATAAGTTAGGAGATGGGCAGGGAAAGCTGGCCTCATTGCTCTATCTTTTTATTCTTGGAAAGAGCAGCCTCTTCCAGGACCTGGATTTTCCCTATTCTAGTCCTGATCGCCTTTGAAGGCCACTTCTTTCAAGACTGAATTCCAACCTTTTCCCTTCTCTTTGCCTGTTCACTGTTAAGATTCTCAAATATATAGTCTTTTAAAAATGACATTAGATATTTTTGGTTTATTTTAAAAATAAAAACTATGGTGTATCCATATATTCCCTTTTTAAAGATCTTTTCTTCCTTAGAGTGCTTATTATCGGGAGACAATATTCTTCATAAAAATTAGAATCTTTCAGAAATTGGGTGAGATTTATCTTCTACAGTCTCTTAAGATTCTATAATCATCCCGTATTTTGTCTACAGTGTTTTAGCTGCTGATCAGGTGTTTTTAGTAATAAAGTTTGTGTGGTGGGAATGTGCCCTTTTCAAGAGTAAGACTGGTTTTTAACAGTAACAACTGGACTGATTCTGAAAAAGATACTTAGTTTTCTAACACTAAAACATTTGTAAGAAATACTTGAGGCACAAAAGGAAGTATTGATTTGAAATTTCATCTGCTTAAAGGTTGTAAATAAAAAATATAGTAAGCTAATTTCCTTATAAAATTTCATAGCTAAATACCTAAATTTTATTAAATCATTTTAATCATAGGTCTCTCCTTTAATTATATTATTGTTTATCGCTTATGATTTACATTTTCTATCACACAGATTTGTCTTATAGTGCCAAAGTAGGTATCATCATTCACTGCTTTTCTAATCCTGTTACAGTAATTTCCAATTTTCCATAATGGAATCAACAGGCAATGGATAGTAAGGGGATGTACAACAGGAGTTTTAAAAATTGCTCTTTTTACTCAAAATATTTCTTAGGATTGTAAGGTGGTGAACATTAAATAAAATTAATTTTTGAATACTTTATTGAGATAGTTGGAAGTGCTTGAGGGATCACAAAATCAGGGTTTGAAATATTAGATTGTTATTCATAGTTGAGAATTCACTTTGTATCCTTTAAGCTCTATTCATCTGAGATTGGAATTCTAAAATGATAGTCCTCCATTTCAGTATGCCATTAGTGACATAAAGACTAAAGAATTGCTTATAAAATGAAATAGAATATAAACAAAGCTGATTTAAGTAGAATGACTTAAATGCCTGATTTCTTGGAAAATTTCTGAGAGTAAAAAAATGAAAGATCAAACTTTACTGAACCAATAAGCCAGTGTCATCTAAATGATTCCACTGAAAAACTCGTTTTAAGTATATAAGTAAATTGTTAGTTTTTTTATAGATAGAACATTATCTTGAGCTAACTTTATGAGTTAGTTGAACTTCATTTTTATGTGCAATACTTATTTTGAGTATAAATTTTCACTATTTGAAATAGTTTTTTGTATCTATTAAGTTGATCATATCTTGTTTTGGTGTTGCCAACTTCTTGGTTAGTAATGCAATCCCCAATTAAAACATTTGTATGGTGGGGAGACAAAAAGAAAGATTAACTTTATAATGTGATTTTTTGGATTATTTCATTGATTTTATATCTTGAATTTATGGGATTGGGGGAGATGTAGAAGTTAACCATTTGACCGGGCATGGTGGCTCACACCTGTAATGCCAGCACTTTGGGAGGCCAAGGCGGGCAGATCACTTGAGTTCAGGAGTTCAAGACCAGCCTGGCCAACATGGTGAAACCCCATCTCTACCAAAAATACAAAATTAGTTGGGCATGATGGTGCGCACCTATAATCCCAGCTACTCGGGAGGCTGAGGCAGGAGAATCACTTGAACCTGGAAGGTGGAGGTTGCAGTGAGCTGAGATGGTGCCACTGCTCTCCAGCCTGAGCAACAGAGCAAGACTCCACCTCAGAAAAAAAAAAAAAAAAGCCATTCACCATGTTCCTCATAATCACTTTTGTGTTTTAATTACCAGCTATTTATTTATTTATTTTTTAGAAAATAAAATACTAAGATACATGTAGAATGAGTGTTTTTTCTTTTCTTTCTTTCCTTTTTTTTTTTTTTTTTTTTTGGTATGAGGGTCTCACACTGTCACCCAGGCTGGAGTGCAGTGGCCCAGTCTCGGCTCACTGCAGCCTCAACCTCTTATAGCTGGGACCAGGGGCATGTGCCACCACTCCCAGTAATTTTCTTGTATTTTTTGTGGAGATGGGGTTTTGCCATATTGCCCAGGCTGAGCTCAAGTCATCCTCCAACCTTGGCCTCCCAAAGTGCTGGAATTAGAGGCATGAGCCACTATGCCCAGCCTGAACGTTTTTTTCTTAATAGAAATGGTGTAAAGATACCTTATCTAAATGTTAATTTTTATATGTTGGTACTTTTGAATTGGATACTTATTCTATTAGATTAGTAGTATGTAATTTAACAGTGTGTTATGTTTATATGAGGGTTAAAATTTTTTTTGGTGTATATTTTAATTAGTTTAGAAATGCTTTTTTAAAAAGATGAAAATGTGGTAGGATAGATTTGACAGCCACAGTCTGGAAGATATAAAGCTAAAATTTCATCATGAGAAATTTCACTGTAATGAAGGTCATGTACCACATAATGATGTTTAGGTCAAGGACAGACTGCATTATATAATACGGTGGTCCTGTAAGATTATAATGGACTGAAAAATTCCTATTACCTAGTGATTTGTGTTATAATTGCCTGCGGTATTCAGTACAGTAACATGCTATACAGGTTTATAGCCTAGGAGCAATAGGCTATACCATATAGCTTGGATGTGTAGTAGGCAATACCATCTAGGTTTGTGTAAGTACTGTAGACTCTACGATGTTCTCACAACTACAAAATCATCTAATGATACATTTGTCAGAACTTATCCCTGTTGTTAAGTGATGCATGACCATAAAACAAAATGATTTCTAAATGCTTAGCTGATAGCACGTAAATTCCAGTATAACAGAATTGGGATCAGTTCTTTTTTTTGTTTTTTTGAGACTGAGTCTTGCTGTGTCACCCAGACTGGAGTGCAGTGGCACGATCTCAGCTCACTACTGCAACCTCTGCCTCCTGGTTAAAGCCATTCTTCTTCAGCCTCCCGAGTAGCTTGGATTACAGGCATGCTCCACCATGCCCGGCTAATTTTTTTATTTTTAGTAGAGTCCCGGTTTCACCATGTTGGCCAGGCTGTTCTTGAACTCCTGACCTCAAGTGATCCACCTGCCTCGGCCTCCCAAAGTGCTGGAATTATAGGTGTGAGCCACCATGCCTGGCCTCGAGTTCTTTAAAATGGGATTTATCTCAGAGTTAAAAATAGTTAAACATCGTTGAGTGGTTTCCATGTGCCAGGCACTGAGATGTGTTTTACATATATTATCTCATTTAATCTTCACTATAATCCAATGACATAAGTCTATTTTTATTTTTTATGTATATGTAAATGGTAAATGTATGTATAAAAAGCAGTAAAGCAAGGCACTAGGTTAACTAACTTGTCCAACATCATATTGGTAATAAGTGATTGAGTCAGAATTTGAATTTGGCATTCATTCTTCACCATGTTTTACTCTTCATGGTTACTAAATGTTTAAAGTATACAATAGATTTTGAGCTGAATTAAGCCAGAATCTTTCAGTTGAACTATAAGCCTGAGAGCTAGAATTGAAGATGACTTGGCAGAAGGTTGTGGCCATGCTGGTACTATGACTTGGTTCTCCTGGTTTCTAGTGCGATATTCTTTTTTTAAATGTGCAGATACTACAGTTGTAGTTTGTGAAATTGCTTAATTTTTTTCTTATCAGAAAGTAAAGAGGACTATATCTAGTATATAGCACACCTGTGTCCATAGTATGTGCTCTGTACTTGATCACATGCAGTATTAATATTATTTAACACGGCAGCAGTACATCGGGTGATATCTATCAATGGATGAAAGTGAAAATTTCAGATAGTTAAAACACTTAGACCCACATTTCCATTGATTTCTAATTTTTTTTATAGAAAAAATAAGATACAGTTTAATTTTAGATAAAAACTGAAACCAAAAATTTATAAAATAGGAATTATAATTATTTATGTGGGCAGTATCCATAAATGAATGGAATTTATTTTAAGTCAGTTACTTGGAATTCATTTTTCCCCCATGCAAACAGTATATTAAATATGGGCATGTAATCTGTACCTGAGTTAGTAGTTGAAGTTGAGAGTCCTCTTTTTTTTTTTTCCTGGCTATTTTATTTTATTTTTTCGAGAGACAGAGTCTTGCTCTCTTGCCCAGGCTGGAGTACAGTGGTGCAGTCTCAGCTCACTGCAACCTCCCTCTGCCTCTTGGGTTCAAGCGATTCTCCTGCCTCAGCTTCCCAAGTAGCTGGGACTACAGGCGTGTGCCACCACGCCCAGCTAATTTTTGTACTTTTTAGTAGAGACAGTTTGACTCTGTGTTGGCCAGGCTGGTCTCGAACTCCTGACCTCAGGTGATCCACCCGCCTCGGCCTCCCAAAGTGTTGGGATTACAGGCGTGAGCCGCCGCGCCCGTCCTTTTCGGGCTGTCTTAAAGAGCCAACTCTGAGCTGAGGCCTTTGATGTCTCCATTGAACATCTTTGTTGGATGTATTCTCTGGCAGCAGATTTAGTATTTATTTATTTATTTTATTATACTTTAAGTTCTAGGGTACATGTGCACAACATGCAGGTTTGTTACATATGTATACATGTGCCATGTTGGTGTGCTGCACCCATTAACTCATCATTTACATTAGGTATATCTCCTAATGCTATCCCTCCCCTCTACCCCCACCCAACGACAGGCCCCGGTGTGTGATGTTCCCCTTCCTGTGTCCAAGTGTTCTCATTGTTCAATTCCCATCTATGAGTGAGAACATGTAGTGTTTGTTTTTTTGTCCTTGTGATAGTTTGCTGAGAATGATGGATTCCAGCTTCATCCATGTGCCTACAAAGACATGAACTCATCCTTTTTTATGGCTGCATAGTATTCCATGGTGTATATGTGCCACATTTTCTTAATCCAATCTATCGTTGATGGACATTTGGGTTGGTTCCAAGTCTTTGCTATTGTGAATAGTGCCGCAATAAACATACGTGTGCATGTGTCTTTATAGCAACATGATTTATAATCCTTTGAGTATATACCCAGTAGTGGAAGGGCTGGGTCAAATGGTATTTCTAGTACTAGATCCTTGAGGAATCGCCACACTGTCTTCCACAATGGTTGAACTAGTTTACAGTCCCACCAACAGTGTAAAAGTGTTCCTATTTCTCCACATCCTCTCTAGCATCTGTTGTTTCCTGACTTTTTAATGATTGCCATTCTAACTGGTGTGAGATGGTATCTCATTGTGGTTTTCGCTTGCATTTCTCTGATAGCCAGTGATGATGAGCATTTTTTCATGTGTCTGTTGGCTGCATAAATGTCTTCTTTTGAGAAGTGTCTGTTCATATCCTTTGCCCACTTTTTGATGAGGTTCTTTGTTTTTTTCTTGTAAATTTGTTTGAGTTCTTTGTAGATTCTGGATATTAGCCCTTTGTCAGATGAGTAGATTGCAAAAATTTTCTCCCAATCTGTAGGTTGCCTGTTCACTCTGATGGTAGTTTCTTTTGCTGTGCAGAAGCTCTTTAGTTTAATTAGATCCCATTTGTCAATTTTGGCTTTTGTTGCCGTTGCTTTTGGTGTTTTAGACATGAAGTCCTTGCCCATGCCTAGGTCCTGAATGGTATTGCCTAGGTTTTCTTCTAGGGTTTTTATGGTTTTAGGTCTAACATTTAAGTCTTTAATCCATCTTGAATTAATTTTTGTATAAGGTGTAAGGAAGGGATCCAGTTTCAGCTTTCTACATATGGCTAGCCAGTTTTCCCAGCACCATTTATTAAATAGGGACTGCTTTCCCCATTTCTTGTTTTTGTCAGGTTTGTCAAAGATCAGATGGTTATAGATATGTGGTATTATTTCTGAGGGCTCTGTTCTGTTCCATTGGCCTATATCTCTGTTTTGGTACCAGTACCATGCTGTTTTGGTTACTGTAGCCTTGTAGTATAGTTTGAAGTCAGGTATCTTTCATAGAATTCTGTGCTTTACCAAGAAAATTCTGAAGCCAGTAGATACTTACCTGATAACTTAAAAACATTATGTATGAGTCCATAGGATATGTAATTGTGAATCTTAAAAATATTCCGTGTTCCTGGTATTGATAAGTCCTTAATGTGAAGCAAGGATTATCACGTATTTATCTGAAATAAGCATTATACTGTTGCTAGTGGGACAAGCTACAGCTATTCAAAAATTGAGTTAAAAGATTTTTAATAGTACAACTTTAGAACTAGGGGATATTTAGTTAAGCACAAGATTCGCTAGAGTCTCATGTGATAGTAACTCTGAATAACTGAATTAATAACAATAACTTCTGAAATTAAAGTAATAATTTTTCCTTTGTAGTAATTCAGTTTACATACTTTAGAAATTGAAAAGTAGGAAAGCTTGCTTTTGTCAGCCTAAGGATAAAGAGGAAAGTGAAGGTTGAATTAGTTATATATTCCAGTGTTTTAGATTTCCATTGTTTAATTGTTGACGTTTTTTGCTTTATAACTCAGTTTTATAAAAGCTTGTTTATTTTGTAAAATTCATGCTATTGCGTGTGCATGGAAATTCAAAAAACAGATTCCCAGTTTGAATAAAGCAATTCAAATAGTTTTTAAAAAAATGTTTATTCTAACAGCATTTTTAAAGCCAAATAAATTATTGACATACTAGATTGTAAACTTCTGAAGTCTTAAGAATGTGACTTACTCATTTTTGTTTTCCCCTGAGCTTAGCACATTACCTTCCATACAGAAGGCCATGAGTAGTTATTTTTTGAATGAATTAATCTATGATGAAATATTTCCAATGAATTTTCTGTTCCCTTTCGGTTGATAAAAAGCCAGAAAGATATAAACTAAAATTTGTTTAAAATTGTGTTTTCTTGCAGAAATAATTACATGTATTTCTGAAATACAAAGAAAAGATAACGTTAAAGATTAATGTCACTCAGCGTTTGAAAAGTTAGATTTCCAAAACCAGTACATTGTAAGGTGTTTACTCGTTTTTACTAAATACTTTAAAAAATTATTTGTAATTTACAAATCATCACATTTCTTCGAGTATTAAGTGCCAAGTATAATCACCATTTATTTATTAAATTTGGGTTTATTCAGGAATGAACCAATTATGTAAAATGAACTATATGTGTATATCAGATATATCAAACATAATTGACCTCTGTATAGGAGAAAAGATTAAATATGTATACATCTAATTTAATGAAGTCCACCCTAATAGTTGGTATCTTTATTTTATAGGAAGGAAAACAGAAATAACTTGCTGGCTTGTCTGGAGTCACATGGTGAGTTTAGAGGTTAACCTTACATCCAATAATTTGTGAATCCCAAGTTTCATGTTTCAATATTTGGTGTTACTTAAAGTGACTCATTAAATTGACTGATATCATGTGTCAGTACTTAGGTGACAATTTACAGAAAGTCATCTCTGCAGCTTGATGGGCGACAACCCTTTTCAACCAAAAAGTAAGTGTTGCTGCCACAACTAATACTAATATATGTGGCTTTTGTATCACTTTACCTCAGGAGAAAGGATGAAAGTTGGGAGACATTTTTTAAAAAACAAAAATGCTTAAAATTGTTAAAGTAACAAATGTTCACATAAAAACAAGTAATATAAATAAAAAAGTGAGTAAAATAGAAGTGTTTTCCCCCATTATCAGAAGAAACTACTTTTACCAATTTGGTACATATAATCATACATGTTTCTTCTGTACATAGACAAAAATTAAATTATTTCTAAAAAAATTATAAAGCTATTATGTCTTAAATTTTTTTTTTCTCAAAAATATGTCCTGGGTATATTAACAATGACAGTGCCCTGTTAAAAAGAACAAGGAAGACCTTTGTATACTATATGAGTTTGCTAGGGCTGCCATAACAAAGTACCACAGATTGGGTGGCTTACACAATGGACATTTTTCTCATAATTCTTGAGGCTAGAAGTCCAAGATGAAGGTGTCGTTAGGATTGATTTCTTCTGGGGGCCATATGGGAAGGGTTTGAGGCCTCTCTTCTTGACTTGTAGATGGCCATCTTCTCGTTTTTTGTTTGTTTGTTAGTTTGTTTTGAGACAGATTCTCACTCTGTCACCCAGGCTGGAGTGCAGTGGCATGACCTCGGCTCATTGCAACCTCCTCTTCCTGGGCTCAAGTGATTCTCCCGCCTCAGCCTCCTGAGTAGCTGGGACTACAGTTACTCGCCACCACGCCTGGCTAATTTTTTTTCTATTTTTAGTAGAGACTGGGTTTCACCATGTTGGCCAGGCTGGTATCGAACTACTGACCTCAGGTGATCCGCCTGCCTCAGCCTCCCAAAGTGTTGTGATTATAGGTGTGAGCCACTGTGCCTGTCCTCCATCTTCTCCTTACATCTTCCTGTGATCTCCTTTTCTGCTTGTGTCTGTGTCCTAATCTCCTCTTCTATTAAGGACACCAGTCATACTAGATTAGGGCCCACCCTACTAACCTTATTTTAATTTAGTTACTTCTGAGGACCCAATCTCTAAATATAGTCACATTCTATGGTGGTGAGGGTTAGGTCTTAAACATATGAATTTTGAGAAAACACAGTTCAGCCTATACCTATACCAACTGGATATAAATAATACTTTTGTTATTACTATACAACGAGTCTCCCTGATTGTTTAAAATTATGCATTTTCTGACTTCGCCTAGTCCATAGATTATTATATGCCATGTGCCTACTGCCCCTCTAATGTATAGGGGGAAATGTATTCCTATATGACGTTAGACATATAAAATTAAGACACATGAAAAAATAGCAGTTTGAGATCGTATATGTTAAATCTTGAATTGCATGATATTGATTATCAGTGTAGTTCAGATTTTGAAGGAAAGTAAAATCTAATGGTTTACAAGAGGAATTATAATTGAACCAAGAGTTAGGAGGGCCAGGGAATTAATATTTTGTTGAGTATCCACTTGATTTTAGGTGCTTTATGTGGCATTTTCTTGAATCTATGTAATACTTGTATTAGGTAGATATCATACTTGTGTTATAGATGAGGAAAATAGGTTCAAGTAACTTCTCTAGAGTCATATGATTAGAAACAGTGGAGGAAAGATTTGAATTATTCAACTTGATGTCAGCTCTCTGCTCTCTTTGCTCCAGACTGGAGTGACATAGATTGTAAAACTGAGAAGGAAAGATATTCTAGGTAGAAGACGTGGTATAAATAATCGCTCTGAGACACACAATAAGGCTGGTATTTCAAGTATTTAAAAAACACAAATGCTAAGTTATGACTTGTCAATGAAAATTAGTATTTTTAATTATTAGATTTGAAGAACTCTGTATAATTAGTAAAATAGTACAGTTTAGAGAAAAAAGTTTCATGATATTGATGGCATTTAGGAAAATGGGAAGGCCTTTTTTTTGGTAGATGGACTATACTATAACATTAGAGTGGGAAATGATTTGTGACATTCTTCCTGTGAGAAATATCTACTTTGCCTTTAATTGAATAAGCCTAATTAGTTTTCCATATTCTATTCTAGCATCTCTTCCCTGCTGTGTTCTGTGCCTGGCATTTTTTTTTTTAAAGACATACTCTCAATCTGTCACCCCTGGCTGGAATGCAGTGGCATGATCTCAGCTCACTGCAACCTCCACCTCCTAGATTCAAGCGATTCTCCTGACTCAGCCTCCCAAGGAGCTGGGATTACAGATGTGGGCCACCATGCCCGGCTAATTTTTTTCTATTTTTAATAGAGATGGGGTTTCACCATGTTGGCCAGGCTGGTCTCAAACTCCTGACCTCAAGCAATCTGTCTGTCTCGGCTTCCCAAAGTGCTGGGATTACAAGTGTGAGCCACTGCTCCCATCCTGCCTGGCATTCTTGAATCTGGTTTAGTTTATCCAGTTTATCTCCCACCTGTTGCCTATTATTCTTAGTTTATCTGCCTTTTGTGAATACATTTTTAAAAAGACAGTGGGTATAATCCTTTTTGTAGAGATAATCATATTCTATGTATACGACTAAAACTCACTTTCACTGAATTTGACTTCCAAATTTTCTGTCTACGGTAAATAACTACTGTCATTGATTATCTGTTTATCTAAATTTTACTATTTAATATTTTAGATAGTAAGCTCTGTATTTCTCACTGTTGTTACCACATACTGACTACAAATATCAATTCAGAAATTGCTATTAAGATTATTAAAGTACACCTTAAAATTAATGCTATGTATTACAAAAATGTTTTTATTTTTATTTTCAAAAATGAGGTTTACTTCTCTCCTTTTGAAAATTAGGTAATTCAAAAATGGCAGAACTGTTTATGGAATGTGAAGAAGAGGAGCTGGAACCATGGCAGAAGAAAGTAAAAGAAGTTGAGGATGACGATGATGATGAGCCAATCTTTGTTGGCGAGATATCAAGTTCAAAACCAGCAATTTCAAGTAAGCATTTACTTTTAGTGAAACCAAGCTTTATAAGGTATTATTTCTAGTAGAAAAACTTGTGAACTGTTTAATAGGTAGTTGATGTTCATGTTCCACTGTAAAGAGGAACATGATTGGGGACTTGAGGAAGGAGGTAAGAGATTAAATATCAGATGTCAGAAAAGAGAAATGGACTGAGATTAGCTGGTGACCCTGGAGGTCTTCTGAGATTAGAAATCATAATTTTTAATGGAGTTAAGTAATTATTTATTTATTTATTTATTTTGAGACAGGGTCTCACTCTGTCGCTAGTCTGGAGTGCAGTGATGCAGTCACAGCTCACTGTAGCCTCAACCTCCTTGGCTCAAGCGATCCTCCCACCTCAGCTTCCCAAGTAGCTGGCACTACAGGCATGTGTTACCATGCCTGGCTAATTTTTGTATTTTTTGTAGAGACAGGGTCTCACCATGCTGCCCAGGCTGCTCTCGAACTCCTGAGCTCAAATGATCCACCTGCCTTGGACTCCCCAAGTGCTAAAATTACAGGTGTGAGTCACTGCACCTAGCCTTAAGTAACATATTTATCTGTTTATTCTTTTTCATTTTTCTCCAACCCAGAAGAGAAAATAAAACATTTGGAATGCTTTGCTTAAAATTTCAGAATATACTAAGTGAGTTTTTGTTAGTCTCAAACGGGACTTCTCACATCCAGTCCTCACTGCAATGTCATCTATACGTGGCTACAAAATGTATAGGTGGTGAATGATTGCACAGACTCTGGCCTGTGTACCAATAGAAGCTGCAGCTTCTGACCATATCCGTCTTCCAGCAACTCCTTTTTATATTCATGAAAGAGAATGGCGCTGTCTACAGCCACTGTACTTGGATGATGTAGCATTTAGTACATTTAAATCCTTAAGGCTTTTGGGCAGAACAACTTGGTACCTTTGTGGCTTATTAGCTTTGAATTAGAGAATTGGGCTTGACATTGTTATAATATTAACGTGCAGATACTGATGACATTTGTTAAAATGTCCACTCAAAAATGTATGACAGTGCAGAGAAACAATGTACAAATTTCAGGGAGAAAGAGAAAATAGATCCTTTTCCATTTCATTTACTTGTTTGTTTGAAGCCAGGAGAATTTACCAAAGAATTTTATGTACCCAGTTTACCAGCGTGTGTGTGTGTGTGTGTGTGTGTGTGTGTGTGTGTGTGTGTGTGTGTGTTTACTTACCATGGTAGTGCTTAAAAGTGTGATTAAGAGACCAAAATTTTTTGAAAGCCTAGTTCTTGCTTCACTTACCTCTAAACTTGGATTGGCACCTTTATTCAGTTTTATCAGAGAGAGAGTAATTTCACCAATCGAATTTTCAATACTGTTTCCTGGGGCACATTGGTCATCTCTCATGGAATGCTAAGTGGAGTGCCACTTGGATTATAAAATGAATTAGGCATGATGGCATCGTCGGTGATAGTGGGACATAATATTCTATTGGTTATTGTTTTATACTGAAATATTATATTGCAAAATTCAAACTCTTATTGAAAACATGACAGTTAAGATTCAAGGTGAATTTATACTGATTGTAGATGACTCTTCATGGTATTCGGGTAGAACACTGTACATTAGTTTTAAAATAATTCCATCAAGAAGGGGATTAACCCCAACAGAATTTCTTTTCTACAGTGTTAAGGTGAATAATTTAAATGGTTTTATTGTTGTTTTATTTGTAAGCCATAAAATATGTTAACATATGGAACATGAGTTAAATGTTTATATAAAACTGCAAGAAAGGAGGGCAAAAACTTGTGATCCATAGACTACACCCACTAAATAGTACTACAGCAATAGCTCTTTCATGGTTTGAGTAAATATTTAATCCTGAATTTCTGAATGAAAACAGTTTCAAGTTCTTTGAGTAGATCTTTCTCTAATAAGACTTCTGTAGTGTTTAATTACAGAGCACTGCATTGACCTTATCAGAAAACAACCATATTTCTGTGTGAACCATTATTTTATAGAATTACTTAATGGGATCTGGTTTCTTTCTACTGTGAGGAAGATAAAAGAAATTTTTATGAGATTTGGTGGGTGGTTTTTTTTTTTTTTTTTGGGTGCTTTTTACCTTTTTCTAACCAGCAATTTTAGGCAAATCCTCATGCTTCCAAACTATAATTTGATAAGCTAGAAGTTACAGAGTTTACATGCATGCAAGAATGAGGAACTTTAAATTGATCCTCAAAGTCATGGCAGGCTCAGATTGACTTCTGGTGTAGTGGTAAATTTGAAACCTCTTAACTAATAAAATGCTATGATGAACTATTGGTTCACTTTAGTCTGCAATCTCTGATAGTTTTTCTTTTTTAACTCAAAACTAATAGTAGATAATCCGATGAGATTTTCTGTAATGCAACTTCAAGGCTTTTAGACGAGTGAATGCAGTGTAGAGGTTGGGCAAGGATTTGATTTTGAATCATAGGAACCTGACTGTATGTAACAGCCCTGTCATCATGCAAAGAAAGATATACATTTAAATTATAGGTTATATATAAATATGTTTTTGGAAAATTTTTATCAAGTATGTGATGTTTCTTTGCAAGCACAATGTTTTGACTCACCTGTAGTCAGATTTGTCATTTCCTTCTGAATTTTGGATTTTGAGTTACAATGAGAAAGATTGTTCTTAGTCTGTAAAACAAAACCTAGTTATCTTGTTTCTTTTGTTTCTTTAGTAGGTAAAGATGTATGTGTTTAAAATGAACTATATTCTTAAATCAGTGATTAGTTATATACTCCTTCCATAAATCTGTTTAAATGTTTTCAATTCATGATTTCTATTATCTTAATATGTATTTCATTCAAACAATGTATTTTAAAATAAATATAATCTTTTATAGATATTTTGAACAGAGTTAACCCCAGCTCATATTCAAGGGGACTAAAGAATGGTGCACTCAGTCGAGGTACAGTATTATTATACTATTTTAATTTTAAAGTGAAGTATTTTGACAAAATTGATTATGTACAAATAATTTCCATATATTGTGTTACTTTAAAATACAGGTATTACTGCTGCATTCAAGCCTACAAGTCAACACTACACGAATCCAACATCAAATCCAGTGCCTGCCTCACCAATAAATTTTCATCCTGAGTCTAGATCTTCAGATAGTTCTGTTATTGTTCAGCCTTTTTCTAAACCTGTAAGTGTTTCTAAAACTATACGGCCAGCTCAGGGATCCATTGGATGTTGTTTATCAATATCAACAGTACCCAGTTACAATTCTGGACTGTCATAAGTAGTCATCCAGTAGAAGCATAGTTAGCATCAGAAAATGTCACCATATTTTCGCTAGCTCAAGCAGTACCCCAAGTAATAACTGAAGGAGCTAACTACCCAACCTGTTAATAACAGGCAGTATGCCTAAATAGGTACAGTAATGAAAACTATACTATCAAAATGTGAATAAAATTATAGTCAGCCATAAATATTGCATAATGACAAATATTTAAGATTGCAGACGGGACCAGGTATTCTTAATTGGGAAAACAGTCAAGTGACCATCATAGCTTTTTATTCTGAAAACATTCCTTCATAGTTCAGTTAGTTAAAAAAAAACAAACATTTTTTCCTATTACAAAAAACTCCCACTTTTTTTGTTACAAAAAGTAATAGAAAATGGTAATAGTTAACATTCATTGAGCTGTTAATATGTATAAGTGTTTGTGCTAAATGCTATAGGTAAATTCATTTCATTTAGTTCTTAAACATCCCCATGAAGTAAACACTATTATTATCCTCATTTTTTAGTTGAGGAAACTGAGGCTCATAGAGGTTGAAAGATTTATTCAAGATCCCAAAGCTGGCAGTTGATGGATCTGGGATTTCAATCCAGCCTAACCCATAGTTTATATGTATATGCACACATACATACATATATGTTGTGTATAAATGTACACTTTTTTAGACATGAAAGAATTGCCTTAGTTGAACAGTTCTCAGATTGTAGTTTGCAATCCCCTGGGGTTCCCCAAGACCCTTTCAGAGGTTTGAGGGTCAACAGTGTTGTCATTATAATCAAAGACTGTTTTCCTTTTCCACTGTGTTGGCATTTGCACTGGTGATGCTAAAGTAATGGTGGATAAGCTGCTGGTGCCTTAGTGTGAATCAAGGTAGTGCCACCAAAGTGTACTTGTAGTTTCTGTATTAGTCACCTGCCGTGCACTCACAGTAAACTACATTACTCAACTGAGTATTACCCAGTTATACCCAATCCCTGATGAAGTATTAAAATGTTATTAGTTTTATTAACTCTCTACACTTGAATGTGTGTTTTTTAAAATATTCTGTGTGATGACATGGGTAGTGTGCATAAAGTACCTCTGTGTCTGAAGTATGATAGTTGTCTTGAGGAAAAGCACTTGTGTGATTGAATTGTGAGGTAAACTACCTGATTTTTTTTTGTTGTTACATGAAAGAATGAGTGACAAATCTTTAAAGTATTTACAATATCACTCCAGAAAAGAAAACAAATCAAATAAATATTGACTCAAAACTCTCCAAGTACATATCAAAATCTCAGGAAGGGAAAAAAGAGTCTAAAGAACAAAATATAACACTATTTTATTTCAGTCATGTTAGTTCAGTTTCCACAGTTTGAACTGGGTATAGATTAATATCTAAAACCAAAAAATGAACATGTGTATAGTGATGCTGAAAAATGTGCATTATTTTTTATTTATATTTTAGGAATAATAAAGTTAGTTATTAAAGAATTTAGTGATTTTGATTGAGTGAGAGGTGTGAGCTATATTTGCTTCTTTCCTGTATGATATACATACATTGTTTCCAATCTCATTTCTATTAAATAACTATAGGAGAGCCCACAGCCTTGTTATTTTACATATCACTATTTAGATATTTGTTATTTATTTATTTGTGTTGGCCTGAAGTAAATGTTACTTTTGTACGATATTTGAAGGATAGATTTATTTTATAAATTAATAGTTTAAATAAGATTTTGCCAGCATTTGAAATGATATTTATTTCTGTGTATCAATATTACCACAAACTTACACAGCTTAAAACAACATACACTCTTTATCTCATGATCTCACAATTTCTGTGGGTCAGGAATCAGGTCATGGCTTAGGTGGGTTTTCTGCTTAAGGATCTCACAAGGCTGCATTCAAGATGTGGTGCCTGAAGTTGCAGTTTCATCTGAAATTCTGTTGGGGAAGTATTTGCTTCCAAGTTCACATGGTTGTTGGTAGCATTCAGTTCCTTAAGGGATGTTGGACTGAGAATCTCTGTATCTTGTTGGCTTTTGGCTGGCTCCTTGCCACGTAGGTCTTCCCAATAAGGCTGCTTGCTTCCTCAAAGCTAGCAGGTGAGAGTGAGTCCTTAGCAAGATGCCCTTACAGTCTTAGGTAACATAATCACGTACACAAAAATCATATATATCCTGTCACCTTTGTTGTGTTCTATTGGTTAAAAGCAAGTCAGAGGTCCTGCCCACACTCAATGGGAGGGAATTACACAGGACCTGAATACCAGGACCTGGGGATTATGGGTAATGACATTTACATGGAGGCCACTTTAGAGTCTGTCTGCCACACACGCTTAGTCAATCTTGATTGTTTGGCAAACATTTCCTCAAATCTGTCACTTCAGCAAAAATAATTGATAGTAATATTTCTTACCAATGGTAAAATTTGAACTTTTAAGCAAAAATTAGAATTTTGGAAAACTCATTTGCCACCGTGATCTTGGCAGCTTTTGAATAAGAGTTTTCTGATGGGTGGTGGTGTTCATAAATAATGATTTTTAAAATATTGTGTAATGAACTATGTCACCATTTGGAAGACCTGTGTAATTCAGTGAAACTAGTATTTTCCACATAACTAGTATATATACTACAAAAGTATGCATGGGTAAAACATACATTTAAAAGCTAAGATAGACCAATGATTTTAATGGAACGGGTGTTCTGGGATACGGTTTCAGATTTCACACTGCAACAAACCTTTAAGAAAGTACCAACTGTTCAGTTTTGGTATAGTATCAAAGTAGTATATCCACAGTTAATTAAAACCCTATTAAAACACTCCCTTTTCCAGTTATATATTCCTGTGAGGCAGAATTTAATAATACTCCTCAACCAAAACAACATGTCATAGTAGACTGAAGGCAGAAGCAGATAAGAGACTAAAACAATTTTTGATTAAGCTAGATATTTAAGAGCTTTGCAAAGATGTGAAACAATGCCACTTTTCACTAGTTTTTTTTGCGTTTGCAAGTCATTTTTCATTAAAATGTTATTTATGTTAATTTGTAATGAGTTTGTTATTTTAAAATGAATAAATAAATATTATAAAATATTCTCTGTTTTAATTTCTAATATGGAAAATATTGATAGATATAACCAATGTGAACAAAAAGTCTTTTTGGGTTCAACAATTTTTAAGTGCATAAGATGATTCTGAAGCCAAAGAGTTAGGGCACCACTGTCTCAGAAAAATAGTAGTACATTTTCCTAAAAATGTATATTGTTTAAATAATAAGAACAATAAGGGAGACTGCTGAGTCTCTATCTTCAATCATCTAAGGTTCTACAGGCTATTTCTAATGTTTTAAAAAATGTAACAGGTGGCTGGGCGTGGTGGCTCACGCCTGTAGTCCCAGCACTTTGGGAGGCCGAGGCGAGTGGATCACCTGAGGTCAGGAGTTTGAGACCAGCCTGGCCAACAGGGCAAAACCCTGTCTCTACTAAAAATAAAAAAGTTAGCTGGGCATGGTGGTGGGCGCCTGTAATCCCAGCTACTTGGGAGGCTGAGGCAGGAGAATCACTTGAACCTGGGAGGCGGAGGTTGCAGTGAGCTAAGATCCTGCCACTGCACTCCAGCCTGGGTGACAGAGTGAGACTCCATCTCAAAAAAAAAAAAGTAATAGGTGTTCCTGAAGGTATAGCGGGAAAGGTACCCAGAATGTAAAAATTCTTTGCTATTAGTTGGAATCAAATTAACTTAGTGGTTTCTTTTATGCTTATTATAAGCTGTTTGGCATTTGAGGGAAAAAAATAGAAAAACAAAACATTATTTAATAGTTCGTTAGGTAAAAATCTTTCCAACGTTTGACCGAGGATGGGGAAAAAAAATAAAAGCAAGAGTTTGTACGTTTGGTGTTATAAGAGTTAGGAATTAGATTCCTTTCTGACTCAGAATGTTTTGGGCATAGTTTTTAAATCAAAGCACCTCAGCTGATGGTTCCCAGTACTTGGGTTCTTTTAAAAAATGAGAGGTTTTGCCAGTTGGTCTGGGTGGAACCCAGAAATGATAGCTGCTTAAAAACTCTTCAAGTGTGATTCTACTGTGCAGTCAAAGTTAAGAATGACAGAGGAGTATTCTGGAATGAATTGAGAATCCTGTTTAAGTGACTTTTCTCTGAATTTTGGAAGTCATTTTAATAAACTATAGTAGTTTTTTATTTTATGTCATATTTTGTGTGTGTGTTTTTACTTTTTCATGGAATGTGGTATCTCAACATCGCTTTCAGGTTGGCAGGGATGGGATATATTATTATGACCCAGAAAGTCAATGTGATATAGCTTAAGTGCATGGGCTTTGTAATCAGTCAGACCTGGATTCTATTTCCAGCTCCATCAGCAACAAGTGGGGCTGTACTGGGAGCCTTACTCGACCCCACCTAACCTTAGTTTACCTATTTATAAAATGAGGAATAATATTAGGTCCTTATTAGTATTGTTGTGATAGCTGCATGATATGATACGTGTACCATGAAGAGCAAGTACGTTTAAAACAAACAATTGTGATTATTATTTCAGTTTGAAAGGTGAGTAACTTGAAACTCAGAAGTAACTTTTCCATTTTTTCACAAATATTTGGAGAAAATGTTTACTTTGAAGTAAGATTATGTTTTATTACTGTTAAATCATAGGGCATGATAAAAAGAAAATACTACATGTTGAGGCCCAAATACCTACATCTGCCTACTAGGCCTCAAATTCTAGGATTAGTTTGAGTTACATCAATAGCTTGTTTCCGTAACTTCTTAACAAACCCATGTCAATAGAAAAGTTAGTAATAAAGCAAAATTCTTAAAACTTGAATATTCCTTAATTTATAATAATAAAACTTTTATGTTTCTCTTATGAAGTAATATGTATTTGGGGACAGAGTTTAGAAAAGTGAGAAGAGTGTATCAGGACCCTATAGTATTTGCAAATACATATTTCTCTTTTTTCACTGAACATTCTACTTGGAACATTTCCTAAAAAAATGTTAATTTGGCCGGGTGCAGTGCCTCACACCTGTAATCCCAGCACTTTGGGAGGCTAAAGTGGGCAGATCACAAGGTCAAGAGATGTAGACCATCCTGGCCAACATGGTAAAACCCTGTCTCTATTAAAAATACGAAAATTAGCTGGGCATGGTGGTGTGCACCTGTAGTCCCGGCTACTCGGGAGGCTGAGGCAGGAGAATTGCTTGAACCCAGGAGGTGGAGGTTGCAGTGAGCCAAGATCACACCACTGCACTCCAGCCTGGTGACAGAGTGAGACTCCGTCTCAAAAAAAAAAAAAAAGTTAATTTTTGCACAATAGTTTTATCAGTTTAATCATTTCTCCATTGTTAGACATACAGGTTATAATTGTTTTTCTGTTATAACTAATTTTCCCTTAAACATTTTTATTTCATTACCATAAATTCTTAAAAATGGAATAATTAGATAAAAGGGGGTGAACCGGCTGGGCATAGTGGCTTACCCCTGTAATCCCAGCACTTTGGGAGGCCAAGGCAGGTGGATCACCTGAGGTCAGAAGTTCAAGACCAGCCTGACCAATCTGATGAAACCCTGTCTCTACTAAAAATATGAAAATTACCTGGGTGTGGTGGCATGAGCCTGTAGTCCCAGCTACTCAGGAGGCTGAGACAGGAGAGTCAGTTGAACCCAGGAGGCAGAGGTTGCAGTGAGCGGAGATCAGGCCATCACACTCCAGCCTGGGCAACAAAAGTGAAACTCCATTTCACACACACACACACACACACACAAAGGAAGTGAACCTTTTAAAGCCTTCAGTAGCTACTGCCAAAGCTTTTATGCAGAAAAATTATACTAAAATATAAGCTCTACTTTGCCAATAATGAATGTTATCATTGCTTTTTAACTCAAACTAATATTAGACACAGAAAAAATAGTACAAACAGTTCCCATATACCCCTTACCCAGTTTCCCTTTATTTTAACATCTTATCACAACTGGGTAATTAACATTAACCCAACTATAGACTTTACTGGAATTTCATCAGTTTTCCCATTAATGTTCTTTTTCCTGCCCAGTATCCTATTCAGGATACTTGCAGTTACTTCTTTTTAATTTCCTCGTATTTTCTAGTTATTCATTCTTTCTTTGTCTTCCATGAACTTGACACTTTTAAGAGTAGTGGCTAATTAATTTATTTTGTAGTAGATATTATGGTAACATGCCAATTCATTAGTTAAATGTTGCTGTTGTTTTTATTTGCATTTCTTTGGCTGGTAATTTGGAAAAAAGGTATTTCGTATATGTTGTTCATTAGTATTTGACTTCTGAATTCTCTCAGTTTATGTCCTTTGCCCATATTTTTCCTAAAGTGATAGCCTTTTTTCCTTTAATTTTTAATCATTGTTAATCCGCTTGTTATGTATTATGACATGTAGAATGGTCCAAAAGTCACTCTGAGAGCTTACCGTCCACAATGAGTATCTTTTAGAAGTATTAATGGTATTGGAGTATACTTGTGTGTGTGTGTGTGTGTGTGTGTGTGTGTGTGTGTGTGTGTGTATGTGTCATTATATTTAATGTATAATAATATCGGAGTGTATGTCCCTAAATTATATTGACCATATTTTTCATAATTATGTACACCATGTATGTATGCTCATATATAACTTTATACTGCTTTATACTTGAGCCCATTATCATTCATCTCATACTTTTCACTCCTCTCTTCTTAAGATCTTCCTTTTAGTTTGGACCACCCTTTCTCCTGATGGAAGGGCTAAAACTTCCTTTGAGTCCCGAGGCCTCCAGGAGCAGGACAGCTGGCCCCAATTATTCCCATAAACAACTTCTGTTCTAAACCCTGTCTGCCTGGCATTCTTATTTGTTCACTCTACTGACCGGTTTGCTTTCATATTTGCCTGATAAGACAGAAGATTCCTGGCCTAGCGTGGCTTTCTATGGGATGATGGAAAGTGTGTGGGGCCCATTTTTTCTCTTTCTGACACATAGCTTATACATTTCTCCAATAAAGATGATTTCAAAATTCACATTATGTGATATATTCATCCTTAACACTGATGCACAATACTGCAGATTGATTCCGTTTGTTTGCCCTGATATCTCAGATGTGAGGTTTTTAGAAGCATAGAAGCTTTTAATTTTTTTGGTCATGTAAATATGGTTTTTTTTTTCTCCTTGCTTTTGCCCAAAGATTTTGCTAAGTTCTATTTTTTGTCCTTTAATGGGGATACTGAATCTTTAGAAGTCATCTAAAGTGTATCAATCTTACTGATATATAAGTTGATTTATGTTTCTTTTACCTTGAAGAAGTTGAACTAAGAATATGCCCCCCATTTTAGTTTTCTAGTCAGCAGTAAACCAGCTCTAAGTAATAGCTTGCTTTCAGTTTCAGTAGATGATAATTTTGGCAAAGTAGCAATTATCTTTGTGTTTTTAACTTATTAATAATTGAGTTATCAAAGGGTTTCCTTAGAATATTGGGCATACAATTTACTTTTATAAATGTCTATGAAATAAAATTCTTATATAATTATATAAAATTACATAATATATAATTATATTGAAATAATTATAACTGTTGAATAAATGTATTATTTTTCCTTTGAACTATTTAACAGGGTTATATAACAAACTCATCACGAGTTGTGTCTAATAAGTCATCAGAGTTACTGTTTGACTTGACCCAGGATACAGGATTATCACATTACCAAGGGGGACCAACACTTTCTATGGCAGGTTGGTTTTAGTATTTTTTTCATAAAGGTTATAGAAAGAAACTTGATGAATATGCATATGAGATTGACTTTCTGTTTTGAAGTCCCTACCCTTGTGTGAAGTTTTTCATATATTGTAAGGTGGAACGTCACTAGTACTTGAATACCTTATGTGGGTAATTTTCTGTAAAATCCTATTTAATGACAGAATATTTTATTTCTTCCTATTAAGTAAGCTAACCAACTTTGAACTAATTCTCACTTGGAGCTAACCATAGCTGAGAAATATTAAAATAATTTCTGTGAGTTAGAGAACTTCTCAGGTAGCCTGAATACTCTGTTTAAAAAAGTATTAATTAGTTTCTATGGACACTAGTGTGAAAAATATATGGCTATAGTTGATTTCTTAATTAGTTTAATGTCTTTCTATTCTAATTGTTTCAGCGTGATAGTTCAATATGATTATAAAGTGCTATTATAAACTCCCAACAATAAATAAATAGTGATTTGTACATAGTAAGTACTCATGAAATGTACATTGAAGGATTAGTGAACTTTCCCTGTTGAGGAACATTTAAAGTTCTTTGATTGTATACTGTAACAAAGTTCTTCATTAATCTAAAATAAATTAGTGTACTATAAAATAATTTTATCTAATTGAAAATTCCCTGTAATCAAGGCAGTTACTCTTTGTATCTTAGCAATTTGTATCTATTCAAATATTTGACTAAACAGACGTATACATGATTTTTTGGAATTTTTAGATTTACTAGCAAATCAGTGCGGAGAATTTACCAAACCCTCTCCCAGTTTTTTTTTAATAGTAATACTTTTATTATAAACTTAAACTGTTTTTCCAATTTTTTAATACTTGATTTGATATTCACCTCTCTGGGTGTCACTTACGTATTTAGTAACAATCTGGTTTGTGAAATAGGTAAGAACCAAAAGAAACAGGGAGAAAAAAATAGTTGTCTTAAGTCTGGTTTCATAAAGCATGTAGATTTATTCATAGAAAAAGTCTAAATTCTTGAAACTTCTTGGGAATAAAGAGAAATAATGACTCCTATTCTTTCTGTATAAGTGTTCTACTTCAGTGAGTGGGACTTTAGCCTGAGCAGTAAGTGGGATGATTTGATCCTCTATTCTTAAGATTTTTGTAGTCTCTATTAAGTTACCTAACCACTTTGGTTTTCTCATATTGTTAAAAGGGAGATTTTAATTTTTTTTGTAGAATGCATTCATTCTTCACATCTGGAACCATTCATTTGGACATGTAACTTTAATTCTTGCTCTACTTAGGGATTTTTTATGTCCAAATCCAAGTGAAATGTGAGAATACATTATAAGCTTTAAAAGACTTGACAATACAGTTATTCTGAATGATAATTATGAATGATATGTGCCACATGTTCAGTAACATGATTAACACACTACCATCTAGGGAGATTATGGGGGTTTGGAGAAAACTGGATTTGAGCTAAATCTTGAATGAGAATAGGATTTTTACCAGCAGAGAGAGAGCTGTTGAGGGTAGGGAGCAACACAAGCCAAACACAGCAGAGAAATAAGTTAAAGCATCAAAATTTAAAACAAATACAGAGTGATTTTATTTAATCTTGAGATTTCTTGTTTTAAAAATTCTTAAAGCAGTCTGTTTCTACTGTCCAGCCTCCTATATAATCAGATGCTTAATTCAGAATTCCAGCATTCATTGGTTTTTCAGGTAACTTAAACATCTCACAAGAATGTGAATGTGATTATACAGAATTTTTCCAATGTACCTACAGTATATCTATCAGTAATCGAGTATTTTGAAGATGGAAAAAAATCATTTTTATGTTATCTGAAAAGGATGAAAGAGAGAAGCCAAGTAGTATAATACTCTTATTTTGCTGTAATGTTTGCCCTTATTAAAAAGCTGACAGGTTAATCTATTATTATATTTTTCCCCTCTGAGGTAAGTTAAATATAAAATATTTTGTTAGTAATGATAATATCTGTAATTTATTACTGAGTGCTTTCTGTGTACCAAATGTTTTGTTGGGTGCCTTAAGTACATTATCTTATTTGGTCCTTAAAGCAGCTCTGTAAACTTGTAACTTATTTTATAAAAAAGCAAACTGAGGCTTAGAGAAATTAAGCTAACATAACTAGACTAGAGAGTGACAAGTTAACATAACTAGAGAGTGACAAGTTAACTAGTTAACATAACTAGAGAGTAACATTAACATAACTAGAGAGTGACAAGGTGTGGATTTGAACTTATCTGACTTTAAAACCTGGAATACTTCTAATATAGTTACCGTACCATTTCTACTTTTAATGTACAATTGTGAGGATTAAAATATGATGTACAGATTTAGAATCTCTTTTACAAAGTACAGTTGTATGTTATTTTCAAAAAAAAACTTTTCCGAGCCTTTTTATAGCCTGGATATCCTCATTTCTCTTGAGAATGCATTAAATAAAACTAAAATCCTTCAGCCTTAACAAAATGGTTTTCAAATGGGAAAGTATTTTTAGGAATGAAATCCTTATATAAAAATTTTATGCAAAATTTAAATAAAAGAAAAAAGAGTTCCTCTGTTAAACATGCTCAATATATTCTCTAAAACAAACCCATTAATTTCTGGGGAACATAGTGTGAAAATCATTATACTTACTACTTCCATTATGTGTGAAAATCATTATACTCACTACTTCCATTATGTGTCCTTTGTTTTTTTATTTTTTTTGAGACAGAGTCTTGCTCTGTTGCCCAGGCTGGAGTGCAGTGGCGCGATCTCGGCTCACTGCAAGCACCGCCTCCCAGGTTCATGCCATTCTCCTGCCTCAGCCTCCCGAGTAGCTGGGACTACAGGTGCCCGTCACCACGCCAGGCTAATTTTTTGTATTTTTAGTAGAGATGGGGTTTCACCATGTTTGCCAGGCTGGTCTCTATCTCCTGACCTCGTGATCTGTCTGCCTCAGCCTCCCAAAGTGCTGGGATTACAGGCGTGAGCCACCGTGCCTGGCCTATGTGTCCTTTCATATAAATGAATGAAGTGTTATCATTCAAGATTAGTTATTTCCACTTTCTGCGTAGCGATGAATGGGTAATACCACTCAAAGCCATGAGTAGACCGCTCTTACCTACTCTTCAGTTTGTTAGGTAGGAAAGAACTAAATTTCCATTAGACATTTTAAGTTGTTAAATTGAAAAAAGCATCTTAAGAGTATCTCTAAATTTTTGAAACAGGTAATTGTTGTTTTTTTACAAACTCTAGTGTACTCAATGCACTTAAGCATCTAAAGATAATTCATTTGTCAGAACTTATTCATAGTATACTTTTTTTTTTGGCTTGGAATATTGGTCTGGCTCCCTTTGTGATAGCTATTTATATATTTCTTTATTTGAAGCCATATTTAGAATTTTCTTTCATAGAGGGATTATTTTTTTAATTATTTAAATGTATGTAGTCCATGATAAATATATGTGCAATTTCTTTACACCCTTGAGTTTGGATCATATCAAGTTTTATCATTATTGTCATGATATGATAATTCAATTATATTACCTTTAATTTAGCTCCAAAATATTTTTACTCAGATGTAAATAATATTCTAATTTTAAAAAATATTTTTCTCACTATTTAAATTATTGTAGGTATGAGTGAAAGTTCATTTTTATCAAAACGTCCTTCTACTTCTGAAGTAAATAATGTTAATCCAAAGAAGCCTAAACCCAGCGAAAGTGTTTCTGGAGCAAATTCCTCAGCTGTATTACCTTCAGTTAAATCTCCTTCAGTGACTTCTTCCCAGGCTATGCTAGCAAAAGGTAAATATGAAATGTGGTACATAAAAAGAAGTTATAGTATTTATACATACATTTTTGAAGTGGCTATAAATTTTAAAAGTATTATTAGTGGTTATTTAAGGTTAAAAAGTGATGAATTTTGAGTCATAAATGTTCTGAATTTATTTTAGGTACAAATACCTCATCAAATCAGTCTAAAAATGGAACACCTTTTCCAAGAGCTTGTCCAAAGTGCAACATTCATTTCAATCTTTTGGATCCTTTGAAAAATCACATGAAGGTAAAACTCTTTCAAAATTTAATTTGTAAAAAGTTTGCACATTTCTAAAAATACTGATGATTACAGTAATTAATGGTTTGTCCAGAAATAATCTCATTGGTATTTCCATTTAATTTAAATAAAAATTTACATTCATAATGATTATATAGATTCTCAAATTCCTTCTAAATCCTCAAATTTTAAAACTTAAATTTGTATATATTATAATGTATGCTTATTGTATTTTAATTTTAAATAAAAATAATGTATTAATCCGATTATTTTATTTATTAGGTCATACTCTTCAAATGTCTTATAAAACAGGCATTTTATTACGTATTTACTTTTGCATATAAGTTAAAAATTCCGTTACCTTATTTTTGTGTCCATGTTAACATGTACATGTCACATTACACAATGAAAATCTGAGTTTTACATTTTAGTTTTTAACACTCAGGTATAAACTCCAAATGTTGAAGCATTTCATATGAAATAATTGTTTTAACTCAGTCCAGAATATAGTTCATATAATTGTGTAAATTAATTTGAGCTTTTTTTTTTTTTTTTTTTTTGAGACGGAGTCTCGCTCTGTCACCCATGCTGGAGTGCAGTGGCAGATCTCTGGGGACTGCAAGCTCCACCTCCCAGGTTCACGCCATTCTCCTGCCTCAGCCTCCCAAGTAGCTGGGACTACAGGCGCCCGCCACCACGCCCGGCTAATTTTTGTATTTTTAGTAGAGATGGGGTTTCATCGTGTTAGCCAGGATGGTCTCGATCTCCTGACCTCGTGATCCGCCCGCCTCAACCTCCTAAAGTGCTGGGATTACAGAATTTGAGCTTTTTATTGGTACAAGAAGCCCCTGAATTTAGGTTTTAAGAAATGTTCAAAGTACTAGTGAAGTATGAGATTTAGGTAACATTTAAAGTATTTTAGTAGATATTATAGTATCCTGCTGTGTTTGTGTAGAGATGGTCTGTACTCCCCTTGCATGCCCAGTATAAATGACAGGAAGGGAGAAAAGAGATCAGAAAAAAGGCAGTGTAGATTATATAAGGAAAAGAAGGAAGGAGAGGGGTGCAATGGCAAAGAAGTAACTTAGGAAAAGTTTTTGCTGTTTCAGAGATTGACATATTTTTATTGAAATTCAGCATTTTACAAAAAAGGTAGAAAAAATAAGGGAACTTAAAAAAGTTATAAATACAGTCTTCTTATATACGTACAGAGCCATATTTGGTCTGTCCTTACTCTCAGAGTATAGCCCTGGATAACTGCACGTTGTGTTTTGGTCTTATAGGAGAATTATCCTGTAGAAGTACTTTCAATTTTCCTCTTCTGTGTAATGTTTTGATGAGATTTCTGATGTTTTTTGTGTTTTGCATTATAGATGAAGAAAACAAAGACTACATTCTTTATCTGTTTAATTTTTTAAGTAGGTAGCAATACAGTCACATGATTCAAAATTAAAAAGCCTGCAAAGATATACATGTGAAGAATCTTATCTCTGTGTCTTTTTTTACCTGGTTCCTAGTATGACTCAAAGAAAATAATTTTTTATTAGTTTGTTTTGAATGCTCCCTGGGTTTCTTTCTGGATGTACAAGTAAACATGAGTGTTCTTATTTTCTATTTTGTACAGAAATTGTGGCATGTTATATATATCTCTGCATCTGGAGAGAATGGCAACATTCTCCAAAATGTGGCTTTTATGTGTTACTTCATGGTTTGTAATTACTTACAGTAGAAACAACCAGAACTTCATAGAATTTTCATATTAATATAATAGAACATTATGACATTTTAAATAAGGAAAGTATCTCTGTCATTGTAAGAAATTGTATTTCTTACAACTGAACTAAGTTGAAGATAATATGAACAGTGTATGTGTTTATATCATAAGGAAATCTTGAAAGAATAGTCTCCAAATCTAGGAAGGGAAAGTTTAAATCTGTGGGGACTTTTTATTTTCTAGTTTATATATTTTTATGTATCAGCTAAAGTTTTAGTGTTATAATAACTTTCATTTTGAAAAGAATGTGATTTTTACATTATTTGTGAATGATTTTTTTGCCAACTAGCATATAATGTTTTCTTTCAATGGAAAAATATTTAAAATATCAAATATTCTACAATAATTAGAAAAATATACTTATCTGAGACTATGTGTCAGACACAGTACTAAGCTTTAAATACATTATTTCATTAATCCTTAGAAAATTCTTTAAGATTATTTTTTCTCATTGTTGTATAACCAATTAACTGGCGTAACTAGCTTTCAAAACTCAGTTTCTTTAATGGTAAAGCCCAAGTTTTCACAAATCCTTTTTGTTTTGTAAAGTATAGGGGGTATTCAATATTATGTGGAAGATTGAAAATAGGTATATTACTTCTCCTTTGGGGTATGGAATTCGATATTTATCAACCAAATATAGCTTATTAATTATATTTATATTTCTGTGTCTTCACTTCCATTTAGTCCACTTGATCTGTCCTGGATTGGGAAACACCACATTTCAGTCCACAGCTTTCATTACCAGTATTTTCTTTCATATATTGCAATTTTGTTTCAAAGTTGTTGCTGTTGTTTATGATATAGAAGAATCTAGCTTTTATAACTATATTATGAGGCCGGGAGTCATGGCTCACACCTGTAATCCCAGCACTTTGGGAGGCCGAGGCCAGCAGATCACCTGAGGTCAGGAGTTCGAGACCAGCCTGGCCAACATAGTGAAACCCCATCTCTACTAAAAATACAAGAACTTAGCCAGGCATGGTGACACACGCCTGTAGTCCCACTGCTTGGGAGGCTGAGGCGAGAGAATCGCTTGAACCTGGGAGGCGGAGGTTGCAGTGAGCCGAGATGGCACCACTGCCCTCCAGCCTGGGTAACAGAGTGAGACTGTCTCAAAAATAAAATAAATAACTGTATTGTGAATGTATCCTTTAGCATTTTAATAAAATATCCTTTTCTTGGTTTTAATGGTTAGTGCCTTTTAGCCCAAATTCTACTTTGATGTTAGACTCACAACCCCTGTTATGGTTTCCATTTACCTGGTGTATTCTTTGTTTAGTCTTTTATTTTCAACTCTTCTGAATTACTTTGTTTTAGGTGTGCCTTTTGCTTTTAGCAAAGTTGATTTTTCTTTTGTGATCCTATATGAAAATCTCTTCTTTTAATAGTGGGTTTAGATTTACCAATATGATAGATTTATTTGGTCTTAGTTCTGTTAAAATTTTTCTTTCTCTCTTTTTTAAAAGCCTTTCACAATGTGGTTGCTTTATGTGTGTGTAGCTTAGGTTTCTAAGAGAGTTGTAGTTTTGTTCTCCTGATTATGTTTCTAATTTTAATGTATAACTCCACTAGTCTTCTATTCCTTTAGCAATTCTCTACTGTTCTTTTCTATGAGGAAGGATTAAAGTAGCATGAAACTTCCTGTTTTTAACCCACCCATCTTTCCCTTCTTTTTTGCTACTTGATTTTAGTCAATATTGTCTGAGCATTTGTTTACCTTTGCTGTCAAAATGTCTATACCTATATTACTTTATTTGGTGGCTCTAACTGATATTCCTTTATGAACTGTGAGGCAATCTATGAACTCTTCACCTTGTACTCTTTGTCCTTTTATCCTCTCCCAATTTTTATTTGTTCATTGTATTGTTTTTCCATTGTCAGGGCATATGACATTACATTTTTGTTTGTTTTGTTTTGTTTTGTTTTGTTTTTTTACCTTATGTCATATTTGTTTTGATCTTTTTCTACAGTAAATATAATCCACTGTTCATCATCAGTGTTTTTGTCATGGTTTATTTCGTTTTCTGTTTGGCTGAAGTTCATTCTGTAGTAATTTCATTTAGGAGGAGTCTGAAAACATCTTTCTGTGAGGTCGTTCATGTTCAAAGCAATTTGACTGTAGTCCATTCTGTAAAGACAGTTTGATCTAATATAAAGTAAATTGAATCCCACTATCAGGATTTTGTTGGTATAGCTCCCGTTTTCTAGTATTCAGTGTTGCTTTTGAGGAATCTGGGACAAGCTGAATTATTTTGCCTTTTATAAGTGGTTTGATCTTCTTGTTTGGCAGTCTGTAGCTTTTTGGTTGTCTACATTCTTTATGTTTTGAAGACTGATAATTTTATAATGATATAACTTGGTGTTGGGAATTTTGGGTGAGTCCTCTCTGGCATACACCTTGTTCTTTCAACCTGTATATTTGGATTTAGCACAGTTTATTTGAATTGTATTTTAAAATATTTATTCCATACAATTTCATCTCCAATATGAATTTGTTTTATCTTCTTTCCCTGACATATGTCTTTTTTTTTCTAATCCTTAATTTTTTTAAATGGACTTTTCTCCTACTAATATGTTTCCTTTATTTTATTTGCAATGTCTACTCACCACTGTATTCCTTCCTAATTTGTCTTCATGTCTCTGATTTTATTTTTTTCCAATACTTTCACCCTTGCAATGTCTACTCACCACTGTATTCCTTCCTAATTTGTCTTCATGTCTCTGATTTTATTTTTTTCCTATACTTTCACCCTTGATTTTGCCACTCTTTTTTTTCCTTCTAAATATCTTGTTGTCTTGGCATCTTTTCTTGCTTTGTGGTCTTCCAAATAGAGGCAGTTGCTTCATTATGTTTTTAAAATTTGTGGCTACTGTTTTCATCTGCAACTGCTCCACGGCAGCATAATTCTGATGTTTTTGTTAGAATTTTACATTTTTCTGTTATTTGCCTTCTTTTATTACATGGTATTTTTGTTTAGATGTGAGTGCCTATAGTGTTTAACAAGTTGGATTTTCTTGGGCCAGCTGTTTTATACAAGTTCCTTTTAGGAGGAAGCATAGGTTGCCAGGATAGTCTCACAGCTTGCTAGCTGGTTTAAACAGCTTTTTGCTGGGCAGAAGGCTTCCTGCAATTGTGACTTGTGTGTCTGATTCTTTATGTAGCACCGCCTTTCTGCTTCTCTGTACTGAATCAGGTCTGGGGTACTTCTGCTGCCATCCTTCTTGCCTCAGCTTCTGCACCTGTTTTTGCAAACAGAGGATATACCCTTGTGATTCAGAATATGTGTTTCACCTTTAAGATGTGTATTTTTACTGACCCTTTAAGATCTGTTACCACTGGGTCCCCTTTACTTCTCTGGTTTACTTCTAGCTAAATGCCATCTGCCCGATGTTGGCTTCTTTGAATAGTGCTTTCGTATATTATGGAGTCTGTGGCTTTTATCTGACCCTTAGTTTCAATGATAAACCAATTTGTGGAATTTGGTTGTGTAGCTTTTGGATGACTCTCAGGAGGAAAAGAGGAAAATGTTGACTGATGTTGGATGTTCACATGAGAAGCCCTATTTAACTATAAAAATAGGATCTCACCTCCTTTGCTCTGAAAAACCCACCTAAATTTTTAGGGCACTAACAAAGCAACAGAACATGGTCTGTGTACTGGGAGGAGTAAAGATAAGAATGATAGATAGATGGTGCCTGATATTTGTCAAACTATAGTATATGGCATTAAAGTACATATTTAATATTTGCAGAATCTTTAACCCACAAAAATAAGGGATAAATAAGGAGTTGCAGTGAAGATCTATTAATAAAACTAAAAGGTACCAGGGCTGAATAAAAGATGACCAGTTGATATTGTACCACAGCTCAGCTATGCCCCTCCGTAGCTTGCTCTATCCTCCTATAAAACCTTAAATCTAAGCTTGGTTCTCATCTCTTAAGGTGCTTATTTGTTTTTTTGGATAAGCAAGGATACTTTGCCGTTCTCAATGACTAAATCCTTCACCCTAATTCACTACAAGTTGTTGTCCATTTTTGGTTGTCAATGGTTTATTATTCAGCTCTTTTATAGAGATATGAAACATTGTTTAAAAGGTACTCTGTGAACAAAGTTTATATGTTTATTTAAAAAATCTGATCCTATCCTACTTTTCTGTTAAAAAAATAGAAAAACAGCAAGTAATTTATCATCTATTATGGGTATCATAATTTATAGCTATTTTAGGGTAATCTTTAATGTTCATAGACTAACTTTGCAATGTTATTTGATAATTTTACATTTGGGACAGAAGATTATCCACATTTCTAATTAAGGAGCCTATTCTATATTATATAATTTTTGTATATTTTAATTTTTCCTCAACCAGGCTTTATGAAATTTTATATATCACTTGATAATTAAATATATACATCAAGGCATATAAACATTTCCTTTCTATACATCTTGACGTGGACATGAGATGAATGATTTTTAGTTAAGGAACAGATTATTATTAAATATTTACATCTAAAAAGGCAAATTGCAAGGGTAAAGCTGTTAGAGCTATGGCCATGTCTTGGTTTTAGGGTTTCTCAAATCTTTTTGAATTTTTACATGAAGATAATAGGTGTTTATTATTTGAATTTTTAGACTATGTACATGCACCACAAATTTTTGGTGACTATTTTTCTAGATATATTACAAGCATAGTTTTAATGGTCTGGCCTTAGGTGTAAACACACAATCACTTTTTGGTATGTGGTTTTTTTAAAGAATAAGTAAGGCTTGTTTTTTTTTTTTTTTTTTCTCTTTCAGTATTGTTGTCCAGACATGATAAATAACTTTTTGGGACTGGCTAAAACAGAATTTTCAAGTACAGTAAATAAAAACACAACTATTGATTCAGAGAAAGGAAAATTGATCATGTTAGTTAATGACTTTTATTATGGAAAACATGAAGGAGATGTCCAGGAGGAACAGAAGACTCACACAACCTTTAAATGCTTCAGTTGCTTGAAAATTCTAAAAAATAACATTAGGTATGTAAATACTTGTTTTTATTTCTATTGAAAATTGAAATGCTGCAAATAAAAATGTTATACTTTTATTTTGTGTTTTCTATGCCATTCTAGGTAAGTGATTTTAACACTTTCTACTGAGAATAAAGGCGGATTCTCTTGTTGAAAAGCTCTGTCCTTTCTTGTGTTGTGGAGTTTGACTCTTGGATCCAGTTAGTTATATTTCTTTCACATAGCTTAAGAAAAGACTGTTTATTTTAACTTAAGACAAAATGAACTTCTTTTTTCTGTTTTAGTCGTGATTTTTGAATTTTTATTAGACATTTTTTATTTTCTAATTGCCTTTGAATTTTATATTTCTTCACATTACAAGAAGAACCACTCTGTGTTTGTTCAGGTTGAGCTCCTCTATGTAATGCTCAAATTTTTCAATTTATATTTATAGTTTTTAGAACATTAATCTTGCAGGAAAAATTATCAGTTTTAGAGATGTATCAGTTCTAGGAAGCATGTCTGTTTTGATTTTAAAATTTAACAGCTTTAGAAATTTGGGGATTTAATTCCCAGTGGAATATATGAATGCTTTAAATATTAGAAATTTGTACTTCATAATCGTTCAGTTGTAATCTTTGAAACTATTCTGTATAAATTAGTAACAAGAGAAAAGTAATAAGAAATTGAGTGAAATTATTTGTTGATTATGTAGCCTGATATTTATATTAGATAAGGTTTTTTCCTATCACTTTACTATAAAAATTTTCAGATATTAAGCAGAGTTTTGAAAATTTCACATTGGACCCTTGTACACTTAACCACCTTGATTCTACCATTAACATTTTACTATACTTGCTTTATTATGTATCTCTTCATCCTTCTTAGAACTATCTGATTTTTGGTGCATTTCAAGGTAATCTGCATTGTGTTTGTGCATGTGTGTACAGCATATACATATATGTATGCCTTTTGTGTTTATTCTTGGTAACTGTCATCTGTAATTAGCATTTCAAAGCAGCTGTAGTTACTTCTGAGTTCAGCATTTATTTGTTTTCCTGTGAGTCCTTGGGTCCAAAAAGAAGCATACATAAAAATCCTGAAATACACTGTGATATACACCTATAACAGTTATTAATGGTTTCTTTATGATAGTGCTTTATAATTTTCAAAGTTTTTTCACTTATTTTATATGAATTTTCTTATTTCTTTACCTCCTCTTATCAAACTTTAAGGGCCATCAATAGCTAATGGTTGCAGTAGTTTAACAAAAGGGAAAGTGTATTTTGAGATAAAACGTTGAAACAGTGTTGCAGTAGAACTCTACCACCTATTTCTGATGTCATGCCAACATCGGGAAATCATGTTAGTAAATATGGTAAAATGCAGAGCAGTGTGGTTCATTGACTTAATGTCTTGTACTGAAATATGAGGTTATGTTATTTCAGCAGTATTTTTTTGGCCTTTCCTTTAAGATTAGCCCATTTAATAGCAAACATGAAAATGGGGCTGGGCATGGTGGTTCACGCCTGTAATCCCAGCACTTTGGGAGGCTGAGGCAGGATGATCGCTTTAGCAAAGGAGTTCCAGACCAGCCTGGAGAACACAGTGAAACCTCATCTCTACAAAAAATACAAAAGTTTGCCGGGCGTGGTGACGTGCACCTGTAGTCCCAGCTACTTGTGGGGCTGAGGTGGGAGGATCGCTTGAGTCTGGGAGATTGAGGCAGCAGTGAGCTGTAATCATGCGTCTGCACTCCAGCCTGGGCAACAGAACGAGATGGTCTCAAAATAAAAAGAAAATGAAAAATTCATTTTTTTGGTTATGTTTATGAAGACTAGCTACGTATGTTTAGGCTTTCATAATATTTACAGATTTTAAGAAAATTATATCTGATAATATCCAGGAATTGAGTATTTTTAAAAATACTGATCATTTATTAAATGTAACCTTAATGGTAAACACCTCGTGAACAAAGAAGTTAAATGTATTATATAATATTTTACTTCAACAGTAAAAACTGGGAAGGCAACTTGATATTTATAGAGAATAATAAGAAATTGATAGCTCAACATTTCATTTCTCTTCTCTGCCATGTCAATATATTGTGGTATGGAGTTTCTTTCCTACATTGAGTGTCACTAAAAATAGTTAGATTTATCTTGTTCTGTGAACATCCTTGCAAGAGGTTTTGCTGTTTCCCTCATTTCTATTGGTTTGAGAAGTATGAGTTGATGGGAACTCATATAATAATTGGGAAAAAGCGAATTGGTTAAGGGAACATTTTATGTTAATAGACTTTAAGTGCTGAAAGCTGTGAGCTGAAAGTTTAATGGCTCATGATCTTTACTCTAAACGTAAATATTTAACAACGACCAGGATTTTTTGTAAGCATTTGTAGAGCTGTTGTTAAAACCAAAGGAGGAAAAGATATTTCAAGGTGTACCATAGCCCACTCTAAAGAGAATAGTGCTGTAAATTTGTGAAAAGAGGTATATATTATAATCTTCATGATGATTGCTATCTAGATTGATGACATTATCACTTAGTTTCAAGATAATTTCTTTTAGGGATTCAAAGTGAATAATTGTTAACAGTTGACCTAGTCTAAAAATTATTGTTTTTGTTGAATAACTTTACTCTCAAATTCAGCAAAAAGCTTTAGTAAGCTCTTTTAAATGTATTACCATTTATATTGCACCCTCTGCCATTGAAGGTCATAATTCCTGCTCATAGAAGCCTATTAGGGAAGCTGAAGTAGCAGAATGTAAAACTGAAAAATGTATGTTGCCTACAAAGGGCACTGTCTGCAAGTTAAGATGAACAGTCTGTGCTAACAGTAAACCAGTATCATTAAATAAAACAAAAGGTTCTTGTAATTGTAGGCATCAAAACTGCTATTACATGCATTTAGAAACCAAGATACAAGTAAAAATACTAGTAATTTGTCATTTAAGTAGCTGGAATCTATTGTATATTTTCAAGGCCTTAAAAGATTTCCTCCTGACTCTGTAGCTGCCTTTGGTGATAGGGTTTCCTTTATTTTAGTGTTTTATTTTAAAATGTAAATAGGATTCCAAGTATGGATATAGAGTTTCCTTTCTTTTAGTATTTAATTTTAAAATGTAAATAGGATTTCAAGTATGGATCAGAAGCCTGTTCTTTTATCTAAAAAAATTTTTTAAATAATCTGAAATAATGATTAAGAGTTATATCAAATTGTTGATCTTTCAGATTAATTACATGAATGAATTATTTTAAAGCAAAGGTAAAAAGATGTTTACTTAGCCACTTAAAGAAAGTGATTATTTAAAAGTGCATACTTTCCTAGGCAACTTTAAGACTTTTGAGAGTTTGAGTAATACATCTATATTTTTAAGATTTAGGTTCAGATTCTTGTTTGTGAGATTTCCTTTTTGTTTTTAAATCTCAAGTTTTGCACCTGTTGACAACCATTTATAGGTTTATGAACCACATGAAACACCATTTGGAACTTGAGAAGCAGAGCAGTGAGAGCTGGGAAAACCATACCACCTGCCAGCACTGCTACCGTCAGTTTCCCACACCATTTCAGTTGCAGTGTCACATCGAAAGTACACATACGCCCCATGAATTTTCTAGTAAGTTACCAATACATTTAAATATTCCATATTATTGATTTCGCTAATATAAATTGTGAGAAAACCTTAAGAAGCCTGTTAGAAAAATGAGAATGAGAACTAGACTTTGGAATTTGAGGGCAAAATTGAAAGGCCAAGTTTTAACTGTGATAAACTTTTAAATAAAATTAGTTACTAATATTAAAGTGCCTCTTGCAAATAATTCAGTATGGTAATTGCCTTGACATAAACTATGCATTATATGTTGGGGACTAAATTAGGAGCCTAGTATCCTAGTTTTAAAATATTAAATCATTGCTCTTCATTTAAACTTTAATAGGAAAAAGAACTACTGTTTTAGTTAAAAATCACAGGCGGGGTGCAGTGGCTCATGCCTGTAATCCCAGTCAGCACTTTGGGAGGCCAATGTGGGCAGATCACTTGAGGCCAGGAGTTTGAGACCAGCCTGGCCAACATGGCAAAACCCCGTCTCTACTAAAAATACAAAAATTAGCCGGGCATGGTGGTGCATGCCTGTAATCCCAGCTCCTTGGGAAGCTGAGGCAGGAGAATCACTTGAACCCAGGAAACGGAGGTTGCAGTAAGCCGAGATTGCGCCATTGCACTCCAGCCTGGGTGACAGAGCAAGATACTGTCTCCAAAAAAAAAAAAAAAAAGAAAGAAAATTACAGATGTTGGAGCAAGATAGCTTGGTTTTAAATCTCAGATCTGCCTCTTAATATAGCTACAAGATTTTAGCCACGTTACTTAATACTTGAATAATGCGGATAACAGAAATACCTTTCTTATAGGGTTGTTAATAGGAGTTGAGTTAATGTAGGTGAGGTAATGTGAGTGCTTAGAACTGTTCTTTGCACATAGTTAACAAGCTGTTTAACTCTTCACAACTGTCCCTACTGCTACTGTTATTGTTGTTGATATAGATGTATAAAATTAATTTTTATATTAATATCTTAAATATTATTATACTGTTTCTCTCCCACATTTAGCTATTTGTAAAATCTGTGAATTGTCATTTGAAACAGAACATGTTCTTTTACAACATATGAAGGACAATCATAAACCTGGTGAAATGCCATATGTCTGCCAGGTACACATACATTTTATTGTTTTTTTAAGTGTTTGGTTTGTTTGTTGTTTTGGTTATAAAATTTAAGCCTATTAGACCAGCGGTCAGCAAACTTATGCATAACTTGGCATAACTTATGCATTATATGAGGGATAGGCAGCAAGCTGGGTTTGGTCCACAGGCTTTTGTTTGCTTATCTCTGTACTGGACAAAGATGAGTCCTGTTGTATGTAGAAAAACAAACATATGGACTTACTGTGCTACATAGGGAAGAATGTAGTCATACAAGGGAAATACAAAGTGCTGTTAGATACAAAGAACCCTACCAAATGCTTTGGCAAAAGTATTTTTCCAAAGAAGAAGAATTTGAAGGAAGAGGAAAGCAAGGAAAAGATAAATTGCCATTGCCATAAACCTGGAGGCCATTAACAATCTAAAGGAGAATGCTGTTTCATGTAGCAGAAAAACATTTTATAGAGCAAGAGGTGCTAAAGCTTGAAACTTCAAGTCAAGACAGAAGGTGATAGATAAAAAGATCTGATAAAGAGAAGGAGATCTAGTTTTGTTTTGGGATGTATCCCTTAACTTTGAAAGCTACGTTTAATGTCTCAAAGATGGTCTTTTGGTGTTGCCTTAGTGAGATTCTTGGTTGCAAAGGCATCAGAGCTAGATTAGTAGTACATAATGTTCTCCTGACAAATTATCCATCATTGTTCCTTTGTAATTGCATATCAGTTTTAAATTTTCAAGTTAAACTAAGCCTTCTTTCTTTTTTTAGGTTTGTAATTATAGATCATCATCATTTTCTGATGTAGAAACTCATTTTAGAACATCCCATGAAAACACTAAGAACTTGCTATGCCCGTTTTGCCTCAAAGTTATTAAAATTGCAACACCATATATGCATCATTATATGAAGCATCAGGTGAGATTTACCAGTTCTTATTTGTTTATTATGTTGTCTTAGTGAAAAAACTGATTATGACTTGGAGAATCTTTAGATTTGTTCTGCAAGAGAAGCAGAGTTGTTCCAAATGACACTATTAATTTACACTTCAAGTTGAATTGCTTGTGAAAATTCCACTTCTTTTCCTTACTTCCTTTCTGGTGATGGTGTGGGTCATAAATAATGAAAATTCTGAAAGATAGCTAGAAATAGGAAGCTGAGGATTGACAGAAAAAGAAAAAGTTGAGTGGAATATCCAAAAGATTGAATATTTCAGGGTCTAAAGGTAGATATGAGAATGATTTTGAAGGGAGTTATCAGGACAAAGGGAATAATGAGTTTGAACTGAGGAAGAAAAGACTGAGGATTTATAATCTTATTTTTCGTTTTGCTCTTCAAACTTTATTTCAACTTTCTAACCCCTTATCATTATGAGAAGACATGTTGTCATTGACCTGGAGTTGTCTTTTATAGTTGTGTGACCATGGGAATAGTAATGACACTTACTGATCAGTATATGAACTCTGGCAGAGAACTATATTTAGATCATCACTTGTTCCCTGGATGGCTTCCACCAGTTTTGCTATATAATTTTGGAACTCAATATTAGTGCTTGTACCCCTCCCTTGAATTCTGATATTATGCTTATTGGCTCTTTTCCTGAAGCAATTAAACCATCTTTTATTTGGGCTAAAAATTTTGATGCAATACTAATCCTGTTCTTGCGTGCTTGAAAGAACAACAGTGCCTTTGCCAAAATTAGAAACCAATGGATTTACCGAATCTGATCATGTAATCAAATTTTGTCAACTCACTACAAAGCTCAATACATTCTCTTATTATTGATTAAATTGACATGCCAATTTATTCAGCATTGGTGCTCACTTTGCTGTCATTTTCAGTTGTTAGTTAAGTCATGAAATTGACTTGCTGTTTTTAATTGGAGAAGATCATGAAAGTAGAATTTCCAGATCAATTTGGGATCATATGTGTTGTGACTAGGATGCCACACATCCTTGAGAGTTTCTGGCAAGATCTATTCTAAGGTTTCCCCAATTACATATAGTAAATTACATATAGTAAGAATTACCTGTAAATCTCTCAAGTCTCCCAAACAATGTAGTATACTTATAAAAAATTTAATACAGATATTTATTTATTCTTGGAATAGATCACTGTTTGTTTTGTTGAACATAGTGTTATAAAAAAAAAAAAGTATCTTCATCACCCTTAGTGCATTTCTTTATGAACAGAATTTGGGAAACACTATTCTTGATACCCCGTATTTCATCTTTGGACTTTAATTTTGAAAGGGAGAATGAGGTATAAAGCAGTAGCTCTAGTTCACGATGGGGTTTTTAAACATAATCTTTCCCAGGTGCTTTGTCAAACTATAGAGTGAGATAGAGATGTGGGAAGAATAGTAACTATGGTAGAGATTTGGGGACCTGCTATGTGCCTGTGTGATTTATAAGCAAGTTGTCATGCCCTGAGTTGTATGTTTTAACTTGCCATGGCTGCCAATTTTCTTTTTTGTTTGGAGTGCCTGGGAGGTAGATAGCCAGCAGTAAAGAGGGGGCAGTCTATTAGTAAGGATCATTGGGCATCTTTGAAGGTATTTACAATTTGTGTAATGATTTACAAGACTGGAAAACCATAGCTGAGTGGGATTATAAACTTGTAGTTGAGATAACATTATTACCAAAGTATTAGACAATCAGAATAGTTGACTCCATGCCTCATTTTATTGTCTTTGAAGAACTCAGTTGTAACTTTTTTTAAAGATTATATTATTATGTCTTTAGTGATTTTAGAGTTAATAACCCAGTTTGTGTGACTTTTAAGAAATATTGATAGAAATTCCAGATGTGTTAAATATGCTCATTAGAGCTTTAATAAAACAAGCAGTTAACATACACTAATTACTTACCTTATGGCAGCAGCTGGTACTTTACATGCATTTTCTTGTTTAATCCTCTCAACCACTAGATGTATATTATTATTTCAGTTTTATAGATGAGGAAACAGAGCTTTAGAGAAAGTAACTTGCCTAATGTCACATTGTCTAATAAAGGCAGAGTCAAAATTTGACTTAGCATCCAAGCTTTTACTGCTCTACCAGAGTTGGATTTCACATTGGCATTGGGTCTAAAGGTAGAAATTACATATAGTAAGAATTACCTGTAAATCTCTCAAGTCTCCCAAACAATATAGTATACTTATAAAAAATTTAATACAGATATTTATTTATTCTTGGAATAGATCACTGTTTCTTTTGTTGAACATAATGTTATAAAAAAAAAGTATCTTCATCACCCTTAGTGCATTGAGATGCATGCATACATAAAAGAGATGTGTAAGACTTGAGTCCAACTAAGGAACTGGTAGATTAATGTATTCTACCTTAGGACTCTGGGCAAATGTTCATTGAATGAAAAGGCAGATATTTTGAACTAAATTGTACATGCTACTCACATGCATTTTCTCTGTTAATCTCTTGCTTTCTGCCTCACTATTCATTTAAGAAATATTTACTGAGTGCCTTAGTATGTGCTAGGGGCTGCTTTAGGTATCATATAGCATTGAACAAAACCAAGTTTGTGCCCTCTGGAATTTACATTATAGTAGAGAAAGATAATATATTTGTGTATGTGTGTGTTAGAATGTATATGCTGGCAATAAGTACTGTGGGAGAAAATGTGGAAGATGAGGAGTGCTAAAGATTGGGGAGGTGGTAGGAGTACAGGAGTGGTCAAAAAAGGACGTTGTATAAAGAATGTTCAAACATGGGCCTCTCTGAAGGATATAAAGGAGTAAGCCATGTGAATTACCTCGGAGAGGTGACATTATATAGGCAGTGAGGTGAGTGTATA
The DNA here is from genome assembly GCF_000001405.40 of Homo sapiens. Lineage (NCBI taxonomy): Eukaryota > Metazoa > Chordata > Mammalia > Primates > Hominidae > Homo > Homo sapiens. Next base: position 56,673,775 of record NC_000015.10, on the reverse strand, counting down.
CCTGGGATGCTCAAAGAATAGCAAGGAGGCCAGTGTGGCTGGAGCAGAGTAAATTAATAGGAGGAAGAATAATAGGAGATGAGGTTATAGCAATAGAATGCAGGCCAATTCATGTGGAGCTTTGTAAGCCACAGCCAAGACTTTGGAAAGGCACTAGACATTTTTAAGCATATAAAAAGATGTGCCATGTTTTTATTACTGGCAGCTATGGAAAGAAAAGTCCATAGAGAAGAAAGGATATTAGGGGGAGAAGATAGAAAGTTTTTATAGTAGTCCAGGTAAGTGGCTTGGGCCAGTATGGTAGCAATCGTTGAACGAGGTAATGAGAAGTGGAAAGATTATGAATGGTTTTGAAGTTAGAGCTGAGAGGTTTTACTAATGTGTTTGACAGTAGATGTAAGAGAAAGAGATTAAATTTTTTGTCTTGAGCAGTTGCAAGAATGGAGTTTTCATATACTGAGATATGGGGAAGACTGAATAAGGAACAGATTTTTTTTTGTAGGAGGGGGACAGGGATATAGGAAGGAAATCTCGAGTTCAATTTTGTTCAGGTTGATTTGAGAAGCGTATTAGACATCAAGCAGTAATGTTACGTAGGCATTTGGATAGATGGTATTTAAAAACCATGAAACTGGATGATGTAACCTACTGAGTGGTTATAGATAGAGAAAAGATTTCTGGGAACTCAACTCTGGTGAACTTTTTACCTGCTGTATTGTTTTGGTATCTATTTTTTGGTTTTTCTCTTCTTCCTTGAGCACATATAAGTGAATTTGTTTAAATTGCCTGTACCTGTGATGTAATCCAATGTATCACACTTGTAAAATAGTCTTAAGAGCCTAGGAGGTCAAGGCTGTAGTGAGCCAAGACTGCACCACAGCATTCCAGCCTGGATGACAGAGTGAGACCTTGTGTTAAGAAAAAAAAAACTTAAGATCCAGCTATTAATAGAATTGTAACACATATTTATATATTGCTTTGAATTTTATAAAGAACTTTCATTTATGAAGTGCTTGCTGTATGCCAGTAACTGTGCTAGGTACTTCCTTATATATTACTTCACTTGATTTTTATAAATAATTGGTTGTGCCAAAAACAAACAAACAAACAAACACACACAAAAAAAACCACACACACAAAACTTCAGGCCAATATCCTTGATGAACCTCGATGCAAAAATCTTCACCAAAATACTGGCAAACTGAATCCAGCAGCACATCAAAAAGTTTATTCACCATGATCAAGTAGGCTTTATCCCTAGGTTGGAAGGTTGGTTCGACATATGCAAATCAATAAATGTGACTCATCACAAACAGAACTAAAGACAAAAATCGCATGATTATCTCAATAGATGCAGAAAAGGCTTTTGATAAAAGTCAGTATCTCTTCATGTTAAAAACTCTCAATAAACTAGGTACTGAGGGAACATACCTCAAAATAATAAGAGCCATATATGACAAACCCACAGCCAGTATCATACTGAATGGGCAAAAGCTGGAAGCATTCCCCTTGAAAACCAGCACAAGACAAGGATGCCCTCTCTCACCACTCCTATTCAACATAGTACTGGAAGTTCTGGCCAGGGCAATCAGGCAAAAGAAAGAAACAATGCACATTCAAATAGGAAGAGAGGAAGTCAAACTATCTTTGTTTGCTGATGACATGATCCTATATCTAGAAACCCCATCATCTCAGCCCAAAAGCTTCTTAAGCTGATAAGCAACTTCAGCAAAGTCCCAAGGTACAAAGTCAATGTGCAAAAATCACTAGCTTTTCTATATACCAATAACAGGCAAGCCAAGAACCAAATCATGAATGAACTCCCCTTCACAATGGCCAGAAAAAGAATGAAATACCTAGGAATACAATTAACAAGGGAAGTGAATGATCTCTGCAGTGAGAACTATTAAACAGATCACTGCTCAGAGAAATCAGAGATGACACAAACAAATGGAAAAACATTCCATGCTCATGGATAGGAAGAATCAATATCATGAAAATGGCCATACTGCCCAAAGTAATTTATAGATTCAGTGCTATTCCCATTAAACTACCATGGACATTCTTCACAAAACTAGGAAAAGCCATTTTAAAATTCATATGGAACGAAAAATAGCCCGAATAGCCAAGTCAATCCTAAGCAAAAAGAACAAAGCTGGAGGAATCACACTACCTGATTTCAAACTATACTACAGGGCTATAGTAACCAAAACAGCTTGGTACTGGAACAAGAACAGATGCATAGAACAATGGAATAGTATAGAGAACCCAGAAATAAAACCGCACACCTACAACCATCTGATCTTCGACAAACCTGACAAAAACAAGCTATGGGGAAAGGATTCCCCTATTCAATAAATGGTCATTGGGAAACTGGCTGGCCATAGGCAGAAAACTGAAACTGGACCCCTTCCTTACATCATACACCAAAATTAACCCAAGATGGATTAAAGACTTAAATGTAAAACCTAAAACTATAAAAACCCTAGAAGAAACCTAGGCAATACCATTCAGGACATAGGCATAGGCAAAGGCAAAGATTTCATGATGAAGACACCAAAAGCAATTGCAACAAAAGCAAAAATTGACACATGAGATCTAATTAAAGAGCTTCTGCACAGCAAAAGAAACTGTCAACAAAGTAAGCAGACAACTTACAGAATGGGAGAAAATTTTTGCAAACTATGCATCTGACAAAGGTCTAATATCTACATCTATAAGGAATTTAAGCAGATTTACAAGAAAGAAACCAACCCCATTAGAAAGCGGGCAAAGGATATGGACACGTCTCAAAAGAAGACATACATGCGGCCAACAATGATATGAAAAAAAACTCAACATCACTGATCATTAGGGAATGCAAATCAAAACTACAGTGAGATACCATCTCACACCTGTCAGAATGGCTATTATTAAAAGATAAAAAAATAATAGATGCTAGCAAGGTTATGGAGCAAAGGAGTGCTTTTATACTGTTGGTGGGAGTGTAAATTAACCATTGTGGAAGAGAGTGTGGCAATTCCTTGAAGACCTAGAGACAGAAATAGCATTCCACCCAGCAATCCCATTGCTGGGTATATACCCAAAAGAATATAAATCGTTCTGTTAAGACATATGCACACATATGTTCTTTGTAGCACTATTCACAATAGCAAAGACATGCAATCAGCCTAGATGCCCATCAGTGGTGGACTGGATGAAAAAAATGTGGTACATATACACCATGGAATACTATGCAGCCAAAGAAAGGAATGAGATCATGTCCTTTGCAGGGACATGGATGGAGCTGGAGGCCATTATCCTTAGCAAACTAATGCAGGAACAGAAAAATACCGTGTTTTCTCATTTATAAGTGGGAGCTAAATGATGAGAACACAAGACACATAGAGGGGAACAACACATACTTAGGCCTGCCAGAGGGCAGAGGGTGGGAGGAGAGAGAGGATCAGGAAAAATAACTAATGAATGCCTGGGTGATGAAATAATCTGTACAAAAAACCTCCGGGATACACGTTTACCTGTGTATCAAACCTGCACATCCTGCACATGTTCCCTGAGCTTAAAAGTTAATAAATAAATAAATAAACAGTTGTATTTCAATGGACATAGTGATGTATCTGGCAGAGATACAGCTTTAGATAAGGCATTCCTTTATAATTATATGTTGTATAATTATGTGTGTGTGCATGTGTATATATATATATATATGTAAAACAACATATAACTACAAAAGAGTGGTTTCTCTAAAACCACTATATATATATATTATATATATATAATATATATATATAATATATATATTATATATATATAATATATATATATAATATATATATATAATATATATATAATATATATATAATATATATATATTATATATATATATAATATATATATATATAAAATATATATATATATAAAATAATGAGGGTAAAAATTGCAGTTGATAATCTGTAGTAGAAAGAACACTGGATCAGGGCCCTGGTAATGTCAGTAACTAGCTATGGGGAAGTGCCTTAGCATTTTTTTGGGTCCCATTTCCCATCTGTAGAATAATGACAGGACTGGGTTTGAGGAGGGACTCAGTCAAGGGGTTCTCAGTAAGTTCAGTTGTTCTGTTTTATGCCTCTTCATCCACATTGTCTGATGTAGTAGCTACTAGCCACATATGGCTTTTTAGATTTAAATTAATTAAAGTTAAACAGTATTAAAAATGTAGTTCCTTAGTCACAGTGGCCACATTTCAGGTGCTCAATAACCACATGTGGCTAGTGGCTACTGTGTTGGACAATACAGCTCTCAAATATTTCATTATCATAGGAGATATTATTGGACAGCATTGGTTTATGTAACCACTTCTATAAAATAACCTTCTTTGAAATGTCTGGTTAGATTTATTTGGTTTTAGAGAGTTTAATTTATTTTACCAACTTTTCAACCAACTAGAAATAGCAAAAATTAGAAATAATTTCCTTTTTCTAGGATAAAAACGTAGTACATCTCATTTTCAAAGTATGTGTTTACTTCAAGTTTATAATCGAAAGAGATTTCTCACCACAATTAATAGAAGTTTTATTAGAACCTATTGATAGAACTTTCATGTACAGTTCTTACATAGTAGCGAACACTTTTGAAACCCAAATACTAATGTAATGACTTTTAAAAAATGAGGCATTTTATATTATTATGATAGGAGATGTTAAACCGCAAGTTTTTACATTATTTAGGTATCATTAAAATTAAGTCAGCAGTTTCAGGACACAGGATTTGTAGTTTTTGAAATTATTTTTCCCCCTTTTTCTGTTTTTTTCTAAACAGAAAAAAGGAATACATCGTTGTACAAAATGCAGGCTGCAGTTTTTGACATGCAAGGAGAAAATGGATCATAAGACTCAACACCATCGAACATTTATAAAACCTAAACAACTAGAAGGATTGCCTCCTGGAACAAAAGTGAGTTAAAATATATTGTATTTTAACATTTTGTATGATAATAGAAATTAACTCCTGCCCGGCTTTATATATTGAATGTATTTTTAAATGACTTCAGATTTTTGCTCAGACTCTAATTTTAGGTTTTAATTTTATGTGTAGAAGGAAAAACTTCTAACCATTGTTTTGAGTTCAGTGATAGCTGTTAGGTTAGAGTAGTAGTCCTTTTTAAAAAGTACAACTCAATTAACTTTTCCTGGGTCAATGGGTTGTTTCAATATTTTATAGGCTATTTTTGAGCTTTCAGTTGAAAGTGTATATGTTGACTTTAGTTGCTAAACTATAAGATGCTTGAGATCAGGAATCATGTTTTATTTATCTTTGTGTCCCCAGCATCTGGTACAGTGCCTTGAGTTCCATAAGTTCTCAGATGTTTGTTGCAGTTGTTATTACTGAGTTTACTCTGAGAAGCAAGTTCTACTGCTGGATAGCATTGTGTTTTAAGTGAGCAAACACATGTCTGACTGCATACTGATGATTGTAATTTACTTTTCCCTTTTTGCCTTATGTACATCTGTTTTCTCTGACTTCTTTATATACAGTCAGCTCTTGAATATTTGCTCCAGTGGAGGGAAACAGAGGCATGGATAATCCAAAGTGAATAATCCCCAAAACATTTATTTTTGGCTTTGGGTACTTTCCTTTGAATGTGGGTATGTCTGTTATTTGAATTAACTAAAACAATATAAAGCCATGCTCTGAAGACATGATAGCAAGAGAAGCTATCCAGCATCCTTCCCTGCAATCCATTCATTCCATGTTGGGACTAGACATGCAGAACACTAATGTAAGCAGTGCAGTCCTCTCTCATTTTTTCCCTTATTAATAATAATAATATTAATGATAATGATACTAAATGTTTTTATAGCACCTTAGAATTAGACTTTCAGTGTACTTTTTCATACATTCTGTTGTCTAATTCATACCACAATCCACTGAGGTTAATAAGGCAGGTATTGCCCCATGTTATAGATGTGAAGAAGCATAGAGAGGATAAGTTCCTTGTTCAAGGTCACATGGCTAGGAAGGCCTTTTGATTCCTGGTCCAGTGCCATTGTATGTTACCCAAGCACATGTATGTCATAGGACTTCCTTATTGACTGTTCCTCAAATACCGGAGGAGGGTATAGTCAAATGATTAACCAGAATGTTGGTAGGCACTTGTGTTTTTCATTGTCAACCAACAGATGAAATTAAACATTTTCTCATTCTGAATACTAAATGATGAACTTTGTATTAGTTTACTTTAAGAAATTTCTGAATATTATTTAGCCCTCTATGCAGTATAATAAATTGATGTAACTCCTCCCATAACATTTGTAAGCATAAATCTTGGGCACTGAGCCCCTGGAAAGAGGAGATCACATTTACTGTAGATCTGTTTCTTTTATAGTTGTTAAAGGGTAATTTAGGCCTTTCTAGAATTATTTTTCAGGCTTGAGATTTAAATTTTGAGCTCTATGCTTGTGAATTTCTTAAAGTTAAGTCAGGGCATAAAAATAGCTATGGAATGTGCTCTTTGTATATTCATATAATTTGTATTAACTCCTAATTATTCACTGATAACTGTGTTAACATATAACTGATATCAATACAAAAATGTAATATTACAACTTAATATCAAGTTTAATATCATTTAATAGTTTGAACATTTAGAATAAATGGGAGACTTACCTGATTGTAGTTTATATGTGCTTTTTTCAAAATTCTTGATTTTTAACTATTTTTGTACCATGATATTTTAATATTAATGTACTGATTAATCTCTTAAAGCAAATCTTCTCTTTATTTTTGTAGGTTACTATTCGAGCTTCAGTTGGACCTCTGCAATCAGGAGCTTCACCTACACCTTCCATTAGTGCAAGTGCTTCTACCCTTCAGCTCTCACCTCCAAGGACTAAAAATATAACTGCTAAAAATCCTGCAAAATCTAATACAAGTAAACCTAATACAGTCAAATCCAACGCAAGTAAACCTAATACAAGTAAGCCTAATGGAAGTAAATCTAAATACAAACCAAAAATCTCTAATATGCAAAAGAAACAAAGCACATTGGCTAGTAGCAATAAAAAAAGTAAAGTCAATACAGCATTGAGGAATTTAAGGTAATCTTTTATTCCTGATATACAATATAATTTAAACTTAAGTATAAAAACTTATACTTTAGTTAAGAGAACATTATTAAGGCTCTTCCTTATTATTTTTGTTTTAAAATATATTTTTATCATTTTTTTAATGTCTCCCTAAGGTATCGTCGGGGCATTCACAAATGCATTGAGTGTTGTTCCGAAATAAAAGATTTTGCAAACCACTTTCCTACGTACGTCCACTGTAGTTTTTGCAGATACAACACTAGCTGTAGCAAAGCCTATGTAAATCATATGATGAGGTAAGATGAATTAAATGTGTAAATTGCCAATTAAAATTATAGTTCAGCAAGTTTCTGTTTCAAAAACAAAGTTATCCTATTAGAAGCCAGTTTTTCTCTTCAAGGAGCTAAAAGGATCTAACAATAAGGAACTTTTAGGATATTGCCTGGTCCTATTTCTCAGCATAGTAACTAGAAATTATGGGACTAAAATTGTAAGAAAAATTAAGCTAATGAAATTAGAATAGGTTTGTTAGGGTAATAGTTTTTCTTTTTTATTTTTTTGAGATGGAGTCTCGCTCTGTTGCCCAGGCTGGAGTGCAGTGGCATCAGCTCACTGAAACCTCTGCCTCCCAGGATCAAGCAATTCCCCTGCCTTCGCCTCCTGAGTAGCTGGGACAACAGGTGTGAGCCACCATGCCTGGCTAGTTTTTGGATTTTTAGTAGAGACAGGGTTTCACCATGTTGGCCAGGCTGGTCTCAAACTGCTGACCTCAAGTGATCTGCCCGCCTTGGCCTCCCAAAGTGCTGGGATTACAGGCATGAGCCATTGCACCCGGCTGGGAAATAGTTTTTCCATGGAACTTTTTATTGCCCCATTGGTGTTTCAATAATGGTTACTTTCCAACAGAATTTTAAATTTTTAAATATATTTACTAAATAAATACTTGTAATCTCATGAGCGTCATCCTCCTTTTTTTTTTTTTTTTTTGAGACGGAGTCTCGCTGTGTCGCCCAGGCTGTAGTGGCGTCATCCTCTTTAAAGCAGTCACTTTGAGAGACTTTAAGATTTTCAGTGGAGTCTGTTTCTCTTTCTGTATTCCAACTGTCTTTTTATCCATCTGTCAGGCCATCTATACTTGCATCCATTCAGTGAAAATGAGACACCATTCCACCATGATGCCACTTTTGGAATTCTTTTTCATTAATTCATTCAACTTAGATTATTTGAGTACTTACTATTTACACTATGTTAGGAAAAGCCTTCAGAGTCTGCATTATTTTCATTTTTAGATCTCATTAGGGGAATACTTTATTCCTTCAGAATGGGTTTGTATTTTTTTTAAGTAGGCAAAAGTTGTTTAGATATAAACCTGAGAGTTTGCTTTTTCAAAGTAAGTTTGTTCAGTTTTTGTTTAAAATTAGAATTAATGTATTATAAGTGACTTTCTTGCAGATTACACATGACTTCTCTGTTACTTGCTGGTCATTATCAACTACTGCTTTCAAGGATTCTTCTACCTTTTTTGGTGGCTTCAGCACTTCTCTCGGTTTTCCCATGTCTTCATGGTTGGCCTGACCTCATGGTATCTTGCTTCTTTAGTGCCAGCATTTCACATCAACTTTTAAGTTCATATATTGTCTTTTTTTTTCTTGAAACTACAGTACTATTTAAATCTCTTCCTATAAACTGTTCATTCCTTTTGGATTTCCATTACCCCATGATGTTCAGAGCTTTGACTCCTTTTTCCAGCCTAGTAGCACCCATCTTAATTTTGTAGTCAACCTTACTCTCAGGATCATCTGTTTTGATTGTGGCTTTTTGTCCTAGAATCCTTTACATCTTTAGTCATGCTCACTGGCATAAAGGCCAAGGTAAGATTTGAACCTCTTCTCTTTTGAACTTCCTCTGTGCTCACTTCTAGACTATCAAATGGTCCTTGATTTAGTCAACTCTGATTTCAAAAACTTTAATTCTGATTAGGTCTTATTTTTTTAAAAAAGATCTCTTTATTTTTACCTGCAACATTTGTTTAATCCTTCTTCAGTACCCTAAAGATTTTATTTTAGTTTCTCAGTTGTTAACTTGGCCTATTAATTAGTCAATTGTAGGTCATCCTTTTTATTTTTCCTAAAATTAACTCTTTTCAACCCCACGTATTTTTCCTGTTACCTTCAATCAGACATTAATCTTAAAAATCTAACATGTCTCACTTCCCCATTAACTGTCCTTTCTCCCCCAGTTCACCATGACCATATTCAGTTAACTTGGATCTTCATCTCTTTCTCTCTATATGGTTCCTTCTGCTTACAAACATTTTCAGGTATTTAAAAAATTTTTTGGAAGAGGACAGTTTGTCCCAACTGCCTGTTTTCCTTATTTCTTGTCTTCCTTTTTACCATTAACATTTGTAAAAAGTGTTTGCTACCAGCTTTATTGTGATTCATTTCTTTACCTTTTGAGTATTGCCCCCACCTACCAACTAACATTCCTCTTTTAAAGATTATCTGTTATGAACATATCACCATATTTACTCCCTATTTTTCATTCTTACTCCTCTGTGACTTCTTTAGAGTATTTGACATTGTTGTCACTCACTTTTTAAAACTTAATTTGTTTAATGTTCCTGACAGCCATGTGAAATTAATTAATTTAAAAATTTTTATAGAGACTACTTCATATTTGTGGAGTACATGTGATATTTTGTTACAAGCATACAATATGTAATAAACCCAGGGATATCCATCACTTCCAATTTTATCATTTCTTCATTTCTTCTTCTTTTTCTTTTTTTGTGAGATGGGGTCTCACTCTGTCACCCCAGAGTGCTAGGTCTTGCAGTCAAAGCTCACTGCAACCTCAAACTCCTAGGCTGAAGTGATCCTCCTGTGTTAGCCTCCTGAGTAGCCATATAGGTGTGTGCCACCATGCCCAGCTACATTTATCATTTCTTTGTGATGGGAACATTCAAAATATACTCTTCTAATTAGTTTGCAATATACAAGAAATTCTTGTTCATTGTCATCACACACAGCTCTTAGTGTCATATGGAACTAAAAGCTTCCATTGCCACTCTTAGGGTTGGGTAGGTCTTTTTGTCTTTTTCTCAACCTCAGTGGTACCCTTGCTTCCCTCATTGCATTAGGTGCATCCCACTGAATGGCGAACTCTTCTCTGCAGTGTTGATTCTTGTTAGAAGTTTGAGGTTTATATATACAGAAGCCTGATTTTCTCCAAAGCATGAGAACCTTTAATTCCTATCCCGTACTAACTCTGTAGCCTCTCAATTGGTCTTTTTCCCTTTGGTCTCATACCTGCCCCAATCCATCCCTGTAAGTTGGTTAATCTTCCACAGAGTATAGTTTCTTCCATATTAATTTTCTTTCTTTTTTCCTTTTTTTTTTTTTTTTTTGAGAAAGGGTCTCACTCCAACCCAGGCTGGAGTGCAGTGGCTCCATCACAGTTCACTACAGCCTCAACCTTCTGGGCTCAGGTGATCCTCCCACCTCAGCGTCTTGAGTAGCTGGGACTTACAGGCATGCACTACCATGCTCAGATAATTTTTTTTTTTTGTAGGGATGGGATTTTTTCCATTTTGCCCAGGCTGGTCATGGGCTCCTGGGCTTAAGTGATCTGCCTACTCTAGCCTCTTAAAGTGCAATGATTATAGCTGAGCACCCCCTCTGCACCTGGCCCCATGTTTGTTTTCTACAGTGACTATTCGGTATTCCTTGTTAGTTCCCAGAATACCCTGTTCCTTCCTCTCAGTTTACCTTCTTTTTTCAAGTGTCTGATCACCACAGCCGTTACTTTCTTTGAATTGTGTACTATTCATCTATTTTGCCTTTTTTTTTTTTTTTTTTGAGACAGAGTCTTGCTCTGTCACCTGTCACCCAGGCTAGAGTGCAGTGGCAAGATCTTGGCTCACTGCAACCTCCACCTCCCAGGTTCACGCAATTCTCCTGCCTCAGCCTCCCAAGTAGCTGTGATTACAGGTGCCGCCAACATGCCCAGCTAATTTTTGTATTTTTAGTAGAGATGGGCTTTCACCATGTTGTCCAGGCTGGTCTCAAACTCCTGACCTCAGTTGATCCACCCGCCTTGGCCTCCCAAAGTGCTGGATTACAGGCATGAGCCACCGTGCCTGGCCCTATTTTGCCTTTTATTGTATTTATTTGTGTTTGTATTATCTTCTTGAGAAGAAGGGGGTCTTTGTATTTATCATATCACCTAGCACATTACAAACTGCAGGTGATAGTCATTATTTGTTTTAATTATAAAAGGTCCTAAATAAAATCTCAGAAGAAGGTGTTCAAAAATCTTGAAGCAGTTGGAGTATTGTTGGAGTAAGATCTTTTCAAAGAAAAGCATCATTAAATGTGTAATTTTTAATTTTTTTTAAGCAGCATTTTTTAGGTTCAGTTCTTTAAATTATTGTACCTTATTGGCTTATAGCTTTTAGGTAGTAATAGAAATTATCTGAAAAAAATGCACATAAATTGCTCTATAATCTTGCTATTATTCCTCAAAATGATGTATAAGAAGCATTTTTCTTTACATAAAAGAGAATTAAGTTAACATACATAAGCAGTATCTCTTTTTTGTAGCAGAGTTTTATTATTTCAACCAGGTTCATGTATTTTATTATGTACCTACTAGGAAGGTATTTAATACAATTTGCTAAGAAGTATGGCAAGCTGGGGGTGAAGAATCAAACAAGTCTGGATTTGAATCCAACCTTCACTGTATACATGTGGAACTTTGAACAAATTACTTAATCTGACTCTCAGATTGCATTTCTTGAAAAGAAAGTTATTGTGACTTTTAGAAAAACTGTATTAAAGTGCTTAATAACAATTTGCACTTAAGAGATATTCAAGTAATGATAGCTATTAATTTCTAAGTTGTCATTATTAGGATTGGGGGAGTTCCTGACTGTAATTTTCACAATTTAGAAGGGGAAATAAATTTACCTAGGTTATTGTGATAAACAAATGACTATGAAAGTACGGAGGAGGTAAAGATGAAATCTTTAAACAAGAAATAAGGGAAGATTTTCTGTAAATTTCACTTAGGCTTTGAGGGATGATTTTTAAAATTTCCAAGGAAAAAGAAAGCTAGTATAAAAATTTGTTTCTTACACAGTAGGTACGACAGAGTACTGAATTTTAAAAAGGTCTGCTTGACTTCATTATAAATTTTACAGAAATTTATTGACACTAAATGATAATCATAGGACTAGTTAGACTATTATGTCTTCTGCCTACAGTTTTCCCCCTTTTTTCCAGTTCATCCTTTCTTTTGCTGTAGGCAAATCTGGTCAGGTCATTCTTTGGCCTAAAATCCTTTCCTAACATTGATAGAATGAACTTCAGATTTTCTGGAAAATATAACACCTTTCCATATCAGATTCCTAACTACTTTTCAACTCCTTCAACTCCTTTTATTCTCTTGAAAATTCTTCTATATCTTCACAGTTACTCTTTGCTTTGCCTGGAAGTGAAGCAGTAAGAGTCTTCTAACTGCAGTGAACTCCTAATTGTTAGCTGGCTTCTACCCCATCTGTCTTGCAGCTTTCCTTCATGCAACCACAAACTCTGTATGTGTCACTATTGACTTTTATCTTGTGTTAATTATTTATGAATATGTATTCATTGATTTAGCAAATATTTTTTGGGCATTCATTCTGTGCCATCCCCTTTCTCCCCCAAACACTCCCCCCAAGCAACCATAAACTCTAGGGCAGGCAGCTTGCCTTTGTTGTTGTATCATCGGCCTCTAGTCTAATGTCTTAAAATTTTTAAGGAAATTGTTCCTTTTATGTTTCTTAGAAAGTAAGGTTGTTACTTATGTGGAATCAAGATTATGAAGAAAATATGATTAGAGGAGGTTTTTGACCTCAGTTTTCTTGAGGTATAATTTATACACAATAAAATTCACCTATTTTTAGAGAATTGCTTAATGAGTTTTGATAATTATATACTGTCAGCTAATCAAGTAAGGGATTTTTTTAAAAAATTAGGTTTTAACATTATATTTTTACTATATTGTAATAAAAAACCTTTCTTAGATTTATTTCTATATTGCTATTACCTTTATGGAGAGCTAATAGGAAGAAGGGTAGTATTTTTTTTTCCTTTTTATGTGTGAGCTGTGAATTCACTTTTCCCTTCCTGTGATACACAAAACTATAAGTATGGAATTAAATACAGAGAAATCAAGCAGGTGGTAGAAATCCCTTTTTATAGATGAGAAACTCTAAAACAATTCAGGTAACCAAAAATTTAAAATGGTCAACATTATGATATGGTATAAGTTGTAGACAAATGCAGAGGCTATCAAAAGACCCTATACTATAAGATTTTCTCTCCTCTTATATTTAATAGATAAATAAACCATAAATAGCCTGCTTGTTTGAAGAGAAAGAATAAAGAGCTTTTAAATCTCGTTTAAAAATAACTTATTTTGGTTCACATGTTTTAGTAATCAAACAAAATCTTGGACTTATTTCTCTGAGGAAATATAGTTGTGTATACAAGTTTTTGCATATAATTTCAGGGCTTCCCAACTTCCCAATGTACTCTTCTAACAAAACTTTGTTTTTGTGATACCATCTTAAATTTGTAAACTCTAATAGTAATTACTCCTAGGTTGAAGAAATGACTATTAGAAATCTGAGGATATTTTCTGGGGATTATAGCTAGTGACACATACAGAGTCTGTGATTGCATGAAGGAAAGCTGCAGATAGTTGGGTAGGAATATATGTATATATATATATTTTTTTTTTCCTTTTTTTCCCTATACATACATGTGGTGCTGGGGACAATTACCTTGTATCTGAGAGTAAGCATTGACCCAGGTGTGTTGGCTGCTGTTTCTTAAACTTTAGCGTGTGTGTGAATCACTGAAAATGCTTGTTAAAGCAAATTCCTGAGCTCCTCTGCCCTTTGTAGGTTGAGGGGTTGTCACGGGGGATGGGGTTGTTGGTGGGGGAAGACTACATTTTGAAATACAGTAGTCCCCCTTATCTGCTGGGGTATATATTCCAAGACCCCCCAGTGAACGCCTGAAACTGTGGATAGTATTACGCTCTATGTGTACTATACTTTTTTTTTCCTATACATACTATGTATAATAAAGGTTTATTTATAAATTACACACAGTAAGATAATTAACAATAGAACAATTATAATAACAATATACTGTAATAAAAATTATATGAACGTAGTCTGTCTCTCTTAAAATATGTTATTGTGCTGTATGTGTGTAACAGAAGCCACAGAAAGTGAAATGTGGTTAACGGTGGTGAGGAGGGACAACTGTAAGCTGTTAGGTGATATTTACACTTTTGGTCTAATACTGGCTTTCTAGTACAGGAAACTTTCCTTACTGGAATTAAAAAGGGTATATAGAAGCTATTATCATGGGCTACAAAATTGGGTTAGTTTTCTTTTCTGTGCTTAGAGGAAACATTGTTTTAACTCATGAGTTCCTTTTTTTTTTTTTTTTTTTTTTTAATAAAAAACACTCTACTAGAAAGCCAGGCTCGGTGGCCTCCCTCTGTAGTTTCAGCTACCCAGGAGACTGAGGCAGAAAGATCACTTGAGCCCAGGAGTTTGATTCCAACTGGGCAACATAGTGAGATCCATCTCTTAAGAAGAAAAAAAGTCTACTAGTAATTACAAGGAACACTGTAAATGTTTGAATTTACAGATGGTAAACAGTGGCATTTAGCTCAAGTTCTGTTTACTTCCCAGATCATTTGGATCCTACCCCACTCCCCCTACACAAACATGTTAAAATTGGAGAGTAATAAAAAAGAATTACTATTAATAACTTCATATTGTAGCACACGTGTTATTAACAAAAATTTAGAATTGTTTTCAACTCAGTAAATCAAAATATGTAATTTGATGTTCTTTACATTTTCTTAATTCTCAGTATTTCCTTTTTTAATATAATGGTAAGGTACAGTGCTAACCATCTAAGAATATGCCTAGGAAAATAGTGTCATTAGAATATAATAGGTAAAATGGAATATCAGATAAAATATTGAATTAAATGGAAGTGACAGGCATTATTTTATTATTTACATTATAATCTTTTATTACAAACTAGAAACTTAAGTATGGACTTGAAATATAGTTATAAATTAATGTGACTTATTGTATAATAAAATTTTTACTATCTCTTTTGTTTCTCCAGCTTTCATAGTAACCGTCCAAGCAAAAGGTTTTGTATTTTTAAGAAGCATTCAGAAAATCTCCGGTAACTAGTTGATCTTTTTTTACTCTTTCTATTGAAAAATTGTAATGACTTAAATTTTTTTTAACACAACAGCTTTATTGAGGTAGAATTAGCATACCATACAATTTATGTGTTTATAGGTTTTAGGATATTCACAGAGTTGTGCAGCAATCACCAGTTAGTTTTGGTACATTTTTATCACTCCAGAAAGAAACCCTGTACCCATTAGTGGTCATTCCCATTTCTCTCCAGCTCTTCCCATCCCTGAACAACAACTAGTCTACTTTCTGTCTGTGTAATATTTGCCCATTCTGGACATTTCATATAAAAAATGATACATGATGTGGTCCTCTGTGGCTTCTTTCATTTAGCATAATGTTTTCAAAATTCATCTATGTTGTAGCATGTATCAATATTTCATTGTTAAAAATTGCTGCAAAACCCATTGTAAAGGTACATCATAGTTTATTTATTTAGATTGTTTTCATTTTGAGGCCCTTATGAATAATACTACTGTGAACATGTGTGTGCATGTTTTTGTATGGACATGTATTTTTATTTCTCTTTAGTATATACTTATGATTGGAATTGCTGGTCTGTTTGATAACTCCATGCTGAGCGTTTGAGGAAGCACCAGACTGTTTTCCAAAGTAGCTCCACTATTTTACATTCCCACCAGCAGTGTTTGAGGGTTCCAATTTCTCCACATATTTGCCAACACTTTTTATTATCTCTTTTTGATTATAGTCACCCTAATGGGTATAAAGTGGTATCTCATTGTGGTTTGCTATAACTTTTTTTAAACCTGATATTAGGGTACCTAATTTGAAAATATAAATGATTGCTACTGGACATTAGAGAGTTGTGTTCATTGTATTCTTAGACCAGAAGTATGATTAGCCATTGTTCTCTTGCTGAATTTATTTCAGTGGAAAGGTGGTGTCCAGAGGAAACCTTGATGCGTTTGCATTGTAAAATGAGAACAAAAATAAGGCTCGCCAACAATATTTGAATATTAAAAAGATAGCTAAGCTATCTCTTAAAGGAATGAACACTTTTTTAGTTTTGAAGTAAATTTCCTTTAACCACTGGAATTCTTGAAATCAGTATATGATTTTTATAATTCTAATATTTTCTTTTGAAAATAAAGAGAATTATACAATTTTACTATACTGAAAGAACTGTTGATAAAATTTTCTAAAGGCATTGATAGTTATCTTTGGTTATACCACACACTTAGAATCCACTGAGCGCTATTGTTTCATATTCTTCTGATTTCTTGAACTTTCTTTGTTTATTTTATGTTGCCATTGCTCCTTGAAATGTCAGTGTCTTTGTTCCACCAAGCTGATCTGTAGAGATAAGTTTAGCGAATACTTATTTTGATGCTTTTGATTAGTGGAAAATGTAGAAGAGGGGATGGTATGTCTCAAGACCTTTGCATTTATTATTTCCTATGCCTAGTTTGCTTTCCCCCAGATATTGTATGGTTAGCTCTTTTGTCTCCTTTAGGCCTCTACTTTGATTGAGTGAGTCTTTCCTTGACTACAAAATTTAAAACTGTATCCTCTTCCCTTTGCTTTATCCCAGCATTCCCTATCTCCTGTTTATGTTTTACTTTTCTCTAGATCATCTAACATACTTTTATTTTACTTGCTTATTGCCTATGTTCTCTCACTATATTGTGTGTGGTTTGGTTTTTTTGTCTGTGCCTGGCACATAGTAGGCACTCAGTAAATATTTGTTGAATAAATTAATGTATATATTGAAAATGATGTACGTGGAAAATAGGTCCCATCTGTGATGTTAGACTAGTAGCTCACAGGGAGAGAAAATATCATTCAATTTTTAAAATGTTAGTACTACTTTTAAAATATTTACTGAATCTAGGGAAATAATTAAGCTACATTAGATGTTACCTTTACTAAAAACAGTTACAAGAGTGAATATGGTTTTATTGCATTCTAAGAATGAGAGTTTAATTCAATTTTTACCTCATTGTGGTCAAGCTCAGTTGTGTGTTTAGTTTCTCAATGAACTATGTGGTTTTAAAGATCTGGGATGTTTTTTCACTAAACCTGGCTAGTCTCAAATTGAAAATTGTTCAATTTCTGTGAATAGAGCTTAGCATAGTTATAATTCTATATGACAATGATTAATGTAATTATTCTTATTGAAATAGACTATTCATTCCGTAACTATTTATTACGTATCTGTCTTGCACATAAAGTAGCAGGTCCTGTAAAGATGACAGTGATGAAGCAGTGTTGGAACCAGCCTTCAGGGAATGTACAGTACAGTTTATTGGGTGGGAGTTAAGGTGTGAACATAAATAACTATGCGTTTTAATAAGTGCAATGAGACTTATTTCAGAGAGGAAAAATATTACAGTTCTTGTAGTGATCTGGATAGGTATTAGGCCTACTTGGCTTTAAAGGATGGGTATTGTTTCTACTGGTAGAAGAGGCACGGGGCATTCTAGTTCAATAGACTAAATTTTTTTCAAGAGTTCTGTTTACAATTCAAATTACTTTAGGCAACTTAACATCATTTGTACATTTAATATAATTGATTTTCTTTTAAATAGCACTTCAAATGCTTGGTGTAACCAACTCCCAAGTGCTTAACTCTTATAAGAAATTAAATATATAGTGGCTAAGTTATCTGAAGCATTTTAGTATTTTTACAGGCTTAATATTTTAAAACACCTTTCAGCTAAAAATCACACAAGTCTAAATGCATTTTAAGTTAGAATCTTAATGTACTTTATGTCAAGTGTATTCAAATACTTCAAATAGCAAATGCTAAACAGTTAGATCCAGTGAGGACAAAAACTCTTCCTGTACTCAAAAATAAAGTATTGATAACTAGGGAATTGTTTCCTAACCTCTTTAAACATTTATAATAATTACACATTTCATTTAAGAACTACAGCACTCAGGCCGGGCGCAGTGGCTCACGCCTGTAATCCCAGCACTGGGAGGCCGAGGTGGGGCTGATCACAAGGTCAGGAGTTCGAGACCAGCCTGACCAACATGGTGAAACCCCGTCTCTAGTAAAAATACAAAAATTAGCCAGGTGTGGTAGCATGAGCCTGTAGTCCCAGCTACTCAGGGGCCTGAGGCAGGAGAATCGCTTGAACCCAGGAGGTGGAGGTTGCAGTGAGCTGAGATCACGCCACTGCACTCCCGCCTGGGTGACAGAGTGAGACTCCCTAGTTCACAGTGCTGAGATGATGAGGAACTCAAGTTTGCAGATTTTAGTATTTTATTAACTACTTTAGCTAGTTCAGTGTTAAGTAAGAATAATACCAACCTTGATGGTTGTAGTGAGAATCAGATGAAATAATAAATGGGAAAACTCTTGACACATAATGTACAATCGATGGTGGCTAAAACGTGATCTGTTTTTAAAGCCTTCCCATTTTTCTTCTGATTTTATCTCCAACTGAATAAAACACCAGATTCTAAGTAAGCTCCATTCGAGCATAGACAGTACTATTTCTTGTTCACCATTATATTCACAATACCTAGTAGTACAGTATATATAAAAATAGCTCCAGTAAATATCAAGTGAATGAATACGCTATGTTCACTTTGCAGATGCGTGGGAGGACAAATAGAATGTGACTTGCCTAAGTTACACAAGTTGGTTGTGGAGCCAAGACTGACTCTAGGTCTTCTGACTCCTAACTTTTAACAATTGGTATGACAGGTAAAAGTGTAAAATAAATACTTTCTGTAAATAAATGGTAGCATAATTTGGACATGGCTATGTCATTTACCAGAGAATAATGTCAGTTTATGTCAAATTTATATAACAAAAATGGGAAGTTATAGTTATGTATGGCACAAAAAGCAAATTATGGAAAAATAATCATCAAACTTATAAGTGGATTTTCATAAAAGATAAAAATCTTTTTTTAATGCTTTTTTTTTTAGGGGCATTACTCTAGTGTGCCTTAATTGTGATTTCCTAAGTGATGTTTCTGGCTTAGATAATATGGCTACACACTTAAGTCAACATAAAACTCATACTTGCCAAGTTGTAATGCAGAAAGGTACGTATATGTAACTGTGCTACTTTAGATTTTTGACTTTTATTCCAGTATTTTTGGTCATCCACAATATGGTCTCTTTACTAAATCATTATTCTCACTCATCATATTTCATATGCTGTTGTAAATGTAAAACTTTTCTTCTAATTTCAGTTTCTGTTTGTATCCCAACTTCTGAGCACCTTTCTGAGTAAGTTTAATTTTTATTCAGTGCATTTTACTTTGATGGATTTTAGCACTATTGCATTTTTAAATGTATCATTAATACGAATGAAAAGTATTAAAGTATGTTGTTGTTTTTTTGTTTTTTTTTTAAAGCTGCTTGTTGAAATAGGTTCCTGCTCTATGGAGCTCGTGACCTGGTGCAAGACAAGTTGGAATTTCCTAAGTTCAAAGTTCTGAGATGTTTTCTTACACAAAGGCAGTTGAGCAGCCAAGTTCATGACACTAGCTCTCATTATTCAGCTCTTTTCAGCTTTCAAATGGGACTAGATTCTTATTCCACCTTATCTTTGTGTCAGGTTGACATATCTTAACATATTTTTTTTTCTCCAGTTTGCGCTGTCTAAAAATAACATTTGTTGCTATGGTCTTTTCTTTGCTTACAATAATTTTTGTTTTTCTCTGCTGTACTTGCCTTCAGAATAATAGATTCCAAATTATATGGCTGTTTGTCTTTTGTCTGTTTGTCTGCTTTCTTAATTTCTTATACGTCTTAAGTTTTAGGCCAGATAATTGTCTTTTTCTCATTCGTTGTCTGTCATTGTGCTATTTTTCTTATTTTTCAGATGCAGAAGCAGCCCAGAGATTTCAAAAAATATCCAGGGTATACCTGGACAGTGTCCCCCTTCGATGGACACAACTGATGCCTGTTCTCTCTTTCCAAGGAATGTGAATAATTTGACTGTGGGACCTGCTCTTAGGTTGTGGCCTCAAGAAATCAGATCTTGGGGAGACTCCCTTTCTACATGGCTGGCCTCCCATAAGGCTGATGTTGTTTGGCCAGAGATGGCTTTAAGGCCCACCAAATTGAGCATACTTCCCACTGGGGGCTTTGGCTTATGATCTTAAGCTTATGAGTCAGTTATGACCAAGAAAAGCCCATCAAACCACTGCTTCAGCATCCAAGTTGAAGTTTAGTCATTTTGGCTGCTGCCTTTAAATCTTTCTCTAGCATGAATGCAGTCCAAGGAATATAAAAACTCTAGTTGTTAGGAAACCATGGCTACTTTCATATCCTTGGAACAACAGGTCTCCACAATTAAGTTCCAAAATTGCAGTTATTTTTACTGACATATAAAATCTATTAACCAGTATTAATTCTGTAATTTTTTAACAATACCGATTCTTGCATTTTGATTTTTTAAAAATTAATTTAATAGCTTGGTTTTATGTTCTCAAAATTTATTAATGTCTATTTTATGATGTCTATTTTTATATTATATTATTTAAAATTTGTTTAGTGTTTGTTTTAAGAACTCCAAGAGATTTCTTAGAATTCTCTACAGATTTTGTGTAGCTGCCTATTTGTAGATTTTAAATTTGGCTGTTACTAAGCCCATTAAACATTATTAGATACTCTGTCCTATTGGGATTATTATTAATATTACCTTAATTGTGAGTTCTTAGGTGTAAAGAATTGGCAATACTACTTGCAGACCTTAAGAGCCAGTTTTAAAGTTACGTATTTGTGCGTCTAAGATGTAATGTCTACTTAGCCATTAATGTAGCTCCTTTGGGTAAAGGTAACATGTTAAAAAACATACATATGGTGACCAGTAATGCATGTATTTCTTTCCTTTATATATTTTAAATTTGTCATGTGTTTATTTTAGTTACATTGAATATAGATCTAAACTTTTTATACTATTATCCTTTTAATAAAAATTATATTGTTTAAGTGCCTCAGGAATTATTTGCTAATGAATAAAGGGTGTAGATTTTATCTTATAAATAGGAACATTGCTCTCATTGTTATATGGAAGCCTTGTTACTTGGCTGCAGACAGTGCTATATCTAGTTAGTATACCTTGCATTTTTTTCTTGCAGCACAATGAAAAGGTTACTATACTAATTTCTTAAATTTTAAAGACTAGCAAAATGCCTTTTGTGATCTTAATAGCCATAAGGATAGGCAGGCCGGTTTAGATGACCAGTTAAAGCCGGTTTAGATGACCACCTATTATATGACGTGTTTCTTGCAATTAATTATCAAAAGAGTTGAATCTAATAGTTCTGAATTTCCAAACTAATTTATATTTTAAGTGAAAGGTTTTCCAAAATCTCCGCAAGTAGTTTGTTTCTTAGTAGTGGACTTAGTGATATACTAGTTGTTTTTTTTTTTTTCTTATTTGTCTCTAGGAATTTTTGTTATCTCCTCTCTCTACCCAGTTTTTAAAAGTTTATCCAGAAACAATAACTTTTTCCATTTTTAACATTAGTTCATTTACAGATATTCACCTTACCTTGGTCATAGGTCAAAAGCAGGATAAACCACATTGTTAATATAGTAATGTAGGAGTACAGTCAATCCTTCATATCCTTGGGTTTTGTGTCTGCAGATTCAGCCAACCATGGATTGAAAATATTTGGGGGGAAAAACAATAACAAATAACAATATAACAATAAAAAATACAAATAAAAAACAATACAATATAACAACTATTTACATAGCATTTACATTGTATAAGTGATCTGAGCATCTGAGGATTTTGTTATTCCTGGTGGAGGTTTGGGGAGGTAGGGGCGACCTGTGGGGTGGGGGCAGGTTCTGTAACCAATCCCCTACCAATACCAGGGAATGACTGTACTGCTTTGTGGTCTTACATAGACTTTTTTTTTATAGTATGTATCAAATTCATTTTCTTAAAGTATGAATTCTTAAAGTTCTTTCCCAGTAAATTCATTTTTAAAAAAAGGTTCAAATAAAACACTTGGCAGTCAGTACAAAGTTTGCTTATTGTAAGCAATTAGTTGAATTTTCAGTTTAGTGCTAATGAGTTTTAGTTTGAGTCTAATCCCTCCTTACCATCATTTTATTCTAGTTTATTCATCTGGTCAGATAGCCATTTCATGCATATGTGCTTTTTGGTTACTGTTGAATAAAATATGTGATTGGTTCAGTTTGAGTCCATCATCATTCTTAGAAAAATAATTATTAAACTACAGAGGCTCAGATTCTTGCCCTGTTTTTGTCACATTTTGGCAAAACACTTTGCCTCTTTGGGCATCATGTATTTATTCAGCGAATATTTATTGAGCATCTACTTTGTGCCTGGCATTGTCCTAGTTTCTAGAAATATAGACTAATCTCTGCTCTTATGGAACTTACATTATATTTGTGAAAGACAATAAAAGTAAATAAAACATATAATATGTTAGATGATGATCAATACTATGGAGAAATATGAATCAGAGAAGGGTGATAAAGGAGTATGGGGTAGGTGTTGGAAGGCTGCCATTTTTAATTTAGTGAGGCCTCACTGAGAGATGACATTTGAGTGAAGACATGAAACAGGCAAAGTCAAACTCAGTCATGAAATTGTTCTTTTCTGTTTCTCCCTTACCTCCATTTCTCCCCTCCTCTGTTTTCTTGTATATCTACCTGGATGGATGAATTATAACAAAATAGAAGTAAAGGTTTGAGTTTTGTAAGTTTCTTTTTCTTGACAAAAAGTTGAGAATAGAATGATAATTTCCTCTAACAGATCTTGAGAGTGTAAGAATCTGTGGTAAATACATAATAACTCAAGTTTGCTAAACTAGGCTACTTAACTGGTTGCCTATTTTATTGTTGAATCAAATATCCTAAAAGCCACAATTTCAAGAGATTTTAAAAGTTGATTTAGTTCTCTGAGTGACATCCATGTTTGTTCTAAGCAAAGTACAATGGGAAAGACATTGACAGTCAAAATATTAGAGTTAAAGGACCCAGCTGCCTCACTAACTTTATTTAAGGTACAGTTACTTCAGTTTCTTTTTCTGTGAAATCGAGTTGAAAATATCTTTGTTTTGAAGATGTTAGAAATATGTAAAATGTGTTTTACAGATGTTAATGTGTGTATTATACTTTATTAAATCCCCCTAATTTAATGAGCTTTATACTTAGCACCAGTAGTAACTACATGGCTCATTCACAGTATGATATAGACAACCTTCCCATATATTCTTTGTCACTGAACATTGACACCCTACTTTTTATGTGTGCAAGATTCTGTGTCAGGTGTTGGAAACATGAATAAAACATGGTTTATAGCACCAAAGCAATTACAGAATAAGGGAATTAGAAATGTAGACACTGAATCCACATTTTTTACAGGGACTATAGTCAACTGATTTCATAATCAATTAAACCACTAATATCATGTATATATTGCATTATGGGATTTTTTTTGTGAAATGCTGTATCAGAAGAGAATCTGGACCTATTCTCAAGGTGAAATAGCACTTTATTCTGCTATTCTCAAACCAGTAAGTCATTAATTATCTTTCATAAATGTAAGCAGTAAGTAAACTCTTAGGAACAGAATGGCAGCCTTTTTCTATAAATCTTATATTTTAAAATATTATTTCTGTTAAGAGATACTTACTGTCATTGAACCTGTGACCATTGAAGATATATAAGGGTTCATTCCATTATTTTCCTGTGAAATTTTGAACTTACTTGGAGGAATTATTGGCTCTGGTCATAATCCTAAATTATAACTCTGTAGCTCTTATGTGTTCAAAATTGTTGGGAGACTTCATTTCATTAATTTAGCAAGATTAAAAAAAAAAAACAAACTGATCTATTGAGTTCATTTTGGGCTTGTTTCCTTCTTTAAACTTTTGAAATGTGACCGGGATTTTAGCCCCTAGATTCTCTCATCCTACCATAGACATTAATATCTCAAACCGATCTTTAGGAACTGTAAAATAGTTCTTCCTTTTCAAAATAGACTTAATATATTTGCTCCTGGTATGTAATTGCAAGTGGTTTCTGGCAATTTGGACTTCTGCCTTTGATATCTGGTAAGCAGGGAGAATTTGAGACCCAGTGAGATGGAAAAATAAATGAAACTTTAGTGTAGTCTTTCATTTAGGACAAACTGTACCAATCTCTACCAGTGATTCTGAGGTTACTACCATTTTTTTCAGTCTCTGGTTCCTGAGGGTTGTTGCTTATAGATTATAAATTAAATATCCAGGGTATAATTCAATATTACCAACAAACCAAAATAATAAAATAGAGTCCTAGACTGTCATTAAAATCTTCTGCCTACATTGATGGTCTTATTTTTTTTCTTCACGTTTTTACACATGAATATTTTGGTCTTTTTTATTTCTTGTCTCTCTGTCTTTACCTAGTTCTTTCTTCTGTCTATCTAAAATGATTATTCTGCTCTTTGTTATAATAGCTTTAGATGGCCAAATCATACCCTGGTGTTCTAAGATTAGCAGATCATTTCATACTAGAAAAAATAGAACTGGTCCTAAGGAGAATAGACCAGCAATCAAAATTAATGTCTGTTGGGTTGAGGGTGAGGTGGAAACATGGTATACTAAATTTGTTGTATACTCTCAAGCAGATTCTGAGCAAGAAGATTGATTCTATACTCTACCCATACCCATGACAATAATAACTAACATTTACTGAGCACATACAGTGTGGCAGACACTTTTCTAAGTGTTTTGCATTTATTTACTCATTTAATTCTCACATATTTGTGAGATATGAGCTGTTACTGTCTGATTTTATGGATGAGACAACTGAGATACAGATATGTTAAATAATTTGCCCAAGGTCGCACATACCTGTTAAGTGGAGAGCCTCAATTTAAATTCTGTCAGTCTGTCTTCAGAGACTAAACTACTCAGTAGTATCCTCTATTGCTTCTCTGCTTCTGCTTGTAGTTCCAGGTGTACATCCTGCCTTGTTTGTGATTGGCCAAGAAACTGGATAGGACTAAGCTTCAGTGTTAAGGCCCTCTTTCTGCAGAAGGGTAGGCAGCAACTGACACAATCATACGATTGGGACAGTAATCTAGCATACCAGTTTACTGTCCCAATCCTATGTTCTATTGCTCAAACTTCATAGAAATACTGCCCTAATGATGTTTGGGCAATATAACATTTGAGCAAAGAATGGTATAAACTGGTCTTTTAGTAGGATTAATTTAGCAGTGATACTCAGCATGTTTTAGAGTGGAAAACATATAGAGGCAGAGAGATCAGTTAAGGTTTTCAGTTTCCCTGGCATGATCATAAGGGAGCCTGGTTCACAGGAGAGGAATTGGCTTGAGGCAGTGCAGTGGAAATTTGAAGTAGAACCCACACATTTAATCCTCCTTCTATTGCTTAATGGCTTTATAACTTTAGCATTTTTAGGCCTCAGATTTTCTCATCTGCAAGATGGGGGTAGTTGAATAATATAATCTCTTAGGACCCAAGTCTAATACACTGTGATGTTTCTGAACTGAATTGTCAACTGTTTGAAAAATAACAAAGTGTATTAAAAATGGAGGAGTCATTCTCTGGATGTTGATTTTGAAGTTATATGAAGAGAAGTGATGGTTGGTGGCCAGGTGTGGTAGCTCACACCTGTAACCCCAGCACTTTGGGAGGCCAAGACAGGTGGGTCACTTGGGCTCAAGAGTTCGAGACCAGCCTGCGCAACATGGTGAAACCCCATCTCTACAAAAAAGTATAAAAATTAGCCAAGTGTTGTGGTGTGACTGTAATCCCAGTTACTCAGGAGATGGTGATGAGAGGATCACTGGAGCCTGGGATGTGGAGGTTACAGTGAGCCGTGATCATACCACTGCACTCCAGCTTGGGCAACAGAGTGAGACCTTGTTTAAAAAATAAATAAATAAATAGAAGTTGTGGTTGGAATTGTGTATAAGGATGAGATACACAAGAGGCAGGTCTGAGTGGTAAATATTTCCATATGAATGTTCTGTAAGCACCACAAATCCAATATGTCCAAAACTGAATTTATTTTTCCCTCAAAGAATGCTTTCTCCCTTCTTCGAATTCCATATCATGAATAATCTCTTACCAGCCAGGGCAGGCATTTGAGGGGGTCATATTTGTTCTCCACATTTACCTTTATCCAGTGTATACTTACATTCTTTTGGTTTTAACTTGTTCTCATCTCCCTAAACCAACCTTTTCTCCATTGACACTGTTACTGTTTTAATTGAGAAAGTCATTAACTGTCTCTTAACTGGACTCTCAGCTTGTCTTCTACCAATACAGACCTTTGTCTTTCTGATGCACAAATTTGGTCATACTTTCCTATTAGCATTAAAGTTCTTAGCATGAACACTTTAGCATGGCAATCAAGACCTTCCCTGAAGAGGCTCTTGTATGTTTTCAGTTTCATCTTGGACTACTTTGCTTTGTGCCTGACATTTCAGTGATATGAGACCACCAATTCTCATATTGTCATCTTGTTTCATACTTCTTTGCTTTTTCATACTTTCTCTGTTTCATACTTCTTTGCTTTTTCTCTGCCTTGGATCTCCTTACTCTGCTTTGCTAATTCTTGCTCTTTTTGCAAAACCAAGTTCACTGTAGTATCTTCATTGCTTCCTTGCCTCTTTCCCTTTCATAGTGGCTTAGGTCTCTGAACAAAGATGTCTTTTCTAAACCTTTTCATAATGTAAACATTTGCTTCATTGTGTTTTCTTCACAGTGAACTCCTTGAGAGGAGAGACAGTCTTTTTTAACTTTGGACTGGAACACTTAGTACAATCCCTGAAATATGTACAACCTGGTAAATGTTTTGCTCAGGCATCCTTTCCACATATAAATATATTGATAATTCTCAGAACAAATGATCAGAAATGGTAGAGTAGATGTTTTACTGTTATGTCTTAGTCTGATGATTACTATATTAAATTTAGTCCCTGAATGTCTCAGTGAATGGTCTTTTTATTTTATTTTGCTGTTTTTTGTTTGTTTTTTTGAGACAGGGTCTTGCTGTTTTGCTCAAGCCAGAGGGCTGGATTGCAGTGTGCAGTCATGGCTCACTGCAGCCTCAAAGTCCTGGGCTCAAGCAATTCTCCTGCCTCAGCCTCCTGAGACTGAGCTGGGACTCAGGTATGTACAACCATGTCTGGCTAATTTTTTAAAAATTTTTTTGTAGAGATGAGGTCTCACTATGTTGCCCAGGCTGGTCTCAAACTCCTGGTCTCAAGCTATCCTCCCATTTTGGCCTCCCAAAGCATTGGGATTACAGGCATGTGGCACCACGCCTGGGCTAAGTTGAAGGTCATGATTACTGGCTGACTTTACTACTGGTTGCTTTACAGCCTCTTTTCAACTTTTTTAGTATGCTTACAAATATTCTTAAAGATTACATTTCTAACATCAGCATTGAAAATTTTGGCTTTTAAATGTCATCAGAAAGAAAGAATGTGGCCTAGCTGAAATGAATCTGAATATTTTTCCCCTTATAGTTCTTCCCCTCACCCCATGGTATGTTTATAGTGTGAATGAAACCTCAAAGGAACATACTACTATAAGTGAGCCAGAATGTTAAATTTTGTATGGATTGGCTGGGCACGGTGGCTCATACCTGTAATCCCAGCACTTTGGAAGGCCGAGGCAGGTGGATCACCTGAGGTCAGGAGTTCGAGACCAGCCTGACCAATATGATGAAACCCCGTGTCTACTAAAAATACAAAAATTAGCCAGGCATGGTGGCATGTGCCTGTAATCCCAGCTACTTGGGAGGCTGAGACAGGAGAATCGCTTGAACCTGGGAGGTGGAGGTTGCAGTGAGCCGAGATCATGCCATTGCACTCCAGCCTGGGCAACAAGAACGAAACTCCGTCTGCAAAAACAAAACAAAAATTTTGTATGGATTGCTCCTAAGACCTGCAGAAAAATGCAAATAGGGTCATTTTAGTCTTTAGAGGGAAAAGCTTGTCCTGTAGAAATACATCAGAAAGATCTATTTCAGCAGATTTTCATAGAGGGGAAAAGTTATTTCTTGCAATCTTGATCACTAATGATGTTGAAATTGATCACCAGTCAGTCCTGTTCTCTTTGCATTGAAATTTTAAATAGTGTTTGCTATAAATACTACACTATATTTTTCTATTAAGAAGTATTGTAACATTCACAGGTGGAAAGTATAATTACCTAATGGTGGGTCATTAGCTCAGAACTTTGAGCTTAGCAAATTTCTGTCTTCTACCAAAGTAATTGAATGTCTAAAATAATGACTATTTCAGCAGGTATCTTTAGTAAATAAGAATTATAGGTAAGAAAATTTTTCTTTTCTAAAAGTGTTAATGATGTGTTAGTAGTATTAATCTTAAAGTATACTTTTGTAGTTCAAAGTTTGAGTGTACATTTTAGTGATGCATTTTATAATTTAAAATTTATTGTGTGCTTTTCTAAATATTTTTAAGATTTATTTTTCTAAATGTGTTCACTAGTTATTACGATTCTGTTCCTTAAAGAGAGTACTAATATGGTAAAAGGCACAAAACAAGATTGAAATCATAGGCCTCTTAATGCAAGTTATTTCAATAACTTACTTTGTTCTCACCTACCAGTTTCTTGCCAGTACAATAAAGAGTGATAAAAACCTCTGTCACCAACCTCCATCACAGAGATAGCAAGAGGACTGTGTTTCCTCTGTTGAAATGCCAGCAATAATGAACATACTTAACGGGGCTCATTTTAATAGCTGCATACAATTAATTTATTATAATAGGCATATGCTAAAATGATTAGCATGGTGATATTTCTTTTATAAGAATATAATAGGTCTTACTTTGATAACATTTACTACGATAAGTTGAGGGAGAAAAATCTTTCATGAAATATTTAAATTGTTCTGTGACCAATTTGTTTTTCAAACTGAATTTAAAATGACTAAATGCTTAGAAATAAAAATGAGTTGTAATATACACATTTATTTCAAAACTTCATTAATTTGCTTTTTCATGCTTTTTGCTTTTTTAGACTAATGTTTCATGTTTTCTTAGTACTTCATAACTAATTTTATTCTTAAAACTTATTTTCCTTTATACTGCATTAAAGCAGTGAAGTTATACTGTATACTTGATGTGATCTCATCTTTATAAGTATTGTGCACAATTAAATACTTGAGACAATTACAAAATCTTTAACCCCCAAAATGATTGACATTTGTGTCTTTTGTCAATTTTTTCTGCAAGTTTTATTCATTTTAATTGGCTTAACAAGTTGGTTGTAAATTATTGTAGTGCACTGCCAATATAGTGGTTTTACAAAGGACATAATCTATATTAAGTAGCAGTTTTGCCTAATAGCTAAAATACAGATAAGTAATTTCATACAGTTAATTATTAATGTTTAACAAAGTATAAACATTTATAGCCCTAATTTTTCAAATATGCCCTCAAAGGATGGATGAAGAAGGAGGGTTTTGCCAACTCTGTTTCATTGATTAGCCATGAGAGTAGCTTTTAGGATGGTTGACGTTTCTATCCTATTAGATATCTTTTTTTTTGTCAATGAAATTTAAGATAATATAGTTGCTGCTTATGTTAAATATGTTATTCCTTAGGTATAGCTATTAAGCCTTCATAAAATTATGTATCACTTAACTCTTGATTAATGACATTTCAGATCAGGTAGGTACCCTACTTACACAGATTAAAATTGAGTTTAATGTATAATATCACAAATAATATTTAGTCATTTCTGCAGCTTCTAAAACAAAGATCCTTTGGATAAGCTAGTTCTTAGATTAAATTGATTATTTTACAAGATTTTCTGGATGGCATATACCTTTGTTAATGTTTTAATAAGTTATAATTAATATTTTTAGAAATCAAGAAGTTTTAATATTTGAGCAGTGCTTATGGAGGTTTTAAAGAGAATATATTCCTCAAAATTCTAATTACTTCTGTGATTTTACTGCCTCCAGAGTAAGTTAACTATAATATTGTTATATTTAGTTGAATTTCACAATAGATAAAATATTTATCTTTTTTCACTTAAGTCCTGTAATCGTAAATACTGATGCATATTACTTATGTAAGCATATAACCTGCTTTTAATTTTTAAAGAGTAATTCTTGTTTTGAAACTGTTTTACTAATGTGTATGTCTTTTATTTTAAATTGTACTTAGCAAAGAGAACATTTCTTAAGTGTCCTTGTTTTTAGAGAACAAGGAAATAAATGTCTTTATTGATTTAGCACATTTATCGAATCTACTATTTAGTCTCATACGTTTAACTTTTACCTTAAAACATTTACAGAGGTCAATTTACTATTAAAGTATAAAATGTACATTAGTTTCGATCTACATTTTAATTATTTTAGGCTGGCAGAGAAAGAACTGTTTCATATTTTACCATCGTACATATAAAATAAAATATTCAATACTTATCTTGTTTTCAAGATTAAAAAAAGAAGCTCCCGCAAAGGAACAAGAACCTGTGTCTAAGGTAAAGTTTGTTTTACTTTATACCTTAAAGGTTTATACATTTGAAAGTATTATTGGTATGATATAAAATTTTTTTTCAATTTCAGCATGCATACATCAACAATATTTGGGATGTTGTGAGGAAGAAAAAAAATCGAGATTTAAAATTTTTCATTACATATAAAAATATCTAGCCCTAAGTAAAATTTTAAGGTATTCTTGTTTTGACAAAGACATCTTATATTTCACTTGCCTGTTATTTAGTTCAACTAGTGAGTAATGGAGATAAATTTATGAATTAAAAATCCCCAAATCAGTAAAACCTCAATCATTTGGCACACTGGAAAAATTAATCTTTCCAGGTTTAATTTTCTGGGATATTTTAACTGTCAAAAGGTTAAACTAATTTTTAAAATAGAAATATTTTGGATGTATCTTAAATATGTTTTAAACAAGTACTCTGAATGCAGAACTCAGAATTATCATATAAATGTTATTTACCGGACAGTCTAATAGATGACTGTAGAAATAGTTTTGCTCAACTACTTGCTTTCTTGATGTCAATTTATGTTGATATTACTTAATGATTGTTTGCCTCTTTTTGAGTGTAATGAAGTGAGGTAGATTTGACATTTATCTTTTGAATACTTTGTCTTGAATGGCGCATAATATAAGTGAAATCCAGGCAGAAGTATCAGCCTTCTTCCAAGCAGCTTTCTTTTGTACCATAGAAAGTTTTCTTTTGTTTAAAAGTTTTTCAACTACAAATTTCTTTAACAGATGCAGGTTTTTAAATTTTTTAATCTATTTCTTCTTGAGGGAGTTTTGGTAGTTTGTAGTTTTTTTGAGGAATGGGTTCATTTTACCTAATATGTTGAACTCGAATCTTATGTATATTGAGAAAGTTGCTTATAGTATCCCTTATTGTCTTTGTAATCTTTGGAATCTGCAGTGATATCCCCTCTCATTCATGATATTGACAGTTTGTGTGCTTTTTCTATTCTTATTATATATTTTAATTTTAAACATGTTGTAAATACACAGAATGCAGTATTACAGTTTTTACTTTAGACAGTTTTTTTAGGGCAATTAAAAACTTTAAAATTAGCTTTATATTTACCTTTATTTTTACCATTTCCTATACTCTTCATTTCTTTATGTAGTCTTCATTTCTGTTTATCGCATTTACATTAAAAATTCTGGCCAGGGATATAATGGAGCAAATGTTTCCGGTTTATACAGGGGTATACAAGCCACTGTTTGCCCCTAAAATAATTATGCCTAATTTGTTCCTTGTTTAACTCATCATAATTTAACAGAAGAAAATGCTGCATTCTGTGAATTTAAATATGATCAACTTTTTTAGTATTGTACAAAGGATATATAGTTTAGGGGTAGGGGAATTCAGTGAGCAAACAGGATATTCTTGTCTGGTCTAAAAACGACATTAAAATCACATATAGTTACATTATGGGCATCAAGATAAATGCAGTTGAGACACTTTGCACACAAATTAAAGATGATTATCAAATATTAAAAGATATAATATCAAATGACAAAATACATTATGCTGAAATTGAAAGCATATTGGTATGAATAGATTACAAAGTGTTATGCAGATTATCTGTATGGATATTTTGAGCCAAGTGGAAGAAGCTAAAGCTTTACAGTCAGTAAACATGACTAATATAAAGCTACACACTTAATAAAAGGCCTATCCCTTTGCTTACAACAATTGAAGGTAATTTTGAAAGTGTATTTGATGAACATAAAACTTGAGCAAGAGATATGCATATTCTTCTCAAATTTTAAAATAAATGAAAAAAGTAAACAAATGAGAAATGCATGAGTCACTGGGTGAAGAGTATTGATAATTATGAGGGCAGTGCTTATTAAATAGAAATTAAGATTATAAATGCCCTAATTTCATATTTTGTATAGAGATATAAAAAATTCAGTGAAATGTTTTCAGATTTTGAATTTCTAAACTGGAGAAAAATTGTTTTGTATAAATACATCTGATTTACAAAGACGAGCCACTAAGTTTGCACTTAAATATTCTGACGATTTAAATTCTATAGAAATTCTATATGAAATAGTTTAAAGCAGCATTTGATATCAATAACATACAATCAAGTTTGTGTTTGGGTCTTCTAAACCTTCTTAACATATTTTGCTTAGTGCAGTCTTAAACAGATTTGGAAATGGTATTCAAAAATTTTAAACAATTCCAGCCACAGTGGAATCCTGCAAATGAAGCTTACTGTAAACTGAAGTTAATATAACATTTTTTTATGATTGTCACTTGTTCAAGAGAAATTGTACATGACAGTTTGCTCATTTGAAAACAAAATAAGAAAAGAATTAGATTTGAAAATGTACTGTTGATGCATTTGCTTCCATTAGCCAGGAGAATAAAATAATACTGTTTTTGGCATAAATAAAATCTTTAAGTTTAAGCTAATGTGAGTTTAATTCTCCTACTTTTAAATTTTTCAATATTTTTCTGACTAACATTCTAGAAAAAAAATTTTTTAAATACACAGAAACAGGCTGGGCACAATGGCACACACCTGTAATCCCATCACTTTGGAGACAGAGCTGGGAGGATTGCTTAAGTCTAGGAGTTAGAGACCAGCCTGGGAAACAAAGTGAGACCCTGTTGCTAAAAACAAAAAACAAAACAAAAACACACCACACACAAAGCAAAACTTATAGGGGCATTCATTTTTTCTTTTGCCTCAGGCTTCAATATGGCTTGGTATAGCACTGATTGCAGAATAGTTACATCAAAATTTTTGAGACTGTTATGCTGAGCCAGAAAGTACCCCATGATTTCTTTTCCTTTTCTGTACCTTATGTTATTTTTCTGGAGTTAAAAATATGTATCTTTTTTACTCGTTTGTTTAGTTTTCTGTGCACCTAATGCTGTATTTTTTTCTAACGTTGCAATTTCTCTCTCAAATATTTGGAAATAGTTTTTCCAGTGTTCACACACATAAAAAAAAAATCGCTGGGGAGTGAAGGGGTCTGAAGATCTCCTCCCAGACTCCCCGCCTCAACTTAAACTAGTTGCTCCCTAAGCCTGTGCTTAGTTTTGTTATGTCAAGATTATCCTTTGCCACTCCCTTGTATTGGATGTCCTGTTTGCTGAACCATGAATTATTCCTCATTTCTTGGCTTACTCATCATTTTGATGAATTGTGTCCTCTACTAGCTTCCTGAGAAGGTGTGCATCTTTTTTCAGTTTTTGCATATCTAAAAATATATTTATGCGAATGATAGTTTGGCTGAAGTACATAAAAATAATTCCCATGCAGTTTTTAAAATGTTGTTTTTACTATCTTCTTATATCCAGTATTTGTATTAAGTCTGATGCATGTCTTGCTCCAGTTTCTTGGTATTTAGGTTACTTTTTTTCTTTTTGGAAACTTTAGTGATTATCTCTGTCACTGGTGTTTTGAAATCGCATGATATGTTCACCCATCCTTTTTTCATTCATTGTATTAGGCATCTGACAAACCTTTGGAGTTTGGAGATTTCTGTTTGGGAGAAGTTTTCTTGTTTCATTTCTGTGGTAAATGCTCACTTTTATTTTCTGTGTTCTCCTTTTTTTAAGAAACTCCTATTGTTCTGACATTGTTCTGACACTGAGCCTCCTGCATCAACTCCTTTTTTTTTTTTAGCTCATTTAATTGTATGTTATTTTCTTTCTGGCCTTTCATCTTTTTGTTTTTTTGTTTCAATCTTTTTAAATAATTTTCTAAACTTAATTACTTATTTTAGTTGCCATATTTGTAATTTTGAAGAGCTCTGTAACTTTTTATTTGTTCTTTAATTCTCTTTTTTACAGTTTTTGTTACTGTTTAATGGATATAATAACATATACCTCTTTGGAGATATTAAATATTGTATATATACTTTTTTCTTTTGTTCCCAGCAATGTATCTGATGTCTCCAAGCCCCTTTCTTTATTCCTTTTTGTTTTTTTTGGTATTTTTCATGTTAAGGTATGTCTTTTGTTATGTGGTGATCCTTACCCGCCCATACATAATTAAAGAATGAGGCTAAAATAATCATTGAAAACCGTATGTGTTTGAATGGAGACAGGGCTGTCTTGCATAGCCATTCAGGTTGAACACTGCAGAACTCCTGCGGATACTATTTAAATATATCCTTTGTAGTCTCAAAAATTACTAATGTTTACCATATTAGAAATTGAAATAATGATATTTTAAAACTATTGTCAAAAATAAAAATAATAAATATATGTTAACATAAATCACATTTTTTTTCTGAAAAATAACTATTTTCCAAAGCAACAGAAATTTAGTGAGAAAGAATGGCTTGATTTTACACT
This sequence comes from Homo sapiens, assembly GCF_000001405.40. Lineage (NCBI taxonomy): Eukaryota > Metazoa > Chordata > Mammalia > Primates > Hominidae > Homo > Homo sapiens. The sequence goes on along the minus strand of NC_000015.10, from coordinate 56,638,613 downwards.
TTTGCATATTTCTTTAATGTCAAGCTTAGTAGAAAAAAATTGGATTCTCATGTTTCTGAATCCAATCTGTTGTGATACATTCTTTTGGTTGAAATGTATGAAGAATACCCAGCCTCACCCAGTACTTCAATAATCTTTTCCAATAATTGTGATTATTCTCCTTTGATACTGCACCAAAAGTGGAAGTTTTCTTGCTTGTTGCACTGTGGAATCTAGCTCCGTATCACTGACTTTTTTTGCTTTGTTACATCAAAATCTGTTTGTCTGTTTTATATTTTGAATGGATCTTTTATCCATGCCTAATTTTGTAATATCATGCATTGGTCATTTGGAACTTATTGGCCCCTTAAGTGCCCTGGATCTTCCAAATGTTGAAATATTTCATTATATAATATCAAGCACTCACAGTAAATATTAGCATTAATCTAATCAGTGGTGGGTAGGAGTTTTTGCTTGATTTTATTACTGGAAACGAATACTGTCAGTTGTTTTCCTTGATATGACAGGCTCACTTTGTTAATTTTTCAAAAAGAAAAAGTCTACTGAAACTCTAGTCTAGATATTCATAGTTTGACAGTCATTCTTTAAAATAAAAATGATCCTGTTCTATGAAAAAAATGTGGTTAAGTACAACTCACAACTCAATCACAGACCCAAATATTTTCAGTAGGCAATGGTTGTGACTTATGCATACTTTCTTTGCATTTTGTCACACAAAATATTAAAAAGATATGAGCTCAAAGATTGAGATTTAATAAAGTTTTTTTTTTTAACTTGTCTCGGTGTGGTGTGAAGAATACAATGTGTATGGTGGTGAAGAATACAATGACTACTAGTACAGGTTGCTACTGCCTTGATTTATATTAATTTGCCACCATTTTTACACACTTCTGTTTTTATGCCAAGAGTTGTGACTTCAGATGCCTCCTGAAAGTGGCTTGGATTCTCCAGGTGTCCATATGTCATACTTTGGAAACGGATGATATGAATTACAATGTGTTGCCCTCTGGATTTGTGCACTGTACTGTGTGCACAATCTGCATGAAAATTGCGTAGACTTCAGTGTGGGAAAATTAGGTGCTGAACTGACTGATTCTTTGTTGAGGAGGATGGTCTCAACATCATTATGGAGAGGCCAGGTGTGGTGGCTCATGCCTGTAATCCCAACACTTTGGGAAGCTAATGCAGGAGGATCCCTTGAGGCTGGGAGTTTGAGACCAGCCTGGGCAACACTGGAGACTTCGTCTCTACAAAAAAAAAAAATGTTTTTAACTAGCCAGTCATGTTGAGCACATACTGTGTAGTCCTAGCTACTCAGGAGACTGAGGTGAGAGGATTGCTTGAGCTTAGGAGTTCGAGGTTGCAGTTGAGCTATGATCATGCCACTACGTTCCAGCCTTGGTGACAGAGTGAGATCTTGTCTCTTAAAAAAAAAAAAAAAAAATTCATTCTGGAAAATTTTTTCTTTGGGGTTGATCATTTTCTCCAGAGAGAAATCTAGCTTCTAGCTGAGAGTGCTAGGTTGGGGAGTGAGTTCTCTGGCTGTTGGCATTCTGGAAGCCAGGCAGGGAGAAGGATTGTTAAGTACGTGGACTTTTACTAAAACTTTGTTTTCTCAGTATCTCATGCCTGCCTTTTACTTTTCCTGGTGTTCATAAGTCTAGACTATCTCCACTTCAGAAAGTTAACTTTTAGGCTGGGCACGGTGGCTCACTCCTGTAATCCCAGCACTTTGGGAGGCCGAGGTGGGTGGATCATTTGAGGTCAGGAATTCACAACCAGGCTGACAAACATAGTGAAACCCCATCTCTACTAAAAATAAAAAAAATTAGTTGGGCATGGTGGAACATGCCTGTAATCCCAGCACTTTGGGAGGCCGAGGTGGGTGGATCACCTGAGGTCAGGAGTCTGAGACCAGCCTGGCTAACATGGTGAAACCCCGTCTGTACTAAAAATACAAAAATTAGTCGGGCATGGTGGTGGGTACCTGTAATCCCAGCTACTCAGGGGGCTGAGACAGGAGAATCGCTTGAACCTGAGAGGTGGAGGTTGTAGTGAGCTGAGATCATACCACTGCACTCCATCCTAGGTGACAGAGCTAGACTCTGTCAAAAAAAAAAAAAAAAAATAGGAAGGAAGGAAGTTAAGTTTTAGCCTCTTTGGTAAGGGAAGGGATAGGTGCCTGTTGTGTAAGTTGCGGGGAAGGAGCATTTAGATTTCCCAGCAATGCTTTGTTTTTACTTTTTATGTACTAAATAGTAGACTGACCACCTGCAAATACCAGGTGTTTTTGGTTCTCTGGGCAAATTGATCTCTTTTCCTTGCACTCCTCCACTGCAGACATTCATTGTAACTTCCTCCATACTGCTAAATCAGTAACCACTCTTCCAATGACTTTCCTGTTTCTAAACATTTGGTGAAATCTGTTTAGCAATTAGTATACTTTGGTGTTTTCTTCATCTTTATGAGTAAAAATATTTTATTTCTTTGCCCTTGTTTTAGCAGAGTTTTGAGACGGTGAGTAGATAAGTGTGTGTGATTAATACACCATTATCAATTTTACAGGCTTGAGTCGATCTACCATAGTGGTTAAGAGGTAGATATAGATTTGAATCTTTACTACTTATTGTGGTATTGCCTTGGGTTCCCACTCAAGTCTTATTTCTCATATATTGAAATAGTGTTTATAAAATCTAATATGTAGATTAAATGAGATAGTGCATGTAAAGTTCTTAATATACTGCTTCATGCATCATATGTACTCCATAGCTGGTAATTGTTACAAGCTGTTAGGTTGGCCTATGGCTTACTGAGGTTTTACACTTTTCTTGCTTCCCTGTAAAACATTTGAAATAAGTAGAATGTTTCTTACTTTGTGTACTGTTTCATGTTTTTGGTTTGACAGTGGAAGGGTTACCATGACTCAATATGAAATCATAAATTCAGAAATGTTTTATCTAAATACCTGTGCCTAATATATTTATATAAAATACTGTGGATGCATCTTGTTATTCAAATTCAAGTTGTGTTTTACTAGTTTTCTATTTAAGTAATTGTAATTATGATCCACATTTGAAATAGAGGTTACGAAAAGCAGATATTGACATGAGTGGGTAACTGCTTTTTTACCTTGAATCAGAAACTTTTGGTACACTGAAACTTTTATAGGTTTAAAAACATTTTCAAAACCTGCATATAATTATGGAGTATTCTAATTATATTTTATATTTAATAAATTATTTTTCTATTTCTTTGTTATATTAAGTTGCACACTTGTTTCTTTTATCCAGAAAGTTTAGTATAATAAAAATAGTTTTAAGATTAACTGTGAATGTAAAAGAAAAGTATTATTAATTATTTCAGGAAATTGCAAGACCTAACATGGCTGAAAGAGAAACAGAAACATCAAATTCTGAAAGGTAAATATAAGGAAAAACTGAATTTCATAAAATTCAAGTATACAAAATAACACTTGAGCTGCATTATTTCACAGTTAACTGGCAAAGGACTATTTAAATGTTTGTATATAGTGCTATTTTCTGTAATGGCTCTTAATTAAAATAAAACTTAAAAACTTTAATCCAAGAAAAATATTCTCTATATCCTTTGTTTTTAAATCTTTTAAACATATAGAGCATATTTTATGTTGTTAAATTTTTGAGAAACTACTTACTAGCAAGTAAAATGTTGGCAGATTTTCTTTGCCCCTATTAAATGAAAACATTTACAAGATGCTGCATGTTACTGGACAGGAACAGTTGTTGCACATAGGTAATCTTAAGATTTTTTAAAGTATTTTCAAAAAGCTATAAGACTACTTATATGGTAGGATCACAATAGTTTCAAAACTCAGGGTTTGGCTTTTAAAATTTTCATACTTTGGTAGAATGTTAAAGAACACAAGATGTTTCACAGTCTTTTAGCAGAAGAGAATCTGAACATTCCAATTAGAACTTTATTCCAAAGAAGGGTAATTTTATTTTGTCTTTTAAGTAATTTGACCCATTTATATCTGTATGCTATATATTTTACTGTAGGTTGCCTGTTAGTCTGTTGAGATTAATCTTTTGTCCCTAAAAGCAAGTTATGGATTAAGTTCCTATGAAGGTGTTTCTTATACTTCAATAGTAAAGTTATCTCGCCCTTTCTTCACCTTGAATTTTTTGTAAGTTCTTGGGGGAATGTTAACAAAAAATCAACTAAGGAGTTAGAAAATGCGGACTGGTCATCTCTGTATTATTTAACATTTTACGTAAATTGTAGTTAGTCCATTATGATCTGAACAAAACTAAGAATTATACAAATTTGAAATGAGGAAAAAATAATTTTTTCCATATGTAATTGACCAGTTAAGATCCAAAAAATGAGTTAAGTGATTGAAATTAATGAGAGTATTGATTAAAGTAGCCTGGTGTAAAAATCAGAATCTTTCTACCACTAACATATGATTACAAAATATAGTGGACAGACTCACTCAATCATAATGTAACAAAAATGATACAAATAATTGATCACAGCCAGTTGCAGAGTTCTTTGTTCCTTCTCCATTCCCACTGATTCACTTGACTAGCCTTAAAAATATCTATATCTATATATAGAGAGAGAAATGGCCAGGATCCAGATGAAGAAAAGCAAAATTTTCCATGATAAAAAATAATATATTAACTACATGATAGACTATTTTACAAATTAAATTATGAATTTAATAAACATGGGATTTGTTTTGGAAACTGACAAACTTAAAAAAAGATTTATATTTTTCTCACTATTAATACCATAATGTATTTAATCATTCCTTTCTTGCTGGATAACATACTAGGTTTTTGGCTGGGCGCTGTGGCTCATGCCTGTAATCCCAGCACTTTGGGAGGCCGAGGTGGGTGGATCACGAGGTCAGGAGTTCAAGACCAGCCTGACCAACATGGTGAAACCCCGTCTCTACTAAAAATATAAAAATTAGCCGGGCTTGGTGGCACGTGCCTGTAATCCCAGCTATTCGGGAGGCTGAGGCAGGAGAATCACCTGAACCCGGGAGGCAGAGGTTGCAATGAGCCGAGATCATGCCACTGCACCCCACCCTGGACGTCACAGTGAGACTGTCCCCCCTCAAAAAAAAAAAGATAAAAAGATATTAGATTTTTTATATTTACTATTTTAAACATTGTTTTAATGAGCATCCTTGATAAATATCTTTTACATATTAAAAGTATGAAATTTATGGGGAAGAGTTGTAGATTGTAGGTGATTTGTTTAGTTCTAAAGTATATTGTTAATCAATAATTGTTAAAACTGGGTGCTACTGGTTTAGGAATAGTCTAAAGACAAATCAGTAGAACAAAACAAATAGCAGAGAAATAGCCTTATATAAATAGTAATTTAGTAAATAATAAATTACCTTTTGGAAATGTTGCTAGGATATTTGTGCAATTCATTGGGAATACGTCTAAATGTCAGATTAAATGTAAGAAATAAGGTATATGTAATCATTAAATTTATTTTCATAAAATAAGCATCCTTAGATCTAGATAATGGACTGATGATCTTCTTAGAAATCTTGTTTCTCATATTTTGTGATTCACTAGATAGTTTCTGTTAACACTTCAGGGCCAGAAGAAACACACAGAAGCACACATATATATATGTGTACAAACATGCACACACACTTAGATGTGTATGTATGTTATATATTTACATATACTTTTTCAGGCATGTGTTTTTTTTTTAAATTGGGCTATTAAAAATTAGAAAAATATGTTTGAATGCTTATCTGATTTTATGTATGGAAAGACATTCTAAACATAAGAAGCTATTTAAATCATAAAGGAGACTGGGCATGGTGGCTCATACCTGTAATCCCAGCCCTTTGGGAGCCAAGGCAAGAGGATTGCTTGAGCCCAGGAGACCAGCCTGGGCAACATGGCAAAACCTTGTCTCTATGAAATATAAAAAAAATAGCTGGGCTTGGTGGTGTGCACCTATATTCCTAGCTACTTGGGAGGCTGAGGTGGGAGGATCACTTGAGCCCAGGAGGTCAAAGCTGCAGTGAGATATTTGCACCACTGTGTTCCTGTCTGGGTGACAGAGCAAGACCCTGTCTCAAAAAAAAAAAAAAAAAAATCATAAAAAAATATAGATTTTTTTCCAAATATATTTTTTTATTTTAGGTACTTTTACAAGTTAATAAAAATACTTAAATTTAAACTAGAAACAGGCAAGAGATATGAACAGATGAAAATAATGACAGCCAGGACTAAAACTAGTTGATAGATATCTTTTAGTATGTGATTCCAGAGTTTCTCAGAATCTTGCCTAAGAAAATGGCCTCCTCCTAAATTTTACTGCCATAGCGAGGATTGGGAACTTGGACTGTTTTCCTTTTTGGTGGGCAAATGTACCTTGACTTTTTATTTTTTAGAACACGTCTTTATTTTGACAGTGTTCAAAAACATTGCTTTATGAAGAAATACATAATAAATGACTTTATTTTTCAGTAAACAAGATAAAGCTGCTTCTTCAAAAGAAAAAAATGGATGTAATGCAAATTCATTTGAAGGCTCATCAACAACAAAAAGTGAAGAAAGCATAACAGTTTCAGATAAGGAAAATGAAACCTGTCTTGCAGACCAGGAAACTGGCTCAAAAAACATCGTCAGTTGTGATTCAAATATTGGTGCAGATAAAGTGGAAAAGAAAAAACAAATACAACACGTTTGTCAGGAAATGGAGTTGAAGATGTGCCAAAGTTCAGAAAACATAATCTTATCTGATCAGATTAAAGATCACAACTCCAGTGAAGCCAGATTTTCTTCAAAGAATATTAAGGATTTGCGATTAGCATCAGATAATGTAAGCATTGATCAGTTTTTGAGAAAAAGACATGAACCTGAATCTGTTAGTTCTGATGTTAGCGAGCAAGGCAGTATTCATTTGGAACCTCTGACTCCATCCGAGGTACTTGAGTATGAAGCCACAGAGATTCTTCAGAAAGGTAGTGGTGATCCTTCAGCCAAGACTGATGAAGTAGTGTCTGATCAAACAGATGACATTCCTGGAGGAAATAACCCTAGCACAACAGAGGCAACAGTAGACCTGGAAGACGAAAAAGAAAGAAGTTGAAATTAGTCATTTTAAGTTTCAGTGTACCAACGATAAGGGCATTTGGAACAGTGCTATCAGGTGAGCTCAGTGGTGCTGTTGTAGGTTCAGAAATGGAAATATGTAAGGGAGGTCACACATACACTTTACCTGTATGTTCAACCTATGTTATCAAACAAATCAATTCACCAATAATAGCATGATTAGTAGGGATTCCCAAAAAGTTTTTAAAAACACGAACAGGATTTTAATGATAATTAAATTTGCAGTGGAAAGGTCTCATTTAATGGTTTTCAAGGAAATGGGATTTGGTTGCTGACATGAATTGATGATATTAGTAATATTTATAAAGCCTTTCAAACTTCCATCAATCCTAAGCTAAAAATCTTTATTACCTGTATATCCTTTTCAGTTAACTGAGAGGAAGGGATTTGGAAACCATGTACTTTTGGGGAGTAATTGATTAAAAACAATGGCTGATTGGCATTGTTAATGAAGGCTTTATTTGTGAGGATGATGCTGGTAAATGGAGCATGCTTAGAGTACTAAATTGATCTAATGAGAATTTGGATGAACATAAACTTAATTTTGGATTTAATATAACATTCCAGTCAGACGCATGTAAACAGAATATTTGAATCTTTGTACCTCCATACAAGTGTTAGCCTGCCAGGCTGTAAGCTTACCTTAATTAAACTTTCAGTGAAAGTGGAATTATTAAGATATAAATTTATATTTGTGCTTTTTGTCAGTGTGTAAGCTGTGTAGAAATTCTTTGATGTATTAGTTGTATTAATGTAAAGTAGAAACCCATTGTTGAAACTCCTGTAGCTATTATGCTTTTAATATTGTTTTAATGATCTTCCTTAGAAATAGGCCCATAAAAATGGTCTGGAAGCCAAACCAAAGTATGGTATAATGTAGATATTGTAAAGCAGTAAACTGAAAACATGTCCTGGCATGTATTCAGCCATGTTTAAGTGACTTTTCTGTAATTGTAAAATAAAAACTTCAAATGGGACCTAAAACAGTGATGTAAAAGAACTGGTTTTGGAAATTTAGCCTAATTTATCTATAAGATGGCTGCTAAATTGATTTTTCAGTTCTTTTTATCATCTAGAATATAATAGATATAGAAATGAATAATATGAAGAACAGTAGTTTGCTTTGAAATACTAATAAACTTTTATTTAAAATGCTTCATTTTTACTTCTTAAAATGTGCTTTGGATTCTTAAATTTTGTTTCACTGAATGTTCAATGTTTTAAATGGCGATTAAAATACTCTGCTGTATATAGTAGTTTTTGAGTAAATATTTGCAATAAAAATCTGCCCCCGAATAATTCTATTTTTCCAATCACTGCTTGATTCAGATTACCTTTGGTGCCTTTAGAAATTATATACTTGTTCAAGAAATTTAATATCAGTGTTAGTGGTGAGGATTCCATTCTACATTCTTTAACTGCTGATACATTATTTTAAATTAGGACTTAAAGTACAGGGGACAATATTGCTAATATTTATGAGAATAGATTTGCTTTATAAATTCTTTTACTTCAAGAGAAATAGAATTTAATATTATACTTTTCTATCTGCCCAACAATTTAAAGAGGCTAAATAGGCAAAATATATTATGAATTATTTGGAGTATTTTGGGGAGGAGAGCTAATATTTTTATCTTTCCTGCTCCCAAGAAAAGATAGGGAGAGAGGGAGCCATTAGCTCTCATCCTTCACCTTGTTAAAATGTAATTCTGTATCATGGAAGATTTTTGGAATAATATAAACCTTAGAAGAGCAGGGTTAGGAAAAACGCCTGTCTCTATAAGGACCACTTGTGAGTCTCATTCAGTCTGTTGCCACATTATCACATTATGACACCATAATCCCTTTGGAGCTTTGCTACATCAGCCCCCATATACCTTTTGAGTAGTGGTATTCAAAGTAGCAGGTCAATGAACTGTTTGTACCTATATACTATGAGAAAAGGAACCTATACTGGACTGTAAGTGCTTCATTGAGAAAGTCTGGCAATGAAAAAAAAAATAGCTGAATTAAGAATTGTATTTGGTACCATAGCTGGTTTACATTCTCTTTCAATCTCCTTATCTCCAATCAGGAACAACCAATCCAGGTATGCAAACCAAACCTTTGGTAGCAGTGCTTTAGAGCAGCGGTTAGGAAACCTTCTCTACAGGGCCAGACAGTAAATAATTGTGGGCCATGTGCTACAATTACCCAACTCTGCCTTGTATCATGAAAGCCACTGTAGATGATATGTAAATTATGAACCTATTTGTGTTCCAGTAAAACTTTATTTACAAAAATAGGATGTTGGCTGGATTTGGCCCATGGACTATAGTTTGCCTACTCCTGCTTTGTAGTGCTTAAACTCCTTTGATAAGAATATGAAAGCCAGTGATGCACTCTAGTGACTGCCTAAGAACTATCAAGACACCTTAGTATGTTATAGTTCCCTGTTAAAACAACGGGATTATGGTGGATTATAAGTGCAGTTTAATAACATCAAGAATCATTATATTTATTTTGTAGGATGCACTGCTAATTTATATTGAAAATCTGAATACCATATTTATTTGTTATTTCTTCCCCTTTCCATCTCTTCAGTGTTTTAAGGAAGAAACTATAAATTTTTTTTACCCCATGAATTTTTAAAGAACTATTCTAAACATTTGTTGAAAGAAACTAACAAGAGGTGAGTCACTTTATTTTGGTTAGAAGTAAAAAGATAAGGAAACCAAATATCTGGGCAATTATTTGGCTAGGGTTACAAAGCCTAGATTTGAACCCAGTTTGATCTGATTCTTAAGTTATTGTTTTTCCATTACATCTAGTTACTAGCATTTATATTAAACATTTCCTTTTAAAATATTTCTTTTTTTGCAAATAATCCTCCTATGGATGATACTAATTGTAATTATAACATCTTCAAGAAATGAGATATGTTGGGTGAAATTACTTTTATAGTTAGCTCTAGCTAACTTTTAATTGCTTGTTAAATGCATATGGAATCAAAGACTTCTTAACCTGAAGAAAGGGGATTTTTCCTCAAGGAGTTGTGAATCATTTTTATTAATAGGCAAGATAGTATATCATGTAAAGATACACTTTATAAAATAATTATTGAAGTTTTAATATCGTTACATTTTTGTAGGCTTCTGTTAGGTCATTGTTTGACTTCATGGTTGACAAGACTACTTTTTATACTATAATGAAATAGGAAGTTTGTATGCACTAGAAGAGGATTGCAAGTGTTTTATTTTTACTAGACTATTACAACAGTAAGACTTGTTTACTCAGCTAAGAAGTGAAACAGTTGATTTACCTATTTCTAAACTTAAGAGGAAAAACAATTATCTTTTAAGTACAGTTATGCGCCACATAATGACGTACCCCATGTATGATGGTGGTCCAATAAGACTATAATGAAGCTGAAAAATTACTCTTGCCTGGTGACATCTTGATAATGCTGACCCCATGTAGGCCTAGGCTAATGTGTGTGTGTCTTAGTTTTTTTAAAAAAAGTTTAAGAAGTAAAAAAAATTTTGTTTAATAGTAAAAAAAGGTTATAGAATAGGATATAAAGAAGGTACTTTCGTGCAGCTGTAAAATGTTTGTGTTGTTAGCGAAACGTTACTACAAAAGAGTCAAGTAAAAGGCCGGGCATAGTGGCTCACGCTTGTGGTCCTAGCACTTTGGGAGGCCGAGATGGGCAGATCGCTTAAGCCCAGGAGTTTGAGACCAGCCAGGAAAATGTGGTGAAACTGCGTCTCTGCAAAAAATAATAAAAAAAAATTAGTTAGGCATGGTAGCACTTGCCTGTGGTCCCAGCTATCCAGGAGGCTGAGGTGGGAGGATCACTTGAGCCTGGGAGTTCAAGGCTGCAGTGAGCCATGATCAAGCCACTGTACTCCAGCCTGAAGGACAGAGCAAGACCCTGTGTCAGGAGTCAAGTAAAAAAATTTTAAATATATAAAGTAAAAAAGTTATTGTATGCTAGGGTTTATTATTGAAGAAAAACATTTTTAAATTTAGCCCAAGTGTACAGTAATGTCCTAGGCCTTCACAGTCACCATTCACTGACTCATCCAGAGCAACTTCCAGACCTGAAAGCTCCATTGATAGTAAGTACTCATAGGTGTACAATTTTTATCTTTATACTATGTTTTTATTGTGCATTTTCTATGTTTAGATAAACACCATCGTGTTATACTTGCTTACAGTATTTAGTACAGTAACATGCTGCCCAGGTTCGCAACCTAGGAGCAACAGACTATGACATATAGTCTAGGTGTATAGTAGGCAATACCATCTAGGTTTGTGTAAGACCACTCCATGATGTTCACACAACGCTGAAATCGCCTAACAATGCACTTCTCAGAATAGATCCCTGTCATTAAGCGATGCATAACTATTTTTTGACTGATGCACATCTGCAGATCAACGTAGACAAAATGAATAGATTTTTGAAAGCCATGACAATATTTAATTTTCAACTTGAAAGCTTCAAATTAAAAGATACACTCAGATCATTTGTGAGGAACTAAACACATCTGTAGCAACAACTATAACATCTTTAAGAAATGAGATATGTTGGGTGAAATTACTTTTATAATTAGCTCTTGCTAACTTTTAATTGCTTGTTAAAAGTACCGTAAAATTGCCTTTATTTTTAAAAAATATATTACACATAATTTGGTCTTCATTGATGGCACAGTGTGCCATTATTATGAAGATTATTGGGCCACACTTTAAGGGATGCTGTAGCTGCAGAAGTTAATGGCTTGAAAGATAGTTGATCACAGAAGTTACCTTGGATTTTGGTTTCTGGAAAATGCCCCAGGTACATCTAGGATCATTAGACTTTACCAAAAACAGAATAGAAAAATTGACTGTATTGCTGATTCACTCCAACATCTTTCTTAAAATGACTTTTCTCCCCGAAATATTAAAGTAAAGCATGCTGTTTGTGGAGATTTGGAGAAGTATAAAGTATGCTGTTAAACTTTTTTATTTTTTGAGATTGAGTTTTTGCTCTTGTTGCCCAGACTGGAGTGCAATGGCATGATCTCGGCTCACCGCAACCCCCGCCTCCCAGGTTCAAGCAATTCTCCTGCCTCAGCCTCCTGAGTAGCTGGGATTACAGGCATGTGCCACCATGCCTGGCTAATTTTGTAGTTTTAGTAGAGACTGGGTTTCTCTATGTTGGTCAGGCTGGTCTCAAACTCCCAACCTCAGGTGACCCACCTGCCTCGGCTTCCCAAAGTGCTGGGATTACAGGCATGAGCCACCATGCTGGGCCAGTTTTAAACTTTTAAAATATTTCATCTTTATCTGGTGCCATAAAAACATTTTTTTTTTCTTGAGATGGAGTCTCGCTCTTACTCAGGCTGGGGTGCAGTGGTGCAATCTCAGCTCACTGCAACCTCTGCCCCTCAGGTTCAAGCAATTCTCATGTCTCAGCCTCCCAAGTAGCTGGGATTACAGGTGCCTGCCACCACGCCTGGCTAATTTTTGTATTTTTGGTAGAGACGGGGGTTTTGCCATGTTGGCCAGGCTGGTTTTGAACTCCTGATCTCAAGTGATCCACCTGCCTCGGCCTCCCAAAGTGCTGGGATTACAGGCGTGAGCCACCACGCCCGGCCTCCACTTCCTTAAAAAAATTTTGATTCTCTATATTAGGGGTTAGCAGACTATGACCCACAGTTGACCACCTATTTTTATAAACAAAATATTAGAACAGCCATACCATTTAATTACATATTGTCTCTTGTTACTTTTGCACTACAACAGCACAGTTATATAAGACAGAGACCATGTAGCTCACAAGCCTAAGTTATGTACAATCTGGCCCTTTAAGAAAAAGTTTGCCAGCTTTTACTTTATATTTTCATATAGTCCATATCATACCTTTATAACCATTCTTTAATTTTCATTATTGTAACCATTACAGTGGAACTTAGTTTATAAACTTGGTCCACATTTCTTACTATTTCGTGTTCTAGAATTACAAATTTGCAATTTTTTGAAGATTATTCAGTTTTTTAATCAAAAAATATTATTTTTTTTAAGAGACTCTCTTTGTTGCCCAGGCTAGAGTTCAGTGGCATGATCTCGGCTCACTGCAACTTCTGCCTCCCGGGTTATAGCAATTCTGCCTCAGCCTCCTGAGTAGCTGGGACTACAGGTGCACGCTGCCACACCTTGCTATTTTTTTGTATTTTAGTAGAGACAGGGTTTCACTGTGTTGCCCAGGCTGGTCTCGAACTCCTGAGCTCTGGCAATCCACCCACCTTGGCCTCCCAAAGTGCTAGGATTACAGGCGTGAGCCACCGCACCCGGCCTTTTTTTTTTTTTTTTTTTTTTTGAGACAGAGTTTCACTCTTGTCGTCCAGGCTAGAGTGCAATGGCACGATCTCGGCTCACTGCAACCTCCGCCTCCCAGGTTCAAGCAATTCTCCTGTCTCAGCCTCCTGAGTAGCTGGGATTACAGGTGCCGGCCACCATGCCTGGCTAATTTTTGTATTTTTTAGTAGAGATGGGGTTTCACCATATTGGCCAGACTGGTCCTGAACTCCTGACCTCAGGTAATGCACCCACCTTGGGCTTCCAAAGTGCTGGGATTACAGGCGTGAGCCACCACGCCCAGCCAAAATATCCATTATTATATTAACATACTCTTTATAGAAAAATAGTAAAACAATACTTAAGTATTTGTAGGTAAAAATGGAAAATTCTCTTACCACAATACTAGCGGAAAGCTTCTTGTCCTGGCATAAACTTCTAAGACTTGATGTTTTCATCTAGATTTTTTTTCTTCACCTCTTCAAAGTCAGTTTTATTTATTAATTTTTAAAAACCTAATGTGATTTTCATTCCTACAGTTCACCAAATATTTCTAGTATGTGTGGCCATGTAACTAGTTCCTGGCCAGTGCATTGTGAGTGAAAGTGGCTTCTGGTTTGGAGCATATAATTGTTGATGTGAAACTTTTTAGAATTTTTTTCGTTTGTCGTAGTGCTTTGTCATATTTGAGATGGTGATTGCTCCATCAGGCTGGGTTACTGAGGGACTACTATGAACAGAGCCTCCCTGTTTATTCAGATGGGCACATGAGAGAGAATGAGTATTTTTGTTTTAAGCCTCTATAGTTAGGGAATTTCTGTTTCTGCAACATAACCTGGCCTATCTTGATCAATACAGTCATGAATCGTGGAAGTGGAGTGCTACCATGAAAAAAAAACAAACTTAAACTATTACAGTGGCTTAGGTGACAGATGGTGTGGCTCCATGAGGTGATCCATATTCTGATGTGCGAGATTTGGTAAACTATTGCCTGTAATACTTGGAAGACATACAATATTCTTAATAAACTTGTATCTCTATCAGAAGACTTCGGATAACAGAATGTTAACAGCATGTTTTGATTACTGTATTAGCTGCATTTGACAAGATTTTTTTTTTTTTTAGATGGAGTCTTGCTCTGTCGCTCAGGCTGGAGTGCAGTGGCGTGATCTCGGCTCACTGCAACCTCTGCCTCCTAGGTTCAAGTGATTCTCCTGCCCCAGCCTCCTGAGTAGCTGGGACTACAGGTATCCATTACCATGCCCAGCTCATTTTTTTTTTTTTTTTGTATTTTTAGTAGAGATGGGGTTTCACCATGTTAGCCAGGCTGCTCTCAAACTCCTGACCTCAGGTGATCCACTCGCCTTGGCCTCCCAAAGTGCTGGGATTGCAGGTATGAGCCACCATGCCCGGCCTGACAATGTATTTTAAGAAAGAAATTAACTCAGCTGAGAAACGAGAAAAGGTAGGATTGCAAATGAGAACAAAAGAGAACACAGGAACTCTAGAAATTCAGATATATGCAAGGCTGGAGAGGCAACAACTTCTTACCTCCAACCATTAAAAGAAGGCCTTTAAGCAACAGAATTTAATTAAATAAAGAATATGGTCATTACAGTACTTGTTAAAACTTTTATTTTTTTGTTTTTTGAGACGGAGTCTCACTCTGTTGCCCAGGCTGGAGTGCAGTGGCGCAATCTCCACTCACTGCAAGCTCCGCCACCCGGGTTCGTGCCATTCTCCTGCCTCAGCCTCCCGAGTAGCTGGGACTACAGGCGCGCCACCACGCCCAGCTAACGTTTTTGTATTTTTAGTAGAGACGGGGTTTTGCAGTGTTCGCCAGGATGGTCTCAATCTCCTGACCTCGTGATCCCACCTCGGCCTCCCAAAGTGCTGGAATTACAGGCGTGAGCCACCGCACCCGGACTAAAACTTTTAACTAGATTAAAGAGAGGTCCCATAGTGTTTCTATATGAGAACTCCTAACAGCATATTTTGGGAAATTTATGTATTTTCTGAATTTCAAGACAAATCAGTCAAGAAATTGTTGAGACAGAGAAAAGTATTGTAACTCTCCTGTTAGAATTAAAGCTTAGTAATCAACTTAGAGCCATTATCCTTTGAAGGAATTCATTGAAGTCAAGCTCAAAAGCAAGAGCAGGGAATGCTGACATGTGGAGTTCAAGGGTAAGGTCAACATTTCCCGGAACCAGAACAGGAGCACTTAGAAGGAAAGTGGTCACAATCGAATCACTTGGTCTTACTTGTAGCCATTGCCATGTTGTAAGTATGTGTTCATGCCCCATCTGCTGCTGAGAGTTAGTCATTCTTGTAAATATAATAAATATCTATAGGTTTATGTAGATAGTATACTTTATACGAATCCTATCAATGGTGTTCCAAGAAATAGCACAATGTAGGAGCAAAATAAGCCCTTAAATTGGCAATTTTGACAGTGCTTCTGTGTAATGCTTTAACCTTGCCAAAAGAGCCAAATGTTACGTATTTCAAATACTACCAAATCAATTTGTTGGCACTTCCCAGTGTTCTACTGTTCTTTGCAAATACTTTCAACAAGAAATGCAAAGAAAAGAAGACGTGAATGTTATGGAACATTTTAAAAAGAAATCAGAAATGGATCTAAACTCTAAATTAACAAAAGCAGTATCAGTTTCAACAGCAAGATCAAAATCAGGGCAGACAAAGTACTTTCATCATTAAAAAAAGTAAGAGGCCAGTCATGGTTTTTGAACTTGACTCATATCAATGCGAAATAAAATAAATTTTTATATCTGAAACATTCATAACCAAATAAAGATAAAGACTATTGTGTAGGACAATTAATGCTTTATGTGCTTTAAATTTTTCTTTTGGGAATAACTTTTAAACAAATATTTGTAGTCTTCCAGTTTTTAAAATGATTTTTTATTTCACATTTATGTTACTGTTTCCTTCATTTCTGTTGTCAATATATCAGGTAGAAATAATGATATTAAAATATATCATCTTGTCACAGGATATTGGCTCATAGTAATAAACCACATTTTAATTTTTTCAGCAAAAAATTTCTGAAACATTTAGTATAACTACTACAGAAAAATTATTCCATATTTATTAAGGTTACAATTATTTAAAAATACATTAAGTATAATGTTATGAAAACTACAGAATGCTGATTCTGTATAATTTAGGAATTCCTGAGAATTTTCAGAAATTTTGATTCCTCATTCTTATATCCCAAATATTAGTATGTCAGGAATTGGGAAATGCTAATGACCCATATATCTTTTCAGTTAGACAAAATGGCTTAGGAAGCAGGTACTAAAGGGTCAGACTTCCACCAATGCCTGATGGTCTCAAGGTACTCCAGTCAAGTGTGGGAGGAGCTGGGGGAGACCTATCTTTAAAAATTGTGGTGTGCCTCTTGGCTCATTGCTGACTCAAATCATATAAACAAAAAACAAACTTTTTGAGAGAATTGTACCATTAAAGGAACCATGGGCCTGGATTAAAAGTTTATGACTGTTTGAGACCTGTGGGCCCCCAACTTTCTATAGGAAGCGGCAGAGTGAGAAAGCTCCCTGGGCCCCAAATAGGACATATTCCTTAATGCCTGCCTCAAAGGTGGCCAAGAAGGATAAAGGTAAGAGATAGGACCTCCTGGATGATAGGATCAAGAGCCTTGGACACCAATAAATTGGGGATCACCTCCCGAGGAACAGAATCAGGCTTGAATCAGGAATTTGTGCACCCCCATTGTAGAGGAAATCATAGCAGAGAATTGCTTTGGCCCACTAACTGCTTTTATGTCTCCCATCTTTCCCTTTCTGAATAGAAGTGTTTATTACAGTTTTTCTATCTCTTTTTCAATCTTGTATGTGTAGGGTATGAACAACTTTTTAGATCATTGATTAACAGATCAAGAGGAGACTAGGGCACACCATCTACTGATTTAGAGACTAGAAGGAGATAGTGGATTTTGAGTTTGATGCCATCGATGACAATAGGACTTTCAGTGCCACTTTTGATGCCATTTGATGGCAATGGGACTTTGGAGTTATCTCTCTTTAGAAGAGATAATGTTTTGGCTGTAGTCATAGGGTTATCTGCCATATAGTGGTTCTCCCTAGAGAACCAGACAGAGCAGGATTACACTTTCCTCATGGTTGAGTGGGACCATCTGTCTGGTTTTGGATTGTGACCTGTGGGCAAATACGACATGTCACTTCTAAACTGAAGCGTTAAATTACTGATTTGAGACCCTCTAGATTTTTGTCTCTCCTCTGATTTGTTTGCTGGTGATGTTTGAGATGGTTGCTCTGTCATCTGAGTTACTATAATGAACAGAAAAATCACTGGACTTTTAGAATGAATGAGAACCTTGTCAACAGATTCAAATGTTTATAGCTGCGATTTCAAGAACTTTTGTTTTGAGATTATACACAGACAAGTTTAGTTTATTTTTCTGGTGAATTGAACCTTATTTTTTTCCGGTGAATTGAGCCTTAGATTGATAGCAGATTAAGTCTATCAGTCAGGATAGGTTAGAATGACATTGTAATAATCCTCCAAATCTCAGTAAGTAAAAGCAAGAAAAATGTATTTCTCATTCATTCTAAAATTTTTCATGCCAGTGCCTAAGGACCCATCTCAGATTTTCTAACCTTTTTGATCTATCTCAGCAGTTCCTATCTTTTACTAATGCAAGCTATCCTCTGGCATAGTAATTTTACCATTAGTCCCTGTAGAGATTTTTCAAAAATCATCTTATTGCATAACTTTAAAAATAGTTTTAGGACTTTCACTTCTCGCCAATTTGGAGTAATAAGGGCTGGATTTACCCTCCCACTTGAAACAAAAAACAACATGAAACAATGGTGTTAAAGTTAGTAACAGCAGGAATGAAGGACAGTGATCCATGAGAGACAGAAAACAAATGAAGTGAGCTCTATGATTACCTTAGCTTACTGCTTTGAGTTTCCGAGTCATAGCACAGGAAATAGGAACTGAGGCAAAGTGAAGAGAGACCTTGAGTTGAGGAGGAAGAACTGAGGGCACAGAGAGACTCAGGAAGTGAGAGTTCTTAGGACCAAGTTACAGAGAGGAGAGAGCTGCATGGAGAGATTTGCAGTATTCAGCAGAGTACTATGTTGTGTGTCAGGAAACTACCAAAGGCTGGGAAAAGAATAATCAGAGGTGTAGGAGGAACAATGCTTGGCACTTTAAACAGGACGAGAAACAGTGCATTCCCACAAGCCAGAATGAAAACCTTATAATTTATGGGGCATGGGTGGAGAACTGAAGAAGGTTTGCCTCAGTAGTATGGGAATAATTAACCCTAGACTGAGTACTGCCCTGTACCCAGAAAACAAATGCTAAAAACAAATCTGCAAAGATCAAGTAATTTCTAAGTAAATGTACTGTGTCCCAGAATAAAACTCAAGGTATACAGAAATATAAAAATATTGAATATCCACAAAGGTAAAATTAACCATATCTGGCATCCAATCAAAGATTAGCAGGCCTACACAGAGGCAGGAAAACATTACCATAATGAGGAAAATCGCCAGTCAGAACGAACAGATATCAGAATTAGCAGGGGGGAACATTAGAATAATTAATATAACTGCTGTATCTTCCAAAAGTTAAGAAGCTGGCCAGGCACAGTGGCTCACACCCATAATCCCAGCACTTTGGGAAGCCAGTGAGGGAGGATCACTTGAGCCCAGGAGTTCAAGACGAGCCTGCCCACCATGGTGAGACCCCATCGCTCCAAAAAAAAAAAAAAAAAAAAAAAAAAAAGAAAAAGCCTGGCTTGGTGGTGTGCACCTGTAGTCTCAGCTATTTGGGAGGCTGAGGTGGGAGGATTGCTTGAGCCTGAGAGGTCAAGGTTGCAGTGAGCCATGATCGTACTGCTGCATTCCAGGTTGGCTGATAGAGTAAGACCCTGTCTCCAAAAAAAAAAAAAAAAAAAAGGTAAGAAATTATTTTTAGAAGACCCAAATTGAACTTTCAGGGATGAGAACTACAATGTCTGGGATAAAAATTATGCTGATGAGATTAATGGCAGATTAGATATAGCAGAAGAAAAGATCAGTGAATTTGAAGACATAGAAATAGAAATTATCCAAGATGAAACACAGAGGAAAAAAGAAATTTAAAAATTTATTTAAAAAAGGAAAAGAAAAAAGCATCAGTGGACACCTTCAAGAATTATGATATTTTCCAAACCTGAAAACGATCAACTCACAGATCCAAGAAGCTCAATGAACCCCAAGCACAAGACACATGAAGAAAACTATACAAAGGCAACATAAATTGCTCAAAACAAGTAATAAAATCTTAAAAGCAATCAGATAAAAAAAGACGTGTACATTTTGAGGAAAAAAGTTAAGGATGTCATCAGATTTCCTTAAAAGTACTGAGAGAAAAAAACTGTTAACCTAGAATTGTATTCCCAGCAAAAATGTCTTTCAAAAACAAAGGTGCAGTTACTCGGGAGGCTGAGGTGGGATGATTGCTTAAAGCAATCAGTTCGAAGCTGTAAAGAGCTATGATCATGTCTGTGGAGAGCCACTGCACTCCAGGATGGGTAACACAGCAATATCTTGCCCCTTAAAAAAACTTTTTTTTTTAATTTAAAAAAGTCAAATACTTTTTCAGAATTTTTTGGCACAGACCTGCACTACAAGAAATGCCAAAAGAAGCCGTGTGGACAGAAGGTATATATCTGAGAACAAATTATTTACCTGTATTTAAATTTTCTATGGCCTTACAGATTTTTCTTTCTCTCCTTGATCTATCAGTTACTGAGAGAAATGTTTTAAAATTCCTCACTGTGGTGGTAGATTTGTCCATTTATAGCTGTGATTTCATGAACTTTTGTTTTAATTTGAGATTACATTGTATGCAGAAAAGTTATTTTTCTGGTGAATTGAGCCTTATTAATAGTGACCATGCATAACGTTTATGTTGTTTGAGACAGCCATACAAGCTTTCTTTGGTTAGTATTTGCATGATATATATTTTCCACTACTATACTTTCAACCTTTCTGTAGTATATACATACAATTTAAAAATACAATCAGATAATCTTTGTCTTTTAATTACAGTATTTAGTCCACTATGTTTATGGTAATGATAAATTGTGAACATTCTGTTTATTCTGCATTCTATTTTTATTTTCTTTCTTGCTCTCTTTCAAAGTATCATTTTTCTCATCTTATTTTAATATTCTACTGGTTTTGGAGTTATATACAGACAGTACTCGACTTATGATGGTTTGACTTAGTATTTTTCAACTTTACAATGGTGCAAAAAAATACACATTCAGCATAAACCATACTTGTGAGTACCCATACAACCATTCTGTTTTTCATTTTCAATACAGTATTCAATAAATTACATGAGATATTTAACACTTTATTATAAAACAAATGTTAGATGATTTTTCCCAACTTTAGGCTCATATAAGCATTTTGAGCATGTTTAAAGTAGGCTAAGCTAAGCTATGATGTTCGGTAGGTTAGGTATATTAAATGCATTTTCAAATTATGATATTGTAAACTTTCAATGGGTCTATTATGACACAACCCCATCATAAGTCCAGGAGCATCTGTACTTTATACTGTTTTTTAAAATTTTTATTTTAATCTTTTAGTGGGTACTCTCCAGGAATTTACACCATGTATCCTAAATTTATTAAAGTCTATAGTTAATCATATTTACCCTTTTCCCAAACAGGAACCCCAAAATACTTAAATTCCACTTGAGACCATATACTCCTTTCTAAAAGGTGGCCTCTGCTACTCAGTTCTAGCCCAAGACTGCCCATCAAAAATGCAGGCTCAGAATGGGATATTACATCTTTTGATTTTTAAGTGTTGTCCAGAAATGTGTGAGCAAAACAAAAATATGTTGACAGTTCACCAGTTATAAGCCTCTTTTAGGCCTAGGAAAGAGAGTATTTCATGATGGCTTTACTCAGTAGTGGTTGGTTGCTACTGTTATCATACAGAAAGCTAACTGTACTCCTTGTCACATGTGGGGTGTTTTCTCCCCTGTTAAATAAGAGAAGTAAAAACTTGTAATAGCCTCAGCTTGCCTCTTCAGAAAATTATACCATGTATCCTTAACTTATTAATGTCTAAAGTTAATTATTTTTAACTTCATCCCAAACAAGGAGGTATAAACACTTCAATTCCAATCTTCCATGGAGGAGTAGACGTCCCTTCTAAGGTGGCAGCGGTGAGTCAGTTTCAGTCCACTATTGACAACCAGAAATGTAAGCCCAGTACTTGGTATAAAATCTCCTGTTTTGTTTTGCCTTTGTCTTGGTCAATATATTGTTGGCCAAACAAATTGTTTGCAAACCAGAAATGGCTGGCAAGCAGCCAGTTTTTAGCCTTTGCTAGGAACACGTAGAGTTAATTGTGATATCCATCTATTTACTCATTCATTCATTCAGTAAATGTTTGTTGAGCCCCTACAACTGTCCTACAATTGTGCTGTAATCCTTTGTTTTGTTTTAACTACTTGATGAAGAGTGCCCCCAAATGCTTGACAGAACTAATTCTCTTTAGAGGAACCTGCCTTCATTCCAGGACCTAAAGAATTTCCCATGAGGAAAATTAGCATATCACAGTCAGGTTCTCTCAGATTTACCATAATATTTACCATTTTCTTGTTCCCCACCTCTTAAATTTCATTTCTTCTATCTAAGTTGACTCTCCTACCTGAAGTACATCCTTTATAATGTTTTTTAGTGGGAGTTTTCAGATTGCAGATTTTCAGCCTTTGCTTGTTTGAAAATGTCTTTAAGTCCTCATCATGGAAAGAAATTTTCTGAATATAGAACTGTGCATTGAACAGTAATTTTCTTTCAGCATATTGAAATACCATTTATTTTCTTCTCACTTCTATATCGATTACTAAGAAGATAGCTGTCCATCTAATTGTGCTTCTTTCTCTCAGGCTACATTTAAGATCTTTTGGTCTTCTGTATTCTGTAGATGCATAATGACGTGTTTAGGTATAGATTTCTGTTTATTATTCTGTTTGACTTATTAAAGCTTTTGGATCTGTGAAATAGTGACTTTTTGGAACATTCCCACTATCTATTCAAATATTGCTTCTGCTCCATTCTTTTTAAAACTGATTAAGTTCATGTTAGACTTTTTGACTGTATCCCCTATGACTCTTAACGTTTTTTTTCTTATTCACTCTGGGATATATTCTGCATAACTTAATTGTTTTAATATGCTCTCTTTATATTGAATCTGCTGTTAACTGTATCCATAAAATTTTAAAATTTTCAGTTATTACATTTTACACTGCAGACATTCTCTTTTTTTTCTTAAACTCTACTTGTAATTTACTCATTTTCAAGCTTGTCTTTTATTTATTAAAGCATATTAAGCAAAATTATTTTATGTCTGAATATTCCAGTGTCTAAACTTTTCTCACGTCTGATTCTGCTGTGGTTTCTGTTTGTTCTAACCTGTGGGGTCTTATTTCCTTAATGTTTGGTGATTTGTATTGTGTCCTAATGTCTTAATTGTCCTCACATGGTAATTCTTAGAGGCCTGGAATAAAGAAAGTTTCCTCCAAAGAGGATTAGATTGTGTCAATCATCTGAAGATCTGGAGGCACTATTAGTCCACTACTACTTTACAGTTATTATTGGAGGTTTTGGAGACTACAAAACTGATATAAAATTAGGCTGCAAACCTGCTTGAAGACCACATTGTGAATACAGATTATCAGGAGAAATCCTTCCTATCTCCAGCGTGCTGAAATTGGAGACAGATAATTTTTCTTAGTCCTAATGGTTGTGTCAGCAGAAGGAGGGCCTTGAGTGTAAGTTGTCCAGGTTTTTGGCGTTTTGAACAAAGAATTAGACAAAACCCACAAAGTAACAAAAGAATGAAACACAGGAATTAAGTATCAAAAGCAGGAATTTATTAGAGAAAGCACTCCACAGTGTGGGAGTGGGCTCAAACAAGCGGCCGATGGGCCCCGTTACAAAGTTTTCCAGGTTTTAAGTACTCCTGTTGAGGTTCCTACTGTTACCCCTTATCTGGATGAAGGATTTGGTTTGTGGCTAAAGGCTGAGGTGAATGGGTGCCCTGTGCAGATGAAGGGATGGTCCCTGCTTGGCCCCAAGGCCAATCCAAGGCACTCTCCCTTTCCATCTGAGACATGGTGGAAGGGGAGGGTGGCAGGGACAGCAGCCTTTGATCCTTTGCTACTCAGGTGGTTGTAGGGAGATGGAATTTTACCTTTTGGTTTAGCTTTAGGAAGTTGGCCTGAATTGGCCTTAGATTCCCTGCCTCCAGACCCAGGTGTTTTCTCTTTTAGAAAGTTAGCATAAATTGACCTCAGATTCCGTGCCCCCAAATCTTGGTGTTTTTCCTTGATTCAGCACGAAATGGCCTTCAGTTCCCTGCCTCCAGACCCTATTCTCCTGCCTCAGTTGGGGAAATGTGTAAGTATTTCTAATTCACCCTTATACTAAAGGGTAGATCCTTGTGATTTCAGCATTGTGTGAAGTTCTACTCGTAGATATAAACTGTATTTTCCATCTTCTGTTGACAAGGCTGTGAAAACCCATGCTCAGGTTCATCCAGCTCAGCAAACGTCTCAAGGAAGAAGTCATCTCTCTGGGTTCTGCCTTCAATTAGTTTTTCTCCAGAGTGTTTTTTTCTCTCTCTTTCCAGATTAAAGACCTATTTAAGAAAACTTTAAAATATTTTTGGTTATTTTCAGTGAATTTTTTTCTTGTCTCTCCTTAATAATTTTTATTGGGTGGTTTGGCGTTTTCATCTGCAGATTCATTTTAAGTGGTATTTTTTTTCCTTTGCCTCTTTCTGTGCTCCCTCTTCCCTGTCTAGTAGTTCTGTGGTTTCTCCCCTCTAGTTGTCTAGGACTCTACTCCAAAATTATGCCTCAGTGGCTAGAAACTCCAGTCTCAAAGTGGCAGCTGGCTCAGCATCTGAAGCAGTATGTAGCTTTGCTCAGATTTCTGTGCAGTTTTCTCTTATGCCACCCCCAACCATGAAGTTATACAGGTTTACAGAAGCAGTAACCTCAGGCAGTGATCACAGCTGTTTTCACACAGAGACCCCAGCTGTACCATGGTTCCATGCCACATACATAGTGCTTTCGTTACATCAAAGGAGTAAAAACTCCCAGTGGCCCCTAGCTGCTTCCTGGACCTAGACATCGGCAGGGCTGCCGCTTTAGCCCCACCTTACTAGGTTGCCGCCTTCTGTTTCTGACCCAAATAAATGCTTATTTTGTATCTGGGCATGCATGAAACTGTCTTTTTCTTGTTAATTGAATCTATAATTCACATTTGTAGAGAAGGGGGAGAGTTCAGTGTTGAATTTACAGCACTCTTGACCTAAATTGTCCTCTTCACACATTTTTCTCAGTTTATTTTGTTGTCCTTTTTCTAGCTGCTTCATTTGGATGCTTAGTTCCTTTTGAATTATTCTTATTTTCTAAAAATGAGTTTAAGGTGAATATTTTGTATAGCTAACATTTACTAACCGTTTGCTATATGGCAGGCACCAAGCTAAAAGTACTTTACGTTGATTATTTGCTGTAATCTTCCCAAAAGCCTTATGAAGTAGAAACTGTTAGTATCTTAGTTTATAAATAAGAAAGTTGAGATACACAGTGAATAAGAAATTAGTTACGTGTAACCAAATAGGTAGTCTGACTCTCAAAAGCCTGGGCTTTTGACTAGGATTAGATATGTACCAATCACAACCAGTTAAGTGATGCATACATATATATAAAGAAAGACTTAATAGACGTTTTTCATTTCTCAGTTTCCTTCCTGCTACCCAATATAGCTAAAGGGCAATGTATTTTTTGTTTGTTTGTTTGTTGTTTTTTGAGACGGAGTCTTGCTCTGTTGTCCAGGCTGGAGTACAGCGGTGTGATCTTGGCTCACTGCAACCTCCGCCTCCCGGGTTCAAACGATTTTGCTGCCTCAGCCTCCCGAGTAGCTAGGATAACAGAAGCCTGCCACCATGCCCAGCTAATTTTTGTATTTTTAGTAGAGATGGGGTTTTACTGTGTTGCCAAGGCTGCTCTCTCTCGAACTCCTGACCTCAGGTGATCCGCCCACCTCGGCCTCCCAAAATGTTGGGATTACAGGCGTGAGCCACGGCGCCCGGCCAGTGCACCACATTTTGAACTGTTACCCAATTATCTATTCAAAAATAAATTTAAATGAAATACCTATTTTAAGCCACTAAATTTGTAGGAATTTGTCATGCAGCACAGAAAACAAATACAAACTGTTTCTGGTTTTTAGCTATTATAAGTTGCTTTGAACATCGCATGCAAGTCTGTGTATGGACATAAGCTCCGATTTACCTTTGGTAAATAGGAATAGGATGACTGGGTGGCATGGTAAGTATGCTTTTAATTCTTTAGGAAACTGCTAAACTGTTTTCCGAAGGGGCTTTTTGTTATATTCTCAGCAGCATTGTATGAGAGTTGCAGTTGTTTCCAAATTGTCACTAACACTTGGTATGGTCAGTCTCTTTAATTTTGTCCATTCTAATGGGTGTGTAGTGGTAAATCAGAGAATATGCTTTCCATAATTTTAGCCTTTGACATATATTAAGATTGTCTTTAGGGCTGAGTATATGGCCAGTTTTGGTAAATGTTTTATATGCACTTGAAACAAATATATATTCTGCAGTTGTTGGGTACAATATTCTACATATATCTGGTAGGTCAATTTTCTTAATTTTGTTATTCAGAACTTTTATATCCTAACTGATTTTGTTTGACTACTTGTTCTATCAATTACTGGATAAGGTGAGTTAAAATCTTCTACTCTGAATTCATTTCTTTTTTCAGGTCTTCAGTTTTTGCTATATTTCAACCACTGATAGTTTTTCTTTTTGAGAATATCACATAAATGAAATTGTTACAGGAAAGGCATCCCGATCCAGACCCCAAGGGAGGGTTCTTGGATCTCATTCAAGAAAGAATTCAGGGCGAATCCACAGTGCAAGGCAAAAGCAAGTTTATTAAGAAAGTAAAGTGATTAAAGTACAGCTACTCCATAGACAGAGTAGGGCATTCCCGAAAGTAAGAGGAGGAACACGTCCACCCTAGGTACGATACTTGTCTATATATATAGGATAAAAAAAATCATTGGGAGATGTGCTCTGCTACAAGGGTTTGTGATAAAGGATTAATTTTCTTAATTACTGTATTTTACAATAATCGATATTACCATTAAAGCAAAACTAGGAATGCTTCTCTTCTCAAGATAGCAGGATATCAGGACACTCCCAAGTCTGGATCTGTTTAGTAAACATTATCCATCTGTTCCCTTAACCGTAAACATCTAGAGGCTAGGAATACATTAGTTTCTAGGAATGCAGCCCAGCAAGTCCCAGCCTCAGTTTCCCAGCCCTCACTCAAGACGGAGTCACCCTGGTTCGAACACCTCTGACAGACTGATACATTATGTAACACTTTGAGACTTTGATTCAGCATAAGGTCTATGAGATTTGTACAAGTTGTTGCATGTATCAATAGTTCATTCCTTTTTATTACTGAGTAGTAATCCATTCTATAAATAATATGTTTATTCATTCACCATTAAAGGACATATGGTTGTTTCCTGTTTGATTATGAATAGAGTTGGTATAAACATTCATGTACATATTTTTGTGTGACCATATGTCTTAATTTCTGTTGTAAATACCCAGGAGTAGGATTGCTGGGTCAAATGGTAAGTGTATGTTTAACTTACAAGAAACCAGCAAGCTGCTTTCCAGAGTAGCTGCACAATTTGCATATTCACTTTTTACTTGGAATCAATATTTTACTTCAACTGGAATGTAGAAACCTCACCCACGTATGTTCTTTTATCCTCCATGCTTTACATTATAGTTGTCATACATATTACATTTATATTCATTAAAAGCCCATTAGATAATGTTACGAGTTTTGCTTTCAGCCATCAAATATATTTTAAAGAACTCAAGAGGAGAATAGTCTGTTATAGTTACTTAGGTAGCCACCATTTTCGTTGCTCATCCTTTATGCATAATATACCAAGTTTCCTTCAGGTACTATTTCCTTTTGGCTGAAGACATTTCTTTATAATTATTTTAGAGCAGATCTGATGACAACAAATGATCTTAGTTTTCCTTTTTCTAATGATGTCTATTTCATCTTAATTCTTAAATAATTTTAATAGTCTATAGAATTTTAGGTGGACAGATTTTTTTCTTTGTTTGTTTCTGCACTTTAAAAAATGTGCCATTTCATCTGAGTCTCTCTGGTTTCTGGTGATAAATCAGTAGTCATGTGAATCAATGTTCTTTTCTATGATAAGGCATTGTTTTTCTTTGGCTACCTTCAAATTTTTTCTTTGTCTTTAGTTTTCAGCAATTTGATTATGGTGTTATCAAAGTCAAATAAAATGATAGAGATGAAACTCTAAAGAAAATGTTTTATTTGGAAAAACGGAATTACCATTCAGGGCATGTACACAGACCAGGGTGGTCTTTGGTATCTTCAAAGAGCAGAGAAAAGGTTGGGGGTTTTATTAGAGAAATGTTATGTATTGTTTTGTAAGAAAACTCATTGGCATTAGGAAAGTTTTTGGGAGCTCATAAGCTCTGATTGGTGAGTAATGATGGGTAGGTAAAACTAGGCTTAAAGTCATGGCAGTTCATCTTAGCAGCTACTAGGTAAAAATAGTCTTAAGGTTGTAGCAGATCATTTTGGCAGTTGGCTTAGGAGACAGTCCCTGGGCAGGCACTTGTGCCCTGAGTGCTTTTCTTTTCTTTTCTTCCCCTGGTCTCCTGACTCTAATTTAATTGGGCATGATAACTCCAATTCATATAATCAATTCTCACAGTGTTTGGTTGTGGATTTGTTTGGGATTTTTCCTGTTTGAGATTCACTGAACTTCTTGAATCTGTAAGTTTATATCTTCTGCAAAATATGGGAGGAGTTTTTTGCTGTTATTTATCCTCCCCCTTTTTATTGTGGTAAAATATACAGAAAATAAAATTTACCACTTTGACATTTCTAGTGTATAATTCAGTGGCATTTAGTATATAAACAATGTTTTATGCAACCATCACCACTATTTTGAGAAATTTTTCATCATCCCAAACAGAAACTCTCTACCCATTGAGCGATAACTCCCCATTCCCCCTGCCCCTAGTACCTAGTAATTTCAATTCTATTAATCCTTTCTGTCTTTATGACTTTGTGTATTCTAGATACCTTATAAAATATGTGTTTGTCTTCACGTCTGAATTATTTCACTTAGCATAAGTTTTTCAACTTCATGTTGTAGCATGTATCAGAATTCATTCTTTTTTTGTGGTTGAGTGATATTCCATCGTACATATATATCAAATTTTGTGCATTCTGTTTGTCCATCTTTTGATGGACACTTTAGTTGTTTCCACCTGTTGGCTATTGGGAATAATGGTGCCAGGAATATTTGTGTACAAGTATCTGTTTGAGCCCCAGTTTTCCATTCTTTGGGGTATATATTGAGCAGTGGAATTATTGAGTCATATGGTAATTCTATATTTAACATTTTGAGGAGCTGCCAAACTTCCCATAGTGGCTGCACCATTTTAACTTCCCACCAGCAATTTACAAGGGTTCCGTCTTGGGTGCGCGATGACTGTCTGGGCTGGTGGCACAGAGGTAAAAGAATTTACCAAGATAGTTGTAGGTAAAGAAAGGCAGATTGGTTAAAGAAAGTATAAAAGTACGTTGCCAGGGAGCTATAGGTGGAATCAGCAGAAGAGTAGCTGACTGCAAGGAAACAAGGAAATAAGAACAAGAATGCTTCTTATGCTGAAGAGTGCTACAGGCAATACTGATAATGCTAAGGTTGCAGTGAGCTAACTTGCAGGTGTCTGATGATAGTTGGACCCAGGAGGGCAATGTGTAGTGGACCATGAAGAAAGGCAGACTTGAAGCTTATCTGCTTTCTCTTTTTGCTTTGCCTTGGTGTCCAGCCAGCCTGACTCCTTTTCCCTAATTATGAATCCACAGGTTCCAATTCCCACATCCTTGCCAACACATGTTAATTTCAGGAATTCTGGGAGTAGCCATTCTAGTGGATGTGAAATGATATTAGACATTATTCCTTTCTCCTCTTTGTCAGTCTCTGATAACACAAACATTAGACCTTTGGTACTGTCCCACAGGCTCCTTAGGTTCTTTACTTTTTTAAGAAATATTTTCTTTATTTTCGGATCAGGTAATTTCTATTAACCTATCTTCGAATTCACTGACTCATTTTTTTGTCATCTCCATTCTGCTATTAAGACTATCTAGTGAGATTTTTTTAAAAAAATTTAGTGATTACATATTTTTTTCAGTTCCCAAATTATCATTTGGTTCTTTATGTCTTCAGTTTCTTTGCTGAGACTTTATATCTTTTTATTCATTTTAAGAGTGTATGTCCTTACTTCCTGGAGCACCTTTATACTAATAATAGCTGCTTTAGCATTTTGGTCAGATAATTCTAACACCTGTGTCAAATCAGCATTGGTGTGTGTTGATCATCTTTTTCTCATGTGAGCTCAGATTCGCCTAGTTCTTCATATACTAAGTAGTTTTGGAATGTATCCTGGAAATTTCAAATATAATGTTAAGGGACTCTGGGTTTATTTAAATCCTATGGAGAATGTTGATATATTTGTTTTAGTAGGCAATTGACCTTATTGGGTTCTGGCTGCAAATTCCAACCAGCTTCTGTGGGTTGTGGTTTCAATGTCAGTTTCATTTTCAAAGCCTTCAGTTTTATTCAAATTTGTCACACATGTATGCTGCTCAGTGGCCATTCTGAAACCTGGCATGTGGTTTATCTCTTAGTTTAGTTCAGTCTTTGGTATGTTGGTTTATGATCAGAACCACACATGCATCCCTCAGAAGTGATACCAGAAATTCATAAACAACATTATCTGGTAATTTTCCAAAGATCCTCCCTTTAGGTATTTTCCCCAGTAACTTCCAGTCCCTTAAGCCTCTTTTTTGATCTTCCATCTGTAATACTGTGGCTTTATTTACCCCCCATCCTGCCCTACATTTTTCATGTCTGCACTCATATCCAGGGATAAGTGGAGGGAAGTTAGAATTTAAAAAGAAATGGTGTTCACCTCACTCTCTTGAGACTATAGCACCTCTGGAAAGTAACCCTCTCCCTCTCAGAATTTTGGTGCTCCTGTAGCTATCGGGAGATCTCTATCTTCTTCTTTGATCCTGAGTAGAAGGCTTCTCTGGAAGCTTTCTCTAGCTATACCAATACCTATCTCCACATTATAGATTGCCTTAAATCCACACTGAGAAATACTAAAGGGGGGTGAAAAGGGTCTATTCACTACCAGTTAGGTCTACTCCACTTCAAATTTCGTTGTTCTTTAGTCTTCATACTATTATCTTGTATTCACAGTCCTTCCACATTGTTATATGCATTCTGTCCAGGTTTTGTAGCCGCATTCAGTGGGAGAGTCAAAGTGGAGTGTGCTTACTCCACCTTACCCGGAACTGCAACTCTTAAAATAATTTTATAATTAACATCAATAGTAAGGGAGACTATGCATAAAACAAATAAACAAAACCTAACAAATTTGACATGTAAGCACTCTCACTGCCAGGCCAACATGTTGTTTAAAACTGTCCATAGAAATTGAATCTAAGTAGAGAAATTTCAGGTAGAAGCAAACTTTATAATTCCACCAAACCAAGAGCAAGTCAAGAATGCCTTCTATGATACTCTGGCTTCTTATTTTTAGGATGCAGAAAAGCTGCTCTGGCTAGCTTAAGAAAAATAGTTGCTCTGGCTAGTTTAAGAAAAATAACTTACTAATCAAGTATTATAAGAAGACACAAATACCTAAATCAGAAATGAAAGTGGGGACACAACTATTGACCTTTCAGAAGTAAAAAGGATTATAAGAGAATACTCTAAACAATTGTATGCCCAAAAAAAGATAACCTTGATGGCATGGACACATTTCTAGCAACAAATTACCAAAACCGACTCAAGAAGAAATAGAAAATCTGAATAGAGGTATAACAAGTAAAGAGAGTGAAACATTAACCAAAAACTTCCCAATGAAGGTAAGTCCAGGGTCAGATGGCTTCATCAGTGAATTATACCAAACATTTAAAGAAGAATTAGCACCAATCCTCAATTTTCCAAAAAGTAGAAGAGAACACTTACTAACTTGTTTTTGATGCCAGCGTTACCCTGATACCAAAATCAGATAAAGACCTCACAAGAAAAGGAAGTCACAGAGCAATATCCCTAAGTAATATAGATGTAAAAATTCTCAACAAAATATTAGCGAGCCAAATCCAACAACATATTAAAAGATTATATACCATGACCAAATAGGATTTATCCCAGGAATCCAAGGGTGTTTTGACATGAGAAAATAAGTGTAATATACCATATTAATGGAATGTAAAAACGCCACATGATCATCTCAGTTGATGCAGAAAAAATACTTGACAAAATCCAACACTTTTTCATGATAAAAACTTAGAAAACTCACTTTGGGAGGCTGAGGCGGGCAGATCACGTGTTCAGGAGATTGAGACCATCCTGGCTAACACGGTGAAACCCCTTCTCTACTAAAAATACAAAAAATTAGCCAGGCGTGGTGGCAGGCACCTGTAGTCCCAGCTACTCTGCAGGCTGAGGCAGGAGAATGGTGTAAACCCGGGAGGCAGAGCTTGCAGTGAGCCAAGAACGTGCCACTGCACTCCAAGAAAACTAGGAATGAGAGGGAACTTCCTCAACATGAGAAAGGGCAATTATGAAAAACTCGTAGCAGAAATCATACTCAGTGGTGCAAGACTAAAATCCTTTTCCCCAAGATCAGGAACAAGACAAACATGCCTGCTTTCACCACAGCTATTTGACATTGTATTGGAAGTTTTAGCCAAAACAGATAGATGGATGGATGGATAGATAGATAGATAGATAGATAGATAGATAGATAGATAGATAGATGAAAGATAAAATGGCATCCAGATTAAAAAGGAAAAAGTAAAACTATTCACAGATGATATGATCTTATATGTAGAAAATCCCAAATAATCCACAAGAAAGCTACTAGAGCTAATAAATTCCGTAATTTGTAAGATACAAGATCAACGTGCAAAAATCATTTGAGTTTCTGTATACCACCAATGAATAACCCAAAAAGGAAACCAAGAAAATAATTGATATGGTTTGGCTCTGTGTGCCCACCCAAATCTCATGTTGAATTGTAATGCCAAATGTTGGAGGTGGGGCCTGGTGGGAGGTGTTTGGATCATGGGGATGGTTTCTAATGGTTTAGCATCATTCCCGCAGTGCTGTCTCATGATAGAGTTCTCACAAGATCTGATTGTTTAAAAGTGTGTAGCACCTCCATCTGCTTGTGCTCTTCTTCCTGTTCCAGGCATGTAGGATGTTCGTCCTTCCCCTTCACCTTCCACCACCATTGTAAGTTTCCTGAGGCCTCCCTAGCCAAGCTTCTGTACAGCCTGTGAAACTGTGGTCAATTAAACCTCTTTTCTTTGTAAATTACCTATTCTCAGGTAGTTCTTTATAGCAACGTGAAAAGAGACTAATACAACAAACAATCTACTTACAATAGATCTGAGAATAAAATACCTGGGAATAAATTTAACCAAGAGGTGAAAGACCTGGACACTGAAAACTACAAAAAATTGCTGGCAGAAGTTAAAGAGGAACGAATTAAATGGTAAGACATACCGAGTCCATGGATTAGAAGACTTACTATTGTTAAGATGGCAATACCCAAAGCAGTCTACAGATTCAATGCTATCCCTGTCAAAACTCCAATAGCCTTTCTTTTCTCAGGAATGGAAAAGCCAATATTCAAACCTTTATAGAATTGTAAGGGGCCCCAAATAGCCAAAACAGAATAACAAAGTTGGAGGGCAAACACTTCTTGATTTCAAAACTTACTATAAAGCTACAGTAATCAAAACAGTGTGGTGCTGGCACAAGAATAGACATATGAATGTACTTAATACCACTGAATTGTACACTGAAAATGGTTAAGAGTAAATTTTATCTTACATATATATAGCAACAAAAAATGAAAAAAATCTGCCATACCTATAGGTTTATTTCTGGATTCTCAGTTCTATTCCATTTATCTATATGTCTATTCTTGTGACAGTTCATCTCCAGAATTCTTGCATCTAGTAAAAGTGAGACTCTATACCCGTTAAGTAATTACTGTACATTGCCCACTTTCCCTATCCCCTGGCAATCACAATTCTATTTTCTACCTGTTTAATTTTGACTATTCTAATACCTCATAAAAGTGGAATAATGTAGTATTTGTCTTTTTTGTGACTGGCTTATTTCACTTAGCATAATGTCCTCAAGGTTTATTCATGTTGTAGTATATGTCAGAATGTACTTCCTTTTCAAAGCTGAATAATACTCCGTTTTGTATATCCATTCATCTGTTGATGGACACTTGGGTTGTTTCCATATTTTAGCTATTGTGAATGATGCTGCTGTGAACTTGAGTGTACAAATATCTCTTCAAGACCCTGGTTTTAATTTTTGCGTGTAAGAAAGAGTGAAGCTATATAAAAATAAACCCAGTGCTCTTGCTATAGTCTAGAAAGAGGAATTGCTGTGGTTAGGATCCAGGCTTCCCAATTTTAAGCCTTTAAGGGTTAAAACTAGGACAGCTATTGACCTAGAACATCCTAACACATAATAGGCATTCAATGAAGGGCCGATTGAATAACTTAACTTGAGAAAGGCAATAGGATAGGCTGAAAGTAGCAGCTTGATGATGAATGTTGTGGCTTTCAGAAGCATGGTTACTGATGCCAAGTTATTATTGATACATTAGGATAAATTTAAAACCTAATTCTCGAGGCTACCTGATGCCACTAGCAGAAAACAATCAGTCCTTTCCTAGGATAGATGGTGGGAACCTTTACCACTAAAACATTATTTTCAGACTAAACACAAGGCTTCTAAACCTACTTCCAGATTACAACATCAATAAATAAAAAGATATGAATTTATTGCTGGATTCAACCAACAATTAAACTCCTGTAGTAGTTAAACACACTATCTTATCCTAAATGCCAAAAGTGTTTTCAGGATGAGGAAGATGAAGCAGCATGGGTTTAAAACTTGGTTTTGGTTATTATTATTAAAGCCAATTTATGGGCAGTGCTTTTCTAGAAAAATAAAAACTTTTTTATTCTCAGAACTTTGTTACTTCACTTCACTAATGTGTCAAGTAAGTATTACTGGACCATATCAACTCTTCTTGAAGTATGTACCACACCTTGGTTCTAAGGCATGCAAACAGAAATTCTGTGTAAATAAGAATTACCTGGAAAATAAATAAATATCATTACATCTGGATTAGGCAACAATAGGTGAGTTTCTGTATTTCAGAATTTCTCAGCATGAATCTACAAGTGGGATGTATAGTATATGGCTTCCTATAAGGTTATTTGACTTTTTATTTTTGAGAAAGATTTCTCAAGAGTAGAGCTCCTCAAAACAAATTTTGATAAATACTATTCTGGACGATTAGCATTTTTAGGAGCTGGGAAACTGTGGCCCATGGACCAAATCTATATGCTGCCTGTTTTTGTACAGCCTGCAAGCTAAGAGGAGTTTTTACATTTTTTAATGGTTCAGAAAAAACAGTATATCTTATGACACCTGAAAATTACATAAAATTTAAATTTCAGTGATGAATGCAAATGTATTAGCATACAACTATGCTCATTTGCTCACATATTGCCTATGGCTGCTTTTACACTACAATGGTAGAGTTGAGTAGTTGCAACAGAAATCATATGTGTCACTCTTATTAATTCACACTGCTGCTGAGTGCACTATAAGTCACAGTAATGTAGGTATAACGGGATAGAATTCCAAGTGTACCACCATACCACAATATTTTTTTTTGTTACTAGTCTTACCAATCATGTCAAAACAAAGGAAGGGAATAGTAGACTCTAAATGTCATGTTTTAAAGACGCAGTGAAGTGTGGATTATTTTGCTGTCAAATTAGATGGCAAAGTGTTGTATTTATCATGGAATAACATTAGAGTTGTGCTATAAGAATGTAGTATACATCTGCTTGCTGGACTAAACACTTATCATGATATTCCCAACTCTCAGGAATACAATGGTCAGAAAAATTAAAAAATTTAAAACAATATTTTATTATAACATAACTTATTTACAAAGAAACAGTGAAGGAGACTGTAACCAAAGTGAGTTTCCAAGTGGCTCGTTTGTTAGTCACATGAAGAAAGCCATTTACCACTGGTAGGTTAATTAGATTGTTTGATTGCAAGAGAGAAAAAAATGTGTCTAGAGAAAATTATTTATGACTATTAGGCTTATGGTGAGAACAGTTACTTGAAGAGAAGAAACATCAGTAACAAACTAAAGAATAAGGGCAAATGATTTCAAGTTGTTTTCCTTGACTGGATGAGTCCACAGATCATATTGCTGCTGATCATTTGTTTATTCCTAAAGACAATGCCAAATTTGAGGTGAAATAAGTATTAGACTCTTTATATAGAGAAACTACAGGTGAGATTTATTTTCACAGAAGTTGGGAAAACATTAATTCAGTAAAATCTGAAGTGGAATCTACTAAGATGTGTTATAATGGATGGTGGTAAAAACATCTGGAGCAGGCAAAGGCTTTGGTTGACAAATTTATAAAGGTTGTGAAAGTGTAAGTTGATTAAAGCCTTGGTTTTTCATTGTATTACTCATCCGTAGGTATTTTGAGGAAAATATTTGAATCTATCATGTGATATTGAACCGGTAGAACAACAATGAACTTCATTTGCTCTTGTGGACTTCATTACTTCCAAGAATTTTTGTCTGAAGTATAAGTTGAATACTTAGATTTTCCCCATCAAACAGTAGTTTTATGGCTTAGCAGTGGTAAAGTTTTACTGTGATTTTTGAGCTCAGGGCTGAGATTGCAATTTTTCTGAACAATAAGAACCACCTCAACCAGTATATCAAACACTGAATGGCTTTAGAAATTACCTTTTGCAGCAAACTTGATAGTTGTTTAATAAATTCAACCCAAAATTACAAAGCAAAACAATGCTTAGGATGTGAAACTTATACTGAATTAAAGTCATTTTGACAATTAATTTTTAAATCATAAAAAATGACAAGTAGCTTTATATACTTCCCATGCTAGCAAAAATTGAAACAAGAAACAAGATCTTCAATACTATACCATTTGCAGTAGATATATTTTCCAAGCTCAAACTGCCTTTCCAGTAGAGTTTTTGGGACTTTGATGCAAGTGCAAAGGGAATTTCCATATTTTGAAATTAATTTAACGGTGAAATTGAGGAGCTTCCACCTAACCGTTTAACTAGAAAGTGATTAACCTGCAATGTAATGACATGCTAAAATGAGATTCTGTAAATGCCTTCCAAATGATGAGTATGTTCAATAAAAGTCACATGAGTGGCTCAATATTAGTATTTTATAGTAGTTACTGTGTATAAAAAGATATTTTTAATGATGAAATACATAAAAGCTCATCACAAATTAGCATTAACATATAAACAGTTGCAAATGATTTTTATGATAGGGAACACTAACTATGAATCCCAATTTAGCAAAAATATTATCCCTGCCATTAAAAAAAAAAGTTCAGTTCTTCTCACTAGTAGACAACTATAACAAAAATTTGTACTCAATTTTTATTATATTTTGATTTTCATCAATTAAAAATTTGTGGAAATTTGTTTTCCCTCTTGTTACATAAAAATCTGTACAGTATCTTCAATTTTGCCTGTTGGCCCACAGAGTCCAAAATATTTACTATCACAACTTTTTATTAAGAGACAAGGTCTCTGTCTGTCACTGAGACTTCAGTCCAGTGGTGCGGTCATAGCTCGCTGCAGCCTTGAACTCTTGGGCTTAAGTGATCCTTCTCACCTCAGCCTCCTGAGTAGCTGGGACTACAGGCACATGCAATTGTTTCTATGTTTTGTAGAGATTGGGGGGGTCTCACTTTGTTGCCCAGGCTGGTCTTGAACTCCTGGCTTCAAGTGATCCTCCCATCTTGGCCTCCCAAAGTGTGGGATTATAGGTGTGAGTCACCACACCTAGCCACTATCACACCTCTTGACCCATAAAAAAGCCTTTACAAAAAAGGCTTGCTGAATTCTTAAACAGACCATTGAATTAGAATAGGAAGCCCAGAGCAAAAACATGCATAGATGGATGAACCTGGATTTAGTAAAAGGTGGTACTGCAGTTTAGAGAGGAAAGAAAAGTCTATTCAGATGAAAAAACATAAACTTTACCCTACCTCACATCATCATGAAAACAATTCAGGGTGGATTATAAATCTATGTGTGAAAAACTAAATAATAAAACTTTGACAGATAATATAAAAAGAATGTCTTTATGACTTTGAAATATAGAAAAGTTTCTTGAACAGAATACAAAAAGTATTAACCATAATTGATAACTGATAAATTATCAATTTTATATATAATTGATAAATTATCGATTATATATAAGAAATTATATATAAAAGAAAATTGATAAATTTTACTATATTATAAGATCCAGTTATCAAAATATACCATGAAGAGAATAAAGAGGCAAGTGACAGTGTGATATAGTTTGGATGTTTGTCCCTCCAAATATCATGTTGAATTGTGATCCCCAATGTTAAAGGTGGGTCCTAGTAGGAGGTGTTTGGGTCATGGGGGAGAATTCCTCATGAAGGGCTTGATGTCCTCCCCCGTGGTAATGAGTGCATTCTTACTCTGTTAGTTCACATGGAATCTGGCTGTTTAAAAGAATCTAAGACCTCCCTCTTCTCTTTCCTGTTCTTTCTGGTCATGTGATACACCTCGCTCTTTACCTTCCAGCATGATTGTAAGCTTCGTGAGGCCTTCAACAGAAACAGCCACCAGCACCACACTTCCTGTACAGCCTACAGAATCATGAGTCAAAATAAACTTTTCTTTATAAATTACCCCCTCTTAGGTATTCCTTTACAGCAATGAAAACAGCCTACTACACAGTGCTTTAGATTTAAATTGACAAATCTGTGACAGCAAAAGTTTCAGTAAGTGGCCCTTGTAGGTATCAAGTTCCATTTCAAAAGGATAGCAATCACAAAGCTCAAGGTTTACAGAAAAGAGAGCTAACAATCTTACCTTTCCTAGTTAGTAGAATTTATAATAAATCTAGAATACAAATTCTCAAATATGAAACAATTTATAAAATGAGCAATGACTTGTTCTTATTGCTATTAAGCAGTACTTTGAAAAGAACACAGTAGATGGTACTAGAACTAAGATGTTCAAACATTTTACAAATAAATTATGCATTTTTCATTCATATTATACCAACCACAACATTTTAAAGGCACTAGTTCTATTAGATACAAAATTAAACCTGATTAAATTGAAAAGAAAACACATTACAATGCAATTATCCATGTGGCTGTCATTTAGAGCCCTGGCTCCACTGAAATAATCATTAGAATAGTAAATAAACCTCAACAAAACCAGTGTGCTATTTTACATTAGTAAATGCGTTAGCTTTATTGTAGCTGGTGGGCAAAACAATTGATGAAACTCCTGGAGGATGACACATTTCACAGTGAGATGTTTTTCCATCCTTTATCTGATAAATATAGGAACCATCAGCAGTTTAAATGTGGCCAGTTTAGGTCAATAAAAACTATGAATATACATTTTTTAAGTTAGTATTTCAAATTCAGTAATAGAATCCAACAGACAGATGTTAATGTGCCTCAATCAAATTCTTCTATGGCTTTTATATATAATTGCTGAAATAATCATCTGATGACTAGAGTATTAGTCATAACAATTTTTCTCATGTAACCTAATCCTTCATTTTAAAAAGAGTTTTTAAAAATTGGCCAGCGCTGTGGCTCAGGCCTGTAATCATAGCATTTTGGGAGGCTGAGGCGGGTGGATCATCTGAGGTCAGGAGTTCGAGAACGGCCTGGCCAACATGGTAAAGCCCCATCTTTACTAAAAATACAAAAATTAGCCGGGTGTGGTGGTGCATGCCTGTAATCCCAGCTACTCAGCAGGCTGAGGCAGGAGAATCACTTGAACCTGGGAGCTGAAGGTTGCAGTGAGCTGAGATTTTGCCATTGCACTCCAGCCTGGGCAACAAAAGCTAAACTCCATCTCCAAAAAAATTAATTAAAAAAAATGTTCTTCGCACAGGGCAATTTTGGAACTTATCCCACTGTCTTTACTTCATAGTATGTTATGTACCTAATATTTAATTCATTTAGTCATTCAATAAACAAATTATTGTTTGTTTTGGAGGATTCCAAAAAAATATTTTGTCAGATATTAGAAGACAGAAGACTCATATAATATTCACAACCTATTTATTATGTACCAAGAACTATACTAAGAATTTTGTGTGTATTATCTCTCAATTTTGTTTGGAAAAACTATTGTAATGATTTAGGGATGAAGAAAGTAAGCCTTAGATAGGTTAACTCAAAAACATCTAATGCTGGGGTCCGAGATGAATGTTCTTTCACAGGCAGTTGAAACCAAAGTCTAAATTTGGAAAAATTTTGCTTACCTATTAGGGAAGACATGTCATATATTTTAAGACTTCACTGATACATAAAACAAACAGTGGCTAAAAATATAACTTGATTATGACAAGGAATCTAAAACCAATTGAATAAAATTAGTTAAAATAGTTGATCACTAAAATGTATGAGTGAGCCTAAAATCATATATTAATCCAATGAAAACATTAAATTATGTTAACTGTTCCCATTGATAGATATGGTATGTCTATTTGTTCAAGATTTGTTTTATGTCCTTAGATAAGACTTTAGAATTATCATATGGTCCTAAAATTTTGTTAAATGTTTTCTTAGTTATTTACTACTTTTTAATCCTATGGTAATGGAAGTTTTTCCAATATCCATTTCCAATGAGTCATAAAACCTATTGGTATTTGTATATTCATCCAGTATTCAGCCATTTTGATACATTTTGTCAGTAGTTCTTGGAGTTCTTCACTGAGTTTTCCAAGCATGTCATCTGCAAATGGAGATAATTTCCCCCTTTTTCAATATTTATATTGAGTATTTTAGTTTTTTTATTTCATTAGCTGGAACCTCCAAAAAAAAAAAAAAAAAAGGTCAAATATACGGTAGACATTTACCATCTGGAGAAAAGCCTATTCAACATCTGAACCATTTCTTTGTTGAGGAATTTTTTTTTGCCCTGTGAATCGGTTAAGCTTCTCACTATATGAGCAGAAAAAGTCAAATGCTTTACCTTCCCAACCCCCTTTGAGCTAGGATATTGGCAATTGAATTAGAGTCAGCAAGTCAGATGTGCCTGCTAAGGAGTCTGAGATAATAAACCCAAGATGCAGGTACAATGAAGAATTAAATTTTTGACAGTGGCACAGCATTCTTCTTCCAGGGAGTAACACTGCCTGTGCCACCATCTGCAATTGAATAGGGAATGCTTCCCTGCAATCTGTGGAATATGTCCTCAGTCTCAGAGCAGCAGTGTCCCTCCAGACTGATTCTGTAGCATGAATTCTATGTAATTCTGGCTGGCTGAACTCCCCTTTTTCCTGTCAGTTTTCCGTGCCCGGTTCGCCAGCCTCGCTGGCAATTCCACGAGCCACGTGGAATATTCTTTAAAAAAAAAATCATTGAGGTGAAATTACATAAAATTAATTATTTTCAAGTGAAGAATTCAGTGGAATTGATTCTACTCACATGTTGTTCAACTGCTTCCTCTATGGCATCTCCAATACTCCAAAGTAAAACCCTCTTACCAATGAAGCAGTTTTTCCACACTGTCCACTCGCCCCAGTTCCTGCAAACCACCAATATGCATTCTGTCTCTACAGATTTATCTATTCTGGATATTTTATTATAAACACATTTTTAATTATAAATATATGATAGTTGTACATATTTATGAGGTACATGTGATTTTTTGATATAGACATACAATGTGTAATTATCAAATCAGGGTAATTGATTTATCCAATACCTCAAGCATTTATTTCTTTTGGTTAGTAACATTCCAATTCCACTTTTAGTTATTTTGAAACATACAATAAATTATTGTTAATTATAGTTGCCCTACAAATCTTATTCCTTCTGTCTAACTGTATTTTTGGACCAATTAACCATCCCTAGTATAGTCACCCTACTGATCTATCAACACTAGGTCTTATTTCCTGTATCATACTGTATGTTTGTACCCATTATTCAACCTATTTTCATTCCCCCACATCTTTCTGGCCTCTGGTAACCAATCTACGTCATGACATCTTTTTTAGCTCTCACATACGAAGGAGAACATGTGCTATTTGTGTTTCTGTGCTTGGCTTATTACACTTAACATAATAACCTTCAGTTCCATCTATGTTGCTGCAAATGACAGGATTTCATTTTATTTTAAGGCTGGATAATATTCCATTGTGTATATATACTACATTTTCTTTAAGTATTCATCCACTGATAGGCACTTCGGTTGATTCCATATTTTGGCTATTGTGAATAGTGCTGCAGTAATCATGGGAGTGCAGATATCTATTTGATTTATTGATTTCCTTTCTTTTGGATATACACTCAGTAGTGGAATTGCCAGAACATCTGATAGTTCTATTTTTAGTTTTCTGAGGAAGCTTCATACAGTTTTCTATAGTGGCGGTACTAATTTACAGTCCCACCAACAATGTACAGGTGTTCCCCTTTTTCCACATCCTCGTTAGCATTGATTATTCCCTGTGTTTTTGATAAAAGCCATTCTAACTATGGTGAGATGGTAGCTCCTTGTGGTTTTGATTTACATTTCTCTGATTAGTGATGCTGAGCATTTTTTCATAAACTTATTGGCCATTTTTATGTCTTCTTTTGAGAAATGTCAGACCTTTTACCCATTTTAATCATATTATTCGGGGGGTTTTGCTATTGAGTTGTTTGAGCTCCTTATATATTTCCTTGTTAGACAGGTAGTTTGCAAATACTTTCTCCCACTCTGGAGGTTGTCTCTTTACTTTGCTGATTATTATCTTTGTTGTCCAGAAGCTTGTTAGCTTGATGTGATCCCATTTGTCCATTTTTGCCTTGCTTGTCTCTAGTATATTTGAGATAAGGTAGTGCGATGCTTCCAGCTTTGTTCTTTTTGATCGGGATTGCTTTGGCTACTTGGGGTCTTTGGTGGATCCATATATATTGTAGGATTATTTTTTTCTATTTTTGTGAAGAATGACATTGGTATTTTGATAGAGATTTCATTGAATATGTAAATTGCTTTAGGCAGTTTGGACATTTAAACAATACTGTTTCTTTCAACCCACAAACATGGATTATCTTTCCATTTTTTCATTGTCCTCTTCAATTTCTTACAGCAATGTTTTATAGTTTTAATTGTAGAGGTCTTTCATTTCTTTAAGTTTATTCCTAGGTATTTTACTTTTTTGTAGTTATTGTAAATGGGATCACTCTCTTGGTTGCTTTTTCAGATTGTTTGCTGCTGGCAAATAGAAATGCGACTGATATATCTATGTTGATTTTGCATACTGCAACTTTACTGAATTTATCAGTTCTAACAGATTTTTTTTCTTTGGTGGAGACTTCAAGCTTTTTTAAGATGTCATCTGCAAACAGGGCTAATTTGTCATCTTCCTTTACAATTTACATACCCTTTATTTCTTTCTCTGATTGATTGCTCTGGCTAGGGCTTCTAGTACTATGTTGAACAAAAGTGATGAAAGTAGGCATCCTTGTCTTGTTCCAGATCTTAGAGGAAAAGCTTTCAGTTATTCCTTTTTAGTATACTAGCTGTGGATTTTTAGTATATGGCTTTATCATGCTGAGGTATGTTACTTCTGTACTCAGGTTGTTTTTATCATGAAGTAATATTAAATTTTATCAAAGGCTTTTTTTGGAATGTATTGAAATGATCATGTGGGTTTTGTCCTTTATTCTTTTGATGTGATGTATTATAGTTATTTGTCTATTTTAAACTGTTGTCGCATTTCTGGAATGAATCTCATTGATTACACTGAATGATTGTTTTAATGTGTTGTTAAATTTGGTTTGCTAGTATTTTGTTGAGTATTTTTGCATCTACATTGATCAGTGATACTGGCCTACAGTTTTCTTTGTCTGGTTTTAGTATCAGGGTGAGGTTTGCCTCA
This sequence comes from Homo sapiens, assembly GCF_000001405.40. Lineage (NCBI taxonomy): Eukaryota > Metazoa > Chordata > Mammalia > Primates > Hominidae > Homo > Homo sapiens. The sequence goes on along the minus strand of NC_000015.10, from coordinate 56,594,872 downwards.
TAGAATGAGCTTGGAAGTATTCCTTCTTTTTTGGTTTTTTATATTTTTTAAGAATTTGGGTAGAATTGTTATTAACTCCTCTTTAAATGTTTTGTATAATTAAGCAGTGGAGCTATCAGGTCCTGGGCTTTTCTTTCATGAGATTTTTAAAAAATTATGTCTTCTATCTTGTTATTTATTATTGGCCTATTCAGGTTTTGGATTTCTTCATGGTTCAGTCTTTATAGGTTGTATGTGTTTAGAAATGTATCCATTTCTTCTAGGTTTTCCTATTTATTGGCATATAGTTGCTCAAAATAGACTCTAATAATCCTTTGAACTTCTGTGGTATCCAGTTGTCATGTCTCCTTTCTCAAACCTGATTTCATTTATTTGGATCATCTCACCTTTTTTTTTTTCTTAGTTTGGTTAAAGGTTTGTCAATTTTGTTTATCTTTCCAAAAAAACCCAACTTTTTGTTTTGCTGACTTTCTGTCTCAACTGTATTTATTTTTGCTTTGATCTTTATTATTTATTTCCTTCTATTAGTGTTGGGTTTGGTTTCCTCTTGTTTTCTAGTTCTTTAAGATGCATTGTTAGATTTTTGAAGTCTTTCTACTTTTTTGATTTGGGCATTTATTGTTATAAACTTCCCTCAGTACTAACTTTTGCTGTATCCCATAGGTTTTGGTATGTTGTTTTTCCATTCTCATTTGTTTCACAAATTTTTACATTTTCTTTCATAATTTCTCCATTGACCCAATGGTCATTTATGAGCATATTGTTTAATTTCCATGTGTTTGTACAGTGTCTAAAGTTCCTTTTGTTATTGGTTTCTGGTTTTATTCCGTTGTGATTAGAAAAGATATTTGATATAATTTCACTTATTTTGAGTTTTCTAAGACTTTTTTTTATGGCCTAACGTGGTCTATTCATGTTTGAAAAGAATTTGTATTCTGCAGCAGTTGAGTGAAAGGTTCTGCAAATTTCTATTAGGTCCATTTGGTCTAAAGTGCAGGTTATATCTGATGTTTCTTTGTTGATTTTTTGTCTAGAAGATCTGTGCAATACTTAAAGTGAGATCTTGAAGTCTCCTGCTATTGTTGTATTGGGGGTCTGTTTTTTAACTGTAATATTTACTTTGTATATCTTGGTGCTCCAGTGTTGGGTGCATATATATTTATAATTGTTATATCTTCTTGTTGAATTGACCCCTTTATATAGTGACTTTCTTTGTCTCTTTTTACCTCTTTAATTTTAGTTTATTTTATCTGATATAAGTATAGCTACTCCTGGTCTTTTTTGCTTCCATTTGCATGGAATACCTCTTTCCACCAATTTATTTTCAGCCTATATGTATCTTTATAGGTGAAGCAAGTTTCTTATAGGCAGCTTATGGTTGGGTGTTGTTTTTTTGATTTATTCAGCCACTCTGTGTCCTTTGATTGGAGGATTTAGTTCATTTACATTTATTCATTGTTATTATTGGTAGTTAAGGACTTACTCTTGCCATTTTGTTACATGATTTATGGTTGTTTTGTTGGTCCTCCCTTTCTTCCTTCCTTCCTGTCTTCCTTTGTGTAAAAGTGATTTTCTCTGGTAATATGTTTTAATTTCTTGCTTTTAATTTTTTGTGTATCTATCGTAAGTTTTTGTTTTGTCATTATTATGAGGCTTGCAAATAACATCTTTAACCAATTACTTTAAACTGATGACAACTTAACTCTGATTAGAAAGAAAACACAAAAATACAAACAAAAAGAAAACTAAAAAACTTTACACTTGTAACTTCAGTTCTTTTGCTTTTTGTCTTTTTGTTGTCTCTGTATCTTTTTATATTGTCTATCTCTTAAAAAGTTTCTGTAGTTATTATTTTTGATAGATTTCTCTTTATGTTTTCCTACTGAAGATAAGTGGTTTACACACTGCAATCACAGTGTCAGGGTATTCCGTATTTGTCTGTGTATTAACTATTACCAGTGCCTTTTAACCTTCAGGTGATTTCTTGTTGCTCATTAACATCCTTTTTTTTCTTTTTCAGATTGAAGAACTCCTTTTATCGTGTCTTGTAAAACAGGTCTGGTGTTGACAAAAATCCCTCAGCTCTTTTTTGTTTCGGAAAGTCTTTATTTCTTCTTCATGTTTGAATGATAATTTTGCTGAACATATTCTAGGTAGAAAGTTTTTTTTTTTCCTTCAGTACTTCAATATGTCATGCCACTTCTTCCTTGCCTGTAAGGTTTTCGCTAAGAAGCATACTGCTAGATGAATTGAAGACACTGATGCATTCTTCACTGTGCCAATTGCATTTCTCAGCTCCAGAATTTCTGCTTGATTCTTTTTATTTCAATCTGTTTGTTAAATTTATCTGATAGAATTCTGAATTCCTTCTTTGTGTTATCTTGAATATCTTTGAGTTTCCTCAACACAGCTATTTTGAATTCTTTGTCTGAAAGGTTACTCTGTTTCCCCAGGATTGATCCCTGGTACCTTATTTAGTTCATTTGGTGAGGTCATGTTTTCATGGATGGTGTTGATGCTGGTAGATGTTCTTCAGTGTCTTGGCATTGAAGAGTTCGGTATTTATTGTAGTCTTCACTGTCTGGGCTTGTTTATACCTGTCCTTCTTGGGAAGGCTTTCCAGATATTTGAAAGGACTTGGATGTTGTGATCTAGGCTATATCTGCTTTAGGGGACACCCCAAGTCCAGCAACACTGCGGTTCTTGCAGACTCATAGGGTTCCCACCTTGATGGTTTGGACAAGATTTTCTGGATTACCAGATAGACTCTTTTTCCCTTCCCTTACTTTCTCCCAAACAAATGGAGTCTCTCTCTGTTCTGAGCCACCTAAACCTGGGTGGAGTGACAAAAACACCCTGTGACCATTACCACTATGATGCACTAGGTCAGACTTGAAGCCAGCACAGGACTAGGCCTTGCCCAAGCCCTGCTGTAACCACTCCCTGACTACTGTCTATGTTTTCTCAAGGCCCTGGGGCTCTACAATCAGCAGGTAGCAAAGCCAGCCTGGCGGTGTCCTTTCCTTCAGAGTGGCAAGTTCCCCCAGACCCCAGGTGGGTCACGCAGTGCAGTCCAGGAGTCAGGGACTAGAGTAAAAATCCTTAGAAGTCTACCTGGTCTTCTACTGCACTGCAGCTGAGCTGCCTCTCAAACCACAAGAAGCAGTCCTTCTCACTCTTCCTTCCCTTTTACAAAGGCAGATGATATGGTTTGGGTCTATGTCCCTGCCTAAATCTCATATCAAACTGTAATCCCCAATGTTAGAGATGGGGCCTGGTGGGAGGTGATTGGATCATGGGGGTGGATTTCCCCTTTGGTGCTATTCTTGTGATAGTGAGTGACTTATTGCAAAATCTGGTTGTTTAAAAGAATGTGGCACCTCCCACCTCACTCTCTTCCTCCTGCTGCAGCCATGTAAGATGTGCCTGCTTCCCCTTTGCCTTCTGCCATAATCGAAAGTTTCCTGAGGCTTCCACAGCCATGTTTCTTGTAGAGCCTGTGGAACTATAAGCCAATTAAACCTCTTCTCTTTATAAATTACCCAATCTCAGGCATTTCTTTACAGCAATGCAAGAACAGACTAAAACAACAGAGGAGCCTCACTTCATGGCCACCACCACCACAGGTTGCAGGGAGTACTGCTAGACTACTGCTGATGTTTCCTTAAGGCCCAAGGGCTCTTAAGTCAGATTGTGGTGAATGCTGTCTGGCCTGGGACTCACTCTTCAGGGCAATAGGCTCCCCTCTAGCTCAGGGAAGGTCCAGAGATGCTGTACAAGAGTCAAGTCCTAGAACTTGCTTGGTGCTCTGTGCCCCTGTGGCCAAGCTGGTACCTGAAGCCAGCAAGTTTCAAGGGCTCACTCAAGGTATCTCTGCTGGTTAATCAGGGCCTAAGGGCTCTTCAGTTAGTAGGCGATTAATACTGCTAGGACTGGGTCCTTCTCTTCAAAGCAATGGTTTCCCTTCTGTCACAGGGTGTGTCTAGAAATGTCATCTGGGAGCTAGGGCCTGGAATGAGGGCCTCACCACTCTAACTGGTGCCCTATCCTACTGTTGGTCAGCTGGTATCTAAGATGCAAGACAAAATTCTCCCCGCTCTTCCCTCTCTTCTCTTCAAGCCAAAGGAAGGGATATCTTTTGGAGCCATGAACTGTGCAGCCTGGGGTTAGGGAAGAGGTGATGTCAGCACTCACTTAGCCCCTGCAGCTGGTGTTTCAGTAGGTTGTATGTCCCCCACGTCCACTGTCTCTGGGCCCAGTTCAGCCCTAGGACTTGCCTGAGAGTTGCAGTCCTTATGGCCTAGACTGCCTTTCAAGTATACTTAGAGACCCATAGCACTTTAGCCCATGGTGGCAAGGTTTGCAGGAACTCAAATTCTGACCACTGGGATCAGCAATTCCTCCTTGGCTAGGGCTGGTTTAAATGTTCCCTATGTGGGCAGGCATCAGCTGAGTTTGGTCAAATTTTTCTTTCTGCTCTAACAGTACAGCAGTGAGTTTATTGCCTCACAAGTGGTGAGCTCTCCCTTCCCAAGCACCCAGAGAAGCTCTACACAGCACACCACTGCCACTGCAAGGGGGTGGGGGTGTCAGCGATTCAAGACTGTTTTTTCTACCTCTTCAGCACCTCTTGGTGATAGGAAATTAAAAACAGGTACTGTGAGTGTTCACCTGATTTTTTGGTTCTTATAAAGTTTTTTTTTTTTTTTAATGCCTGTGTGTAGATGTTAAATCGGTGTCCTTGCAGGAGGGACAATCAGTAAAGCTTTCTGTTCCACCATCTTTCTCTGCTTCTCTCTTTATTTTTTGGTTTCTGTGAAAGCACATTTTTGCATCGATAGTGTTCAATTTAGTGTTCCTGTGGTAGAACAATTGTTGGAGGGCTCTATTTGGCCATCTTTCTCTGCCTTTCCTGGGGATTTTATATAATATATATATATATATATATATATATATACACACACACACACACACACACACACACACACATTAAAATATATATATATAAAATATATATATTCTGTGTGTGTGTGTGTGTCTGTGTATAATCCTGGTTTGTCAGATGTTTCGTGTCTGGCTTCTTTTACATAACGTAAGATTCTCAAGATTCACCTACTTTATAGCATGTATCAGTACTTCCTCCTTTTTATGGCTGAATAATATTCTGTTGTGTGTATACCATTTTTTATTTATCTACTTGTTTGTTGATGGACACTTGGGTTGTTTCCACCTTTTGCTGTTGTGAATAGTGCTGCTACGAGCATGAGTGTAAGTGTACTCTTTAGATTACATTTTTGATTACTGTTTCAAATACTCTGAGTTAAATACACTTCGTATTGAAATTGTGGAGTAGTATGGTAATTCCATACTTGATTTGTTAAGGAACCACCACCAAACTATTTTCCACAGTGACCAGATCATTTTACTTTACCATCAGCAATGGGCAAGGTTTCTAATTCCTCTACATCCTTACCAGCATTGGTCATATTCCTTATTATTATGGCCATTATAGAGGACATGATGTGGAACCTCAGTGTGGTTTTGATTCACATTTTCCTAATGATGGACATCTTTTTATGTTGTTGTTTATCATTTCTATATCTTCTTTGAATAAATATCTATTTAAATATTTTGCCATTTAAAAGGTTGGATTGTTTATCCTTTTTGTTGTTAAGTTGTAAGCACTTTTACGTATCCTGGATCCTAGTCTCTTGTCAGATGTAAGATTTGCAAATATTATCTCCCACTTTGTAGATGGCTTTTTCACTTTATGATAATGTCCTGTGATGCACAAAAAAATTTTAATTTTGATAAATTCCAACTTATTTTTTCTTTTTTGCTTGTGTTTTCAATGTCATATCTAAGAATATACTGCCAAATCCAAGGCACTGAATATTTATTGCTATGTTTTCTCCTAATAGTTTAAAAGTCTTAGATATTATATTTATGTCATTGATCCAATATCCTATTGTCCCATCATATTTTGTTGGAGACACTATTCTTTTCTCATTAAATCGTCTTGGTATCCTTACCAAAAATCAGTCAGTGAGTGATACCACAGGCACAGGCAAAAAAGGAAATATAAAGGCAAATTGAACTACATCAAAATTTAACATTTTTTGCATCAGAAGACAGTATCAACAGAATAAAAAGGCAACAAGAATGGGAGAAAGTACTTGAAAATCATATATCTAATAAAGGATTAATACCTAGAATATATAATGAACTCCTACAACTCAACAACAACAAAAACAACCTGATTCAAAATGGGCAAAGGACTTGAATAGACATTTCTCCAAAGAAAATATACAAATGTCCAACAAGCACAGAAAAACTTGCTCAACATCACTAATCATTGGGGAAGTCCAAATCAAAATCACCTGGTACTATCTCACACACATTAGCAGAGAAAATATTTAAAAACATAACCAAAAAATAACAAGTATTGGTGAGAATTTGGGGAAATTGAAATATGTGCACTATTGGTGGGAATGTAAAATTGTAATGGTCCGACAGGTTCTTTTTGCCCTCTGCCCAGCTAGAGCCAATTTACCAACAGTGGAATTGTGATAGAGAAAGAGTTTAATAAATGCAAAGATAGCTAAGCAGAAGACCAGAGTTTATTATTCAAGTCAGTCTTTCCAGAAATTCAGAGGCCAGGGTTTTTTAAGGATAGTTTGGTGCAAAGGGGCCTAGGAGATAAAGAATAGTGTTTGGTTGGGTTGGCAATGAAATCATAGGGGATTGAAGTGGGTTCTTACTGCTGTCATTAGTTTTTGGGTGGGATCACAAAACTAGTTGAGCCAGTTTATTGGTTTTAGTGGCACAAGCTTGTCCATCAGAATGCAGGGTCTAAAAAGTATCTTGAGCAGCAGCAGTCTTAGGTTTTACAATAATGAGGTTATCCTAGGAGCAACTGGGGAGGTTAGGAATCTTGTGGCCTCTGGCTTCATGATTCCTGAGTCATAATTCCTAATCTTGTGGCTAATTTGTTTGTTTTAGGGCTGTTTTCATCTCTGTTTCAGTTAAACTATAAACTAAATACCTCCCATAGTTAGCTCGTCCTATGCCTAGGAATGAACAAGGGCAGCTTAGAGTTTAAAAGCGAGATGGAATCAGTTAGGTCAGATTTTTTTCATTGTCATAATTTTTCTATGTCAGATTTTTCTCACTGTCATTTTTATAAAAGTGGTTTCAAAATGGTACACCTTTTGTGGAAAACAGTGTGGTGGTTCCTTAAAAAACTAAAAATAGAATTATCTTATGATCCAACGATTCCTATAGCTAGGTATATACTCAAATGAATTAAAAGCAGAGTCTTGAAATCTTGAAGAGATATTAATACACCCATGTTCACAGCAGCATTATTCATGATTGCTAAAATGTGAAAGCAACAAAGTGTCCATCAATAGATCAATGGATAAGCAAAATATGCTATATGTAATAACAGGAAAAGAATTGTGAGCATGACGTGAGCAAGATGGCAGAATAGTAGGTCCCAGCCCCTGCCTCCCCATAGAAACACTGATTTAATAACCACCTATGGTGAAAATACCTTTACAAGAGCTCATGCATCAGGTGATAGGTTCCAGCACCTGGTGGATAATAGAAGTGAGAAGACATTAAAAAGAGTGAGAACAGTGGCTTAACTTTACCCATGTTATCCTTCCTCAAGTTGGCATGAGAGATCTTCTCAGCCCTGCTTTTCTCCTGTAGGGGAAAAAAGAGTGTAAAGGGAGTGTCAAACCTTCCCAGCTTTTTAGGATGCCACCCAAGAAGCCTGTTTCTTTCACACTTCACCCAGAACACTGAGAGAATAGGCATGGCTAGATCACCTAGGAGTATCTAAGATCAAAGTAAAGGAGCAGGGGGTCTCAAAATTAGCACAGGGATCTCAACAGCTAACCTGTGGATCTCAACAGCTAACCTGTGGCCTACAGTAGCAGGTCCACCTGCTCATGAATCCTTGCAGTGTGTCTGCTTGTCTGCCCACAATCCCTGGCACCTGGCCTGACAGCAGACACTGCCAATCAGCCCATCTAGAATCTCTGATCAGGGTGACTAGTAAAAGGCTTTCCCTGCCAAAGCCAGTCTGTAAAGATGCAATATGGTAACTGCTTTTTCAAATATGCAGATACCAACATGAGGCAAGAATCATAAAGAATTGGGGAAACAATGGCACTGAAGGAACAAAATAAACTTCCAGTAGCAGAGCCTAAAGAAATAGAGATTGACTAACTTCCTTAAAAAGAACTCAAAATAATCATCTTAATGTAGTTCACTGAGTTGCAAGAGAACACAGATGGACAACTAAACAAAATAAAGAAAATAATACATAAACAAAATTAGAAGTTCAACAAAGAAATAGAAACCATAAAAAAGAACCAAATGGAAATTCTTGAGCTGAAGAATATGACAACTGAACTAAACAACTCAATAGAGAGCTTTAACATCAGACCTGATCAAGCAGAAAAATCAATGTACTTGAAGATAGGTTAAACTATAAACTAAATTCCTCCCATAGTTAGCTTGTACTATGCCTAGGACATTTGAAATTGAGTCAGAAAAGCAAGAAGGAAAAGAATGAAAAAAAGTGAAGAGAGCCTATGGGACTTATGGGACACCAGCAAGGAAATCAATATATGCATATGGGAGTTTCCAAAGGAGAAGATAAAGACAAAGTAAGCTTATTTAAAGAAGTACTCACTGAAGGCCAGATGTGGTGGCTAACACCTGTAATCCTATCACTTTGAGAGGCCAAGGTAGGTGGATTGCTTGAGCCCAGGAGTTCATGGAAACATGGCAAAACCCCATCTTAACAAACAAACAAAAACCAACTAGAAGTTTTCCAGTTGTGATGTTGTACATCTGTAGTCCCAGCTACTTGGGAGGCTGAGGTGGGCAGATTGCTTGATCCCAGGAGGGCAAGGCTGCAATGAGCCATGATCGCATCACTGTACTCCAGTCTGGGCAAAAGAGTGAGACCCTGTTTAAAAGAAAAAAAAAAGTTATTGAAAATTTCCCAAATCTGTGAAAGAAAATGAACATCCAGGTTCATGAAACCCAAAAGATCCAAAATATGTTGAACCTAAAGGAATTTACACAGAAAAACAATATAATTAAACTGTCAAACATAAAATACAAAGAAATAATTTTGAAAGCAGCAAGAGAAAGAAAATGGTGACTCATTGCATACATGTAACCCTGCAAAAGGCTGTGAGAGGATTTCTCAGCAGAAACCTTGCAAGACAGAAAAAAGTGGGATGATATATTCAAAATGCTGGAGGGGAAAAAACAACAAAAAAATCTTTCAACCAAGAATACTGTACCCAATAATACTATCCTTTAAAAATGAAGGAGTGGTGGGGCATGGTGGCTCATGCCTGTAATCCCAGCACCTTGCGGGAGGCCAATGCAGGCAGATTGCCTGGGGTCAGGAGTTCAAGACCAGTCTGGCCAACATGATGAAACCCTGTCTCTACTAAAAATACAAAAAAATTGCCAGGTGTGGTGGCGTCCACCTGTAATCCCAGCTACTCAGTAGGCTGAGAGAAGGGAATTGCTTGAACTAGGGAGATGGAGGTTGCAGTTAGCCGAGATTGCGCCACTGCACTGCAGCTGGGGTGACAGAGCAAGACTCCATCTCAAAAATAACAAAACGAAGGAGTGAGAAAAACTTTCTCAGATAAACAAAAGCTTAGGGAGTTCTTCATCACTAGATTACCTTATGAGAAGTGCTAAAGAAAGATAGTTCTTCAAGTTGAAATGAAAAGGTACTCAGCAGCAACACAGATATGAAAATATAAATCTCACTGCTAAAGATATATAGATAAATACATAAAAATGTAATAATGTAATAGCACATTAATCATTTCTGATCCTACTATAAAAATTAAAAGACAAAAGTAATAAGAATAAATACAACCACAAATTTATTGATGGATACACAATGCAAAATAAAATAAATTCTGACATCAATAATATAAGGTTGAGGGGAGGGAAAGAAGAGCGTCAGATTTTTGTATGCAATTGAAGTTAAGTTGTTATCAGCGTAAAACAGACAGCTATAACTGTAAGTTGTTTTATGCAAGCTGTATAGTAACCACAAACCTATAGTACATACAAAAATGGTAAACAATAAAAGAATCAAAGAATACCACTATCAAAAAACATCAAATATATAAGGAGGACAACAAGAGAGGAAGAGAGGAATAAAAGAAATACAAAACAGACAGAAAACAATGAACAAAATGGCAGCAGTAAATCCTTACCTATTAATAATTACATTAAATGCAAATGGACTAAACTGAATCAAAAGACAGAGTGGCTGAATGGATTAAAAAACAAGATTCAACTATATGCTGTGGCAAGAAACTTTCTCTAGTTTTAAGGACCTACATAGGCTGAAAGTGAAGGGGTGGACCAAGTTGTTTCATGTGTCAACCTAAATAACAGAAAGAGAGACTTTCTTTAAAAATGATATTTACTGGCCGGGCGCAGTGGCTCATGCCTGTAATCCCAGCACTTTGGGAGGCCAAGGCAGGTGGATCACGAGGTCAGGAGATCGAGACCATCCTGGCTAACACGGTGAAACCCTGTCTCTACTAAAAATACAAAAAAAATTAGCCGGATGTGGTGGCGGGTACCTGTAGTCCCAGCTACTCTGGAGTCTGAGGCAGGAGAATGTCATGAACTTGGGAGGCGGAGCTTGCAGTGAGCTGAGATCGTGCAACACTGCACTCCAGCCTGGGCACAGAGCGAGACTCTGTCTCAAAAAAAAAAAAAAAAAGATATTTATTTGGGAATGGGCATTGCAATGGAAATATGTGTGCCATAGTAACCTATATGCATGTTTAGGAGGTTACGGAAGACAAAGGTTTTTAAAGGAAAAATGATGAGGATTACATAAGTTTTTGAATCAATTATTTTTGACTGCAAGGATCAATAATAAGGGTGGTATCAGTTTGATGTTGGACAAGCAGTTACTGGGCAGATGTCCTTGTACGAGTATTTTTTGTATAAGATTGTGATGGCTTTTGTGCAAGGCTGCAATTTTTGCAGTCCTTTATGCCAATTCCTATTATCAGGGATTTATGCATGAGAACCCTCCTTTTATGGCCTTCCCTGGCTCCAGTTGTCGGGATTTTTTTGTTTTTGTTTTTGAGGCAGAGTTTCACTCTCGTTGCCCAGACTGGGGTGCAATGGTGCAATCTCGGCTCACTGCAACCTCCACCTCTCAGGTTCAATTGATTCTCCTGCCTCAGCCTCCTGAGTAGCTGAGAGTAGCACCTGCCACCATGCCCGGCTAATTTTTTGTATTTTTAGTCGAGATGGGGTTTCACCCTCTTGGCCAAGCTGGTCTCAAACTCCTGACCTCAGGTGATCCACCCGCCTCGGCCTCCCAAAGTTGTGGGATTAGAGGCGTGAGCCACTGCGCCCATCCTTGTTAGGGCTTTTAATGTTAGTATCTCCATTTTGATTCTGGCAACTTTTCAAAGTGCCCCCCTAATCCCCCACCTTTTCTTTAGAGACAGGATCTCACTCTGTCACCTAGGCTGGAGTACAGTGGTGTGATCATAGCTCACTGTAACCTTGAACTCATGAGCTCTAGTGATCCTCCATTTCAGCTCCCTAAGTAGCTAGGACTGCAGATGGGCACCACCATACTTGGCTAATTTGTTTTACTTTTTTGTAGAGATGGGATTTTGCTGTGTTGCCCAGGCTGGTCTCAAACTCCTGGGCTCAAGTGATCCTCCTGTCTCAGCCTCCTGAAGAGCTGGGATTATAGATGTGAGCCACTATGTCCAGTCCTGCTTTTTATCATTATCTTTCACTAAAAGCATTGCTGATTAATCATCCTGTGGTTAGGTTTTGTTATCTCTTGATGCCAAGATAGACTTCTCCCAATTTGTTGCTCTGGTCCCATGTTCTAGGTAGTAGCTGGCAACTATGAGTCAGTGTCAATGCTCTTTAAGCCATATTTAAGCAACAAGGGAGGTTTGGAGGAAGGGACTCTCAGGCTAAGTTTACATGGAGTTCATTGTTAAGTTCAATTTTCGTCTGTTCCGTAGGCATTGCTACCATCTCAAAGTACAGGGCCAGCATTATTGTGTCAGAAGTTGTACATCTGTAGAAATTTAACAAGTATTGGTAGTTTTTAGCCATGAACCTAGGCTTAAAGGCAACCAATTGAATAAAGGAAATGACCATAGGGAACTAGGTGGGATCTAATATAACCATGTGGCCTGTTTTCTTATTTTGTATATATGGGTCTCAGTTTCCTCAGAGGAATTTATCCAGGTAAAGCGTGTAGTATCCATAGCACATACATTTTCTTATTTAACCAACAGATAATACAGAGCAATTTTACCATCTAGTAGCCCATGATTGGGTTGGATTAGAGCAGAAAGTGAGCAACAGTTGTATTAGGAATGTTGCTAAAGTTACCCACTAAGGGGACTAAGGGATCTCAGGTCAGGTTCTATCAAATTACCAGTGCAATGTACTGTCTGGGAAATTTTAATTACACTATTTTCCTGCTGAGTGTAAAAGGTAGGCATTAAGAGGGTAAGAGTCTCATAAGATGGAGTCCTGTTCTGATGTCTTGGGAAAAGCTGTCTACAGTATGAAGCCATCAACTTATTATCCTGGTTTGCAGCTTTAATGTCTTTGGTTATGGTAATGGATGGGTTTGGTGAGCTTATCTGCATGGCTCATACATCAGGCAAAAATTTGTCCCCTAAAATTCACCTAGGTTCAGCACATAGGGCTTCGGGAACAGAGCAGTTCCCATTTTTTAGTGGTCCTATAGAAAAGAGTTGAATTGGAGAATAACTCAGGATCTAGTCTAGAATAACTCAGGATCTAGTCTGGTCTACAGGTAGATAATAAAACTTGAAAGCAATGCATAGAGCTACAATCTGATAATGGGAGTAATATACTTTTTCTTTAGAGACATAACTTTTCTCTCTATAGTCATCCCAATTTTTATTAAAGCTAATAAGTAAAAAAAATGATTTATAAAGTACATTTAATTTTATCACATTTAGGTCTGGTCATTTACATAAGTGCAGTAAGAATAGTGGTTGGCCACAGAGAAATCTCAGATTTATAAATCTCTCAAGATTTGGAAACCAAACTAAGGCAGACTTTAGATTTCTTCTACAGTCTTAAGGTTCCTGGGCCTGCCAGGAAGTGAAAATTTTTACTCACTATAAAGCTAAAAACCCTTGGAGCTAGGCATTCTATGCACATTCTCAAATAGATATTCCAGCCAAAGCCTTGGAAATACAACTATTTGTTCCAGTTGTGTCCTGTTATAAAGAGAGTAGATTCTTATTGAACTTGTGCAAATAGTTATCCTTCCATAAAGAAGAGTACTCATGAATGCTTTCTGAATTTTGGAGGGATCAAGTAGAGTGCAAAAGTAAATGTTTTCACTTTTGTTTATAAAAGTATACTTTACCAAATTACTATAAACTATAGATAATTTAAGAGAAAACATTCCTTTAAATCTGGAAAGCAAAATAGTTAAGTAAAGAATCAAAAATTTTCAAATAAAAGTCTTAAAACATTGTCTTAATCAGTTATTCTATTTCATGTAATTAATTTTCATTTGGCTTGGAATTGATTAGCAGTTTCACAAATTTGCCAGTTTTTTCATTACGGTTCTGAAAATTTATATTTAGTCTATTGATCTTAAAGTTATTAGAAAAATGTATTTAGGAATACTTGTTAGAGTCTTTTCAATGAATCTTATTGCAAATGCTTTTAGAGAAGATACAAAATTGTGGATGACAGAGATTTAAAATAGCCACGATTAAAAATCTGATGGAAGTTTATTCTAATCAGCAATTGACAATAAAATTTGGTTATTTTTGTGGCATACAACATAACCAGAATTATGACTGATGACATATTAGAATTCTAAGAGTTTTATATAATTTTGGAACATTCATATAAATAACATACCTATAAATAAAACTGAAAGAAGATCTAGCATCACTTATCAATTGACAATGCTTCCCATACAATTTACCAAACAAGCCTAATTATTATAAGAGGACACATCTGTCTATTGAGGCTCACCAGGGGGCCTAGGTTAATTCTAGGTCAAAAATACTTAATTTAGAATTTTGTTACAAAGGAAGCTCATCAAAGATGTGAAAGGTTTAAAACAGCTGATCAAAACAGAATCACAGGTCACTGTGACCCATAATCATGTCATCACTGTGACCTATAATCATTCATTTGAGCACAGTGATCAAAAGACTTCAAAAGCAATACGGAAAAGTCACTTCGATGTAAAAAATGCCTTAACCCTTTCAAAACTCAGTTTTCCTAAGCAATAAAAACAAACTAGTTAAAGATGACACATAAACCCAGGGAATTATTGATAAAACATAAAATCTTTTTTTAGGCCAGTTTTCAAAAATGTGAACAAAAATATTTTTCAGTGTGATTGTTTCTCCTTATGGGAAGCAATTTAGGTAACCCAGAAGTCAAATCTAATAAAAGACACTTAAATTTAATCAGATACAGGAAGAGTGTGTGCCCAAGGTTATGAGTGTATATCAAATCACAGAGGAAAGTAAACAAGAAAATTAATACCTTGAGCATGGAAATACATGGGTCTTGTAAAAGCATGGGGAATTTTCTGAGTATGTGAAATAATTCAGACATATCTGGAAAAGCCAAGAGTACAGAATCAAGTTATACTGGAGCAAAACATTGCTCTAAAAATGTAAAGCTACAGTTCAGAATATGGTTGAAAATTTTAAGAAACGTTTCAGAATTAAAAATCAAAACCTCTCCTAATTTTTTACTAAGAGCAGATTAATACCTCAGGAAAACCTTTTTCTACCATAGAAGACCAAATTTTTAATTTTATATCACTGTGTATTTATAGCATGCACACATAAATCAAAACTAATCTTTAGAAAGACTCACAATTTCCTTTTAATTATAGCCAGCACACACAAATGTTTTTCCTTTCTTTTTTTTTTCGGGGGGATGGAGTTTTGCTCTTGCTGTTCAGGCTGGAGTGCAATGGTGTGATCTTGGCTCACCACAACCTCCACCTCTCGGGTTCAAGCAATTCTCCTGTCTCAGCCTCCAGAGTAGCTGGGATTACAGGCATGCGCCACCATGCCCAGCTAACTTTTCTTGTATTTTTAGTAGAGATATGGTTTCTCCATGTTGGTCAGGCTGGTCTCAAATTCCGGACCTCAGGTGATCCTCCCACCTCAGCTTCCCAAAGTGCTGGGATTACAGGCGTGTGACCACCACGCCCGGCCCAAATGTTTTTCATAAATTCAGTCTTCACAAACTTTCCATGACTTACGCCAACCTTCCAAGATATGCTTAGACTATTAGTTTTGTTCTATATTTCTTCTTTGTTAAATAACCAGCCATTTTACTTTAGGACAGAAAACTTACCACACAAGGTTCTTTTTTATAGAAAAATTATCTTAAATTTTTAAAAATTATTTAAAAAATTTTTGGAGATATACAGTAGGTGTATACATTTATGGTGTCTATGAGATGTTTTGATAACTTTCTTTACATCTCTCTCTCTCTCTTTCTTGCTGGTTCTTTTCTATCTTTCTATTTCCTTCCTTAATTTTACTTTTTGAGACAACTAGCCTCTGAATTTAGACAAACTTTTTTATTTATTTATTTATTTATTTTTTATTTGGTTGAGACAGAGTCTTGCTCTGTCCCTCAGGCTGGAGTGCAGTGGCTCACTCGCGGCTCACTGCAAGCTCTGCCACCCGGGTTCACCCCATTCTCCTGCCTCAGCCTCCCGAGTAGCTGGGACTACAGGCGCCCGCCACCACACCCGGCTAACTTTTTGTATTTTTAGTAGAGATGGGGTTTCATCGTGTTAGCCAGGATGGTCTCAATCTCCTGACCTCGTGATCCGCCCACCTCGGCCTCCCAAAGTGCTGGGATTACAGGCATGAGCCACTGCGCCCAGCCTAGACAAACATTTTTTAAATGACACTTTTTTAATGCCTTATTATTTTTCTCATCAGAAATATGTTCATTTCTGTATACTTTGTATACAAAATTATATATGTTAATTAGAATGTTTAACTCTTAGTAACCTTAATTTCTAGTGATAACCTAGGAAGCAACAAATTTTAAACTGTCTGTCACATGTCAGTGTTTTGTAGAGAAGAAACATTTTATAATTTTTAAAAAGATGTTTTTCTATAACATAATTTTTTATGTACATTGATAGGCCCAACTATATTTAGTCTTTCTATAAAATTTATGAAGCAAAGTAAAATCTTATGTTTAGCAATATATGTTTCATTATTTTATCTTCTTGGGGAATTATCCAGACATTTAATGAGTATTGGTAAATTTAATATAACATAACTTTAAGATTTCAAATTATATAAAAGTTTGTTTATAAACATTTATCTCATTTACATTTACCTAATTCATTTTTATCAATTATACGTACATTACTTATGAAAACTGAAATTATTAGACAAAGCTAGCTATTATTTCAGATTATTTTTCTGTTAATGATTTTTACAGCCTGTGAATATCAGGTGTTCACCCAAGTAAGAAACTTACATGAGTATCTTGCCAATAAATCAGAAGATACAGCTGTTTTCATTATACCAATAGTAATAAATTACTCTTATTTATTAGAGTAATTATAAGTTATTGTAGAATAATTATTAAAGCAATTATACACAAAGATCATTCTGTTTTCAGGCTGGTTTTGAGGTATTTAACCTTTGTATCAAACCCTGACACCTTAAAACATCTAGTAAAGACAAATGTAAAACTGACTAGTAAGTCCAAGCAAAAATATATGCTAACAATTTTGAATTATATTTTTATTTTTTTACCAAGAATTTCAAAACCAACTTACTTATTAAAGGTCTACTTACGTCATATAAACTAAAGGCATTTGGGTTAATTATTAGATATTTTAACAGTTTATATGAGTACTCACTTATCTAAGCCAGTTTGAATAGAATTCCTTAAGGGATTTTTGGCCAACTATGCCAAATTCTACCATGTAGATACAACACACAGCATAATACATGTGCGTATATACAGACATATCTAAACATATATACACACACAAAGATCTTTTACCTTTATTTTAGAATTTTAGTTATGAGTCGGTAAAACATATTAATATATAGCATAAACTCATGAGTTTATAAAAGGCAGTTGAATCTAAATTATATTTCTGACAAAATGGGACTGGTTCACCTGACTAAATTTTATTTTCCCTGATAGGTAGTCTAATGAAGGCTGTGGGCCAAAACTTTGGATAAAGCAGTTTTTTTAAAAAAAAATCTTTTACTCTCCCCTTTTTCAGTTTCAAATGAGTTTAGTGGTTACATTTTTAAAATGTTTACATTTTAGCTGGGATGATTCGAATTGTGTGAGAAAAACAAAATCTCCAAGTAGTCTTGAATTTTAGTGACAAATTTGTCTTTTGTTTGTTGGTTTTGTTTGCTTGACTAGTCAATTTGGGCAGGAAAGTCCTGGAGGAAAAGTTATTTGCAGTTTTTTTTTCCCCAGATTTTTCTGGTTCATGCATAGCAGACAATGAAATTCTCATGCCAGACAGAGAAATCTTAGATTATTGCTCTGAATTTAAGATTTTGACCCATTTGATATGACAGCCTAACTTTGATAAACATTTATCTATTTATTTCCTTTTAGAATGTCAATCCTTCAATTAATTCTTCTATCAACTTAAGTGATTGTCATCCAGGCAAACCTAAATACATATTTCCAAAAGGTATCTAGATTGTTGATTACCATGGAGCTGTTGTATTTAACCTTTGTATCAAACCCTGACACCTTAAAACATCTAGCCCTTTAAACCTAAAAAAAAATATTGACTGGAATTCCATAAGCAGTGAGCTTATCTTAATACCAAAAGAAAAGTCAGCAGATTCAAAGTAGGCAGATAAAAATGGTGATAGACGCAGAACTTAGAAGGCTGTACATGTTAATGCTACAGTTGGTTGCAGTTTCTAATTTAGTTATAAGAAAAACAAGGTTGGGGAGTTTGAATGATCTCCTTTAATGGCCATAAATTATCCTTGGTGTAATTTTTGTCCATTGATTTAAAATGTACACCAGGATGGACCATAAGTCTTGAATTTATAGCTGTTTGAAGTCCTAGAGGTTTGGCATGATTTAGAATTTCAAGGATCCCATTCCATTCCTTTTTGTTCTGTGTTTGCTTTATTTTATTTTTATTTTTTTTATTTCCATAGGTTATTGGTGGAACAGGTGGTGTTTGGTTACATGAGTAAGTTCTTTAGTGGTAATTTGTGAGATTTTGGTGCACCCATCACCTGAGCAGTGTACACTGCACCCTTTGTGTAGTCTTTTATCTGTCACCCCCTTCCCACCCTTTCCCCCTGAGTCCCCAGAGTCCATTGTGTCATTCTTATGCCTTTGCATCCTCATTGCTTAGATCCCACTTATGAGTGAGAACATACAATGTTTGGTTTTCCATTCCCGAGTTACTTCTCTTAGAATTGTAGTCTCCACTTTTGAACTACAAACCACTGCTCAAGGAAATAAAAGAGGATACAAACAAATGGAAGAACATTCCATGCTCATGGGTAGGAAGAATCAATATCGTGAAAATGGCCATACTGCCCAAGGTAATTTACAGATTCAATGCCATCCCCATCAAGCTACCAATGCCTTTCTTCAGAGAATTGGAAAAAACTACTTTAAAGTTCATATGGAACCAAAAAAGAGCCCGCATCGCCAAGTCAATCCTAAGCCAAAAGAACAAAGCTGGAGGCATCACACTACCTGACTTCAAACTATACTACAAGGCTACAGTAACCAAAACAGCATGGTACTGGTACCAAAACAGAGATATAGATCAATGGAACAGAACAGAGCCCTCAGAAATAACGCCGCATATCTACAACTATCTGATCTTTGACAAACCTGAGAAAAACAAGCAATGGGGAAAGGATTCCCTATTTAATAAATGGTACTGGGAAAACTGGCTAGCCATATGTAGAAAGCTGAAACTGGATCCCTTCCTTACACCTTATACAAAAATCAATTCAAGATGGATTAAAGACTTAAATGTTAGACCTAAAACCATAAAAACCCTAGAAGAAAACCTAGGCATTACCATTCAGGACATAGGCATGGGCAAGGACTTCATGTCTAAAACACCAAAAGCAATGGCAACAAAAGCCAAAATTGACAAATGGGATCTAATTAAACTAAAGAGCTTCTGCACAGCAAAAGAAACTACCATCAGAGTGAACAGGCAACCTACAGAATGGGAGAAAATTTTCGCAACCTACTCATCTGACAAAGGGCTAATATCCAGAATCTACAATGAACTCAAACAAATTTACAAGAAAAAAACAAACAATCCCATCAAAAAGTGGGCGAAGGACATGAACAGACACTTCTCAAAAGAAGACATTTATGCAGCCAAAAAACACATGAAAAAATGCTCATCATCACTGGCCATCAGAGAAATGCAAGTGAAAACCACAATGAGATACCATCTCACACCAGTTAGAATGGCAATCATTAAAAAGTCAGGAAACAACAGGTGCTGGAGAGGATGTGGAGAAATAGGAACACTTTTACACTGTTGGTGGGACTGTAAACTAGTTCAACCATTGTGGAAGTCAGTGTGGCGATTCCTCAGGGATCTAGAACTAGAAATACCATTTGACCCAGCCATCCCATTACTGGGTATATACCCAAAGGACTATAAATCATGCTGCTATAAAGACACATGCACATGTATGTTTATCGCGGCACTGTTCACAATAGCAAAGACTTGGAACCACCCCAAATGTCCAACAATGATAGACTGGATTAAGAAAATGTGGCACATATACACCATGGAATACTATGCAGCCATAAAAAATGATGAGTTCATGTCCTTTGCAGGGACATGGATGAAATTGGAAATCATCATTCTCAGTAAACTATCACAAGAACAAAAAACCAAACACCGCATATTCTCACTCATAGGTGGAATTGAACAATGAGATCACATGGACACAGGAAGGGGAATATCACACTCTGGGGACTGTTGTGGGGTGGGGGGAGGGGGGAGGGATAGCACTGGGAGATATACCTAATGCTAGATGACGAGTTAGTGGGTGCAGCGCACCAGCATGGCACATGTATACATATGTAACTAACCTGCACAATGTGCACATGTATACATATGTAACTAACCTGCACAATGTGCACATGTATACATATGTAACTAACCTGCACAATGTGCACATGTACCCTAAAACTTAAAGTATAATAATAAAAAAAAAAGAATTATAGTCTCCACTTTCATCCAGGTCACTGCAAATGCCATTAATTTATTCCTTTTTATGTCTGAGTCGTATTCCATCATATATATATATGAATTTAAGATTTTGTGATATATATATCACAAGAATATATATACACACACATATATATATATCAATCACAGTTTCTTTATCCACTCATTGATTGATGGGCGTTTGGGTTGGTTCCACAGTTTTGCAATTGTGAATTGTGCTGCTATAAACATGCATGTGCAAGTATCTTTTGTGTATAGTGACTTCCTTTCCTCTGGGTAGATACCCAGTAGTGGGATTGCTAGATCAAATGGTAGTTCCGCTTTTAGTTCTTTAAGGAATCTCCACACTATTTTCCATATTGATTGTACTAGTTTACATTCCCACCAGCAGTGTTGAAGTGTTCCCTGTGCACTGCATCCATGCTAACGTGTACTATGTTTTTATTTTTCGATTATGGCCATTGTTGCAGGCGTAAGGTGGTATCGCATTGTGGTTTTGATTTGCATTTCCCTGATCATTAGTGAGCACTTTTTCATATGTTTGTTGGCCATTTGTATATCTTCTTTTGAGGATTCTCTATTCATGTCCTTTAACCACTTTTTGATGAGATTGTTTTTTTTTTTTCTTGCTGATTTGAGTTTGTTGTAGATTCTGGATATTAGTCGTCTGACAGATGTACAGACTGTGAAGATTTTTTCCCACTATGTGGGTTGTCTGTTTACTCTGCTGACTGTTCCTTTTGCCCTGCAAAAGCTCTTTAGTTTAAGTCCCCGCTATTTATCTTTGTTTTTATCGCATTTGCTTTTAGGTTCTTGGTCATGAAATGCTTGCCTAAGTAGGGAATGCATCCCTTTGTAGGGACATGGATGAAGCTGGAAACCATCATTCTCAGCAAACTATCGCAAGGACAAAAAAACCAAACACCGCATGTTCTCACTCATAGGTGGGAACTGAACAATAAGAAGACATGGACACAGGAAGGGGAACATGACACACCGGGGCCTGTTGTGGGGTGGGGAGAGTGGGGAGGGATAGCATTAGGAGATATACCTAATGTTAAATGACGAGTTGATGGGTGTGGCACACCAACATGGCACATGTATACATATGTAACTAATCTGCACAAATTTTTATAGTTTCAGGTCTTAGATTTAAGTCTTTAATTCACTTTGAGTTGATTTTTATGTAAGGTGAGAGATGAGGATCCAGTTTCATTCTCCTACATGTGGCTAACCAATTATCCCAGCACCATTTGTTGAAAAGGGTGTCCTTTCCCCACTTCGCTTTTGTTTGCTTTGTCAAAGATCAGTTGGCTATAAGTGTTTGGGTTTATTTCTGGGGTCTCTATTCTGTTCCATTGGTCTATGTGACTTTTTATACCAGTACCATGTTGTTTTGGTGACTATGGCCTTATAGTACAGTTTAAAATCAGGCAATGTGATGCCTCCAGATTTGTTCTTTTTGCTTAGTCTGGCTTTGGCTATGCAGGCTCTCTTTGGGTGCCATATGAACTTTAGAATTTTTTTTTCTAATTCTGTGAAGAATGATGGTAGTTTGATAAGAATTGCATTGAATTTATAGATTGCTTTTGGCAGTATGGTCATTTTTGCAATACTAATTCTACCCATACACAAGCATGTGATGTGTTTCCATTTGTTTGTGTTGTCTAGGATTTCTTTCAGCAGTGTTTTGTAGTTTTCCTTGTAGAGGTCTTTTACGTTAGGTATATTCCTAAGTATTTTAATTTTTTTTGCAGCTATTATAAAAGGGTTGAGTTCGTGATTGATTCTCAGCTTAGTTGCTGTTGGTATATATGAGAGCTACTGATTTGTGTACATTATTTTTGTATCTGGAAACGTTGCTGAATTCTTGTATCAGTTCTAAGAGTTTTCTGGAGGAGTCTTTAGGGTTTTCTAGGTAACAGTCAGATCATCAGCAAATAACAACAGCTTGACTTCCTCTTTACTGATTTGGATGTCTTTATTTCCTTCTCTTGTCTGATTGCTCTGGCTAGGACTTCCAGTACTATGTTGAAGAGGAGTGGTGAGAGTGGGCATCCTTGTCTCATTCTAGTTCTCAGAGGGAATGCTTTCAACTTTTCCCCATTCAGTATTATGTTGGTTGTGGGTTTGTCATAGATGGCTTTTATTACATTGAGGTATGTCCCTTGTATTCTGATTTTGTTGAGAGTTTTAATCATAAAGGGATGCTGGATTTTGTTGAATGCTTTTTCTGCATCTATTGAGATGATCATGTGATTTTTGTTTTTAATTCTGTTTATGTGGTGTATTACATTCATTGACTTGTGTATGTTAAAACATCCCTGCATCCCTGGTATGAAACCATTTGATCATGGTGGATTATCTTTTTGATATACTGTTGGATTTGATTAGCTAGTATGTTTGTTAAGGATTTTAGCATCTGTGTTCATTAGGGATATTGGTCTATAGTTTCCTTTTTTGTTTATGTCCTTTCCTGGTTTTGGTGTTAGGGTGATACTGGCTTCATAGAATGATTTAGGGAGGGTTCCCTCTCTATCTTGTTGAATAGTATCAGTAGAACTGGTACCAATTCTTTCAACATCTGGTAGAATTCTGCTGTTAATCCATCTGCTCCTGGACTCTTTTTGGTAATTTTTAAATTATTTCAGTCTCACTGCTTGTTACTGGTCTGTTCAGGGTATCTAATTCTTCCTGATTTAACCTAGGAGCGTTGTGTCTTTCCAGGAATTTATCCATCTCTTCTAGGTTTTCTAGTTTGTGCGCATAAAGGTGTTAAGAGTAGCCTTCGCTCATCTTTTGTATTTCTGCAGTGTGAGTTGTAATATCTTCTGTTTCATTTCTTACTGAGCTTATTTTGATTTTTCTCTCTTCTTTTCTTGGTTAATCTTGCTAATGGTCTCTCAATTTTATTTCTCTTTTCAAATAACCAGGTTTTGTTTCATTTATCATTTGTTTTTTTTGTTTGTTTGTTTCAATGTTGTTTAATTCTGCTCTCATCTTGGTTATTTCCTTTCTTCTGCTGGGTTTGGGTTTGGTTTGTTCTTGTTTCTCTAGCTCCTTGAGGTGTGACCTTAGATTGTCTGTTTGTGCTCTTTCAGGCTTTTTGATGTAGGCATTTAGGGTTATGAAGTTTCCTCTTAGCACTGCCTTTACTGTATCCCAGAGGTTTTGATATGTTTTGTCAGTTTGTTGTTAAGTTGGAAGAATTTTTTAATTTCCATCTTGATTTCATTTTTGACCCAATGATATTTAGGAGCAGGTTATTTAATTTCCATGTATTTCCATGGTTGCGAGTTCCTTTTGGAGTTGATTTCCAGTTTTATTCCACTGTGGTCTGAGAGAGTGCTTGATATAATTTCAATTTTCTTAAATTTATTGATGCTCATTTTGTGGCCTATCATATGGTGTATCTTGGATAAAGTTCCATGTGCTGTTGAACAGAATGTATATTCTGTGGTTGGATGGGATGTTCTGTTTATATCTGTTAAGTCCATTTGTTCCAGGGTATAGTTTACATTCATTGTTTCTTTGTTGACTTCCTGTCTTGATTACCTGTCTAGTGCTGTCAGTGGAGTATTGACCTCTCCTACTATTATTGTGTTGCTATCTCATTTCTTCTTAGGTCTATTAGTAATTGTTTTATAAATTTGGAAGCTCCAGTGTTAGGTGCATATATGTTTAGGACTGTGATATTTTCCTGTTGGGCAAGGCCTTTTATCATTATGTAACATCCCCCTTTGTCCTTTTTAACTGCTGTTGCTTTAAAGTTTGTTTGGTCTGATATAACAATAGCTACTGCTCACTTTTGGTGTCCATTTGCATGAATTGTCTTTTTCCACCCTTGTACCTTAAGCTTATGTGAGTCCTTATGTGTTAGGTGAGCCTCTTGAAGGCAGCAGATAGTTAGATGGTGAATTCTTATCCATTCTGCAATTCCGTATCTTTTAAGTGGAGCATTCAGGCCATTTACATTCAGTGTTAGTATTGAGATATGAGGTACCATTCCATTCATCATACTGTTTGTTGCCTGTATACCTTGGTTTTTTTTTTTTATTTTGTTTTCAAAATTGTATTTTTGTTTTATAGGTCCTGTGAGATTTATGCTTTAAAAAGGTTCTGTTTTGATGTGTTTCCAGGATTTGTTTCAAGATTTTAGAGTTCCTTTTAGCAGTTCTTGTAGTGGTGGCTTGGTAGTGGTGAATTCTTTCAGCATTTGCTTGTCTGAAAAAGACCATATCTTTCCTTCATATATGAAGCTGTTTCACTGGATACAAAATTCTTGGCTGATAATTGTTTTGAGGAGGCTGAAGATAGGGCCCCAATCCCTTCTAGCTTGTAAGGTTTCTGCTGAGAAATCTGCTGTTAATCGGATAGGTCTTCCTTTATAGGTTGCCTGGTGCTTTTGTCTCAGTTCTTAAGATTTGTTCCTTCATCTTAACTTTAGATAAACTGATGTCAGTGTGCCTAGGCAATGATCTTTTTTTTGAAAAATTTCCCAGGGGTTCTTTGTGCTCCTTGTATTTGGATGTCTAGGTCTCTAACAAGGCTGGGGAAGTTTTCCTCAATTATTCCCCCAAATATGTTTTCCAAAATTTTAGATTTCTCTTCTTCCTCAGAAATGACAATTATTCTTATGTTTGGTCATTTAACATAATCCCAGATTTCTTGGAGGCTTTCTTCATGTTTTCTTATTTTTTTCTTTGTCTTTGTTGGATTGAGTTAATTCAAAGACCTTGTCTTCAAGCTCTGAATTTCTTTCTTCTACTTGTTTGGTTCAATTACTGAGACTTTTCAGAGCATTTTGCATTTCTATAAGTGTGTTCATTGTCTCCTGAAGTTTTGATTGTTTTCTATTTATGCTATTTCACTGAATATTTCTCCCTTCACTTCTCAAATTTTTTTTTATTTCCTTACATTGGACTTCACCCTTCTCTGGTGCCTCCCTGATTAGCTTAATAACTAACCTCCTGAATTCTGTTTCAGGTAAATCAGGGATTTCTTGGTTTGGATCTGGTGCTGGTGAGCTAGTGTGATTTTTGGAGGGTATTAAAGAACCCTGTTTTGTCATAATACTAGAGTTGGTTTTCTAGTTCCTTCTCATTTGGGTAGGCTGTGTTAGAGGGAAGGTCTAGGGCTGAAGGCTGCTGTTCAGAATCTTTTGTCCCACAGGGTGTTCCCTTGATGTAGTATTCTCCCTCTTTTCCTATGGGTGTGGCATCCTGAGAGCCAAGCTGTAGTAATTGTTATCTTTCTTCTGAATCTAGCTACCCAGCAAGTCTACCAGGCTCTGGGCTGGTACTGGGGGTTGTCTTCACAGAGTCCTGTGATGTGAACCATGTATGACTCTCTTAGCCATGGATACTAGCACCTGTTTCGGTGGAGGTGGCAGGAGAGTGAAATGGACTCTGTGAGGGTTCTTAGCTTTGGTGGTTTAATGCACTGTTTTTATGCTGGTTGGTCTCTTGCAGGGAGGTGGTGCTGTCCAGAGAGTATCAGCTGTGGTAGTATAGAGAGGAACAGGTGGTGGATGGGGCCCTAGAACTCCCAGGAGTATATGCCCTTTGTCTTCAGTTACCAGGGTAGGTAGGGAAGGCTGTTGGGTCAGGGCAGGGCTAGGCATGTCTGAGCTCAGACTCTCCTTGGGCAGGT
The DNA here is from genome assembly GCF_000001405.40 of Homo sapiens. Lineage (NCBI taxonomy): Eukaryota > Metazoa > Chordata > Mammalia > Primates > Hominidae > Homo > Homo sapiens. Next base: position 56,568,888 of record NC_000015.10, on the reverse strand, counting down.
CTTGCTGTGGCTGCTGTGGGGGATGGGGGTGAGGTTCCCAGGTCAATGGTGTTATGTTCCTAGGAAGTTTATGTTTTTCTCTCCTGTGTCATGCAGGTTGTCAGGGAAGTGGGGGAAAGCCAGCAGTCACAGGCCTCACCCAGCTCCCACATAATCCAAAGGGCTGGTTTCACTCCCACCATGCCCCCCGACCCCAATAGCACCGAGTCTGTTTCTAGGCAGTGGACAAGCAGGGCTGAGAACTTGCCCCAGGCTACCTGCCTCCCAGCTGTGAAAGCAAGTTTGGCTTTCCTTCTTCCCCTGCCTGTAGAGTCTGCACACTGGATTCAGGCCCTCCCCCAAGTTCTGGCCAGGAGACTTCTCGATTAGTTCAAATTGTTGCCAAGTTCAGCTGGAGATTTCCTTCTCCCTGTGGCCTTTCCCAGTGCCTCTGGCCACCCTACCGAAGGACAACTGTGAGGCCAGGCAGAAATAGTTTGCTAGGGGACCCAGAGAGCTCACAGGGCTTTTCCTCTACCCCTGTATTTTGAGGGGTAAAGGAAAATCTGCTGTTTCCTCTACCCCTGTATTTTGCTTGGTTCTCTCAATTTACTCAGCTCCAGGTAAGATCAGCATCATCTCCCGTAATCTAGACCTTCAGTTTCCTTAGTGGGGTGTGTGTTCAGGAGCAGACGATCTCCCTTTCCCACTTCCACGGTTTGGGCACTCACAGTATTTGGATCATCTCCTGGGTCCAGCAGGAGCAATCTGCTTCCTTCAGAAGGTCTGTGGGTCCTCCCCGGCTTCCTGATTTATTCCTGCCGTCATTGAAGACAGAGGCGACTTCCTCCTTGGAAACTTTAGGCGCCACTGCTCAGTCCGAAAAAGCCCATTCCATTTTCTACTAATTGCTCGAGGGCAATGACAATCCTGAAAGCCCCATAAAGGAAAGTTAGGAGTTTGGACCAGTGTTTTAGATGGTGACCACTGCCCTCATCATGTTTAATTGGCCATCTTGCAACCGCCATTTAGAATGGTTATTTTTGTTCTCAAAAGATATTCAGAAGAAAGCCAGGGGAAAAAAATTTAGAAAGCCAAATTATTTATAAACATGCATAACCAAACCAAAATAAGAGTGCTCACAAAAATTTTAAGCTAGGCATGCAGATCAAACAAAATATTAAATTAGACATATAGAAAGAATTGAAAGTGTATTCACCAGAAAAGACATTCCTTACACACAGAACATAAATTCTGTAGAAATAAGAGTACACAAACTAGAAGAACACATGGCTTTATACCAGAAAGGGCTTGCCAAAAACAAACAAAAAAAATTTTTATTATTATACTTTTAAGTTCTAGGGTACACGTGTACAATGTGCACGTTTGTTACATAGGTATACATGTGCCATGTTGGTTTGCTGCACCCATCAACTCATCATTTACATTAGGTATTTCTCCCAATGCTATCCCTCCCCCAGTCCCCCACCCCTGACAAGCCCCAGTGTGTGATGTTCCCCGCCCTGTGTCCGAGTGTTCTCATAGTTCAGTTCCCACCTATGAGTGAGAACGTGCAGTGTTTGGTTTTCTGTCCTTGTGATAGTTTGCTGAGGATTATGGTTTCCAGCTTCATCCATGTCCCTGCAAAGGACATGAACTCATCCTTTTTTATGGCTGCATAGTGTTCAATGGTGTATATCTGCCACATTTTCTTAATCCAAGCTATCATTGATGGACATTTGGGTTGGTTCCAAGACTTTGCTATTGTGAATAGTGCCGCAATAAACATACGTGTGCATGTGTCTTTATAGTAGCATGATTTATAATCCTTTGGGTATATACCCAGTAATGGGATCACTGGATCAAATGGTATTTCTAGTTCTAGATCCTTGAGGAATTGCCACACTGTCTTCCACAGTGATTGAACTAATTTACACTCCCACCAACAGTGTAAAAGCATTCCTATTTCTCCACAACCTCTCCAGCATCTGTTGTTTCCTGACTTTTTAATGATTGCCATTCTAATTGGTGTGAGATGATATCTCATTGTGGTTTTGACTTGCATTTCTCTGATGACCAGTGATGATGAGCATTTTTTCACGTGTCTTTTGGCTGCATAAATGTCTTCTTTTGAGAAGTGCCCGTTCATATCCTTTGCCCACTTTTTGATGGGGTTGTTTGCTTTCTTCTTGTAAATTTGTTTAAGTTCTTTGTAGATTCTGGATATTAGCCCTTTGTCAGATGGGTAGATTGCAAAAATTTTCTCACATTCTGTAGGTTGCCTGTTCACTCTGATGGCAGTTTCTTTTGCTATGCAGAAGCACTTTAGTTTAATTAGATCCCATTTGTCTATTTTGGCTTTTGTTGCCATTGCTTTTGGTGTTTTAGTCATTAAGTCCTTGCCCATGCCTATGCCCTGAATAGTATTGCCTAGGTTTTCTTCTAGGATTTTTATGGTTTTAGGTCTAACATTTAAATCTTTAATCCATCTTGAATTAATTTTTGTATGAGGTGTAAGGAAGGGATCCAGTTCCGGCTTTCTACATGTGGCTAGCCAGTTTTCCCAGCACCATTTATTAAATAGGGTATCGTTTCCCCATTTCATTTTTTTTGTCAGGTTTTTCAAAGATCAGATGGTTGTAGGTGTGTGGTATTATTTCTGAGGCCTCTGTTCTGTCCATTGGTCTATATCTCTGTTTTGGTACCAGTACCATGCTCTTTTGGTTACTGTAGCCTTGTAGTACAGTTTGAAGTCAGATAGCGTGATGCCTCCAGCTTTGTTCTTCTTGCTTAGGATTGTCTTTGCAATCCAAGCTCTTTTTTGGTTCCATATGAACTTTAAAGTAGTTTTTTTGTTTTTTTTTTCTAATTCTGCAAAGAAAGTATATGGTAGCTTGATGGGGATAACACTGAATCTGTAAATTACCTTGAGGAGTATGGCCATTTTCACGATATTGATTCTTCCTATCCATGAGCACGGAATGTTTTTCAATTTGTTTGTGTCCTCTCTTATTTCCTTGAGCAGTGGTTTGTAGTTCTCCTTGAAGAGGTTCTTCACATCCCTTGTAAATTGGATTCCTAGGTATTTTATTGTCTTTGTAGCAATTGTGAATGGGAGTTCCCTCATGATTTGGCTCTCTGCTTGTCTGTTATTGATGTATAGGAATGCTTGTGATTTTTGCACATCGATTTTGTATCCTGAGACTTTGCTGAAATTGCTTATCAGCTTAAGGAGATTTTGGGCTCAGGTGATGGGGTTTTCTAAATATACAATCATGTCATTTGCAAACAGAGACAATTTGACTTCCACTTTTCTTAATTGAATACCCTTTATTTCTTTCCCTTGTCTGATTGCCCTGGCCAGAACTTCCAACGCTATGTTGAATAAGAGTGGTGAGAGAGAGCATCCTTGTCTTGTGCCCGTTTCAAAAGGAATGCTTCCAGTTTTTGTCCATTCAGTATGATATTGTCTGTGGGTTTGTCATAAATAGCTCTTATTATTTTGAGATACGTTCCATCAATACCTAGTTTATTGAGAGTTTTTAGCATGAAGGGCTGTTGAATTTTGTCAAAGGCCTTTTCTGCATCTATTGAGATAATCATGTGGTTTTTGTTGTTGGTTCTGTTTATATGCTGGATTACGTTTATTGATTTGCGTATGGTGGACGAGCTTTGCATCCTAGGGATGAAGCCAACTTGATTGTGGTGGGTAAGCTTTTTGATGTGCTGCTGGATTCGGTTTGCCAGTATTTTATTGAGGATTTTCGCATCGATGTTCATCAGTGATATTGGCCTAAAATTCTCTTTTTTTGTTGTGTCTCTGCCAGGCTTTGGTATCAGAATGATGCTGGCCTCATAAAATGAGTTAGAGAGGATTCCTTCTTTTTCTATTGATTGGAATAGTTTCAGAAGGAATGGTACCAGCTCCTCTTTGTACCTCTGGTAGAATTTGACAGTGAATCCATCTGGTCCTGGATTTTTTTTGGTTGGTATGCTATTAAACATTGCCTCAATAACAGAACCTGTTATTGGTCTATTCAGAGATTCATGTTCTTCCTGGCTTAGTATTGGGAGGGTGTATGTGTCCAGGAATTTATCCATTTCTTCTAGATTTTCTGGTTTATTTGGGTAGAGGTGTTTACAGTATTCTCTGTTAGTGGTTTGTATTTCTGTTAGATCCATGGTGATATCCCCTTAATAATTTTTTATTGTATCTATTTGATTCTTCTCTCTTTTCTTCTTTATTAATCTTGCTAGCAGTCTATCTATTTTGTTGATCTTTTCAAAAAACCAGTTCCTGGATTCACTGATTTTTTTGAAGGTTTCTTTGTGTCTCTATCTCCTTCAGTTCTGCTCTGATCTTAGCTTCTTGCTTTCTGCTAGCTTTTGAATGTGTTTGCTCTTGCTTCTCTAGTTCTTTTAATTGTGATGTTAGGGTGTCAATTTGAGATCTTTCCTGCTTTCTCTTGTGGGCATTTAGTGCTATAAATTTCCCTCTACACACTGTTTTAAATGTGTCCCAGAGATTCTGGTACATTGTGTCTTTGTTCTCATTGGTTTCAAAGAACATCTTTATTTCTGCCTTCATTTCATTATTTACCCAGTAGTCATTCAGGAGCAGGTTGTTCAGTTTCCATGTAGTCATGTGGTTTTGAATGAGTTTCTTAATCCTGAGTTGTCTTTTGATTGCACTGTGGTCTGAAAGACAGTTTGTTATGATTTATATTGTTTTACATTTGCTGAGGAGTGCTTTACTTCCAATTATGTGGCCAATTTTAGAATAAGCGTGATGTGGTGCTGAGAACAATGTATATTCTGTTGGAGTGGAGAGTTCTGTAGATGTCTGTTAGGTCTGCTTGGTACAGAGCTGAGTTCAAGTCCTGGATATTCTTGTTAACCTTCTGTCTCATTGATCTGTGTAAATTGACAGTGGGGTGTCAAATCTCCCATTATTATTGTGTGGTAGTCTAAGTCTCTTTGTAGGTCTCTAAGGACTTGCTTTGTGAATCTGGGTGCTCCTGTATAGGGTGCACATATATTTACGATAGTCAGCCATTCTTATTGAATTGATTCCTTTACCATTATGTAGTGGCCTTCTTTGTCTCTTTTTATCTTTGTTGGTTTAAAGTCTGCTTTATCAGGGACCAGGATTGCAGCCCCTGCTTTTTTTTTTTTTTTTTTTTTTTGCTTTCCGTTTGCTGGGTAGATCTTCCTCTAACCCTTTATTTTGAGCCTATCTGTGTCTCTGCATGTGAGATGGGTCTCCTGAATACAGCACACTGAAGGGTCTTGACTCTACAATTTGCCAATATGTGTCTTTTAATTGGGGGCATTTAGCCCATTTACATTTAAAGTTAATATTGTTATGTGTGAATTTGATCCTGTCATTATGATGTTAGCTGGTTATTTTGCTGGTTAATTGATGCAGTTTCTTCATAGCATCAATGGTCTTTACAACTTGGCATGTTTTTGCAGTGGCTGGTACTGGTTGTTCCTTTCCATGTTTAGTGCTTCCTTCAGGAGCTCTTGTAAGGCAGGCCTGGTGGTGACAAAATCTCTCAGCATTTGCTTGTCTATAAAGGATTTTATTTCTCCTTACTTGTGAAGCTTAGTTTCGCTGGATATGAAATTCTGGGTTGAAAATTCTTTTCTTTAAAAATGTTGAATATTGGCCCCCACTCTCTTCTGGCTTGTAAGGTTTCTGCTGAGAGATTTGCTGTTAGTCTGATGGGCTTCCCTTTGTGGGTAACCCGACCTTTCTCCCTGGCTGCCCTTAACATTTTTTCCTTCATTTCAACCTCGGTGAATCTGACAGTTATGTGTCTTGGGGTTGCTTTTCTCAAATAGTATTTTTGTGGTGTTCTCTGTATTTCCTGAATTTGAATGTTGGCCTGCCTTGGTAGATTGGGGCAGTTCTCCTGGATAATATCCTGCAGAGTGTTTTCCAACTTGGTTCCATTTTCCCCGTTACTTTCAGGTACACCAATCAGACGTAGATTTGGTCTTTTCACATAGCCCCACATTTCTTGGAGGCTTTGTTCATTTCTTTTTACTCTTTTTTCTCTAAACTTGTCTTCTTGCTTTATTTCATTAATTTGATCTTCAGTCACTGATATCCTTTCTTCCACTTGATCGAATCTGCTATTGAAGTTTGTGCCTGTGTCATGAAGTTCTCATGCCATGATTTTCAGCTCCATCGGGTCATTTTGTTTATTCTAGTTAGTCATTTGTCTAACCTTTTTTCAAGGTTTTTTAGCTTCCTTGTGATGGGTTAGAACATGCTCCTTTAGCTTGGAGAAGTTTGTTATTACCAACCTTCTGAAGCCTACTTCTGTTGACTCATCAAAGTCATTCTCCGTCCAGCTTTGTTCCATTGCTGGCAAGAAGCTGCGATCCTTTGGAGAAGAAGAGGTGGTCTGGTTTTTAGAATTTTCAGCTTTTCTGCTCTGGTTTCTCCACATCTTTGTGGTTTTATCACCTTTGGTCTTTGATGTTGGTGACCTACAGATGGGGTTTTGGTGTGGATGTCCTTTTTGTTGATGTTGGTACCATTCCTTTCTGTTTGTTAGTTTTCCTTCTAACAGTCAGATCCCTCAGCTGCAGGTCTGTTGGAGTTTGCTGGAGGTCCACTCCAGACCCTGTTTGCCTGGGTATCCCCAGTGGAGGCTGCAGAACAGCAAATATTGCAGAACAGCAAATATTGCTACATGATCCTTCCTCTGGAAACTTCATCCCAGAGGGGCACCCATCTGTATGAACTGTCTGTCAGCTGCTACTGGGAGGTGTCTCCCAGTTAGGCTACACAGGGTTCAGGGACCCAGTTGAGGAGGCAGTCTGTCCATTCTCAGAGCTAAATCACTGTGCTGGGAGAACCACTGCTCTCTTCAGAGCTGTCAGACAGGGACGTTTAAGTCTGCAGGAGTTTCTGCTGCCTTTTGTTCAGCTATGACCTGCCCACAAAGGTGGACTCTATAGAGGCAGTAGGCCTCGCTCAGCTGCGGTGGGCTCCACCCAGTTCAAGCTTCCTGGCCGCTTAGCTTACCTACTCAAGCCTCAGCAATGGTGAACACCCCTCCCCCGGCCAGGCTTCAGCCTCCAGGTCAATCTCAGACTGCTGCACTAGCAGTGAACAAGGCTCTGTGGGCATGGGACCTGCTGAGCCAGGCACGAGAGAGAATCTCCTGGTCTGCTGGTTGCTGGGACCACAGGAAAAGTGCAGTATTTGGACGGCAGTGTCCCGTTTTCCCAGGTACAGTCTGCCACGACTTCCCTTGGCTGGGAAAGGGAAATCTTCTGACCCCTTGCACTTCCCAAGTGAGGCAACGTCCCGCCCTTCTTCAGCTCACTCTCCATGAGCTGTACCCACTGTCCAGTCAGTCCCAATGAGATGAACCAGCTACCTCAGTTGAAAATGCCAAAATCACCTGTCTTCCGCGTCAGTTATGCTGGTAGATGCAGACTGGAGCTGTTCCTATTTGGTCCTCTTGGAATGGACCCCCAACAAAAAAATTTTATAGTTCTAAGAGGAATACAAGTTTTTTTCTTTACAGCAAGCTTATAAGCAAATCAGATCCTGAATAAAGTAAAAAAGAACCCACCAAAGGAAAGAATCTAAGAATTCGAGAGATTCACAGAGCCGAAAAGGTAACTCATGGAAGTGGAGAATGCCAAGGGCTCAGTTAGTATTGCACTTGATTCCACAGGCCAGTGATCTGTCTCTGATGAGGATGCTTTCTTCCTGCTTAGTGGACACCAAATTAGATCAACCTGTATAACAGACAGAGAGAAACTTTCTAAAAGCAAATGAAGTTTATTTGGGAATGGGCATTGCAATGGAAATACAGGTTGGTGCAAAAGTAATTGCAGTTTTGGGCCATGAATTTTAAATCATTATAACTAGGCTCGAACACATCTTTATTAATCAAAGTAGGAACCACTATAATCAATACATTTTTTGCCAATGAGAAATAAGTTTGTTTATTCCCATAGCATAAAAATCCATGCTTCAGGATTTGACAAACTCTTGGAAAGCATTTTCTGCCTCCTGCTGATTGTGGAAGCGTTTTCTCTGCAAAAAGTTGTCAAGATGCATGAAGAAGTGACAGTTGGTTGGTGAGAGTCAGGTGAATATGGCAGATGAGGGAAAACTTTGTAGTCCAATTTGTTCAACTTTTGAAGCATTGGTTGTATGATGTGCAGTCGGGCATTGTCATGGAGAGGAATTGTGCCATTTCTGTTGACCAGTGCTGGCTGCAGGTGTTTCAGTTTTTGGCACAGTTCATCGATTTGTTGAGTATATTTCTGAGATACAATAGTTTATCTGGGATTCAGAAAGTTGTAGTGGGCCAGGCACAGTGGCTCATGCCTGTAATCCCAGCACTTTGGGAGGCTATGGCGGGTTGATCACTTGAGGTCAGGAGTTCCAGACCAGGCTGACCAACATGGTGAAACCCTGTCTCCACTAAAAATACAAAATTAGCCAGGCATGGTGGCACACATCTGTAATTCCAGCTACTCAGGAGGCTGAGGCTGGAGAACCGCTTGAACCCAGGAGGCGGAGGTTGCAATGAGCTGAGATCATGCCATTGCACTCCAACCTAGGCAACAAGAGCAAAACTCCGTCTCAAAGAAAAAAAAAAGAAAGAAATGGGAAGAAAGAAAGAAGGAAGGAAGGAAGGAAAGAAAGAAAGAGAAAGAAAACTGAACAGAGTGGCAGCAGACCACCAAACAGTGACCATGACCTTTTTTGGTGCAAGTTTGGCTTTGGGAAATGATATGGAGCTTCTTCTCAGTTCAGCCACTGAACTGGTTGTCATCAGTTGTCATAGGAAGCACACTTTTTGTCACACATCACAGTCTGATCAAGAAATGATTCATTGTTGTTGCATAGAATAAGAGAGGACAACATTTCAAAATGACAAATTTTTAAAAATTTTCCCTCAGCTCATGAGGCACCCACTTATCAAGCTTTTTCACCTTTCCAATTTGCTTCTAATGCCAGATGATCATAGAATGGTCAACATCGATTTCTTTGGCAACTTCTTGTGTAGTTGTAAGAGGATCAGCTTTGGTAATTGCTCTCAATTGGTACTTGTCAACTTCCGATGGCTGGCCACTATGCTCCTCATCTTTAAGGCTCTTGTCTCCTTTGCAAAACTTATTGAACCACCACTGCACTGTACAGTTCATTAGCAGTTCCTGGGCCCAGTGCTGTTGATATTGTGGGTTGTCTCTGCTGCTTTATGACACATTTTGAACTTGAATAAAAAAATCACTTGAATTTCCTTTTGTCTAACATCACTTCTATAGTCTAAAATAAATATAAAATAAAGAGCAAGTAGTAACTCATGAGCACAAAAATGTAAAGTAAGAAATACACATTAAAATGATATATAACGTAACCACATTTATTTAAGAATGTGTTCCAGTATCAAACGGACAATTTCAACAATGCAAAAATGACTATTTACATATTCAGGGAGGTTAAGGAAGGCAAAGGTATTTTTTTTAAATGACAGAATTACATAAGTTTTTGGAATCAATTATTCTTGGCTACAAGGACCAATAATAAGGGTGACACTAGTTTCATATTGGACAGTCAGTTACTGGGTATATGTCTTGTAAAAGAATTTTTTGTGTGTAAGGTTGCAGTGGCTTTTGTGCAAGTTTGTGATTTTTGCAGACTTTCGTAAAAGTTCTTATCAGGGATTTGTGCGTAAGAACCCTCCCTTTGTGGCCTTCTCTGCCTCCATTTGTCAGGATTTTAAACATGAGTGACTCCATTTTTAATCTTGCAACTTTCACATATGCAAATGATAACCAAAAGAGAGCAGGCATGGATACAATTATTTACGATAAAATAGACTTTCAGACAAAAGCTGTAACAAAGGAAAAAGGAGATTATATAATGATGAAAGGGTCAATTCAATAGGAAGATATAACAAATATAGGTGTCTGACATCAGAATGCCTAAATATATAAAGCAAATACTGACAGATCTGGAAAGGGAAGTAGACAGTAATACAATAATAGCGTAGACATTAATACTCCACTTTCAATAACGGATGTTGGAGCCGGATAGATTATCATAAAGAAGATGTCGACTTTAACAATACTAAAGACCAACTGTTCTTAATAGACATACAGAACATTCCATCTAATAAGAGAGTACAGATTCTTCTCAAGTGCATATGGAACATTCTTCAGGATAAATCAGAATATGTCACAAAATAAGTCTTAATGTAAGAAGATAGAAATAATTCCAAGTATTTTTTCTAAGCATCATAGGTTGAAACTAGGAAACAATAACAAAAGAAAAAGGGAAATTCACACTTCATGCACGTTAAACAACACACTCTTGAACAACCACTGGGTCAAAGAAAAAAATCAAAAGGAAAATTTAGTAATATCTCAAGGCAAAGGAAAACAAAAACACAGCACACCCAAACTTATGAGATACACAAAAGCAGTACTAAGAGGAAAGTTGATCCCTAATAAACAACCTAATATTATATTTCAAGGAACTAAAAAAAAATTAATCAAGTTCAAAGGAAAGAAGGAAGGAAATAATAAAGATTAGAGCAGAAAAGAATATAATAGTGAAGAGACAAACAATACAAAAATTGTCAAAACTAAGAATTGATTTTGAACAGATAAATATTGACAAGCCCTTAGCTAGACTAACAAATAAAAAAAAGAGAAAAGATGAAAATAAAATCAGAAATGAAAGAGAAGATATTTCTGGATGTGACAGAAACAAAATAATTTAAGAGATTTAAGGGACTATTACGAACCATTATATGAGAACTAAATTGGACAAATTAGAAAATTATGAATAAATACTTACAAACAAAATACCTACCAAAATGCAATCAGGAAGAAATAGGTAACCAGAACAGACCAATAACAAATAAAGAGATTTAATCAGTAATCAAAAACACCCCCAATGAAAACAAGCACAGCACCAGATGGCTTCACAGCTGAATTCTACCAAATACTTAAAGAATGAATACCAATCCTTTGTGAACTCTTCCAAAAAATAGAAGAGTAAACACTTCCAAACTAATTTTATGAGGCCAGCATTAATGTGATACTAAAGCCAGTCAAAGACATCACAAGGAAAAAACCACAGGCCAATTTCCCTGATGAACATAGATGCAAAAGACCCAAAAATATTAGAAAACTAATTCAACAGTACATTGAAAGGATCATACAGCATGACTAAGTGGTATTTATTCCTAGAATGCAAGGATGGTTAACATACACAAATCAATCAATGTAATATACCACATTGTGATATACCATTAACAAAATAGAAGATAAAAAATCACATGATCATCTCAGAAGGTACAGAAAATTTTTTTTGACAAAATTCAACACTCCTTCATGTTAAAAAGTTTCAACAAATTAGATACAGAAAGAAACTTACCTGAACAAAGAAGGCCATATACAAAAATCCCACAGCTAATATCATACTCATTGGTAAAAAACTAAGAACATTTTCTTCTAAGATCCTGAACAAGGCAAGGATGCCCACTCTTGCTGCTTATGTTCAACATAGTTGTAGAAGTCCTAGCCAAAGCAATCAGGAAGTAGAAAGTTATAAAATGCATCCAAATTGGAAAGGAAGAAATTATGAACTGGTGGAAGACGTGACTTTTTATGTAGAAAAGCCTAAGATTATACCAAACGCTAAACCCAAAATTGTGAGAAATCACAAATGAATTTAGTAAAAGTTCCATGATACAAAATCAACATACAAAAATTAGTTGCATTTCTATATATGAACAATAAATGGTCTGAAAAGGATTAAGAAAACAATCCCATTTAATAAGCTAAAATACTTAGGAACAAACTTTCAAGGAGACGAAAGACTTGTATACTGAAAACCATAAAACCTTGAGGAAAATAATTAAAGCAAACAAATAAATGAAAAGATATCACCTGTTCATAGATTGGAGGAATTCATATTGTTAAAATATTCATACTACTCAAAGCAATATAATGCAATCCCTATCAAAATCCCAATGACATTTTTTTACAAAAATACAAAAAAGTTCCAAAATTCTATGGAACCACAGTAAGTAGTAAGTAGTCAAACCTATTTTGAGCAAAGAGAACAAAGTTGGAGGCATCACACTTCCTGATTTCACAATACATTGTAAAGCTATAGTATTCAAAACAAGATAGTACTGACATAAAAATGCACGTATGTCTTAGGCCATTGGAACATAATAGAACAGAAATAAACCCTTACATGTACAGTCAACTGATCTCCCACAAAGATGCCAAAAATATACAATGGATAAAGGATAGTCCTTTCAATAAATTATGCTGAGAAAACTAGATGTCTACATACAAAAGAATGAAATTGGAACTTCATATTACACAATACAGAAAAATTTACGAATAATGGAGTAAAGACTTAAATGTAAGACCTGAAACTGTAAAACTGCTAGAAGAAAACATAGGGAAAAAAACTTATTGACGTTTGCTTTGGTAATGATTTCATGGATAAAACAACCAAAAGCACAGGCAACAAAATAAAAAAAATAAGCAGGATTACATCAAACAAAAGAGCTTCTGCACAACAAAGAAAAAAAAATCCACAAAAGGAAAAGGCAGTCTATGAAATGGGGGAAAATATTTGCAAATCATGTATTTGATAAATGGTTAATATCCAAAATATATATAGAATTCCTATAACTCAATAGCAAAAAAAAGCCCCACAAATAACCCAATTTAAAAACGGGCAAAGGAACTGAACAGACATTCCTCCAAGAAGATATACAAATTGCTAGCAAATATATGAAAATGTGTTCAACATCACTACTTACCAGAAAAATGCAAATCAAAACCACAATGAGATATCATCTTACACTTATTATGATGGCTGTTAGCAAAGAAACAAAAGATCACAAATGTTGGTAAAAATGTGGAGAGAAAGGAAACATTGTACACTATCGGTGGGAATGTAAACTTGTATAGCCATTATGAAAAACAATAGTTTCCTCAAAAATTAAAAAAAGAATTACTATTTGATCCAGCAATCTCACTTATGGGTGTATATCCAAACAATTGAAGTCAGAATCTGAATAAATATCCACAATCCCATGTTCATTGCAGCATTATCATAACAGCCAAAATATGAAAGCAACCTAAATGTCCATGGATGGATAAAGGACAAAGAAAAAGTGGTAATGTACATACAATGGAATATTACTCAGCCTTTATAAAAGAGTAAAATCCTGCCATTTGAAACAAAATGGATGAACCTGGACATTATACCAAATAAGCCAGACACAGAGGACAAATACTACATGATCCCACTTATATGAACAATCTAAAACAGTCATAGAAACAGAGAAGAATGGTGGTTTCTGGGGGCTGGGGAAAGAGGAATATGGGGAAGTATTGGTCAAAGGGTACAAAGCGTCACTTATGCAAGATGTAAGTCCTAGAGATCTAGTAAAACAAAACCAATAGGAGTAAGTGTATTTTATATATATGTACACACACACATATAAAACAAAACCAATATATTACACTTGTATTGTGTGTGTGTATATATATACACCACACACACTTGTGTGTATATATATATACACTACACACACTTGTGTGTATATATATACACACACACATATGAGAAACAAAAAATATATAATTTATATATACATTATATATCTTAAATATGCAATTGGCTCATGTGATTATGAAGGCAACAATCTACAGTCTATGAGCTGGAAACCCAGGAGCTGATGATATAGTTCAGTCCAGTCTAACTACAAAGGAACAAGAACCAGGAAAGCTGATGGTATAATTTTTAATCTGGGTCCTGAAACCAACATAATAGTCCTGTGGACTGTTCTTTTAGATAAACATATAAACTGACTTTTCTGGTCTTAAAGCTTGAAACTTTTTGTTTTATCTGAGTTCCTTCCTCAGGAAAGGACCTTCAGGCCTCTCAAAAAAAAAAAAAAAAAAAAAAGTGTCAAAGAACTGAAACTAACCAGATCACCACATCCAGACTATCATACTTTGGACCCCTCATTCATCATGATTGCTTCCTTGCCCCTCCCTAGTTCCTGTTTTCTTACACAGTGTTACATTTCTTCCCTGCTATATAAACCCCTGGTTTTAGTTGGTCAGGGAGATGGATTTGAGACTAAGCTCCTATCTCTTTGGCTACAGCACTGGATTAAAGCCTTCTTCTTTGGCAATACTTGTTGTCTCAGTGATTGGCTTTCTGTGCGATGAGCTGCAGGACCTAGACCAAACCCCTGGTGTTTCAGTAACAGTCCAAGTTCAAAGTCTGAGGCAAAGATTGATGTCACAGCTTGAAAACTGGCAGAGAGAAAGATTCCTTTCTTACTCAGCCTTTTATTCTATTTATGACTTCAATGGATTGGATGAGGCTCACCCACATTGGGGAGGACAATCTAGTTTACTCAGTCTACTGATCAAATATTATTCTCATCCAGAAATACCCGTACAGACAACGCCAGAAATAAGGTTTAACTGAGTATCTTGGCACCTTGTGGCCCAGTCAAGTTCACACATAAAATTAACCACTATAACTGGTTCTTACCTGCAGCCAAGACTGAGAACCACTGCTCTGGGTACTGGAAAGAATGGCATTTAAAGCCTGGAACTTTATTCAAAGAATTAACAGTAATCTAAATGTTCAGGTGCTTCTCACAATAAGTAGACATCCAAGGTTAAAGAATGGCTAAATAAGTCAGACTGGGACAGATAAATTGGAGGAAATGGTATTTCAGCAAAAGTTTGTTTTACATAGATCTAGAAACATACTCACTTTTTCCATAACTCTCCATACAAGGGGGCAGATTCTAAACACAAAAGTAGGAGTTTTTATCTCTTTTAAGCAACAAACTACTTTAACATTCTAATGCAAGTTTGTTGCATTGAACTAAAAAGATGACTTTAATTTTCCATGATAATTAGAAAACTTGCCATTCATTTACTAAATATTTAAAAACTTTTCAGTATGTCTCCTCTTGTGCTCTTATAAACCTTTTATGAGTTGGGTAAAAATCAGTGTAGGATTCATGAATAAGTAAGTACAAAGTCTGGATTGATGCAAATTCAGTGATCATCACTATTTGGTTTTGTCATTTGGCAGCAGGGATAATCTTAACATCTAAACATAATTATCATTGAATTTGTGATACTTTATTCTACAACCCCAAATTTCACAATACGGAATTTGAATTTGTTTATCCTCTGGCAGTATTAATATAGGAGTCAAAGCCAAACTGTGGAGTATGAATCCCCTTTCCTCTTGGCAAAGTGTAGTTGCATTCTCTCTTTAGGGAAGCATCTTTTCCACAGTAATTGGGAAAAGGCACATGAAGAAATGAGAAAGGCATATGATCTTATCTCAGTCAAGGGCCTTGCTGGCTTTGTTCTGGTTACAATCAAGTTTCACAAACCCAGTCAACACTCCAGGCAGGACAGAAAACAATCTCAGAAGAAACAAACCCATGAGTTCTGAATTCTATTTCCTTATTCTGTGTGACTTTGTTAACATTGGGAATGTTATCAAAGCTCTCTGAGCCTCTGTATATTAATTTATTTAATAGGAAATGATAATATATACTTCATAGGCTTGTCATAAATATTAAATGACACAACCTGTTTAAAATCAATAGCACAGCTTTAGAGATGTATTCAATAGATGCTGGTTCCCTGTGTCTACTAGTTTTCTATACCACTTGTCCTCTTCTTCTGGTAAAATGTACCTGGACTTCACTTATCTATCTAAACCTCTAGTTCAGATAATGCAACGTAATAATCTGAGGCTGAGGCAGATCTCAAATGAAAAGAAGAAAATAATCCAAGTGAAATTTCAATATTTGATGGAAGTGAACCTGAGGTGTACAGTGAGTCCAGTCAAATGGAAAAATCTTTAGAATCCTAGTAATGTGAGCATACCAAAATGACTTCTTCAAATTGGATTGTCAGCGTATTGCATCAGTTCTAGAGGTACTGGGAGAGAAAGATTTCCTTGATAAGTAACTGAAGCTAATTTGCAAATATTCTTAAAGGCCATATGACCCAATCACCTGATTTGGATTTATCCTTTCTGCCTATTCTCCTTATCTGGGATCCAATCACATGAGTGTGTTTAAATTTGACTATGATAACCATTCCCTACAGATATCTACTGCCATGAGGGTTTTCTGATTTCAGTCTATGCTTCCCACATTGGTAACTGGGTAGTATTATCTAAAACAAAATCAAAACCCAAAAACTTGTGCAACAGTTTAAATTCATGCCTTTATCTCACTTTCTCCCACAACTCTATTAAAATTATAGTAAAGGGATAAAATGACAATAGATGGATGTGCCCCTTCCTAATCAAAACCCCTTCCCACCTCTGCAAAGGTAATCGCTATACTGACTTTTACAAAAAATTGTGTTACATAAAATTTACCATCTTTATCATTTTAAAGTGTACAGTTCAGTAGTAAGTTCATTCACATTGTGGTACAACCAATCTCCAGAATACTTTTCACTTGCAAAACTGAAAAATTATACCCACTAATGGCAAGTACCCATTCATCCTTCCCTCCAGCCCCTGGTAACCACCATTGTACTAATCTAAATATCTCACATACGTGGAATCATAGAATACTTGTCCTCTTTTTTACTGGCTTATTTCACTTAGCATAATGTCCTCAAGGTTTATCTATGTTGTAGCAAGTGTCAGAATTTTACTCTTTTTTAAGGCTGAATAATATTCTATTTTATTTACATAAGATATTTTGTTTATTTGTTCATCTGTTGATGGACACTTGAGTTGCTTCCACCTTTTGGCTATTGCAAATAATGGTGCTATGAACATAAGTGTACAAATATCTTTCTGAGACTCTTCTTTCAATATTGGAGGGTATATACACAGAAGCAAGATTACTAGATTATACGGTAGTTCTATTTTTTTAAGTTTCTGAGGAATCATCATATTGTTTCCCACTGTAGCCACACCATTTTACATTCTTATCAACAAGGCACAAGTGTTCCAATTTCTCCAAGTCCTCTCCAGCACTAGTAATTTTCTATTTTTTTGATAATAGTCATCCTTTGGGTGAGAGGTGTTATCAGTTGATTTTGATTTGCATTTCTCTAATAACTCGTGATGTTGAATGTCTTTCTATGTGTTTCTTTGCCATTTGTATATTTCTTTGAGAAATGTCTACTCAAGTCCCTTGTCCATTTTTTAATTGCCTGGGGTTTTTTGAGTTGTTGTTAGGTTGTAGAAGTTCTTTATATATTCTGGATACTAACCCCTTATTAGATATATACTTTGCAAATATTTTCTCCCATTCTGTAGGTTGTCTTTTCATTGTTGATTGTGTCCTTTGATGCACAGCAGTTTTAAATTTTGATGTAGTACAGTTTGTCTATTTTTACTTTTTTTGCCTGTGCTTTTGTTGTTACAGCAGCTTTACTTGTAATAGACTAAAACTGGAAACAATCCAAATGTCTTTCAACAGCTGAATGGATAAATATATCGTGGTATATCCAAACAATGGAATATTACCCAGCAATAAAATAAAATAAACTTTTGATACATGCAGCATTATGGTTGGATCTCAATATAATTAATCTGACAAACTTCAGACAAACTTAAAATTCTAGAAATGCACATTAATCTGTAGTCATAGATGGTCAGATGGCTTCACAGCTGCATTTCAATGCTTATCAAATGCTATGCCTTAAACATGTGCAGCTCATTGCTTGTCAAATTACAACTCAAAAAAATGTTAGAAAGAATTATCTCTTTGGTATTTCCACAGAATTTTGTTTTAAATCTCTATTACAGTGTTACCTTTGAAGTTAGAAACTTTAGAGTTAGAAGGCCTGGGATGGAGTCCCATTTCCATTAATTATTAAGCATGTGACTTTAGGGAAGTTAAAATCAGTTTTGTCATCTATAAAATGGATATAACTAAAGTGCTTCTCTCAGAATATTGTTCAGACGATTGAATGTATCAACTTGGCACATTGCCTATCAACTGGTGAGTGCTCAAAAATATCCATTGCTGTGATCAGTAATGCCACAGGGTGACCATTTAAGGACAGAGTCCATGTTTTATCCATCCTTATGTTCCTACTATGTTACTGTTGAACAAAGTACACTCTCAATTACAGCTACATAGGAGGAATAAATTCCGGTGTTCCGTACCACCATAAGATGACTGTAGCACACAATAATATATTATATAGTTTAAAATATCTAGAAGGAGAATATTGAATATTCCCAACACAAAGAAGTGATAAATGTTTGAGATATGAATATGGTAATTACCCTAATCTGATCTCTATATATTATATCATTGAAACATCACAATGTACCTACAAATATGTACAATTATTACTTGTCATTTAAAAAAATAAAAAATTGAGTAGGTTAAACTGGCTTATTATTGCAAACTGCCAGAGTATATTTAGCCATTCCTTGGCATTTGATCATTTGGAGCATTTTCAGTTAGTTTTTTTAATGTTCAGACATACACAGCTATAATATGTTGGCACAGTAATCATACAAACCCTCTCTTCCCCCATTTCAACTTACTTCTTGGGATATATTCTCAGGAATATTATTATCAGAAAGAGCATGATGAAAATATTGGATCGTGGTGGCTATTTTATTTTGTCTAGGATGTTTTCCCATTTCCTGTCTTCTTGTTCACCTCCCTTTTCTTCAGGAAATGCACAAGGAGGAGTGTGGTCCAGGGAGTGGTCATTTATAGTGCTCACCTTCACTGGATGGGCTCCTCATTCTCCTGTATTCCTCTGGGAAATGACTGATTTGTCAGTGTTGGGGGAAGGACATGTGACCTGAGTCTGTCCAATCAGTGTCCATGTTGGAGAGGGAAAGATTCAGTCCTCTGTTTCTCTTGGATCTTGAGATATAGGATGCAGGCCTTAGATGGTCAACAGCTCAGTCTTCAATGGTGTGAGCTACTCTAGGGTCCTTCAAAATTACAGAGGAATGCAATTTTTACTTACTTCAGAAAGTCTTGAACAATATGATTGGTTTTGTGATGTTTTTCTCTAAATCTTACTCAATTTGCTGTCCTGAAAGATTACTCATTTGCAATGTCACTAGCAGGGGATGAGTCAACCGACATCCCCATTGCCCCACATACATGGTTTTAGAATTTTTAAATTGCCTTTACTAATTTAATACGTATGAGGGTCATCTAAGTTTAGAATTCTGGACCTATGTATACATGTGCTATGTTATATATATATATATATATATATGAAAGAAATACATCAGCTTATCTTAACCGTTCATCATTAAAATGGTTGGAAAAAAAAGAATTCTGGACCTATAGCCCATCTTGTCACATATTGCTTTTCTCAGACTCCTTCAGAAATGCAACACAGAGGACTCTAGCCCAACGCATAATCTACACTCCAAACTGAAGTTTCTCCTTCAAACTTTGTCTGCTTTACCATCCTGATGAGCTTGCCTTCACATTAACTCAATGACCCATGTTGCCCTGTTCACCGAAATCCTGAAACCAACACTGAGGTAGTCCTGGAGCCTGGCTGTGGCTCTGCCCAACTTTCCTGAGCCACCTCCACTCCTTGCTACTACTGGTCACAGTGGAGAGATACACAGAGGACAACAGGCAAGGAAAAAAGAGAGCTGAAGATTATCATTATTTCCTCACTCTTTTCATCAAAGATATTATCTCCTGGTCCTGAAATAGTAGTGAGTGAAGCATTGTTATTACATAGCTACCATTTATTAGTGCTTATTAGGAGCTGGATCTTATGTTTTTTATTTTATTTTATTTTTTGAGATGGAGTCTCGTTCTATCACCTAGGCTGGAATGCAGTGGTGCCATCTCGGCTGACTGCAGCCTCCGACTCCCAGGTTCAAGTGATTCTCCTGCCTCAGCCTCCAGAGCAGCTGGGATTACAGGCACCCGCCACCCTGCCAGGCTAACTTTTGTATTTTTAGTAGAGATGGGGTTTCACCATATTGGCCAGGCTGGTCTGGAACTCCTAACCTCAGGTGATCTGCCCACCTCAGCCTCCCAAAGTGCTGGGATTACAGGCATGAGCCACCATGCCCAGCCGGGTCTTATGTTTAAATACAGTCATTTTAACCCTCATAACAATTCCAGGTTGGTGTTGCTATCCTAGTGAACGGATAATGAAACTAAGTTTAGGGGAGGTTAAACTTCACATGTTAGTAAAGAACAGAGCCAAGATTTGACCCCAGATACCTGACCTTCCTGACACGAAGCATGATGCTTTGCAGAGACAGCCCCATTCTAAGGCAGGATGCTTGGCAGTGGCCCTCTCCCCGTGACAGATACAGAAAGGTGATAGACACTTTACAAACATGCTTCTTAAGAAGAAAAATACTACGGTCACCAAAAATAAATAAATTATATACACAGCTTTGGGATCAAGGTAACTATCTTGAATGCCTTTTGTTGCTGCAGGGAAATCGATCAAAAGAAAAGGAACGCATCCATGCACGTGATCTTAATAGATTTTAAATGATCCTTGAGACACCAAATGCTACACCAAAATGCTTCCAAGCTCTAAAGTGACTAGTGAAATTATTTTGCGCAGACAATTTAAAATGTTAGTTATATTTCTATTCCAAATGTGCTACATTTGTAATTTATGATATGTTGTGATCCTTTGTATTAGCAATATATGTATAAAACTTAATTTGGAACTCGGAGTCTAAGTTTTCTGTTTTAGGATACAGTGGAGGGCAGTAGTTGTATATTTTGTCAGGCACACAAATACCCAATTATAAACTTTTTCCTAAGTCAAAATATTAATGCTATATTAAAATTTCTAGTATCTTATATAATAATACCCCATTTGTCCCTTTCAGCTGCTCCTTGACACCCTCCTGAGATACCAGACAATAAAAAATGTAGATTTTAAAAAGTAACCATCACCTTATGCTTTATAATAAGCCACAATTTTGTGCTGTTCTTATTCTATTAAAGACAATCGCTACAATATATAAACATGGTTAGGTAAGTGACAAAAATTCAATGGTTTCTAATTACTGTGAAAAACTTGGATTAGTTTTTCTTCCAAGATTAAGTGTCAGACTTCTCTAAATCTTTTAAAAATATATACATTATTCTCTGTTCTTGTTTCCATCATTTCGCTTGAGATTTTTCAGAGCACTTTTGCTGTCAGTCTTTTGCCATTTTAAAATAAGACCTTTCACTACCTGTATCCAGTGTCAAAAAGTCCCTGGGTATAACTCCTATTAATAATTGAGAGTCCTGGTGGCTTTCTTTCTCTGCTTTTTAGTATTCAGCTAACTTATCTCTGCCAAAGAGAATTAATAACAAGCTGGCTAGTATACATTTTAAATGAGCTATGCATATTAAAAGGATTATTAAAATGTTACATGAGATATATACTCAAAGGTAGAAACAATCATACATGAAAAGCAAGAACGTTCTAATACTACATTCTATGAATAAACAGGAAAGACATGGCAGAGGTTCACTGGTTTGCTGACACTAACAGCAATGAAGTCAAGAGAAGAGCTGGTACCTCACTAATAATAACCTTAGGGGCCACTCATGAGCAGGTTTGCAAATAACTAACACTTGAGTTACACGACCACCTGGCCTAACCTGAATGATATTGATCCATGTGACATTTAATAACAGTGTAATTATACAGCCTTTTAACCTTTTCAAATGCAGCTCCAATTTGAGATAAGAAAAACGACAAATCTACATATTTTTCCTCTATGATATTTGCATAAAGCTGAATAGTTGTATCTGTGAATAAATATTTATAATGACAGAATAGAATGTTTCATTAGGAACAAGACTGCCATTTTACTGATTCACTTACTTCTGTTGTATATCCATGTCATACCTGTTTTTGCCTTTGTAATTTTACACTTTATTTTAAACTACACATCAAATTTACTCAGGGATTTGACGATCAGCTAGTTTCCTCACTTGCAAAATAAAAGGAGAGTAAGGTAGATTATTTGTATTCAAACTGTTTTTAAGATATTTTTCAACATATGCAAAAGATAAGCTAGAGCTGGTATGGCTGATATGGGATAGATAGGGACTTTCTCCCAGGGAGAATGCTGATTCTCCTTCCCCTCCACCCTGCAAGAGCTCCAGGGAATCTAGTTAAAAACAAAGCAAAGCAAAGATACTTACAAGAACTAAGAAGTAAGGTTAGCAAGGTCACAGAATACAAGATTAATATAGCAATCCAATAATAAAATTAATAAAACGTATTGTTTCACAGTAGTAATATTCAAAAGAATAAAATACTTAGGAATAAAGTTAATGAAACAAGGATAAGACCTTTATACTAAAAACTATAAAACATTATTGAGAGAAATTAAAGACCTAAATAAATAGCGATATATGTGTTCGTGGATTGAAAGAGTTAATATTAAGATGACAGTACTCCCCAAATTAAACAATCAAGTCTATAAAATTCTTATCAAAATCCCAGTAGGTTTTCTGTAGATGTTGACAGACATATCCTAAAATTTAGATTAAAATCTAGATTAAAAAACACCTAAAATAGTTTAAAAGAATTCCAAAGAAAAAGACTGGAGGACTACACTACCTGGTTTCAAAACTTACTATAAAATTCCAGAAATTAACACAGTGTGGCTTTGGCATAAAGATAGATATATAAATTAATGTGAAAACAACAGAATTCAGAAATAAATGCACATATATATATATGGTCAGTTGATTTTTGACAAAGATTCCAAAGCAATTCAATGTAGGGGAAGAACAATCTTTTTTTTTTTTTTAAAAAAAAGCTGGAATAATTACATCTATGTATGTATCTATCAATTTATCTAAAGGAACATAGGCCCTTACCTCACACAATAGACAAAAATTAGCTCTAAATGAAACATAGACCTAGGTGTAAAACTACAACTATAAACTTTTAGAGGAAAACATAGGTAAAAAATTTTGTAACCTTAGGTTAGTCAAATATTCATTAGATATGACACTAAAAGCACAATCCATTTTTAAAATAATAACTTGGACTTCACCACTATTAAAAACTTTTCCTTTTTAAAAATGGTAAGACAAACCACAGGCTGGGAAAAATACATGCAAATGATGTATCTAAAAATTGACACATATTCAGAATATATAAAGAAAACCTACAACTCAATAAGACAACACACTGGGCATGGTGGCTCACGTCTGTAATCCCAGCACTTTGGGAGGCTGAGGTGGGCGGGTCCCCTGAGGTCAGGCGTTCGAGACCAGCCTGGCCAACATGGTGAAACCCCATCTCTACTAAAAATACAAAAAAAAATTAGCCGGGCATGGTGGCACACACTTATAGTCACAGCTACTTGGGGAGGCTTAGGCAGGAGAATCTCTTGAACCTGGGAGGCAGAGGCGGCAGTGAGCCAAGATCACGCCACTGCAATCCAGCCTGGGCAACAGAGTGAAACTCCATCTGAAAAAAAAAAAAAAAGACAACACAACACAAAATGACTAAATGATTTTAATAGATATTTTATCAAAGAAGACATACAAATGACTAATAAGCATGTGAAAAATGCTCAAGATTTTTGGTTTCTGGTCCAACATGTGTAAAGCTTGGAAGTTATCACTTCCATCCTCACAATAAGAAGAAAGCTGAACAAATTGAAAATCAACAGCTCTTCTTAGATCCATCAGGTAATTGAGGCCACAGGGCAAACTGCTGCCCCTGAAATGGCAGAGACAGGTAAATACAGAGTATCACAGCATACTGGGAACAGAAGTTGCTACTGGAGACAATACTATAGATAATGGACTAACTGTTGGATATTGAGCCTTGGACTAGTTTGAGAGAACACTTCCTGGAGATCCAGCTTTAGGGATCATCAGTTTTACCTCTAGGAGTCCCATAAGGTTTTCAGGGTAAAGAACAGAGAAAAATCCCCTCATGCTCTGGTAGGGGAGATAAAGACGGGGAATAATCATTTTGAAATACACATAGAGCATTCTGTTCTCCTTAACAAAGGCTTGTTCTCAAGGGATCTATTTTAATAGTATCTAGCTTGTTTGAGTTTTACTAGACTCTAACTGACTCTGGAGAAGGAAAATACCCAACTTCAGCCTCCTCAAGGCTTTGATGTGGGAGAAAGAAACTATAAGACTCAGACACTATTTGAGAAGGAGTCTCTAGGGAAACCCGAAGACAACAGAGAAAAACAAGGACACTAGGGGAAATTTTATTCTTTCACACCTACTACAATAGCAATAGTAAACACAGTCTATATACTAATCAGATAAACATAAAGCCTCACATGAAAGGTCTGTTTACCACAGTACCATTTACTTGATACAGTATGTTTGGCTTTCAACAAAAAGTTACAAAGCATGCTAAAGGCAAAAAACAAACAAAAAAACCCCCATAGTCTGAAGAGACAAGCAAACCATATTCAGACACAGTAGATTTTGAAAGTATCAGAACATTAAAAATAACCATGATTAATATGCTAAGGTGCTAAGAGGTCTAATGAAAAAGTGGACAACAAGAAAGAATGGATGAGTTATATAAGCAGAGAGTTGGAAATGCTAAGAAAGAATAAAAGGAAATGCCAGGAAAGAAACCACTTGTAACAGAAATGAAGAGTGCCAGTAGACTAGATACAGTAGAGGAAAGAATCATTGAGCCTGAAGATATGTCAATAAAAATTTTCTAAACCAAAAAGCAAAGAGAAAAAAGAATTTTTAAAAATGGAACAGAATACCCAAGAACTATAAGACAATTACAAAGGGTGTAACTATATGTAACAGGGTTGCCAAAAGGAGAAGAAAGAGAAAGGAACAGAAGAAATATTTGAAGTAATGATGGCTGAAAATTTTTCAACATTTTCAAAACCACAGATCTAGAAAGCTAGGATAACACTGAGTAGGGTAAATACCAAAAATGCACACCTCCACATAATAATCAAACTGCAGAAAACTAAAGACAAAGAGAAAATCTAGAAAGAAGCCAGGGGAGGGAAATACACTTTACCTACAGAGGAACAAAAATAAAAATGACATTGGATTTCTTTTCAGAAACCATGCAAGCAAGAAAAGCATGTGGTGAAATATTTAAAGAATTGAAAGGAAAAAAAAATCTACCTAGAAGTTTGTACCCAGTGAAATTATCCTCCAAAAGTGAAGGAAAAATAAAGACTTTATCAGAAAAAAGAATTGATGTAGACCTACCTTGCAAAGAAGGATTACAAGAAGTTCTTCAGAGAGGAGGAAAATGGTGTAGGTCAGAAACTTGGGTCTGCATAAGCAACAGGGAGCATCAGGAAAGAAGTGTAAGTAACATAAAATATTTTATTTTTCATATTAACGGATATAATACATTGTTCAAAATAACAATGAAGCAATATATCTGATGATCACAGCTTATGGACAAATGAATGACAGCTGTATTATAGGGATGGGATGCCCTCCTCTTTCCTTTCCCTCTTGGGAAATGGTGAGGAGCCATTTAGATCATGGAAATGGTGAGGAGCCTCTTGGGAAATGGTGAGGAGCCATTTAGATCATGTGGACAGGGATGAAACGATGAGTAGAAGGAACCTGGGTCCCTAATGTTACAGATTACCATATGAGCTCTAGATATTATTTGAAGGTCCCCATTAGAATTAGCTGAGCCTCTACCTAGCAAATACAAGAGCCTAGTACCAGTAGAGAAGTGTGAGAGGAATCCCGAGTGTGCAGGGTTAAAGGGGGATCAGAGAATGAAGGTAGCTCAGGTGCACCATTCTCATCAGTAGGTTGTCAATAAAAGAGCCACGAGAGAGAGAGAAGAGAACTTGAAGAGACAATAAAGGACACAATTTGCTGCTTTCTGAATCACTGATGAATCTGAGTCAGTTAAGGTATAAATGCTTCAAAAATAAATAGTATGAATGGCAAGAATGGACTCTTGTTAAGTACTTTCTAATAGTAGAATTTGCATTTATTATAAACCTGCATCGATGTTGCACTTTTATCAAAATTAAAGCCATTAAGTCAAATAATCCTAGTTTAATTATGAATAAGAGATGTATTAATCAACTACTGTAAGTACATTGTCACATTATTTAAAGAAAACTAAAAAATCATTTTGACAAGGAGATCATGTGCCAAACTTAATAAACATAGCCAGGACAATTTGGGTTGCTTAAAGATTTTTAAAAACAAATTTGTATGGAGATTTTTGCAGCATGGATATGGATATAGATATAGATAAGTAGATATATATATATATGAAACAAGATCATTAGCAATGTTTAGGTCTGGTTTATGGGATTAGGTAATAAATTTTCTTTTTGTATTTTTTACATTTTTGATCTTTTTTTAAGTTCAAATCATGTTATTAAATTATTATTTTTTTAATTTTATTATTATTATACTTTAAGTTTTAGGGTACATGTGCACAATGTGCAGGTTTGTTACATATGTATATATGTGCCATGTCGGTGTGCTACACCCATTAACTCATTATTTAGCATTAGGTATATCTCCTAATGCTATCCCTCCCCCCTCCTCCCACCCCACAACAGGCCCCGGTGTGTTATGTTCCCCTTCCTGTGTCCATGTGTTCTCATCGTTCAATTCCCACCTATGAGTGAGAACATGTGGTGTTTGGTTTTCTGTCCTTGCGATAGTTTGCTGAGAATGATGGTTTCCAGCTTCATCCATGTGCCTAAAAAGGACATGAACTCATCCTTTTTTATGGCTGCATAGTATTCCATGGTGTATGTGTGCCACATTTTCTTAATCCAGTCTATCATTGTCGGACATTTGGGTTGGTTCCAAGTCTTTGCTATTGTGAATAGTGCTGCAATAAACATACGTGTGCATGTGTCTTTATAGCAGCATGATTTATAATCCTTTGGGTATATACCCAGTAATGGGATGGCTGGGTCAAATGGTATTTCTAGTTCTAGATCCCTGAGGAATCGCCACACTGACTTCCACAATGGTTTAACTAGTTTATAGTCCCACCAACAGTGTAAAAGTGTTCCTGTTTCTCCACATCCTCTCCAGCACCTGTTGTTTCCTGACTTTTTAATGATTGCCATTCTAACTGGTGTGAGATGGTATCTCATTGTGGTTTTGATTTGCATTTCTCTGATGGCCAGTGATGATGAGCACTTTTTAATGTGTTTTTTGGCTGCATAAATGTCTTCTTTTGAGAAGTGTCTGTTCATATCCTTCACCCACTTTTTGATGGGGTTGTTTGTTTTTTTTTCTTGTAAATTTGTTTGAGTTCTTTGTAGATTCTGGATATTAGCCCTTTGTCAGATGAGTAGGTTGCAAAAATTTT
This sequence comes from Homo sapiens, assembly GCF_000001405.40. Classification (NCBI taxonomy): domain Eukaryota; kingdom Metazoa; phylum Chordata; class Mammalia; order Primates; family Hominidae; genus Homo; species Homo sapiens. The sequence continues at coordinate 56,541,555 of NC_000015.10, read as the reverse complement.
CTCCCATTCTGTAGGTTGCCTGTTCACTCTGATGGTAGTTTCTTCTGCTGTGCAGAGCTTCTGCACAGCAGAAGAAACTACCATCAGAGTGAACATTTTTGATCTTTTTTAAAAGAGGAAAAATAAATATTTAAAATTTATCATTCTTGGGTGTTTCTTAGAGTGGGGGATGTGGCAGGGTCATAGGATAATAGTGGAGAGAAAGTCAGCAGATAAACACATGAACAAAGGTCTCTGGTTTTCCTAGGCAGAGGTCCCTGCGGCCTTCCGCAATTTTTGTGTCCCTGGGTACTTGAGATTAGGGAGTGGTGATGACTCTTAACGAGCATGCTGCCTTCAAGCATCTGTTTGACAAAGCACATCTTGTACCGCCCTTATTCCATTTAACCCTGAGTTGACACAGCACATGTTTCAGAGAGCACGGGGTTGGGGGTAAGGTTATAGATTAACAGCATCCCAAGGCAGAAGAATTTTTCTTAGTAAAGAACAAAATGGAGTCTCCTATGTCTACTTCTTTCTACACAGACACAGTAACAATCTGATCTCTCTTTCTTTTCCCCACATTTCCCCCTTTTCTTTTCAACAAAACCACCATTGTCATCATGGCCCGTTCTCGATGGTCGCTGTCTCTTCGGAGCTGTTGGGTACACCTGCGGAAAGGATGTCACTTCACAGTTGGAAGATTGCACAGCTGCCGGGCAGAGGCACTCCTCACTTCCCAGACAGGGTGGCCGGGCAGAGGCGCTCCTCACTTCCCAGGCAGGGTGGCGGCTGGGCAGAGGCGCTCCTCACATCCCAGACGGGGCGGCCGTGCAGAGGCGCTCCTCACATCCCAGACGATGGGCGGCCGGGCAGAGGTGCTCCTCACATCCCAGACGATGGGCGGCCAGGCAGAGGGGCTCATCACATCCCAGACGATGGGCGGCCAGGCAGAGACGCTCCTCACTTCCTAGACGGGGTGGCAGCCGGGCAGAGGCTGTAATCTTAGCACTTTGGGAGGCCAAGGCAGGCGGCTGGGAGGTGGAGGTTGTAGCTAGCCGAGATCACGCCACTGCACTCCAGCTTGGGCAACATTGAGCATTGAGTGAGCGAGACTCCGTCTGCAATCCCAGCACCTCCGGAGGCCGAGGCGGGCAGATCACTGGAGGTCAGGAGCTGGAGACCAGCCCGGCCAATACGGCGAAACCCCGTCTCCACCAAAAATAGAAAAACCAGTCAGGCGTGGCGGCGCTTGCCTGCAATCCCAGGCACTCGGCAGGCGGGGGCAGGAGAATCACGGGAGCCCGAAGCAGGGAGGTTGCAGCCAGCCGAGATCAGGGCAGTACAGTCCAGCCTCAGCAACAGAGGGAGACCGTCAAAAGAAAGAAAACGAAAGAAAGAAAGAGAGAGAAAGAAAGAGAAGGAAAGAAAGAAAAAGAAAGAAAGAAAGGGAGGGAGGGAGGGAGGGAAGGAAGGAAGGAACGATTTTAAATTTAAAAGTCCTCTATCTCCTTTACTGTTAGTTGAAGGGAAACAGGTAGAAATAGTGGATATAAGAAAAGTGTGCGCTTGAAGTGCTTCGCTTTTGTAAAGGAAGAGGAGAAACACTTCCAAAGTCAAGGGTGTTGTTCAGCTATAAATGGGCCTTTGTCTGTGTTCATCTCTATTACTCCTGCCAAGGACAGGGATTTTCCATGTGATTCTAAGAGGATTAAAATGGTAAAAAAGAGTGACTGTGACAAGCTGAGATGTGCCTTTAGGATAACCAAAGGTCAGAAAAGGATTAAGTAAATGACCCAGCTGGAGAAGGTAGAGAAACACCCTATCAAGGAGAACCTGACATTCTGAGGACAAGAGTGTTTGCTCGGGAAGAGCTAAGGAGAATGACACTCAGGGTGTGATCCGGGGAACAGCCTCAGATCAGAGAAGTGGAGTCTGGACTACGAAAACCGGAGGTTTTTCTGTGAGGAGAACCCAGGGAGGCTGCTGGCTGAGCTGGCGGGAATGTGGAGAAGAAAAGCAAAGACAAGAACCTGCTCCTGAGGTCTGGAGGTTGAGGAGAAAAGGAGTGTGGGTGAAGTAGTAATCTCAGAGACTGAGGCTAAGAGGAGAAGTCTCTGGACTGAATAAAGGCACCGCCACTAGAGAAGAACCAGAAGGTCCCAGAGTGCGTTATATCAAAATACCGGGGAATTGTTCTTAACATTTGCTTCAACTGTGTAACTGTATAATGCACACACCTCAACTTCCCCGTTCTATAGGAAGTGATACTTGCGTATCAACACTACAGTGCACCCTGTTGGGAAAAGAAGCATTGTTGGTGACCAGTAAATGAGGAAAGGAAGGATACTAACTTCAGTAGAGGGAATGCTGTTTCACAAAATACAGCTAAGAATGTTATGCATGCAATGTTGTCTTTTAATTTTCACAGTAACCCTCTGCAGTCAGTAATATTATCCCTGCTTCACAGACCTGAAGAGAAAAGAGTTTACTAATGTGGTCAAGATGCTCAGCAAGCTTAAGTCTGGTTTGAGCCGAAGCCCTCACTTCCCACCTTACCATGCCCGTGAGCACTCTCTGATCTGACTTGGAAATGAAGAGTTAAATTTAGGTGAGTCAAAATAGATCATTCAAGTGGAGAATAACCTGGCATCCTTATTTCTAAAATGCATGATAAACTTTCAGTATTTTACCTAATTTCCTGAAGATTCCAAAGAGATACTTAATTCTCAAGACCCCAAAAAGCCAGAAGCATTCCATTCTCCAAATGAAAAAATTGCATGTAATATTTTTTAAATGGAGCATCATTATATTCATGCCATTAATGGAATTAGATATGCTCAGATACATAAGCAGTATGCACAGTGTCCACATAATGTCTCAGACACACTAATCTGAGAGGTTGAGGAAATCAAATATTGTTAAATATTATTTAGAGATGTACAAAGGTAGCTCTCGGAGAGGAAGCCATCAGTAGGTTTATAACAAGTCCATGTTTTTCTTTTCTATTTTTGTATTAGGGAATAGATGTTGATAATCAAGAAAGATTACTTGTTTCCAGGGTGAAGGGGGAGGGAAAAAGCAACCAATTACACTAAATCAGAAGTATCATTTTGGGGGGGGTGTAATAACTGATAGGATGATGAGTGTTTTATTTAAAGTTCCAACAAATAATTTTAAGGAGAATGTTTCATTAATTCATGTGGTCACTCAGTTTTCATTCTTTCCTTCCAGTGCCAGCACTGGTAAGTGTGAGAGAAAAATGAGTAGGACATGGTCCTTTCCTCACAGTGAGGGCAATAGATACACATGAGCTAACTACAGTGAAATATGATAGGCTTTGCAAGGACAGATGAGCAAAAGGCTGTGGGAGCCAGAAGAAGGGAAGCATCTATTGCACCAAGACCTGTGTGACTGTTAAAGCTCCCCAAAGGCAGAAGCCAGGCCCCAGCCCCTGGAGTGACTGCCAACATAGCAGCTGCGGAGCCGCGGTTACACCATTGTAGCAACAGCCAGAAAGCAAGATGAAGCCAGGCCCGGCAGCCTCATGGTTGTGGTTAACAGGTGTTGAAGCAAGTGTGAAGGAAGTGTGAGATCAAACCACAGCTGGGTTTGGAGAGATAAACCTCTCTTAAATGCATAAAGAAATAACCTAAGCAGGCAATGTTGTCACTTCACTGAAGTTTAAGTTTGTCTTCAAATTTATCAGGATCCCAAGGTTTTTCCCATGGTTTTTCTAAGCTTTGACACTTACCTGGGTTACAGCTCTAATTTGGAAAAGGACAGAAATGTTGAGAATCAAATGCCTGGAAGTGAAAGATGAACTTCTGCAAGAAAGTGGCTGGAGTATTCATTAGCACTTTGTTTGGAACTTTCTCACCTGCTAAGTCCTCATCTGCTTCTTCCCTTAAAAATTGCAATGCTTTATTCATTCATTCATTTGTTAATTAAGTATGTATGGAGCACCTACTGTGGACTAAACTTTGATGATTCATAGATGATTAAATGCCATCACTCCTCTCTGGGAGTTCATCTTAATGGGAAGGCAACACTCAATCCCAATATAAGGCAATAAATGTGTAAAACATATCCTGGAAACACGATGGAGGAACTGATTTACCTGCCCAAGAAAGATGTCATAGGAGAGAATATCTTTGAGCTTGGGTGTAAAAGATATGTAGGGATTTTCAAATAGGATGGCAAAGAGATTTTTTTTTAATTTAATTTTTATTTTGGAGAAAGGGTCTCACTCTAACATCTACATTGGAGTGCAGTGGCACAATCATGGCTCACTGCGGCCTTGACTTCCCAGGCTCAGATGATTCTCCCACCTCAGCCTCCCAAGTAGCTGGGACTACAGGCACATACCACGGCACCTTGGTAATTTTTTGTATTTTTTTTTTGGTAGAGATGGGGCTTTGCCATGTTGCCCAGGCTGGTCTCAAAGTTCTGAACTCAAGTGATTCGCCCGCCTTGGCCTCTCAAAATGCTAGGATTACAGGCATGAACCACCATGCCTGGCCCAGAGAGTTTTTAAAGAGAGAAAACAGCCTGAGCTAAGTCACGAACGCCCAGAATTGCATGGAGTATTCAAGAAAAGGGGCCAGCATTAGGTCAGGATTGGAGTAACAGAAGATGTGCTGGAAAGGCAGATTCGGACTACCCTTATAGAAAAGAAGAAACAAACAATTGTCTTAAAAGCTTTAGCCCGTCCCAACTTGTGGGTTCAGAGACAGTGGGGTTGCCTCTAGTTGACTTTAGCTTGGCTTTGACTTGTTGTTTACTAGCCGAATTTCTAAGACATAGTTTTGAAGCAGGCAAAGTACATACAGAATGTCCCATTGTCCCCTTTCTGCTTCATCCCTCTAAAGAGCACTCTTTGTCTCCAGACTTCTTTCTAGCTTCTTTTATTCTGTGATCTAACAGAGTCTGTCAGCTGGAGGCTCCCTTCCTCATGCCTTTACTCCAGGCTCAACTGAATCTGATAAACACATTAAAAAAAAAAAAAACAGAGTAGCTTCACTGTGTTACTTCTCAAGACAATACGTCTGACTCTCAGTAGAAGTGTTCAATATTTCACATAAACTAATTTTTAGATCTAGCAAGTATGTGCCTGTGTGTTTGCATATGTGGTTGTGAAGATTTTGAGGAGAAAGGAGAGCAGATGCTATTTGGTCTGCTGATGTCATCATCTGGATTCACACGTCACTGAGAGTGAGGAGCGGACCACCTCTGAGCTCCACCTTCTTACAAGTTAGTGTGGCCATGGCCCTAGTGTCCATAGTCTGATGTTGAATGGGGCTTCGATGTACAAGGTCAGTATGTTTCAAGTTTTTATAATAGTCCCTATTAAAGATGTAAATTACCCTACCAAAAAAACAAAAAATTTCATTCACGAAGTCCCACTCTATCCTGAAGAATCCATAGGCTTCCTACTTTGAGAATAATCAGTGTGCAATGGGCTACTTTGAACAAACTAAAGTGAGAAAACACAAATAGAGCTCTACATTTTATGATAGTTGTGTTGTCAATATTGATCAATGGCCTACAAACATAAATATCACTGTCATGATCTATGAAACCAAGGGTGCCTCCTGGACCCTAATACAGTCATGAGTCACTTAACAATGGGGATACATTCTGAGAAATGCATCGTTAGGCGATTTTGTCGTTGTGCAACCGTCACAGAGTGTACAGTACTGAAACAAACCTAGACGGTATAGCCTACTACACACATAGGATATATGATATGGCCAATTGCTCCTAGGCAACGAATCTGTACAGCATGTTACTGTACTGAATACTGTAGGCAATTGTAACACAATGGTAAATGTTTGTCTATCTAAACATATGTAAACATAGGAAAGGTACAGTAAAGGCAGAATATAAAGGATTAAAAATGGCACGCCTGTATAGGGCATTTACCATGAATGGAGGCTGTGGGACTGGAGGTTGCTCTGAGTGAGTGAGTGGTGAGTGAATGTGAAGGCCTAGGACACTACTGTACACTACTGTAGACTTTATAAACATTGTACACATAGGCTACACTAAATTTTTTTCTTTCTTCAATAGTAAATTAACCTAAACTTACTGTAACTTTTTTATTTTATAAACTTTTTTTAACTATTTGATTATTTTGTAATACTTAAAATACAAACACATTGTACAGATGTACAACAATATTTCTTTATATCCTATTCTATAAGCTTTTTCCTATTTAATGTTTCACTTTCTAAGCTTTTTTGTTAAAAACAAAGACACAAACACATACGTTATCTTAGGCCTACAAAGGGTCAGGATGATCAGTTCTACTGTCTTCCACCTCCACATCTTATGGTCTTCAGGGACATTAACATTCATGGAGCCGTCATCTCCTATGATCATGTCTTTTTCTGGAATACCTCCTGAAGGACCTGCCTGAGGCTGTTTTGCAGTTCCTTTTTTTTTAATAAGTAGGAGTATACTCTAAGACAATAATTTAAAAAGTATAGCATAGTAAACACATAAATCAGTAACACAGTTGTTTATTATCAAGTATTATGTCTGCACATAATTGTATGTGTTATTCTTTTTCACCGGCCAGTGCAGTAGGTTTGTTTACACTCGCATCACCACAAACGTGTGATTAATGTGTTGCACTAAGAAGTTACCATGGCTACAACATCACTAGGCAATAGGAATTTTTCAGCTCCATTATAATCTTATGGGACCACCATCATATATGCAGTCTGGCATCGAACCAAAACATTGTTATGTGGGATATAACTGTATTCTTGACTTACTCTAAATAGTAACTCACATATGGTCTGTTATAAGAGATACAGATTTCTAATATATTCTCCATGTTCTACTGAGGTTCTAGAGGATTTTGGGGTGAAGTGAGTGTTTAATATTATTGGTATGGCTAGAGGAATATATGTCTTTTAGTGCAAGCAAAACCCTGCACTATGATAGCTAAACAAGAGCCATTTGCCTTTCAGTGTGTATAGTCTGAACCTTTTACAGTCTCTAGTGGCAATGTTGGGAGGAAGAGTAAGAGATAATACTAATAAGCTCTGATCTTGCAGATGCAGAATTCTGGGGCAGAAATGACTATAAAAGGCTTTGCCAACTGGGGATCCAGGACTGGCACTCAAATTAAAAAGGGAGAGCATCTCTTTTTCTCTTTTTTGTGTGAACCTTTTCCTCTCTACAAATAAACTGAGGCCTAAGGTACTCTTTTCCCAGTTCTACTGTGGGTGTTTAGCTTCATGAGCAAAGGCAGATGAAGGATTTGGTTTAAACCAACATCTTAAGCAGGACAGCTGGGAACTCTTCCACACCTCCTGGGAAAGCTAAATATGGTAACATTCTCCCCAGGCCCTCACGGGGACTATGTCACAAAGCAGAGCTGGGTGTATTGTATAGGCCTTCATGACAAGCATCACAGTCTAGGCTTTGCCAAAGGTGGTGAGCTGCCTCCATGCAGTGCTGGGAAACAATTGTTGGAGGCTGTTGAAGGGGAGTCAAGAATTTTGAGCATTATTCTCTTCTCCTGAGCTGAACTCCTTGTCTTATTTGACAGTTGCTGTGTGCAAAACAGGTTAACCCATTGCATTGGGTAAATGAAAATCCAAACTGAGGGTGTGTAGAAGCATTTTCCATCTGTGACTCAGGCAGGGCTTTTGCATATTAGCACAGAGCTCAACGAGTAGCAAGAGGGTTGTTTGTGCTTGGGTTATGTTTGCTGTGTTCCAAAACTAAGACAAAATCTGGCCTCAGATCCCTGAGGTCTAACTAATCCAGTAATGAGCTGAGACAGTTTGCTAGGTGTTGTTTCCACCCAATTCCCAGACTGTTCTGTTCTGGGAAGATATTTTCTAAGTTGAAAATGGGGTAAATGTAATAGGCCCTGCTCAAAAATGACAAATCTCATTGTAAAATCATCTACAAATGAGTTGAGCTGGTGATGCCTTAAAACATTCCTCTGTTTCTAAAGTTATATTCAAGAGTCTTATTGTCAAGAAAACATGATAGGTTTATCAAATACCCTGTAGAATACTGTACTCGAAGTGCCTGCTTTATCTTATGCAATTTTTCTATTTAATCTGAGCTGTATATATGCTACTGCAGCTTCAAAACATCTGGGCACAGCAATTTTTTCTATCCTGCACCTGCAAGGGTAAGTACACACATAAACAAAAAAGAAATTAAATCTTCCGCAGAGCTGGGGTAAAAAAGAACCCAACCAGCCATGAAGCTCAAGGGAGCAGTATGACAAGTGCTGAGCTGTAAACAAGCTTGAGAGGGATTTAATTCTTATGACAAGTGCCAGTGGTGGCATCTCACATGGACTCAGCATATGCACACATTTCAGAGAGGAGCCACACAGGATTTAATGCAAATAGAAAAGAAAAAAAAAAAAGAAACAGCTCTCAGTGCATCAGCTTCTTCTCATCTATAAATAGCCAAGCAAATCAGGATGAGCTAATGTTGTAATTATCTTGATTTTCAGAATTTTTGCCACTCAGAAGAGATTTTTAGAGTCTCCTCCCTGCTCTTTATAATTATAGCTGCTGTTCCAACCTCTGCCAAGGGTTGGTGGTTGCAATGTGATATTTGCCAGGTGGCTGCTCTGCAGCACAGAAAATTACCAAGTTTCCTTGGTTTGTCCGGTTTTGTCTTGTAAGATCCAATTCAAAACTTCAGAGGGCAACAATTCATCATCTTGTGACAGCCACTTCTTCACTTTTCCTTGTAACTTCTAGACTCTGGCGCTGTGGGGTCTTCCTGTACTTGAGTAAATGACATGACTGAGATACCAGAGTAGCTATGCTTCACTTTGCACAGAATCACAGACACCGATGTTGGGAAAGGATTAGAAACCAAGCGTTGTGACAGCCCAGAAGCTGTATTCCTTCCAAACGTGGAATGCCATGTTTGCTGATTTGTATTTTCTTTGTGTGTTCAAGAACTACACTGCAGAGTAGGAAAGGAGGGTAGAGAATGATGATTAAAAACAGGGAGGTGGGATGGGAGATCCTGCTAGTTGCCTACCTAATATCCTTCTTCTCTCTCATATCAAGAGTTGGCAAACTCCAATCCACAAGCTAAATCTAGCCTTCTGGCTGCTTTGATAAATAAAGTTTAATTGGAACGCAGCCTCACATGTATTGCCTATGGCTGCTTTTATGCTACAAGATCAGAATTGAGTAGTTGTAACAGATGCTGTATGTTCTGCCAGGCCTAATATATTTACTATCTGGTCTTTTATAGAACAAGTTTGCTGACCCCTGTCTTATATTAACAGAACCCCATTTTGATGGTGGCAGCTGTGTGCCAATTTTTTAAAAGTCACTTTCTTGTAGCTAGGGGTAACCACATGATCCAGTCCTGCCTAATGAGATGCAATAGAAAGTGAACTTGGGGGAGGCCTCCAGGAAAACTACTGTTTGCCATATAAAGCCGGCACTGACCGCTGCCCTTCTCCTTTCTTTTTCTTTCTTGTGGAGTGGCTATGCTAACACTTTTTTGGGGGCATGGTTCCCACTTCTGGTGCCTGGTGGAAATGGTGGCTTTCTCATGACTGTGAGGATGAAAGTAACATCCCAAGGACATAAGTGGGAATGCGGGTTCTTAATGGCTTCCTTGAGTAGTTGCTTTAGTCCTGGACTGGTTAGCCCTAGAAAGATTAGCCCATTGGCTGACCCACCTACAAGGGTTTCTATACATTGTAAACAAATGGAATCCCAACTGAAAACTAGGCTGGTCTTGATGGTGTGAGTTACAGCAAACGGATGTCAGAAAAGGTAAGAAACTGCCCTCCCTGTCCTACTTCCGTGGAAACACTCTAGGTAAGATTAAAATCCCCAAGTCCTATAACGAAATTTCTATCTTCAGTGTTAGATGGTCACTTGAATCATTTTTAATGAACAATTCAAACTTTGAATGCAAATTGTCTATATTGTAAGAAGAAAGTTCCCTGAATTTCTTTCCTAAAAGTTATCTACTTTTGTGGCAGATACCTCCTTAAATATATTAGCTATTTTCAGTGGTCAATAGTAGCTTTATGTAATGGTGATAACTCCTTTTGACTTAGGTAAAAATGATTGTATTTAGGATGTGAGAATAGGTAGAATCAGGTGAATACTCTCTAGCTCTGAACATGAAAACTTTATGTTCATTCAATTTCTGAAGAGTTAAAAACCATTTCTGTGCGATTTCCACAGTTCTTCCCACAGTAATTCTCTTTTCCCTGCCCTCTTCTTCTTTCTTCTCTCCCCTAAGTTCCTGTGCTTGATGCTTTAGGGCATGGGCGTAGTGAGAGATTAGAGAAGGCTGGAGAGTGAGGACTTCATAAAATAATCAGTGCAATTTCTGCCCCTCACTTTATCATACACTGTTCAAACTGAATCCATTAATGGATTTTTTTGCAAAATATGATCATTGCAGTAACGAAATTGGTCCAGGCCAAAACAGCAGCTTTAATGGGGACACAGCCGAAGCCACCCTGCTGCCCCTACTGCTTTCTTCCCTGGGCCTCGGTAGAACAGCAAAGATTCTGAAAGAAAACTTTAAGTGCATGTTGTAATACTTAATCTTTTCTCATGAAATCCAAAGAAAATATGCACAGTGTCTATGGAAAATAATTCCTCCTTAGGGTCCTAAAAAGTCTGCAATCAATATGACCTCACCTTGTAAGAGATCTATGTTGATTTTTAAGATAGGAAATTTACTTCATTTTTAAATAACAAAATCTTTAAAAATAGTTTTATTTGGCCATTTGTATGACTGCTTCTATCTCACAGACATCCTTTAAGAAAGCATAAAATATACTTTGTTGGGGAGTATTAAGTTTAAACATTATTTGGTTATTAATGCTGTCTTGGTTTGATTGCTTTATACCAAAAATACAAGTAGTTGGTTTCACTCTTCATGGTTTTGTCTACAAATTATTACACACTTTTGGCTACCATGCTTGTGAAGTTTCAAAGCCAAGCAAATGTGGTTCAATTATAAAAAAGTGATCAGAATATATAAGGAAGTTGGTGTTTTAAATAATCATATTTCCACAATTCAAAGCAATCATTTTCTCTTCTTTTCTATCTTATGAATGACAGCAGATCCACCACACTCCCTCATCAGAAAAATGGCTCTAAAATGTAAGCACAGCCAATGATGGCTCAGCCTCCTCTCCACGCATCTGTGAAATGACAAAGTGGTCTGGAAATATTCCTGATTAAAAAAAAAAATTTAAAACCCTAGGGTTTAAGGGTTCTGAGTCAGGATGTAAATAAACTGTTTATTTTAAATAAAATCTGGGAATTTAGAAGAGCATGAGAACTTGCATCACTTGTGTAGGCAGAATTCCAAAATGGCCCTGAAGATTCCACCCTTTGGTGCACATGCCCTGTATAATCCTTCCCCTTGTGTGCAGGCAGAACCGGTGAATATGATGGGATATCACACATCCAGGAGACTAAGCAATGGACTTTTCATTAATCAAAAGGGAGATTTTGTGGGTGGGCCCTAGAGAGTGGAAGTGTGAGAGGGCTTGTGAGGGAGCCACATAGCTGAGACCTGAGGGCAGCCTCTAGGAGCTGAGGGCAACCCCAGCTGTTCCTCCACCAGCAGGAATCAGGGACCTCAGTCCTACAGCTGCAAGGAAATGAACTCTGCCAGCAACCCGAATGAACCTGGAAAAAGACCTCAAGCTCTAGGTGAGACCCTAGACCCAGCCAATACCCAGATTTCAGTCCAGTGAGATTGAGCAGAGGACCCAGTTAACCTGTGCCAGGATTCCTAACCCATAGAAACTGTGAGATAATAAATTTGTGTTGTTGTACGCTGCTAAGTTTGTGGTGATTTGTTACGCAGCGATAGAAATCGAATACAATCACACATCCAAAGCCTATCTTTGATAACACTTACAGCCAGGGACCTTCATATTCTATTTGTGGGGAAGAGATATCTCTCACTAGAACTTTTCTTCTGGGGTTGATGGTCTGTTGGATGAGTGTTGTACTTGGCAAGGATCCCATAAAAGTTCATAAGAATGACTTGATCGACAGTAAAATTCATCCATTCATTTATTCTTTTTAAAAAGATTTGAGTGCCTACTCCGTGATAGGCATGCTTCCAGGTATCATTTTATATGATGATGCTCAGTTTTTTTCTGTTTTCCCCTCTAGATACTATTTCCACTCTTCTGTGTCTTGGGATGCTCAATTTTGTAGACCACTCTATAGGGCTTCCATGTATTATGGATGAAAAAATGAAATAAACTAACAGGAAGACTAAAGTGTAGAAAGAGAGTGAATAAGTCAGGACATGTATTTCCCTGAGTTTTGCCCTATGGGAGAACTTTGAATTAGCTGCCTTTCTCCATCTTGTTGGTCTCTCTCTGAGCGGCCCCCTCCCCTTGTCCCAGTCCCTGGATGGTAAGGTCTCCCCACGTCACTAGTCCTGGTGTACTGCCCTCTCCCTGCTGGTATACCAAAACCTTCGCCATACCTTTATAAGCAGTTTCTTTATCAAACTTTCTCCATTTCTTTGACGTTTGAGCATGCTCTTTCCTACCAGTGCCTTGAGGATACAACACTAAACATCCCCCCTGAATACCGGGTATTTGGAGCCATTGGGTCAGGGGATTGGATTCTGGTGTCAGTTCATTTTCTACCTATCTACAGGAACATGGTCTTTCAGGAACACTGTTTTCTTATCTGTACAACGATAGAAGAATGTAAAGTATCTCTAAGGTTTCTATCAGGCCTCATAATCTATAAATTGGTAGGTGGGTTATAAAACTTACATTGTGTGATGTTTGGAGCAAATACAATTTCTTTACTTCTGACTGATCTGGACTTCCTCGTAAATATCAACCGCTCCATTGGAGACTATATTCAAGCCAATGCAATGAAATAATGTAACTATCCCTTTAGATAATACAAGGTAAAAATGTCCAGTCTCTTGAACTTCTTAGCTCAGTTTTTAGTCCCTTCTCCAGCTTCTCTCCAGCATGGTGTCTCGGCTCTGGAGGGTGGGCACTGACTTATGTTTTGTGACCTCCTAAGGAAAGGAGTTTCTCTCCTTTGACTTGCCTGTATCCTCAGGCTCCTCTGATTTCCAAGGCATTATTCCCTGTCTGCCTCCTTGCAGTGTGTTCTGTAGACTTTCATAAGGTCTAGGGCAAAGATTGGCAAACTTTTTCCATAAAGGGCCACAGACAGTAAATGTTTTAGGCTTTGTGGATCATATGGTCTTTGTTACAACTACCCAACTCTGCAGCTGAAATGCAGCCAAAGATAATATGTAAACAAATGAGTGTTTCTTTATAAAAATAGGCCATCGGGTTGGTTCTGACCCATGGGCCATAGTTTGCCGACTCCCGGTCTACATGCTTCTTGGCTTTCTCAACTTCCCTTGGCTCTGAGTCCTGTAGACCCTGGCCCCTCAATCCTTACCAGGCAGGGCTCCAACTAGGTCCATCTGGCTCCCTGGCCAGAGAAGTCCACTCCAAGCCAGGTTTAAGCCTTCAAGACCCCAAACTCAGAACCAGCTCACACAGGAACAAAAGCAAGCTCCAGTCTTTCCGATGTACTTCTCCCTGCTTCGTGCGTATGCCCCTCAGTTTACCCGGATGTTTTCATAACCATTCTGTCCTAATGCTTTGCCCCAAGAAGAGAGTAAAAACAAAAACTCTGGAGGCCACTGTTTCTTGTTCCCTTTTTCTATCTCCTAGTGTCAGAAGGGTCAGATTTCCTCTCCTGACCTTTATTATTCTTCCAACATATTCTTACTCTTACCATAAAATGATAAACTTCTTGGTCTAGATGTGGAAGGAATCTATATATTGAGTGCCTTCTCTGTGATATGAGAGAACTATTTGTGTTCTTCATATGTGCACTCTTAGTTTTTAATATGTTCAAAGGGAAATGAAGGAATTTTGAAAATCCTGTTTTGAGAAAATAGTCTGATTTTAGGACTAACACTATTCTGCAGAAATCTATTTTGAATATCAAAAGCTGCATATTAACTCTCTCACTTTCTCTACCTGCCTTTTGGCATCTGCCACCACTAAACTCACACAAATGCTTCTAGTGGACTAGGGGGAAAGTCTTGTATTCAGGAAAGCAAATGAGAAAAGCTCATTAATATTTTTTCTAAGTAGGACCCCTATTACAAGTGAAAAGAAAAGCAAAATGAGGCAGCTATATAAGATACACCAGAAAAGCATCCTCATTCTAAACAGTTATACCTTATCTTTTATGCAAATCAGGATTGATCATGTACCTTACTCAACAGAGGTGGCTCCAAATTACTCTGGGCTGTACCCTAACCAGTATTACTTTCAAAAGCCAAAGTTTCCCTACACAAAGATGTCAGAAACGTATGCTGGTGGCTCTCTAAGGCACTTCTGAAAGAGATAGAGTGGAGCACAGGGAAGAACTTAATCTCAGGGTTTTACAGAACCACTTTCCCGTCTCTACTTTGTTCCTCAATTGCTATGAAATTGGGGGACTAGTTCTTTACTCTTTCTTAGTCTCGTGTATCTTATTTTAAAAGTTAGCATTAAAATATGTAATTTAAATACAACTGCCTAGAATAAAACCTGATAAATAGTGGATACTCAAAAAAAAAAAAGGACTTTGATACCTATGGCCATTATTATCAGAAGTTTAAAATGTCTTTAATTTAGTGACATTACTGGATAGTCACAACTCTGTTTCGTAAATTCTGTGCACGTATAAAGGGTCTTTCATGAGTTGAATTGAACTTCGACTGAATTGGACAGTGCCTAGATAAGTTTCACTATCTTTGTGTTTCTTCACTCCTTATCGGTGACCTCCAGCAGAAGAAATCAATAATAGGTTGGCTGGTACTGGATATAAGTATAATTTGTGATATGAATCACATATATTGCCTTTATATTTTTAAAATTATAATTCTTCATGGCAAAGCACAAACATACTAATGGAACGTATTCCTTTAATTGGCTAGACTGATGTGTAGACCCTGTAGTTCATGTCAAGAAGGGAGTGGGTTTCAGATTTGTATAAGCAATTCAATCCTTTTAATAGTGTACTCCATTTGTCTCATTTCCAACAAACAGACAGGAAACCCGCCACCCCTTCCTTTTGGCTTCATTCTCAATAATACTTAATGAGAAATGCATTGTCAAATTAGGTCAAAAAAAAAAAAACCAAAGAAGTTCTGAACTGTTTAAAAGTTAGTACCAATTGTTACATTGCCCATAACAAATCCACAGCAGAAAATAATTAGATTAAGTATCAAACTCACTGATGCTGTCTTACTCCACTGATTGCTATTCTCTGTGGAGAGGCAGACTCAATGTTATTGCCTGAAGATTGTTTTATAGATTTTTTAAAAGTACATTTTAGTTTCCTAATTCCCATGAGAGAGTTCGAATGGCCGCAGCTGCTGGGTTTATCAAAGGGTAGCTGCAGATATCTGCACTGTGTTTCCTGAAGTTTTTGATGTTCTCTGTGCTTATTTAAATGTAATGCAACTGACCCACAGCCCAATCAGTTTAACTTTACATTGAGAGTTTATTGGAGATAGTGGAGGTGGGGAAAAGAGTGAACTTCGTGATGAAAACTCGTGTGTAGAGGTAAAAAGATGTCTTGAGGAAGTAGAACAGAGAGAAAAAAACACACCCTCAAAGGCTTCCCAGGTAAGACCCCATAATAAGAACTGAAGAATTGTGGAAAACTGGAAATGAACGTGAGAAACAGATAATGGGTCCATGGTCCACCCTGTGCCTATTCTCTTTCCTTTGTCCATTCAGCATTTTCTCTCATGCTCTGTGCCCTCTCTTGCTGCCTATACTTGGCCCAGGGGCGCCTCCTCTAAACCTCTCCTTCCTTTCTGCCATTTCCTTAATCTTCATTAGAATGTATTGCATCCCTGGCCAGTGTAATGGAATTGCTATTGTTATAATCTGATACTGAATATAAATGTGTTGGTGTCTGCAAGGCACTGTCTTTAAATTCTACAAAGAGGGTTTGGGTAACCTGGGACTTGTCCTACTCTAATGGACAGAAGATAAATTGTGGAAGCAGGATAGTTGGGGAGATCATTGAATGCAGGAAGCTGCTCCGACAGACCAGATTTCCTCAAGTCATACCTGCTTAATCAAAGGAATGAGCCAGCTCTGGACATGCACATCAGAACATTCCATTTTAGTTTGATGAGGATAAAAGTGCATGACTGAGGGAAGATGGCAGAGCAAGAGGGCCCAAAGGTGATGACAGCTGTGGCAGGAGGAGCCCACTAAGGGAAAATCAAGAGGTCAGAGGTGTAAGAAGGCATCACTTCTAACACTGTGCCTGCTGCTACTGTGTTTATAGAGTGGTGGAGATAGAATTAAACAAAAAGGAGGGGAGGTGGCAGGGTGAATGACACAAGTTGGATTTTTCCTGTACTGTTAACAGCAGGGGCCAGATGGTGAAAACTCTGAATGTATGCCAAGGATCTTGGGTTTCATTTTGTGGGTGATGAGTCTGTGGAATTCCTAACACTCTTGTGCTATGAAGCATGGAGGTTTGTCTTGGGCCAACATGGTGCTCTGCACTCCACTTTCTCCCTTTCTATGGGTCTCCTTTCCCTCAGGTGCCAGAAGCTGAATTCATACACACACACTTCTCCCTCATGGCTCCCTGTTGCCATGGGGTCTGTGCATAGGCTTTCATTTATTTCATTATATTTTATTTTCATTTCATGTTTTTCCTTCAATCATGATCCCCACACCCATTCTTTGCTTCCCATAGAGGCGTCTACTCTGATGGACTTGGCAGATGTCCTCAGATATTTATATATCCTTGTAATTTATGCTGTGCTCTTTGGTATGTGTTTGTGCTTTAAACACATACTAATTATATTGTAACGTAAATTTTTTTTTCATTCAACAGTGTTTTATGGCCTATCCTATGGCTGTATGTCTATTTAATTTATTGCTTTCTATTTGTGTCTAATATCCCACAGAATCTGTTCACATTCTCTGATTTATTCCCTTAAAGTTGAGCAAGAGGTTCACTGCTTTCTAGAACAAACACCTTAACAATCAACATCTTCTTATACATTCCTTTATGGATCTGTGCAGGAATCAAGACTGGGGTTGCAGGTATAAGCTGTATGAAGAATTGGTTTCCACAGTTGCTGGCAGATTGCTCTCTGGAGAATAGCTAGTCCAGTTTACATTCCCACTAAAAATACACGAGAGTACCATATCCTTTCATCCCCACCAACATATTACATTTTCTAACTTTGTAGTTTTTGACAAACTTATGTTTGTCAAGTGGCATCTCATTTTTACTATATATTCTTCTGACCACTAATGTGGTTGAACATCTCTTCAATGATTTGGTAACTGTTCCAATTTCCTTTTATGTGAATTTCTCATTTGTCATTTGTCCCTATTTTTCTGCTGGGTTTCCTTTCTATTCCATATTTATTTGCAGGTATTCTTCATGTATTTAGATATTAACCTCTTGGCTTCTTTAATCATTGCACATATCTTTTCCCAGGGTGTCACCTGGTAATATTATCTGTAGTGTTCTTCATCAAACAGAAATACTCAACTTTGATAAAGTCAGATCCATATGATTTTTTTGTCTCTATGATGTAAACATTTTAGCTCTTGCTTATGTTCCCTCTAACTCCTGAGTGAACAAAGACTCTCTTTTTCATTTTCTTCTACTGGCTGTATCATTTTACTCTTTTATATACTTAGGACTCACTGATCTGAAGTTCGCTTTTGTGTATGGTGTAAGGTGGGGATCCAGATTTGTTTTTCTCCAAATAGTAATTCTGAGTGATGTGAAATGGTATCTCATTGTGGTTTTGATTTGTATTTCTCTGATGACTAATGATGTTGAGCATTTTTTCATATGTGTGTTGGCTGCATGTATGTCTTCTTTTGACAAGTGTCTGTTCGTGTCCTTCTTGCACTTTTTAATGGGATTATTTGGTTTTGGCTTTTTAAGTCATTTAAATTCCTTACAGATTCCAGATAGACCTTTGTTGGATGGATGGTTGGCAAATATTTTCTCCCATTCTGTGGACTGTCAGTTTACCCTGTTGATAGTTTCCTTTGCTGTGCAAAAGCTCTTTAGTTTAATTAGGTCCCACTTGTCAATTTTTGGTTTTGTTGCAATTGGTTTTGAGGACTTAGTCATAAAGTCTTTGCCAAGGCTGACGTCCAGAATGTTATTTCCTTGGTTTTCTTCTAGGATTTTTATAGTTTGAGGTTATAAATTTAAATCTTTAATCCATCTTGAGTTAATTTTTGTTTATGGTAAAAAGGTAGGGGTCCAGTTTCATTCTTCTGCATATGGCTAGCCAGTTATTCCAGCACCATTTATTAAATAGGGAATTCTTTCCCCATTGCTTATTTTTGCTGAGTTTAGATGGTTATTAAGATTGCTTATTTTTGCCAACTTTAGATGGCTTAGATAGTTATAGGAGTGCAGCTTTATTACTAGTTTCTCAATTGTGTTCCATTGGTCTGTGTGTCTGTTTTTGTACCAGCATCATGCTGTTTTGGTTACTGTAGACTTGTAGTGTAGTTTGAAGTCAACTAACATGATGCCTCTGGCTTTGTTTTTTGTTTTTTTGCTTAGGATTGCTTTGGCTTTGGGGCTCTTTTTTGGTGCCATATGAATTTTAGAATAGTTTCTCATAATTCTGTGAAAAATTATGTTGGTAGTTTGAAAGGAATAGTGTTGAATCTATAGAATACTTTGGACAGTGTGGCCATTTTAATGATACTGATTGTTCTAATTCATGATCATAGAATGTTTTTCCATTTGTTTGTGTCATCTCTGACTTCTTTCAGCAGTGTTTTGTAGTTCTCCTTGTAGAGATCTTGCACTTCCTTGGTTAGATATATTCCTAGGTATTTTTTGTGTGCATGGCTATTGTAAATGGGATTGTGTCCTTGACTTGGCTCTCAGTTTAAATGTTACTGCTGTATAGAAATGCTACTGGTTTTTGTACATTGCTTTTGTGTCCTGCAACTTTACTGAAGTTATTTGTCAGGTTTAGGAGCCTTTTGGCAGTCTTTAGGGTTTTCTAGGTATAGAATCATACCATCAGTGAAGAGAGATAATTTGAATTCTTCTTTTCCTATTTTCATGCCTTTTATTGCTTTCTCTTGCTTGATTACTCTGACTAGGACTTCCAGTACTGTGTTGAATAGAAGCAGTGGAGTGGGATTGGGCATCCTTTTCTTGTTCTTGTTCTCAAGGATAGTGGTTCCAGCTTTTGCTCATTCAGTATGATGTTGGATATGAGTTTGCCATAGATGGCTCTTACTATTTTGAGGCATGTTCTTCAATGCCTAGTTTGTTGAAAGTTCATAGCCACTAAGGGATGTGGAATTTTATCAAAATCTTTCTCTGCATCTATTGAGAAATCATATGGGCTTTGTTTTTAATTCTCTTTATGTGGTGAATCAAATGTATTGATTTGAGTATGTTGAACCAAACTTGCATACCATGAATTAAGCCTACTTGATTATGGTGAATTACCTTTTTAATGTGCTGTTTGATTGATTTGCTAATATTTTGTTGAGGACTACTAGGTTCCTCAACATAGGTTGCATCTATGTCCATCAGGGATACTAGCCTGTAGTTTTCTTTTTTCATTGTGTCTTTGCTAGGTTTTGGTATCAGGGTGATGCTAGCTTTGTAGAATAAGTTAGGGAGGAGTCCCTTCTCCTTGATTTATTGGAATAGTTTCAGTAGAATTGATACCAGTTCTCTGTACATCTGGTAGAATTGGATATGAATCCCTCTGGCCCAGGGCTTTTTTTGGTTGGCAATTTTTTTTTATGATGGATTCAATTTTGGAACCCTATATCGATCTGTTTGCAGTTTCAGTTTCTTCCTGATTCAATCTTGGCAGGTTGTGTGTTTCCGTTTCCTCTAGATTTTCTAGTTTATGTGCATAGAAGTGTTAATAATAGTCTCTGGGATCTTTTGCATTTCTGTGGGATTGGTTGTAATGTCACCTTTGTTGTTTCTGATTGTGCTTATTTGGATCTTCTCTCTTTTTTCTTTGTTAATCTAGCTAGCATTCTATTGATCTCGTTTATCCTTTCAAAAGACAAACTCTTAGTTTTGTTAATTCTTTGGATGAATTTTTGGATATCAATTTCCTTCAGTTCTGCTCTGATTATAGCTTTTTAAAAAAATTTTCTGCTAGCTTTGGGCTTAGTTTGCTCCAGTTTTTCTAGTTCCTCTAGATGTGATGTTAGATTGTTAATGTGAGATCTAACTTCTTTATGTAGGTGTTTAGTGTGAAAAGCTTTCCTCTTAACACTGCTTTTGCTACATGCCAGAGATTCTGATATGTTGTGTCTCTGTTTTCAGTTACTTAAAAGGATTTCTATTTTTGCCTTAATGTTGTTGTTTACCCAAAAGTCATTCAGGAGCAAGTTGTTTAATTTCCATTTAATTGTGTGGTTTTTGAGGGATCTTCTTGGTATTTATTTCTATTTTTATTCCACTGTGGTCCAAGGTAAGTTGGTATGATTTCAATTTTTAAAAATGTGTTGAGACTTGGTTTATGACCAAGCATGTGGTTGATCTTAAATTATGTTCCACATACAGATAAGAATGTATATTCTATGGTTGATGGGTGAAGTAGTCTGTAGATGTCTATTAGGTACAATTGGCCAAATTGATTTAAGTCCAGAATTTCTTTGTTAATTTTATGTCTTGATGATCTAACACTTTGAGTGGGATGTTGAAGTCCCTCACTATTAATGTGTGGATATCTAAGTTTTTTCATAGGTCTAGAAGTACTTGTTTTATGAATCTGAGTACTCCAATATTAAGTGCATATATATTTAGGATAATTAAATCTTTTTGTTGAATTAAACCTTTTATCACTGTGTAATGCCTTTCTTTGTCCTTTTTTACTGTTGTTGATTTCAAGTCTATCTGATACAAGAATAGCAAACCATGTTCTTTTTTTTTCCTGTTTGTTGTAATAGATCTTTCTCCAATCCTTTCCTCTGTGCCCATGGATATCATTAAGTGTAAGATGGGCCTTTTGAAGATAGAAGATGGATGGATCTTGCTTTCTTTTTTAATTTAACTTGCCACTGTGTGCCTTTCTGATGGGGCAGTTAGACCATTTACATTCAAAGTTAGCATTGCTATGTGAGGTTTTCATCCTATTGTGAAGTTGTTAGCTGGTTGCTTTGCAGTATCTATTGTGTAGTTGCTTTATAGGGTTTGTGGACTATGTACTTAAGTGTGTTTTTGTGGTAGCAGATACAGTTCTTTAGTTTCCATGTTTAAAACCTTGAGGATCTCTTGTTAGGGTGGTCTAGTGGTAAAAATTTACCTTAGTAGCTGCTAGTCTGGAAAAGATTTTATTTTTCCTTTGTTTATGGAGCTTAGTTTGATGGGATATAAAATTCTTGGTTGGAATTTGTGTTCTTTAAGAATGCTGAGTAGGCCCCCAATCTCTTCTGACTTGTGTAAGCTTTCTTCTGCTAAGAAGTCTGTTGTTATCCTGATGAGGCTCCCTTTGTAGGTCATCTAACCTTTTTCTCTAGCTGCCCTTAGGATTTTTTCCTTAGTGTTGACTTGGGGCAGTCTTGTCACTTTATGCCTTGGTGATGATTGTTTTGTATAGTATCTTGCTGATATTATATGTATTTCTTGTACCTGGATGTCTACCCGTCTAGCAAGATTAGGGAAATTTTCTTGGATTATTCCCTCAAATAGGTTTTCCAGGTTGTTTACCTTTTCTCCTTCTCAGGAATGCCAATAATTTGTAGATTTTTTCACTTTATATAATCCTACCTTTCTCAAAGACTTGTTTATTTTTTAAAATTCTTATTTTTTTTTTCTGAATGGATTAGTTTGACAGATTGATCTTCAAGCTCTGAAATTTTTTCTTCTACTTGGTCTACTCTATTGATAAAGTTTTCAATTGTATTGAGAAATTCCTTATGTGAATTTTTTAAGTTCAGAAGCTCTGATTGATTTTTTAAAGATGTTTATCTCTTCCTTCATTTCCTGGATTGTTTAGAAGTTTCTTTGTGTAGATTTTCAACCTTGTCTTGAAATTTATCGAGCTTCCTTGATACCCATGCTGTGAATTCTTTATTTGTCATTTCTGAATTTCCATTTTGGTTAGTGACCATTGCTGGAGAGCTAGAAAGATCTCAAATTAACAAATAGTGTCACAGTATTCAGATTTTTTCATGGTGCCAGAATTTTTATGCTGGTTCCTTCTCATCTGGAGATGTTGGCACTTTTAAGTTTTGTAATTATTTTCATGTGGATAGAATCCTTTCCCTTTTCCTTTCCCTTCCCTTTTCCTTTTCCCTTTCCTTTCCTTTCCCCTTTCCTTTCCTTTCCCCTTTCCTTTCTCCTTTCTCCTCTGTCTCCCCTTTCTCCTTTCTCCTTTCCTTTCCTTTTGTTTCCTTTCCTTTCCTTTCCAATATTATTATTGTTTTTCTCCTTTGTTGTTTTCTTCCCCCATCCAAGGGAATGTGACTATAGAGAATGTTGGGTAGAGTCTTTTGGCTTTGCTTCTCTAGCCCTGTGTATTTCTGTGAGCTGGTTTCATATTGGACTGTGTGGTTCAACCTAGAGGCTTGTAGATAGCTAGTAAGAGCTGGCTGTGGCCAACACAGGGGTATATATTTGATCCTTGTTTACTGAGAGAAGGTCTCAGTTGCTACAGGCAGTGGGCTAATCTGTGAAGTACACAGTGGTTTGAGCTCTCTGCTCAACCTCATAGAGGGGGACCAAGATGGGTGGGACCAGACTGAACAGATCCACCTACAGGTTACCCAATGGCAGGCCCAAACACCAGCGCTTGAGGGAGGGTCCAGGGGGTGGCCACCAAGTGTCCAGAGGCATGCCTAGTTTTGGGTTTTACATTTAAGTCTTTAATTCATCTTAATTTTTGTATATGGTGTAAGGAAGGGGTCCAGTTTTGATCTTCTGCATATGGCTAGCCAGTTATCCCAGCACCATTTATCGAATAGGGAATGTTTTCCCCATTGTTTGTTTTTGTCAGCTTTGTCAAAGATCAGATAGTTGTAAATGTGTGGTCTTATTTCTGGGTTCTCTATTCTGTTTCATTGGTCTACATGTCTGTTTTTGTACCAGTACCATACTGTTTTGGTTACTGTAGCCCTGTAGTATAGTTTGAAGTTGGGTAGTGTGATGCCTCCAGCTTTGTTCTTTTTGCTCTGGATTGCCGTGGCTGTTCAGGCTCTTTTTTGGTTCCATATGAATTTTAAAATAGTTTTTTCTAGTTCTGTGAACAATCTCAATGATAGTTAAATATGAATAGCATTGAATCTATAAATTACTTTGGGCAATATGGCCATGTTCACAATAATGATTGTTCCTATCCATGAGCGTGGAATGTTTTTCCATTTGTTTGTGTAATCTCTGATTTTTTTGAGCAGTGGTTTGTAGTTCTTACTGTAGAGATCTATCTTTCACTTCCTTAGTTAGCTGTATTCCTAGGTATTTTATTCTTTTTGTGTCAACTATGAATGGGAGTTTGTTCCTGATTTGGCTCTTGGCTTGACTGTTGCTGGTATTTAGGAATACTAGTGATCTTTGCACATTGACTTTGCATCCTAAGACTTTGATGAAGTTGTTTATCAGCTTAAGAAACTTTTTGGCTGAGACCATGGGACTTTCTACCTATAGGATCATGTTGGCTACAAACAGGGATAGTTCGACTTCCTCTCTCTCTATTTGAATGCCCTTTATTTTGTTCTCTTGCCTGATTTCCCTGGCCACGACTTCAAGTACTATATTGAGCAGGAGTGGTGAGAGAGGGTATAATTGTCTTGGGCCGGTTTTCAAGGGAATGCTTCCAGCTTTTGTCCATTCAGTATAATGTTGGCTGTGGGTTTGTCATATATGGCTCTTATTATTTTGAGGTATGTTTCTTCAATACCTAGTTTATTAGGAGTTTTTAACATGAAGCAATGTTGAATTTTATCAAAAGCCTTTTCTGCATCTATTGAGATAATCATGTGGTTTTTGTCTTCAATTCCATTAATGTGATGAATAGAATTTATTGATTTACCTATGTTGAACCAACCTTGCATCCCAGGGATAAAGCCTACTTGATCATGGTGGATAAGCTTTTTGATGTGCTGCTGGATTTAGTTTGCCAGTATTTTGATGTGGATTTTTGCATTTATGTTCATCAAGGATATTGGCCTGAAGTTTTCTTTTTTTGTTGTATTTCTGCCAGGTTTCATTATCAGGATGATGCTGGCCTCATAGAATGATTTAGGGAGGAGTCTCTCCTCAATTTTCGGAATAGTTTAAGTAGGAATGGTACCAGCTCTTCTTTGTACCTCTGGTAGAATTCAGCTGTGAATCCATCTGGTCCTGGGATTTTTTTGTTGCTAGGCTATTTATTAGTGCCTCAATTTCAGAGCTCATTATTGGTTTGTTCAGGGATTCAGTTTCTTCCTGGTTCAGTCTTGGGAGGGTGTATGTGTCCAGGAATTTATCCATTTCTCCTAGACTTTCTATTTTGTTCGCATAGAGGTGTTCATAATATTCTCTGATGGTTGTTTATATTTCTCTAGGGTCAGTGGTAATATGCCCCTTGTTATTTCCGATTGTGTTTATTTTAATATTCTCTCTTTTCTTCTTTGTTAGTCTAACTAGTAGTCTATTTTATTAATTTTTCCAAAAAACGGCTCCTGGATTTGTTGGTCTTTTGAATTTTTTTTTCTTTCTTTTTTTCTTTTTTTTTTTTTTTTGAGACGGAGTCTCACTGTTGCCCAGGCTGGAGTGCAGTGGTGTGATTTTTGGCTCACTGTAGGCTCCGCCCCCCGGGATTCGTGCCATTCTCCTGCCTCAGCCTCCTGAGTAGCTGAGACTACAGGTGCCCACCACCTTGCCCAGCTAATTTTTTGTATTTTTAGTAGAGACGCGGTTTCACCATGTTAGCCAGGATGGTCCCGATCTCCTGACCTCGTGATCCGTCCACCTCAGCCTCCCAAAGTGCTGGGATTACAGGCGTGAACCACCGCACCCAGCCTTTTTTTTTTTTTCATGTCCCAATTTCCTTCACTTCTGCTCCAGTTTTGGCTATTTATTGTCTTCTGATAGCTTTGGGATTCATTTGCTCTTGGTTCTCTAGTTCTTTTAGTTGCAATGTTTGGTTGTTAACTTGAGATCTTTCTAACTTTCTGATGTGGACATTTAGTGCTATAAATTTCCATCTTAACACTGCCTAAGCTGTGTCCCAGAGATTCTGGTGTGTTGTATCTTTGTTCTCACTGGTTTCAAAGAACTTCTGGATTTCTGCCTTAATTTTATTACCCCCAAAATCATTCAGGAGCAGGTTATTCAATTTCCATGTAATTCTATAGTTTTGAATGAATTTCATAGTCTTGATTTCTAATTTAATTGTGCTGTGGTCTGAAAGACTGTTTGTTATGATTTTAGTTCTTTTGCATTTGCTGAGGAGTGTTTTACTTTAGATTATATGATCAAATTTAGGGAGTGGAGCCAAGATGGCCGAATAGGAACAGCTCCAGTCTACACCTCCCAGCATGAGCAACACAGAAGGTGGGTGATTTCTGCATTTCTGACTGAGGTACCAGGTTCATCTCACTGGGGAGTGTCGGAAAGTGGGTGCAGGACAGTGGGTGCAACACACCAAGTGTGAGCCAAAGCAGGGCAAGGCATTGCCTCACCCAGGAAACACAAGGGGTCAGGGAATTCCCTTTCCAAGTCAAAGAAAGAGGTGACAGACGGCACCTGGAAAATCGGGTCACTCCCACCCTAATACTGCACTTTTCCAACGGTCTTAGCAAACGGCACACCAGGAGATTATATCCTGCACCTGGCTCAGAGGGTCCTACACCCATGGAGCCTCACTCATTGCTAGCACAGCAGTCTGAGATCAAACAGCAAGGTGGCAGCGAGGCCGGGGGAGGAGCGCCCGACATTGCCAAGGCTTGAGTAGGTAAACAAAGTGGCTGGGAACTCCAACTGGGTGGAGCCCACCACAGCTCAAGGAGGCCTACCTGCCTCTGTAGACTCCACCTCTGGGGGCAGGGCATAGCCAAACAAAAGGCAACAGAAACCTCTGCAGTCTTAAATGTCCCTGTCTGACAGCTTTGAAGAGAGTAGTGGTTCTCCCAGCATGCAGCCGGAGAGCTAAGAATGGACAGACTGCCACCTCAAGTGGGTCCCTGACCCCCGAGTAGCCTAACTGGGAGGCACCCCCCAGTAGGGGCAGACTGGTACCTCACACGGCCGGGTATTCCTCTGAGACAAAACTTCCAGAGGAACGATCAGGCAGAACATTTGCTGTTCACCAATATCTGCTGTTCTGCAGCCTCCACTGCTGATACCCAGGCAAACAGTTTTGGAGTGGACCTCCAGCAAACTCCAACAGACCTGCAGCTGAGGGTCCTGGCTGTTAGAAGGAAAACTAACAAACAGAAAGGACATCCACACCAAAACCCCATCTGTACGTCGTCATCGTCAAAAACCAAAGGTAGATAAAACCACAAAGATGGGGAAAAAACAGAGCAGAAAAACTGGAAACTCTAAAAATCAGAGCACCTCTCCTCCTCCAAAGGAACACAGCTCCTCACCAGCAATGGAACAAAGCTGGATGGAGAATGACTTTGACGAGTTGAGAGAAGAAGGCTTCAGATGTTCAAACTACTCTGAGCTAAAGGAATAAGTTCGAACTCATGGCAAAGAAGTTAAAAACCTTGAAGAAAATTAGACGAATGCCTAACTAGAATAACCAGTGAAGAGAAGTCCTTAAAGGACCTGACGGAGCTGAAAACCATGGCATGAGAACTACGTGATGAATGCACAAGCCTCAGTAGCCGATTCGATCAACTGAAGAAAGGGTATCAGTGATTCAAGATCGAATGAAATGAAGTGAGAAGTTTAGAGAAAAAAGAATAAAAAGAAACGAAAAAAGCCACCAAGAAATATGAGACTATGTGAAAAGACCAAATCTACTTTTGATTGGTGTACCTGAAACTAACGGGGAGAATGGAACCAACTTGGAAAACACTCTGCAGGATATTATCCAGGAGAATTTCCCCAATCTAGCAAGGCAGGCCAACATTCAAATTCAGGAAATACAGAGAATGCCACAAGGATACTCCTTAAGGAGAGCAACTCCAAGACACATAATTGTCAGATTCACCAAAGTTGAAATGAAGGAAAAAATGTTAAGGGCAGCCAGAGAGAAAGGTCGGGTTACCTACAAAGGGAAGCCCATCAGACTAACAGCTGATCTCTCAGCAGAAACTCTACAAGCCAGAAGAGAGTGGGGGCCAATATTCAACATTCTTAAGGAAAAGAATTTTCAACCCAGAATTTCATATCCAGACAAACTAAGCTTCATAAGTGAAGGAGAAATAAAATACTTTAGAGACAAGCAAATGCTGAGAGATTTTTTCACCACCAGGCCTGCCCTAAAAGAGCTCCTGAAGGAAACACTAAACATGGAAAGGAACAACCAGTACCAGCCACTGCAAAAACATGCCAAATTGTAAAGACCATCGAGGCTAGGAAGAAACTGCAAACCAACAATGGAGCATTTAGCCCATTTACATTTAAGGTTAATATTGTTATGTGTGAATTTGATCCTGTCATTATGATGTTAGCTGGTTATTTTGCTTGTTAGTTGATGGGACTATGTGAAAAGACCAAATCTACTTTTGATTGGTGTACCTGAAACTAACGGGGAGAATGGAACCAACTTGGAAAACACTCTGCAGGATATGTGTCTTGGAGTTGCTCTCCTCAAGGAGTATCCTTGTGGCATTCTCTGTATTTCCTGAATTTGAATGTTGGCCTGCCTTGCTAGATTGGGGAAATTCTCCTGGATAATATCCTGCAGAGTGTTTTCCAATTTGGTTCCATTCTCCCCGTTAGTTTCAGGTACACCAATCAAAAGTAGATTTGGTCTTTTCACATAGTCCCATCAACTAACAAGCAAAATAACCAGCTAACATCATAATGACAGGATCAAATTCACACATAACAATATTAACCTTAAATGTAAATGGGCTAAATGCTCCAATTAAAAGACACAGAATGGCAAATTGGATAAAGAGTCAAGATCCATCAATGTGCTGTACTCAGGAAACCCATCTCATGTGCAGAGACACACATAGGCTCAAAATCAAGGGATGGAGGAAGATCTACCAAGCAAATGGAAAACAAAAAAAGGCAGGGGTTGCAATCCTAGTCTCTGATAAAACAGACTTTAAACCAACAAAGATCAAAAGAGACAAAGAAGGCCATTACATAATGGTAAAGGGATCAATTCAACAACAAGAGCTAACTATCCTAAATATATATGCACCCAATACAGGAGCACCCAGATTCACACAGCAAGTCCTTAGAGACCTACAAAGAGACTTAGACTCCCACACAATAATAATGGGAGACTTTTACACCCCACTGTCAACATTAGGCAGATCAACGAGACAGAAAGTCAACAAGGATATCCAGGAATTGAACTCAGCTCTGCACCAAGCGGACCTAATAGACATCTACAGAACTCTCCACCCCAAATCAACAGAATATACATTCTTTTCAGCACCACACCACACCTATTCCAAAATTGACCACATAGTTGGAAGTAAAGCTCTCCTCAGCAAATGTAAAAGAACAGAAATTATAACAAACTGTCTTTCAGACCACAGTGCAATCAAATTAGAACTCAGAATAAAGAAACTCACTCAAAACTGTGCAACTACATGGAAACTGAACAACCTGCTCCTGAATGACTACTGGGTACATAACGAAATGAAGGCAGAAATAAAGATGTTCTTTGAAACCAAGGAGAACAAAGACACAGCATACCAAAATCTCTGGGACACATTCAAAGCAGTGGGTAGAGGGAAATTTATAGCACTAAATGCCCACAAGAGAAAGCAGGAAAGATCTAAAATTGACACCCTAACATCACAATTAAAAGAACTAGAGAAGCAAGAGCAAACACATTCAAAAGCTAGCAGAAGGCAAGAAATAACTAAGATCAGAGCAGAACTGAAGGAAATAGAGACACAAAAACCCTTCAAAAAATCAATGAATCCAGCAGCTGGTTTTTTGAAAAGATCAACAAAATTGATAGACCGCTAGGAAGACTAATAATAAGAAAAGAGAGAAGAATCAAATAGACGCAACAAAAAATGATAAAGGGGGTATCACCACCGATCCCACAGAAATACAAACTACCATCAGAGAATACTATAAACACCTCTATGCAAATAAACTAGAAAATCTAGAAGAAACAGATAAATTCCTGGACACATACACCCTCCCAAGACTAAACTAGGAAGAAGTTGAATCACTGAATAGACCAATAACAGGCTCTGAAATTGAGGCAATAATTAATAGCTTACCAACCAAAAAAAGTCCAGGACCAGATGGATTCATAGCCGAATTCTACCAGAGGTCCAAGGAGGAGCTGATACCATTCCTTCTGAAACTATTCAAATCAATAGAAAAAGGGGGAATCCTCCCTAACTCATTTTATGAGGCCAGCATCATCCTGTTACCAAAGCCTGGCAGAGACACAACAAAAGAAGAGAATTTAAGACCAATATCCCTGATGAACATTGATGCAAAACTCCGCAATAAAATACTGGCAAACCGAATCCAGCAGCACATCAAAAAGCTTATCCTCCATGATCAAGTGGGCTTCATCCCTGGGATGCAAAGCTGGTTCAACATATGCAAATCAATAAACATAATCCAGCATATAAACAGAACCAATGATAAAAACCACACGATTATCTCAATAGATGCAGAAAAGGCCTTTGACAAAATTGAACAACGCTTCATGCTAAAAACTCTCAGTAAATTATGTATTGATGGGACATATCTCAAAACAGTAAGAGCTATCTATGACAAACCCACAGCCAACATCTACTGAATGGGCAAAAACTGGAAGCATTCCCTCTGGAAACTGGCACAAGACAGGGATGCCCTCTCTCACCACTCCTATTCAACATAGTGTTGGAAGTTCTGGCCAGGGCAATCAGGCAGGAGAAGGAAATAAAGGGTATTCAGTTAGGAAAAGAGGAAGTCAAATTGTCCCTGTTTGCAGATGACATGATTGTATATCTAGAAAACCCATTGTCTCAGCCCAAAATCTCCTTAAGCTGATAAGCAACTTCAGCAGTCTCCGGATACAATGTCAATGTGCAAAAATCACAAGCATTCCTATATACCAATAACAGACAAACAGAGAGCCAAATCATGAGTGAACTCCCATTCACAATTGCTTCAAAGAGAATAAAATACCTAGGAATCCAACTTACAAGGGATGTGAAGGACCTCTTCAAGAACTACAAACAACTGCTCAATGAAATAAAATAGGATACAAAGAAATGGAAGAACATTCCATGCTCATGGGTAGGAAGAATCAATATCATGAAAATGGCCATACTGCCCAAGGTAATTTATAGATTCAATGCCATCCCCATCAAGCTACCAATGACTTTCTTCACAGAATTGGGAAAAACTACTTTAAAGTCCATGTGGAACCAAAAATGAGCCCCCATTGCCAAGTCAATCCTAAGCCAAAAGAACAAAGCTGGAGGCATCACGCTACCTGACTTCAAACTATACTACAAGGCTACAGTAATCAAAACAGCATGGTACTGGTACCAAAACAGAGATATAGACCAATGGAACAGAACAAAGCCCTCAGAAATAATGCCGCATATCTACAACTATCTGATCTTTGACAAACCTGACAAAAACAAGAAATGGGGAAATGATTCCCTATTTAATAAATGGTGCTGGGAAAACTGGCTAGCCATATGGAGAAAGCTGAAACTGGATCCCTTCCTTACACCTTATACAAAAACTAATTCAAGATGGAGTAAAGACTTAAAGGTTAGACCTAAAACTATAAAAACCCTGGAAGAAAACCTAGGCAATACCATTCAGGACATAGGCATGGGCAAGGACTTCATGTCTAAAACACCAAAAGCAATGGCAGCAAAAGCCAAAATTGACAAATGGGATCTAATTATACTAAAGAGCTTCTGCACAGCAAAAGAAACTACAATCAGAGTGAACAGGGAACCTACAGAATGGGAGAAAATTTTTGCAATCTACTCATCTGACAAAGGGCTAATATCCAGAATCTACAATGAATTCAAACAAATTTACAAGAAAAAAACAAACAACCCCATCAACAAGTGGGCAAAGGATATGAACAGACACTTCTCAAAAGAAGACATTTATGCAGCCAAAAGACACATGAAAAAATGCTCATCATCACTGGCCATCAGAGAAATGCAAATCAAAACCACAATGAGATACCATCTCACACCAGTTAGAATGGCAATCATTAAAAAGTCAGGAAACAACAGGTGCTGGAGAGGATGTGGAGAAATAGGAACACTTTTACACTGTTGGTGGGACTGTAAACTAGTTTAACCATTGTGGAAAACAGTATGGTGATTTCTCAGGGATCTAGAACTAGAAATACCATTTGACCCAGCCATCCCATTACTGGGTATATACCCAAAGGATTATAAATCATGCTGCTATAAAGACACATGCACACGTATGTTTATTGCAGCACTATTCACAATAACAAAGACTTGGAACCAACCCAAATGTCCAACAATGATAGACTGAATTAAGAAAATGTGGCACATATACACCATGGAATACTATACAGCCATAAAAAATGATGAGTTCATGTCCTTTGTAGGGACATGGATGAAGCTGGAAACCATCATTCTCAGCAAACTATCGCAGGGACAAAAAAAAACAAACACCGCATGTTCTCACTCATAGGTGGGAATTGAACAATGACAACACGTGGACACAGGAAGGGGAACATCACACACTAGGGCCTGTTGTGGGGTGGGGGTAGAGGGGAGGGATAGCATTAGGAGATATACCTAATGTTAAATGATGAGTTAATGGGTGCAGCACACCAACATGGCACATGTATACATATGTAACTATCCTGCATGTCGTGCACATGTACCCTAAAACTTAAAATATAATAAAAAAAAATTGAAAAACAAAACAAAAAAACTTTAGAGTATGTGCTATGTGGCAATGAGGAGAATGTATATTCTGTTATTTTGTGTGGAGAGTTTTGTAGACATCAGGGCCATTTGATCGAGTGCTCAGCTCAGGTCCTCAATATCTTTGTTAATTTTCTGTCTAATATTGTCAGTGGGGTGTTAAAGTCCCCCACTATTATTATTTGAGACTCTAAGTCTCTTCAAGGTTTCTAAGAACTTGGTTTATGAATCTAGGTGTTCCTGTGTTGGGTGCATATATATTTAGGATAGTTAGATCTTCTTGTTGAATTGAACTCATTACCATTATGTAATGTCCTCCTTTGTCTTTTTTTAAATCTTTGTTGGTTTAAAGTCTGTTTTGTCAGAAACTAGGTTTGCAATCCCTGCGTTTTTTGGTTTTCCATTTACTTGGTAGATTTTTCTTCATCCCTTTATATTTTAGCCTATCTGTGTCTTTGCATGTGAGATGGGTCTCCTAAAGACAGCATACCAATGGGTCTTGGTTCTTTATCCAGCTTGCCACTCTATGTCTTTTAATTGGGACATCTAGCCCATTTATATTTAAGGTTAGTATTGATGTGTGGATTTGACCTTTTCATCATGATGTTAGTTCGTTATTTTGTAGACTTGTTTATGTGGTTGCTTTATAGTGTCACTGGTCTGTGTACTTCAGTGTGTTTTTGTAGTGGCTGGTAACAGTCTTTCCTTTCCATATTTAGTGCTTCCTCACTGAGGAAGCTCTTGTAAAGCATGTCTGGTGGTAACAAATTCCCTCAGCATTTGCTTTTCTGAGAAGAGTCGTATTTCTCCTTCACTTAGGATGCTTGGTTTGGCCAGACGTGAAATTCTGGGTTGGAATTTCTTTTCCTTAAGAATGTTGAATATTGGCCCCTAATCTCTTCTGGCTTGTAGGATTTCAGCTGAGAGGTCTGCTGTTAGTCTGATGGGCTTCCCTTCGTTGGTGACCTGCCCTTTCTCTCTAGCTGCCTTTAACATTTGTTCTTTCATTTTGCCTTGAAGAATCTGATGATTATGTGTCTTGAAAAAGATCTTCTTGTGAAGCACCTTCCTGGAGTTATCCGCATTTCCTGAATTTGAATATTGGCCTCTCTAGTTAGGTTGGAGAAGTTCTCATGGATGATATCTTGAAATATATTTTCCAAGTTGGTTCCATTCTCCCTATCTCTTTCAGGTACACCAAGCAATCATAGATTCAGTCTCTTTACATAATCCCGTATTTCTCCAAGGTTTTCTTCATTACTTTTCATTCTTTTTTGTCTATTCTTGTCTGCCTGCCTTATTTCAGAAAGGCAGTCTTCATGCTCTGAGATTCTTTCCTCTGCTTGATCTATTCTGCTATGAATATTTGTGTTTGCATTATGAAATTCTTATAGGGTGTTTTTCAGCTCTGTCAGGTCAGTTACATCCTTTATACTGGCTATTTTGTCTGTCAGCTCCTGCAATGTTTTATGATTTTTTTAACTTCCTTGCATTGGGTTACAATGTACTCCTGTAGTTCAGTGAACTTCATTCCTATCCATATTCTGAATTCTACTTCTGTCATTTCAGCCATCTCAGCCTCAGCTTGGTTCTGAACCCTTGTTGGGGAGGTGATGTGGTCATTTGGAGGAAAGGCACTCTAGCATTTTGAGTTTTCAGCATTCTTATGCTGATGCTTTCTCATCTTTGTGGGTTTAGCTACCTTCAGTCTTTGAGGTTGCTGACCTTTAGATGGGTTTTTCTTTTCTTTTATCCTATTTGATGATTTTCAGGGTTTGGTTGTGGTATAAGATGGATTCAGCCAACTGGCTTCATTTCTGGGAGATTCTAGGCAGCCAATGCTCAGCTCCCAACTCTTGGACCACCTGCTCTGTCTCTGGAATCTTGTATTGGGCCCTGACTTTGTTCTCTGGCTCCTCAAAATTTGGAGTTTACTGTACTTGGGGGACCAAGGTGTGGCAGCTGCAGCAGAGTGCTAGCAGATGTAAAGGTACCTGCCTGCCTGTGGATGTTGACCACAGTGGCAGAGGCAAGGTAGCTGGTGGACAGCAGGGGGCCCCTGCTAGATATTGTGTGCACTGTTGTACTGGAGATGGTGTTGGATTGGGGTGGGGTGTAAGCCAGCACAGGTCTGGGTGCCTTCTCTGTGCTCTGCTAGCAGGAGTGATTTCTCAAGGTGTGGGAGGATCCCCTGTTCTCTGCATAGTTATTAGGGCAAGGGCAAGGCACTGGCAGGGGAGGGGATTGCTGGCTTTGTGCCCACCAAGGATCCGTCTGCAATGGTGGTCAGCGGGGTTGGCAGGGCATACTGCACCCCTGTGTGCTGGTGGAGCAAGTAAAGCAAAACCTGCCCTTGTAGACATGTGCCAACAATGTGATGTGGGGAGTTTCTGTGGGCCCAGAGGAAGCTGCAGTATGAGAAGGGAATGTGTGGGCTGGTGTACAGCCATAGTGGCTGCCTCACTGGAGCTCTCCAATCAGTCAGGCATGGTCCACCTGCACAGAAGCCATGATGTGGGGCCCCAGGGCACTCAGGACTGCCCTGTAAGTGTAACCAGGCTGGGGGCCCAGGAGAGTCCAGCAACCCAAGGAGTGCTCATGTTGGACCAGCCCTATCTGATGTGCAAGACCGCTGATATGGCTTGGCTGTTTCCCCACCCAAATCTCATCTTGAATTGTAGTTCCCATAATTCCCATGTGTTGTGGGAGGGATGCTGTGGGAGACAATTGAATCATGGAGTCGTTTTCCCTCATACTGTTCTCATGGTAGTGAATAAGTCTCATGAGGTCTGATGGTTTTATAAGGGGTTTTCCCTTTTGCTTGGTTCTCATTCTTTCTTGCCTGCCACCATGTAAGATGTACCTTTTGCCTTCCGCCATGATTGTGAGGCCTCCCTAGTCCATTGAACCTCTTTTTCTTTATAAATTACCTCGTCTTGGGTATGTCTTTATCAGCAGCATGAAAATGGACTAATACAACTGCCCTGCAGAGATCAGGTCTGACAGTTCCCCTAAGGCTAAAGTCTCTTCTGGATCAACTTGAGCCTAGAGGGATGGCCTTCCCTGGCCATGCTCTGCTACAGACGTTCCTTCACCAAAGCCTCTGAGCTCCACATTAGCTGGATTGCTGCCCCACCACTTTGCTTGTCTTCTGGGGGCTCCACTCCAGAGAGATGTGAGTCAGCAATCACTCAGTGCTATCAGCCCAGGATGGAGGATCTGTGCTGTGGGCCTAAGCCACAGGTTCCCTGTGTGGTGATGAGCAGTGGAGGGTATGTGGGACCTGTGAAAGACAGACTGGCCTCCTCTCCCTGGGTTGACTGCAGTTCATTGGAGGTGTGGATAGGGCATTTGGGGTCTTTGCTCCTTCATTAGTCCAAAGGTGACCAGGACAGTTCTATTGCAGAGACAGTGGCAGAGAGACTTTCAGTTGCCCCTGGAGGCTCTGTCCAGGGAGTTGACGAGTTGCTACTGGCTTGAGAGCTCTGCGGGGGGTGGGTGGAGGCCCAGGCCTGGAGGACCTTCCCAGTGAGGAGATATGGGAATGGGCACCCATGTAATAGACTGACCACTTTTCCATAGGACTGCTGCGGTATGCTGGCGGTCCGCTCCAGTCCCTAGTTGACTCAGATTTTCCAGTACCTGGAGTTATCACTAGTAAAGGCTACAAACAGCAAAAATGGAAGCCTGCCTCTCTCCCTGGGAGCTCTGTCCCAGGGAGGTATGGATCTGTGGCCGGCCCGAACACATCTGTAGGATGTGGCTGGAGATGCCCAGTGAGGATGAACGGGATGAGGGGCCTGCTTTAAAAAGTAGTCTGGCCACATCTTTGTAGAGCAGCTGTGCTGTGCTGGGGGTCTGCTTCAGCCCCTAGTCATCTTGGACACTCCAAAGCCTGAAGGCTGAAACAGCTAAGTTGGCCAAACAGCAAGGATGGTGGCCCACCTCTCCCCCAGGTCCCTTGGAGTTCTATCCCAGGGAGGCACAATGCTGCTACTGGTGGATGGCTGGAATTCCAAGCCAGCGGGTCTTATCCTGTGAGGGGCTATGGAAGTGGGACCCAGAGACCATTGCTGCTCAGCCCTAGATTCAGTCTCTTTCCTAGGGATTTGTGTGGGGGTCTAACCTCCCACTTTTGTGGAGTTGCAGCTACTTTTGCTGGGAAGCCCAGAAAGCTGGAGTAGCTAAGGCTCCCAGGTCTCTGCATGTGCCTGAGAGGCTGTTCTCTCAAGACCCCACATGCCTCTATGTGTCAGACTGAGGGCCCTAGCAGAGTGGGTTCACAAGTGTATTTCCTGACCTGGGGGTTGCAAAGACCTGTTGGAGAAGCATGGGCTCCTGGGATTGCACATTCACTCACTGTTTCCTTGGGTGAGGGAGGTTCCCTTGGCTGCATGTCGTTCCCAGGTGGGCTGTCATCCTGCCTTGCTTTTCTGTTCTCCACGGTTCAATTTGTTTCATTAATTAATCCCAATGCATGTGTTAGGTTGGTGCAAAAGTAATTGCAGTTTTTGCCATTACTTTTAATACCTGGATGTTTCAGTTGAAGGTGCTGTATTTACTCACCTTTTCCATTCCTCTCCCTGAGAGCCACACACTAGCTGCTTCTAGTCGGCCATCTTGGTCACTCCCCCTTTATTTGATTTTTATATATGATGAGAAGTAGGGGGTCTAGTTTCATTCTTCTACATATGGTCATCTAGTTTTCTCAGCACCACTTACTGAAAGACTGTCCCTACCCCACTGTATGTTCTTGGTGCCTTTGTCAAAACTGGGTTGGCTGTGAATGCATGGATTTACATCTGGGTTCTCTTTTTTATTACATTGGTCTATGTATCTGTCTTTGTGCCAGTACCACACTGATTAGGTTACCATAGGTTTGTAGTGTAGTTTGAGGTCAGATAGTGTGATGCTTCAGGTTTATTCTTTTGATCAGGATTGCTTTGGCTAATTTGGTAACTTTAGTGATTCCATACAAATTTTAGGAATGTTTTTTCTGCTGTGAAGAATGACATTGGTATTTAATAGCAATTGCATTGAATCTATAGATTGCTTTGGATAGAATTGTCATTTTAACAATATTAATTTTACCACCTCATGAGCATGAAATATCATTCCATATTTTGTATATCCTCTTCAATTTCTTGCATCAAAGTTTTTTGTAGTTTCCCTTGCATAAATCTTTCACTTCTTTGGTTAAATTGCTTTCTAGGTTTTTTATGTTCTTTGTAGCTATTATAAATGGGATTGCTTTTTTTATTTCATTTTCCAATTGTACTATTGATTTTTGTATGTTGATTTTGTAACCTGCAAACTTACAGAATTTATCAGTTCTAATAGTTTTCTTAGTAGAGTCTTTAGGTTTTTCTAAGTTTAAGATTATGTCATTTGCTAACAAGGCTAATTTGTCTTCTTCCTTTCAACTTTGGATGTCCTTTATTTCTTTAGACAAAATGCTCTTTCCAAGGCTTCCAGTATTATGTTGAATAAAAGTGCTGACAGTGGGCATCCTTGTCTTGTTGCATATCTTAGAGGAAAAGCTTTCAGTTTTTCCCCATTCAGTACAATGTTAGCTGTTGGTTTGTCATGTATGGCTTTTATTATGTTGAGGTATGTTCCTTCTATACTCAATTTGGTGTGGGTTTTATCACAATAGAATTTTATTGAATGCTTTTCAGCATCTATTGAAATGATCATGTGGTTTTTCTTCCTGGTTCTGTTAATGTGATATATCATGTTTATTGATTTGCATATGTTGAAACATCCTTCATCTCTGTGATGAAGTCTCACTTGATCATGGCTAATGATCTTTTAACGTGTTCTTGAATTCAGTTTGCTAGTATTTCATTGAAAATTTTTGCATCTGTGTTCATCAGTGTAATTGGCCTGTAGTTTTCTTTTTCTGTTGTGACTTTGTCCAGTTCATTGATTTTTTTTTTAAGAGATACGTTTCACTATGTTGCCTAGGATACACTCAAACTCCTGGGCTCAAGAGATCCTCTCACCTTAGCCTCCTAAGTAGTTGAGACCACAGGCATGTGCTACTGTGCTCAGTTTGTCTGGTTTTGGTATCAAGGTGATGATGGCCTTGTAGAATGAGTTTGGAAGTGTTATCTCCTCTTCCATGCTTTTTAAGGAGTTTGAGTAGATCGGTATTAATTCTTCTTTACATGTTTGACAGAATTCAGCAGTGAAGCCATTAGATTCTGGGCTTCTCTTTAATGGAGAACTTTTTATTATGGCTTTGATCTTATTACTTGTTATTGGTTTGTTAAAGGTTTCTACTTCTTCATGATTTAATCTTGGTGGTTGTATGTGTCTAAGGATTTATCTCTTTCCTCTAGGGTTTCAAATTTGTTGGTGTATAGTTGTTCATAATAATCTCCAATTATTTGTATTTCTGTGATCTCAGTTATATCTCCTTCACTTCTGATTTTATTGATTTGGGTCTTCTCCCTTTTTTTCTTTGGTAGTCTAGGTAAAGGTTTATTGAGTTTGTTGACCTTTAAAAAACCAACTTTTTGTTTCACTGATATTGTGTATTTTTAGTCTTAATCTTATCTAGATTTTTGTATATTATATGTCCATTTCCATTCATTTCAAGAAATTTTTAAATTTCCTTCTTAATTGCTTCATTGACCCAGTGGTTGTTCAGCAGCATATTGTTTAATTTCCACGTGTTTGTATATTTTCCAAGGTTCCTCTTGTTATTGATTTCTAGTTTTATTCCATTGTGTTCAGAAAAGATACTTGTTATAATTTCTTTGTTTTTGAATTTAAGATTTGTGCCCTAAGATATAATCTAGTCTAGCAAATATTCCATATGCTGATGATAATATTGTGCATTCTGCAGAAGTTGGGGGAAATGTTCTAAAAATGTCAGTTAGGCCTAACTGATGTTTCTTTGTTCATTTTCTCTCAGATGATCTGTTCGTTACTGAGAGTAGGGTGTTGAAGTCCCCTACTATTATTGTATTGCAGTCTATCTCTCCCTTTAGATCTATTAATGCTTGCTTTATGTACCTAGGAGCTCTGGTGTTGAGTGCCTAGATATTTATAATTGTTATATCCTCTTGCTAAATTGACCCCTTTATCATTTTATAGTGACCTTATTTGTCTCTCTTTATAGTCTTTGATTTGTAGTTTATTTCATCTGATAGATATTATAGCTACACCTGCTCTTTTATAGTTTTCAGTTGCATGGAACATCTTTTTCTACCCCTTTACTTTCAGTCTATGTGTCTCTTTATAGATGAAGTGAGTTTTTTGTGGGCAGCATATAGTGGGTCTTGTTTCTTTATCCATTCAACCATTGTTTGGCTTTTAATTGGAGAACTGAGTCCATTTATGTTCAATGTTATTATTGATAAACAAGGACTTACTACTGCCATTTTGTTGTTTGTTTCTGGTTGTTTTGTAACTCCTATTTTTTCTTTCTTCCTTACTGTTTTCCTTCATCGTTAAGTAATTTTCTATGGTAGTATGTTTTAATTTGTTGCTTTTTATTTTTAGTAAAGTGATAATAGGTTCTTGCTTTGTGATTTCCATGAGGCTTACAAAAAACATCTTATAGATATCACAAGTTATTTGAAAGAGATGCCAACTTATCTTAGATCATGAAGAAAATAATATAAAAAAAGAAATAATGAAAAAAGTCCTCTATACTTTATTCTCCCCTAACCATTTTGACTTTATTTTCTATCAATTTACATATTTTTATTTTGTCTATCTCTTGTCAGGTTGCTGTAGGCATTATTGTTTTTGATAGATTTGTCTTTTAGACTTTACACTAGACTTAGGAGTGGATTGTACATCATAATTACAGTATTAGAGTCTGCTGGGTTAGTCCATGTACTTAATTTTACCAGTGGGTTTTATACCTTCAAATAGTTTTCTTTTGCACATTAGTGTTTTTTTCTTCTTCCAGATTGAAGAACTCCTTTTATCATTTCTTGTTAGACAGATCTAGTGTTGGTGAATTTTCTCAGCTTTCTTTTGGGGAATACTTTAGCACTTTTTCATATTTGAAGGATAGCTTTGCTGGATACAATATTCTTGCATAGCAGATTTTTTATTCCAGCATTTAAAAAATGTCATCCCTCTTCTTACTGGCCTCTATGGTTTCTATTGAGAAGTCTGTTGGCAGATGAATTGAAGCCCCTTTATATGTTATTTGGTTAAGTTTTATTTTTTTCTCAGTTTTCTTAAGATGGCTATTCTGAATTCTTGGTCAGAGTTCACATATTACCATCTTGTTAGGGTCAGTCACTCATTCCTTGCTTTGCCTATCTGAGGACGTTGTGATTCCCATTTTGCTATTGTTTCTTGTGCATGTATATCTATGTCTTTGCATTGAAGAATTATTTATTGCCATCTTCTCTGTCTGGCTTGTTTTTTTCTTTTTTATTGGATATGTTTGCTTATAGAGTCTTTGTAATTTTCTTGTTGATTTTGTTTTTAAATTTTTATTCCTGCTAGGTTGCTGCTGCTTACCTAGTACTAGATTGAGCCTTAAGCCTAGGTTTGCTTTGGTTCTAGGAAACATTCAGAATGCCACCCATCTAAAATAAGGGAGGTCCCAAAGGGGATATCCTAGTAATGTGGGAAGGCTGGCTTTTGCACAGAGGACCTGTGGAATGGAGCTCCTACAGCACGATGCTGCTGAACAACCTCTGTGACTTGGCATCTCCTTTGGTTGAGTTACAAAGAAGTTTCCAGGGCTGGGAATGGTAGTCCCACTTCCCCCTTTGTCTCTGGCTGTCCTGAGGGATAGTCTCCCTTCAGGTACTGTCAGTGCTTCCTGTGAGTTGAGGCAAGGATAGATCTCCTGCCTGAGAACCCAAGATGGTGGAGAAGCTGATTGTTCACCTCACTCTGACTTTTTTTTCAGTGTAAAAAACCATGAATCAGGGAGAAATTTTTTTGTGTACTTGGTGCTGGGGGGCAGGGAGCAGCATAACAGGTGCTGTACATATGGAAGCCTGATTCTCTTAACATCTTCTCATAGTTTTTTCACTTCTTTGTGGCCCTGGGAACTGTCTCATCCTCATATTTGAGTTCTGGAACTTTGTTGGTGATAATCTTGGCACTGTATATTTGATTTTGGGTTTCTCCGGGGGACAAGGAAATGGAGTGAAACCAGCTTGTTTTGATGCTACATTTGAAACCAGAAGTCCTCTTGATTTTTTTTTTTTCTGAACAAAAGTTGGCCATTCGGACTTAAAATATCTTGATCCAGAGTTGAGTGAGTGTCAATGAATCGAGATTGGACATAGGGCTGGATGAAGTCGGGAGGAGTCGTTTTTGTTGTTGTTTTTAACCTTCTGTATCCAATTTGAAGTATGCTGAGAACTTATCCTTTATAGAGGCATGTGTTTTATTTACAGTCGTTGTGAGAAGAGTGGAAGTGCAGGAAGAAGCAAGTGAGGCTTGGCTGAAGGCTTCTTCACAGTGGATGAGAAAGTTAAAGAAAGTTCTTTCAATTTAGGTTCTATGGGTGGTATATAGACTGGAAAAAGGCAATGTGTATATGTATATGTGAATGTGCAAGTGTGTGTGTGTGCATGTGTGTACCTTTTGTGAACTGGAACACTAGGACATCAAACTACCTTACTTTGGGACATCTTGGACATTGAGAAACACAAAGAGAGGGAATACTTTGTTATCACCTCCAAACTGCTACTGCCTAGATAAAATGAGAAAGCTCTGTGCTTTGGTTGGCAGAAGTGGCTATTTAAATTGGAACCCCCTTTTTTTCATAGTTCATGCTTTGTGTGAACTAATATAAAATTTACCAGAAATGTAAACGAAGGCTACACATTAATGGGTGGTTGAGCCTGCGACTAATATTTTTTAATGCATGTGAGCATTCCTGAGGCTCTCAGAAATATTTTGGGACGTGAACTTTTTAAAAAACCAGATAAAGAGAAGAGGGACTCAGGGCCATTCTAGTTTGGCTATTAAATGTTAATATGACTTGAGTTGTACTCATGGGATGGTGACTTACTGGTTTTTGCTTTGTTTGCAACGAGCTCTTGCTCTGTTGCCCAGGCTGGAGTACAGTGGTAATAATAGCTCACTGCTGCATTCAACTCCTGGGCTAAATTGATCCTCCCATCTCAGCTTCCTGAGTAAGCTGGGACTACAGGCATGCACCACCATGCCCAGCCAATTTTTGTATTTATTTATTTTTTTGTAGAGACAGGATCTCACTATGTTGTCCAGGCTGATCTTAAACTCCTGGCCTCAAGTAACCCTCCCACCTCGGTCTCCCAAAGCTGACATACTGGTTTTTATGTGTGGGTGTATTACCACATTATGTGTATTTGGAAAATAAATATATAACATGTATATCACTTTTTTTTCACAATGGCATACTGCTGTGTTAATCTGCTTCATTTATTCAACAATATGCCATTGATATAGTCTAACAGTCGATGAAAATTTCTAATAATAATCAGAAAGAATTAATACATTTGAAATTTTTAGGTATTCACCCACTACTAGTCTGTCTGATGAGGCCCAATTTCCTTAGCAGGGAAGTTTCCAAACATTTAAATATGCAAATGTATAAAGGCAAATGAGATATCATTTAATTTGTTTATTGTCTTACAGTGAAAGAGAGCAAATGAGCAAGTTGATGCCTTTATGGCAATTATTTTTAGTATGATTTCTTTTGTGCTAAGGTGTAGCTGAAGGCAAACCTCAAATTCTAGCATGAACATGCAGCAGCAATAACATGAATATTTTAGGGGCTATGCGATTCTTTTTGTGGGTTATGGTTGGAAATAAAATTTTAAGTTACAACTCCTTTGGCAAATGTGTAATAAACTACTGGGACTAAGTCAGAATGTGTTTAAGTTCTCAGCCTCAGACCTGTTTCTATGAGACCCAAGTCCTGGGTGTCCAACATTTTCCATAATGTGACCCTCTTTCCTATTATTCTAGATTAATCTTTTACCATTCACCCCACTTAATACAACCCTGCACCTCCCTCTAGTCATATGAACTTACCTGAACAGGACATGTATTTTCATAGTTAAGGAATGTGACCAACTATCTTAAAATACCAGGGCCAGCAAACCTGCAATACAATGGCAGCAGCAGTGACAAACTCAGAGTGACTGGCTGTGCTCAAGAGCAGTGGCCCACACGACTTCGGTCATGGGTTTGATCCGCACCATGGCAGCTCCATTTCTTCTGTGCTTTTCTACCACACTCCACGCTTAACTTCACCTAGTCATCTGTAGACTGGTTCTGTTGGTCAGAATGGGGGCCACATAAAAGCCCTGGCTTCAGCAAATTTCAAAGCCCTGTTCCAATGAACAGTCATGGAAATTCAAAGGGAGATGTTATTATTCTTGAGGAGAACTAACCAATCTCTGTACTAAACCTATTTAAGGATGTTTTCACCCTTCCAAAAAAGAAAACAACAACAAAAAAGTACAGAATGTCTGTGTTTAAGGCATTTCAAGAATTAATGAACCTCATTCTCTTGTTCTTACCCAAGGCACATCGCTGCTTAAAACCACAAAGTGCTGACCTAGCCAGTGGTTCCAGAACCCAGGGCCTCAGCACAGCATTTTAAAGCCTCATCCTCACAGTAAATTACTATTTTAGTGATAGTCCTGGTAACATATGGCAAACGGAAAACACTTTCTGTAGATTAAACAACGTAGTTTTCATTAATGGTTTACTATGTACTTGAGACCTTAAAGAGATTTAACTAATTCTTCATTTGGTACAGTTGCTGCTGAATTATTTAAAACATCTCTTTCCTGCTTTAACTTAGAATTTGCATTAGAAAGTATAATACCAATTAAGACTCCTCCATTGCCTCAAATGCTCTAAAAATAATTGCAAATGAAATCCTAATCACACATACATTTCTTTCCCTGTGACCTCTCGGTTATTGTAAGTTTAAGCAAAATAAATGAACAATACACAGAATTTGCAGACGAAACAGCCAGAAGGTTAGGAAATTACTTATTAAGGTAACGAAAAATTAAAGACTAGTGGATGGCTTTTTGAAGTGCCGGAGACATGTGGTTCAGAGTTCTACATTTAGGTGGAAAACTCAGTGTTTCCATTTGACTAAGATATGTTGAATTATCTCCAGAATTACATAATGTAAAATATAAATGTAACAACTTACACTTATTTACAACCCCAAATTAAAAATGGCGGCTCAGTTGGCTGATTTGAGTTTTATTTACTATGATAAATAATCAAAAGTGAAAATTGGATGCCAGGCATAACTTTGGCTGACCATGTCTTGTTTGCTTATTTTTTGCTTAGCTTGTGTTTCTCTTGCCCCCTCTCCACTTTCTCCTCATGGTATGAAGTTTAAATATTGACTTTAAGCCTGTCTCAGAGGACTTCCTCAAGGTAGACCCAAACTATATCACATTCCTCATAACTACTTCTCTGGTTACCTTCCTAAAGGCAACGTCTACCTAGAATATCTGCTTCTCGCTGCCACATGTTCCTTCCATTCCATTCCATGAAGTCTACTTAACGAGCCCCTTCAGTAGAGAAGTTCTCAACGAATCCCTTCTGGATCCAGGCATTCTG
The DNA here is from genome assembly GCF_000001405.40 of Homo sapiens. Classification (NCBI taxonomy): domain Eukaryota; kingdom Metazoa; phylum Chordata; class Mammalia; order Primates; family Hominidae; genus Homo; species Homo sapiens. The sequence continues at coordinate 56,496,944 of NC_000015.10, read as the reverse complement.
ATTACTGTATTATGACTGTGCACTCTACCCAGGTACATGTCAGCTTTCCTAAAATAGTCTGCAAATCTTGTTTTGAGTTACTTTTGTGTTACGACACATTTTCACTTGGGTACATGCCGGCAGATTAGTACACTGTGCTTACCATTTACCACCGAAGAAACGATACTGCTGGACAACAGGGAGCTTAGAATATCAATTTGAATCAGAGTGCCATCTACTGGTACAAATGCTACAATACTATCAGCAGGATTACATGATGCTCGATAAGCATTCAATATGTTTACACCCACACATACACATGAATTGTTCTCACAGTTTGATTAAATAATAAGGAATATGCTATATATATAAAATGAATACTTTGCTATCACCTTTAGTAATATCTATGTTTTTGAAAAACATACAATGATGACATGAGAAAATATTTCCATTTGGATCCTCTAAACAAAACTGTCATCTCCAAAAGATGGGTGTGAATTCTGGACTATTCCCTCTGGTTATTTTGTAACTTAGATTTTTAAATATTTATTGAAAATCATATTTGAAATAAGGAACTGAAACAATGTACAATGAAATGTCTAAATGACATTAAGTTCCTAAACAAGTAGCATTGTGTTGTGAAGAAAACTAGTTTTTGTTTTTATTTAAATCCAGGAACTTAGTTCTTTTATAAGGTGAGCCATCCCTACAGGACTGACTACACCTTTATGTCACGAATGGCTGAGAAAGCGTGATTTCTCAGCACAAAGGAATGTGGAAGGACTTTATAAAAGATCAATATTAAAAACATTTAATCTCTGCTTGTCAGGGTAACATCTTAGCCTATTAAATATTTTCTCAAACCCTTTAATAAATCCAATATTTTTACTCATTCTAAATAAAATTTCCTTGTGGGTAGATTTAAATAAAATGCATAGAAGTACGTCTGTAAATTAAGAGAAAACTTTTTTGCGCTCACATAGAGGCTGATTTGGATAGCATGGAATCATTGGCAACCAAACAGATGCCCTCATCTATAGCCCAGAGACAGCTCTCAGGTGTACAGAGAACATTTCATTTCCAACAGAGAGGTGAACTTAGAACTTGTCACTGATTTTTGCACCCTCTTAATCTTCCTGTTTATTCTGTGCTTCATTAAAGTCAATCTCCACAGGGCAGACTGTCATCTGAGCCCGGCCTGTCCTGCTGTCTGCTCTCTCCAGAGAGCATCCTTCATCCTGATAAACAGGCTGCGAGCTGGACATGTGACTGAGCTCCTTAAGGTAAATAGACTACAGAGAGTTGTTCCTTCCATGCTGGCTCAACAGAATTTGATAAGCAGAATCATTGACGTGTGCATCATAGTGGAGACAATGCTTTTCCAAAAGATGGGGTTTCAAAGTTACTGTTGTGAAAGAAATAGAGGATATTTATGTTTATCTTTGTGTCACACCATGCCTTTAAACGCTGTATTAGCTAGTGTCATTCATCTGCCAAGTGTCTCCCTCAGGATTCAGCATCATTTATAGAATGTCTTTGCATGCCAGTTCTGGGCTAGGCACTGAAGATGTAAAGACTTATATGGGGAGGGAAAATGGTGGCCATGGTAGGAAACATAGCAAAGCTCTCTTGGGAAGCCATAAAGCATGCCATATTAACAATGCCAGCCTGTGTGCTGAGTGTAGGGTGTGCCTGTTTGTTGGACTCGCAGATCATGTTATTCCAGAGCAATTGCTTTATCTGGATGAAAGGGCAAAACCGGGGCCTGAGACTGGTTTCCAGGCAGCACTGTTCACCATGTCTCATGTTGACAGATAAAGCACAAACTTACCTCTGAGGATCCATGGCTTTCTGTCTTACCTATTAAACCAGACCTCGACCAGACTCTGGGGAATGAAAGTCTAATCTCTCAGGTAGAAGGGCTTAAAGGAATCTTATATCCCTGAACTGAGGACAGTTAAGTTTCTATGACCACCAGCTGAGTACTGGAATTACTTTTCCAACAGCTGGATGATGGGAACTCTGAACAAGATACCCCAAGTGTCATGGCAAGGGTAAAGCCTCAGATTGTGGGTGGCCCCATAAGAAGTGGGGAGCTTTCATCCCAGTTGATCAGGGCAAGGAAGGTCTGTGTTTGACAAGTGGAAAGCATTGTAATGAAACTTGTTCCTACTTAGCTGAGAAGGAGGGTGTAGTCACGGAGGACTCTCAGCCAGCCCAGCCCAGTTTTCTCAGTTTATGAGAAACAAAAATCCAAGAAGTGTCCTGATGGTTGTCCCTTCTCAATAACTACTGCAATTTCTGCTTGGGAGGCATAACCAACAACAAGAAAACCAGGACAGCTCTAGGAGATGGGTCACTGCAGGCTCCAGGCCCAGGGCAGGGCATCAAGGGCAAGGGCTGCAACATCAGTAGGGCTGCCATCCTGTGCACATCCTACCCATCTTCAAAGCTTAGTGTAACCAACTACTCTCCCTTTTAGCTCTCCCTTCCCTCCCTGGACCACATGCAGCTCTCCCTCTTCTGATCTCCTCTTACAATGTGGTACAATTAAGCAATTTATTATATTAGTCTCATAGTCTAATTGTTCCTTCTATGTTGTGTTACCACAATGAGATCACAATTGTGTCTTTCATTTCTTTGAAATCAGAACACACAAGATCAGATATGTGGTAGGTATTTAATACTTAACCTAAATTAGAGAATCAGAAAAATGACTTTGGGGAAACATTTATATAGCTTCTGCCTTTAACACAATAGAAAACAGATCCAGAGAACTGCTGCTCTATTTGTTCTACAAGCATCTAGTGAAACTTCCAAGCCACTGTGCTGGGTGCTGTAGGGGGAGACAGAGATGCCCAAGAAAGGAGCACTGGCCTCACAGACCTTTCAGTGAGGCATGAGAAAGAGTACGTGTGCACCAGTTATCAAAGATGGAAACCCATGTGGAAGGTGAAAACAAGGCTGTGGAATCTCAGGTGAGGGAGGTAGTGGGTCAGCTGAGAGACTCAGATGATTTTATGGAGACAGTGGCACCTGAACCCAATCTTGAAGGATTTGATATGTGGGGTTTGGGGAAGAGTACCCAAGTTTGAATGCATTTTGGCCTTTACCAAGCTTTAAGTCCAATTTAAAACCAGACCACAGAGTCATATGTGCCAACTGTGATTGTGGCTACAATTCATGCTGAGTGCTATAGTTTGAATGTTCCTCCCTGACCCACCAAAGTTAACATGTTGAAAGCTTGATTCCCAAAGCAATGGTGTTGGGTGATGAGGCCTAATGGGAAGTGTTTGGATCATGGGGGCTCTGCCCTCATGAATGAATTAATGCGGTTATGGCAGGAGCATGTTCCTTATAAAAAGACGAGTTTGGTCCCTCTCTCTCTGTCCTTCTACCATGTTATGACACAGCAAGAAGGCCCTGGTCAGATGTCAACACCTTGATCTTGGACTTGCCAGCATCTAGGAATATGAGACATAAATTTCTGCTTTTAGCCAGTCTTCTCAGGTATGCTATGTTATAGCAGCGCAAAACAGACTAAGACACTGAGCCTCCAGAGGGCTTACTGAAAGAACACTTTGATCTGCCTGAATTGGAGCTCTTCTTGATGTGGCCAACCCCAGCTCCCCCATAGAAAGAAAGCTGCCTCTCTTCTTGTTTCTAAATTTCACTAGTCCCCTATTATCCACACCCCACAAGTGCAGGGAAGCTTCCAGTCCCACTCTCCTTTGGCAGAGTCAGGCAGAGACAGGGCACTGACCCCACCTGGTCTCGCCCCAGCACGTTAGACCGTGTGTTTACTCTACCTGCTGCAGTCCTGGCCCCCACTCTATTTTATGTAGGGTTCAAACTGTGCTCCTGGAGTCTGGGCATGAGTGCTGGCCACTTCTCTCTCAATTCAGCCCATACTCTGCCTCTAGAGTTTGCACTTCATCTGGAGGGATGCCAGGTGGAGCCTATTTCTGAGAAAAGCCACAGTGGTTGAGCAGTTCAGACAGCACAGACAGGAGCAACCTAGCCCTCTGCAGCTCAGACCTCTCCTCTTAATTCCTTACTCTTCCTTGGGGTTGGCTTTCCACAGCCCTCCAGCCTGAACAGCAGGTTCCAGACAAGTCAGGACACCCTTGTTTTCTCTCCCTGATGCTGCCTGGAACTCTGTCCTGCCCCACCTCTAGGAGTAGCAGCTCCAGCCTTGTTCTTGATTCTGCTCATCTGGCTCACCCTCACTGGGCATCTCTAGTGGCCAAAGAAAGTCTCCACGCAATATCCTTTTTTTTTATTTCTGTTTGCTTGCTTTTATCTCCCTTTTCTTATTCCCTTAGGATTTAGAGGGAGAGGAAAAGCATGAGGGTGCCAGGACAGCAGTATGGGAGGCACAGAGGAGTACTGGATAATGCACTGCTTTTTGCAAACTCAACTTAGAAGACTGCCCAATCAACTTGCTATTCTTTCTTCTTTCTAGACATGAGTCTTCAGTCTCCTGCCCTCAGCTTAGCTGGAAGCTGGATGACAGCCACATTAAGAGGCTTTCTGCAAGTGGCTTTTGGATGAAAAGGGGGCCTCTCAGGTACTCCACTCTCACGTTGCAGGCTCTGCAGCAGCTGGTCTATCTGGTGGCACTGGGAGTAAGTAGTATGGGAGACCCCTCCATGCCGGGGTCCCCTGGAGTGTCCTCCTCATAGCGTGAGGGTTCTTCTCAGGGATACTGAGGATAATTCACAATGGCTTTGTAGTTGCAATATTCTTTTTTTATTTCTTAAGTTTCTGTGTCCCAAATTTTAGTACAAATAAACATTTATATACATGGCAAGAAAATATGATCCATGCTAATCATTTAGTAAATGTGTGATTTCTTGTGATTTCACCTTGTCTAGTGTCACCCTCTTTGAGGCAGGGCAATCAATCAGGACATTAGCCATTTACTCTCCCTCACCTTCCAGCTACTCCTCACTCTTATCATCCGACTTTGAATGGGAGCCTCGCTCCTTCACCCTGAGCCGTCCATCAAGACCCAGCACTAGGGCCAGGTCTGGTGACGGTGGCCAGACTGCTCACACTGCTGCCCCAGAACATCCAGGTACTTTTAAACACTACTTGCTTAGGGCTTTCTGTGGCGTTGGACTGACTGAAAAGGCTAGGGGGGTGGCCATAATTGGTCCCACAGGCTTAGTATTTGAAAGTGTGGGTAGTAACCTCTAGACTCCCGGCCTGATGATGCGAGAACCTCAAGCTCTGAAAACTGGTGGGTCCAGGACAGCCCAGCTCCCGGCCAGTCTGATTAGGTGGGAGGGGAATAGAACAGGATCCCACCTGGTCCTTCTCTACCTCCATCCCCAGAAACCCCATCAGGGGTTGTTAAATATCTCAGATTAGCTCACCAATAAGTCTCAGGATATATTCACTGGCGAAAATGGCATGAAATGCACAGACATTAAGTTCTTAATATTTATCTTCTCCAAAGGGGTTTAACATTACTAAAAACTGAAAATAAACTCAACATAGCTTGCATTTTAGAAATGGTCCTGTAGATGTGTGATAAAGATGATCCTTTTCAATCTGCTAAGCAAATGTTTTAGAATCTGTGAACCCAAGGCTAATTCAGCCAGAAAGCGTGTTCTGCAGATTGCAAGCCTTGGCTCCCTCTAGTGGCCCTGACTGAGCCTTCGTTCCCGGCTTAAAATGCCCAGGACTTAAGAACTGTATGGGGATTTCAAAGCTCAGCTCAGCTAGCACCTCTTCCTTTTAATGCTCTGGTGACTCTTGACTACATGTATGTCCTCCCAGTATGAGCAACTTTGTTATTTTCTGTTGCTAACAACTAGCATTTTTTATATTCAGTTTATAAGTGAATTGTTTCTTGTGTATTTTCTTTCCCCCCAAAAAGTCACAATTGTGTCTTCGAAATGGGAAACACAGTATCAGGCATACAATACTAGCTAATACTTTAAATTTAGGAATTATAATATTAGAGTTAGTAGAAATGTTTGTATGTTAAGAAAGCTTCTCCTTTCACAAAATAAGAAACAGATCCGAGAATCACTGCTCTGTTCATTCCACGAGTGTCTGTCAAGTGAAACTTCCAAGTCACTATGCTGGGTACCATGGAGGAGACGGAGACATTCAGGAGATAAGCCCAAATCTCATGGACCTTTCAATGAGGCATGAAAAAAAGGACAGGTGCACCAATCATCAAAGATAGAAACCCCTAAGGAAGGTAAAAGTAAAGCCTGAGGGATCTCAGGTGAGGGAGGTAATGAGTCAGCTGAGGGACTCAGCATGGTGTTATGGAGAAGGTGGACCTTGACCTTGGCTTTGAAGGATGTGTAATATTTGATTATGTGGAATAAGGGGAAAGTGTGGTGGTGTGAAAGCACATCCAGGGAGGGTACTGTAAAGGGAGAATATCAGAAACTAAGACATGAGTGCCTTAGGGTCAAACTACAGAAGGTCTTTTTATTTTATTTTTATTTAAGAGAAGATCTCACTCTGTTGCCCAGGCTGGAGTGCAGTGGTGTGATCATGGCTCACTGCAGCCTCAAACTCCCTGGGCTCAGGTGACCCTTCCACCTCAGCCTCCTGAGTAGCTGGGACTACAGGTGCACACCACCATGACAGGCTAATTTTTGTATTTGTTGCAGAGATGAAGTGTCACCATGTTGCCCAGGCTGTTCTCAAACTCCTGGGCTCAAGCAATTCTCCCGCCTCAGCTTCTCATTTACTTTAGTTTCTTAAGAGACAGGGTCTTGCTGTGTCACCCAGGCTGGAGTGCAGTACCATGATCGTGGGTCACTGGAGTCTTGACTCCTGGGCTCAAGCAATCCTCCAACCTCAGCCTCCCGAGTAGCTGGGACCACAGGAGCATGCCACAATGCCCAGCTAGTTTTTATTTTATTTTATTGTAGAGACAAGGTCTCACTGTGTTGTCCAGGCAGGTCTCAAACTCTTGGGCTCAAGCGATCCTCCCACCTTGGCCTCTCAAAGTACTGAGATTATGGGTGTGAACCACCATGCCTGGCCTACAGAAGGTCTTGAATGGCAATGAAGAAGCTTGTATTCTGTTGAGCAGGAAGCGGGACTGGAGGAAGAAATTGTAAAAATTCCAGCTTCTTGAATATGTATTTGGCTCCTTTTAAAAAAATGGATTCTCCATCCAGCTGTCCATTTATCATTTATAGAGAGATTAATATAGGAGATTCTGGTGGGGACTAGATATCTGCTAAGTTTACTTCTTAATCGATATTACATGATTGGGATTTTTGAGCCATAAATTGACCCTACATTATAGGAGGGAAGACCTTGCATTTTTTTTGTACTTAGTAGGTGCTCAATGAAGGCTTCCTCAATTAACAGATTACATGAACAGGGTTGTGTTTCAGAAAGAGGAATTTGGCAGCAAGGTTTAAACTAGATTGGCAAGAAGGGAGAGACTGGATACAGGAAGGCTGCTTAGGACATTATTACTCATTTTCAAGGCCTAAACTAGGTGAGTGGAAATAAGAGTTGAACGAAGAGTAACATTGGGGAAGTAGAATCAAGATTGCTATTTTGTTGTGATTATTTGTGACCCTCTTCCTCAATGAATTGACAGTTTCATGAGAGCAAGAACTCTAACTTATTTGGCATTGTATCCCCACTACCTAACAATAACTAGCACATGTATGTGCTGAGTATGTATTCAATGAGCTGTGGAATAAATGTTGACTGGCTTTTGGAATAAGTAATTGAGATAGTGTTATTTGAGGGGCATTGGCCATCCAAGCCCCGGGACAAGGAGCAGCCAGAGATGCTGGATGTGAGCCTAGCATTTGAGTGACCCTGGCCCAGGGCAGAAGGGACACAGCACACAGCAGCAATCTCTGCCTTCTCACTATCCACTCCCTTTAGCCTGTGCTGGGCAGGCCTTCACCCCTACATCCTATAAAAGCTTTTCACATTTGAGTCACCCACACCCTCATGTCCTTCTCCCCTCTCTCTCTCTCTCTCTCTCTCATTTTACTTAATGTCTCATTAGCATTTGACACAGTTGATCATGCCATTCTTGGAACAGTCTCTTCACTTAACTTCCAGGATACTACTGTCCTGGTTTTCTTCCTACCTTGCTGATGGCTCTTTTCATTCTAGTAATTCTGGCTTAGCTTTCTCTTCCCATTTTTTTAAGAGATGGGGTCTTGCTCTGTCACTTAGGCTGGAGTGTAAGGTATGAACATAGCTCACTGTAGCCTTGACCTCCTGGGCTTACGTGATTCTCCCCTCAGCCTGTCAAACAGCTACAATTAACAGTTTTTAATCAGTGGTTTCCACCTTAGCTGCACGTTAGAATCACTGAGGAGTTTTAAAATTTCTTGATACTCAAACTGAACCCCAGACCAATTAAATCAGATATGTGAAGGATGGGTAGAGGTTCAACATTTAAAAAAAAATCTTCTGGTAATTTCAATGGGCATGGAGTGTTGTAAACCACTTCTGTAAATATTGAAGTTCCTCAGGGCTCAGTCCTTGATCTCTTATACCCTTGATCTCCTTGATATCCCTAGTCCCATGGGTTCCAAAAGCATCTTTATCAGTTGATGTGTAGATCTATACTTCTAGCCCCAGCTTCTCTTCTGAACTATAGATTTATATACACAAGTGTCCTATTTAAGATCTTCAGTAGGATGTAGACATCTCAGATTTAACACGTCCAAACACAAGTCTTTATTTTTCCCTGGCCTCCAAGTCTACTCCTCCAGTGTTCTCCATCCCAACTGATGGTACCATCATTCATTCAGTTATGCCAGGAAGGACACCTGGGAGATATATTTGAGTCATCTCTTTGTCATTCCTTACACCTAATCCATTGCCAAGTCCTGTTGGTTTTATTTCTAAAATTCATTCTGAACCCAATCAGTTCCCATAACCTCTACAGAGCACCACTATGCTCAACCTTACCTGCTCTATAACTCTACCTTTCCAACTGCTTCACCTGACTTCACTGTCATTCCCTTACAGCCCTCTCCTCAAGCAGCAGTTGGCGGGATCTCTGCAAACTTAGATCACATCGTATTTCTCATTCTTTAAAAAAAATCCTTCTGTAACTATTTAGAACAAAATCCAAATTATTTGCTCTGACCCCTGCCTACTGCTCCAACCCATCTGTCATTCTCCCCTTTGTTTGCTGTGCTCCTACTACAAGCCTTTGCCTGGGATGCTCTTCTGCCTAAATCTTCACGACTTGATGTTCACCATTCAGGTGTCTGTTCACATGTCACCTGTTCAGAAAGGTCTTCAGTGGCCTCACTCATCACAGCTAAAATGGTCACCTGGTTGTCCTCTAACTTAACCTTGCTTTATTCTTGTCTTAGCCCTTCTTGCTTTCTGCAACAATGATATTTGCTTATCTGTTTGTTTCTTTGTCTTCCTCCAGTAGAAGGCAGGGACCTTGTCTTGGTTTTTTACGACTGTGTCTCTGGCACCTGGTAGGTTCTTAGTTATTATTTGTTGAATGAATTGTCAAATCCAGAATTGAAGTTCAAACTGATAGTGAGGCAAACTGCACGACCAAGGTGTCAGTGTGGGGTGGATGAGTAATCACAGCACAAGGCACAATTAATCAAAGACTCTATTAAAGGTATTCAGGAAGATTATCTGGGTCAACGCTGGGTAGACTGTCTGTCTCCCCTAAATTACCATTCCTGCTCTAGTTATAGTATCCGAAACTCTTTCATTGGCAATTCAGATTCATGCTTCTATGTTGAAAGATTGTACCTTCTTTTGAATTCTCTTCTAAAATTCAAATATCCTCAGCATATTTCTATTGGCTATAAAATATTAGGGGGAAAAGATGTTCTGAGAGACCAAGAGCAGAGGGGACTAAGAACAGAGAGAAGGCAGATGATGGCCACACGAAGTCATCTTCACTATGCTGTAATGCCTTTGACAGAGCTCTTTGTGGGAATCAGTCCTAGCCTTCAAGAAGCTGTATAGCTAGAGGCCTTAACAACAACAACAACAACAAAAACTTTGTGTGGATCCCCACTGGGACTAGCAACCCCCTAATTTCTCTCTCCCCTACGTAAACTCCAATGCCATTTCTCAATTCCCAGTATAGTTTCTCAAGTATGGAGACTTAACAATTTTGTAGCCTACTTTAAATGCCCTTTGCACTCCTGATTGTTTTTCCATCACAGCAAATCAACCAGCCCTACTTGTTTCCAGAGGAAAGTGGTTCTGTAGCAGGTAATTTTAACATATCCAAACAATATCATATTTTTAAATGATTATTAAAAATGTATACATCTTTAATGTAAAGCAATACATTTTAATAACATTAGAAACAAAACATTTGATTACATTGGTATTTCATCTTGGGTTCCCAGAGAAACAGTCTTAGAGACAGAGATTAGCATGCAGAATACATATTAGGGACTGTATTAGTCTGTTCTCATGTTGGTATGAAGAAATATCTGCAACTGGGTAATTTATAAAGGAAAGAGGTTTAATTGACTCACAGTTCCACATGGCTGGGGAGACCTGAGGAAACTTACAATAATAGTGGAAGGGGAAGCAAACACATCCTTCTTTGCATGGTAGTAGGAAAGAGAAGTGCCTAGCAAAAGGGAGAAAATCTCCTCATAAGACCATCAGACCTCATAAGAACTCGCTCACTATCATGAGAACAGCATAAGGGTAACTGCCCCCCTGATTCAATTACCTCCCACTGGGTCCCTCCCATGACATGTGAGGATTATGGGAACTACAACTCAAGAGGAGATCTCGGTGGAAACACAGCCAAACCATATCGATCCACCCCAGCCCCTTCCAAATCTCATGTCCTCACATTTCAAAACACAGTCATGCCCTTCTAACAGTCCCCCAAAGTCTTAACTCATTCCAGCATTAACTAAAAAGTCCAAGTCCAAAGTCTCTTCTGAGACAATGTAAGTCCTTTCTACCTATGAGCCTGTTAAAATCAAAAGCCTTCTTCTCACAGCTCCACTAGGCAGTGCCCCAGTGGGGACTCTGTGTAGGGGCTCTGACCCCACATTTCTCTCTCACACTGCCTTAGCAGAGGTTTTCCATGAGGGCTACACCCCTGCAGCAAACTTCTGGATATCCAGGCATTTCCATACATCCTCTGAAATCTAGGTGGAGGTTCCTAAACCTTAATTCTTGACTTCTGTACATCTGCAGGCCCAATACCACATGTAAGCTTCTAAGGCTTGAGGCTTGCACCCTCTGAAGCAATGGCCTGAGCTGTACATTGGCCCCTTTTAGCACCAGCTGGAGCTGAATCCGCTGGGATGCAGAGCACCATGTCCCAAGGCTGCATAGAGCAGGGGGTGCCTGGGCCCGGCCCACAAAACCATTTTTCCCTCCTAGGCCTTCAGGCCTGTGATGCAAGGGGCTGCTGTGAAGATCTCTGACATGCCTTGGAGACATTTTCCCCATTGTCTTGGTGATTAACATTCAGCTCCTCATTACTTATGCAAATTTCTGCAGCTGGCTTGAATTTCTCCTCGGAAAATGGGGTTTTCTTTGCTTTTGCATTGTCAGGCTGCAGATTTTCCAAACTTTTTTGCTCTGCTTCCTCTTGAACACTTTGCCACTTAGAAATTTCTTCTGCCAGTTACCCTAAATCATCTCTTTCAAGTTCAAAGTTCCACAGATCTCCAGGGCAAGTGCAAAATTCCGCCAGTCTCTTTGTGTAGCAAGAGTCGCCTTTATTTCAGTTTGCAAGAAGTTCCTCATCTCCATCTGAGACCTCCTCAGCCTGGACTTCATTATCTACATCACTGACAGCATTTTGGTCAAAATCATTCAACAAATCTCTAGGAAGTTCCAAACTTTCCCAGATTTTCTTGTCTTCTGAGCCCTCCAAACTGTTCCCACCTCTGCCTGCTACCCAGTTCCAAAGTCACTTCCACATTTTTGGGTATCTTCACAGAAGCACACCACCCTCTACAGTACCAACTTGCTGTATTAGTTACTCTTTCACATGGCAGCAGGAAGGAGAAGGGGGAAGCCCCTTATAAAGCCATCAGATCTCATGACAGATTACTCTCTCATGATATGTAATATCATGATATGTAATCTCATGATATCATGTAATATGATATGTAATCTCATGATATGTAATCATGATATGTAATCTCATGATATGTAATCATGATATGTAATCTCATGAAAGATTACATATCATGAGAATAGCATGAGGGAAACTGCTCCCATGATTGACTTACCTCCCACAAGTTCCCTCCCACCATACGTGGGGATTTTGGGAATTACAATTCAAGATGATATTGGGGTAAGGGCACAGCCAAACCATATCAGAGACTGCTCGTAGGATCAACATTTGTGGAAGGGAAGGAGGCAGGGCTGGATGGAAGGAAAAGCTGAGTTTACTGCAGTCTCAGCAAAGGCCTCAGCTATTCCCTCAGGAGCTGTAAAGCTAGATGACCCTTCAGAGTTGACTCTCCTCACAGTGAGAAGGCTAGGCGTTTATGGATGCAAGCTGATACTGGGTGACAGTGGTCTGTGACCAAGGATAATTTCTGAAGAGGGCTGACAGCTCAGGGCTGTCTACTGGCAGCACTCCCAGCATCTAGGAAAATAAGTCCTCAGACCTGAAGACAGCATCCATTAAACCTAGTGTTTTCAAATTGATGTCATTTTTTGGTTGCTATTAATAACATTATTCTGGGTGTCTATTGCAAGGCAGTTGGATAAAATTATGTACTAAGAGTCTCCAGTGAGCTGGCTTTGCTGCAAAGGATTCTTTTCTTGTTAGTGTACTTCTTTTTTTTTTTTTTTTTGAGGTAGAGTCTCGCTTTGTCCCCCAAGCTGGAGTGCAGTGGCGCGATCTTGGCTCACTGCAACCTCTGCCTTCCGGGTTCACGCCATTCTCCCGCCTCAGCCTCGTGAGTAGCTGGGACTACACGCGCCCGCCACCACGCCCGGCTAATTTTTTTTGTATTTTTACTAGAGACAGGGTTTCACTGTGTTAGCCAGGATGGTCTCAATCTCCTGACCTCATGATCCGCCTGCCTTGGCCTCCCAAAGTGCTGGGATTACAGGCGTGAGCCACCGTGCCCGGCCTGTACTTCTAAAATACTTTCACTTTTCTACCTCTAATAGGTGTTACCATATGTAGATAAGAGTGTTGTTTTGTTGTTACTGACATTATTGTTCTTATTTAACATCCTATGAGGGATTTACATCATGCACCAGGTCCTGGGATTGCGTCTTAACTATCTGCAATGGTCATTCTGCTTCATGAGAAAGGTAAGATTCGACTCTCATTAATTCTACAGATTCATTTGAATCCAATTCCCAGGACTTTTCTTTAAAATAAACAAACCATATAAACTCCTCAGGTTGGATGGTGTTGGAAGAACTAATTATTTGTGTTTCCCATTACTGTTTTGTCCATGTAGGGACTACAGATTGCAGCACTGAGTAAGTGTAATTGAGAATTAATGTGTTCTGTGGCTCAGAGGTGGAAAATAAAACTGAGGCAGCCCATATGAGGAAAAAGTGGATTCTTGTCATGTAAGTGAGGCCATGAGGACACATGATTGTGGCCTTTATTGCTCAGGCCTGCCCAGTGGATACTAGGAAAAGGACCCTCTTTCTGGTATGTTTTTTCACCCTGGCAAGTTTAGTCTCTGAAATAAAACTAAATTACACCTTAGCTTCTTCATCTTTCTGCAAAAATATGGCCATGAAAGGGCAAGGATGTTATAATTAGCAAATTCTGCATATGTCTGAGCAAGCATTTGGCAAATCATAGATTTTTATTACATATGTTCTACTAGTCTGAAATTATAATTCTGGAGCTTGTAGTTGGTACCAGGTATTTCTTATACCCAACTCCCTCTCACTGCACCACTCCCAGCATCTGGGAATTGTGAGAGGAGAGTTTATCTGATTGTTCACAACTTCAGTTTACTGCTGAGGAGGCTCTCAGTATTTGCCTGGATGGTAATGTGGTTCAGTGGCTCAGCATGTGGATTCTCAAATCCTGGCCTCATCACTTCATAGCTGAATTATCTTAGGCATCCAAGATTAGCTGCTCAGGGTCTTTCTCTTTTCCCCTCTAAAATAGCAGTAATCATAGTACTTATTCCTGGAGTTGTTAAAAGGGTTAAAGTAGATAACAGATGTGAAGTGCTAATAGTACATAATGAAACAAGTACATATTAGGTATTATTATTATTATTTGCTAGGATTCAGTTTACAGGTATAAGGATCACTTGGACAATTTCTGGGGCAAAGAGTAGAGCACCCTGGTCTGGTTAAGCTGAAAATATTTTGTATGCATAAAATTAAGTAAATAAAATACTAATAAAGAAGAATCGTTTTCATGCAGAGTTTAAATCGGTGAAATAATTCCCTCATTAAAGTTAGATGTAACTGAGGGCACAGGATTAGACAGCTTATTGGTAGCAAAGGCAGTATTAACTGTTAAATTGGGGGCAGCTATTGCTGTCAATAAAAGTCCAGGGAGGCCGGGCGCGGTGGCTCAAGCCTGTAATCCCAGCACTTTGGGAGGCCGAGGCGGGTGGATCACGAGGTCAAGAGATGGAGACCATCCTGGCTAACACGGTGAAACCCCGTCTCTACTAAAAAATACACACAAAAAAAAATTAACCGGGCGTGGTGGCGGGCGCCTGTAGTCCCAGCTACTCGGGAGGCTGAGGCAGGAGAATGGCGTGAACCCGGGAGGCGGAGCTTGCAGTGAGCCGAGATCGCGCCATTGCACTCCAGCCTGGGGGACAGAGAGAGACTCCGTCTCAAAAAAAAAAAAAAAAAAAAAAAAAAAAAAAAAAAAAAGTCCAGGGATACGGCCGGATGCGGTGGCTCACGCCTGTAATCTCAGCACTTTGGGAGGCCGAGGTGGGCAGCTCACGAGTTCAGGAGGTCAATACCATCCTGGCTAACGCTGTGAAACCCTGTCTCAACTGAAAATACAAAAAATTAGCCTGGCGTGGTGGCACACGCCTATAGTTCCAGCTGCTTGGGAGGCTGAGGCAGGTGAATCACTTGAATTCGGGAGGCGGAGGTTGCAGTGACCCGATATTGCACCACTGCACTCCAGCCTGGGCGACAGAGCGAGACTCCATCTCAAAAAAAAAAAAAAAAAAAAAAAGTCCAATGATAGTTATTTTTATCAACCATAGAACATACGAATCACTTAAGAAATTTGGCTTTTCTACACCAGAAAGCCTTCCCCAGCTGAGCAGAACAAAATGTCAACTCACTAAACTCATAGCCTGCTTTTCTCATAAGAGAGCATTAATTATATAAATAATATTTTACTTATTTGTTAAACCCTGAAACATGCTTTCAAATTTTGATTTGCTAGCCGTAAGTCCCTATTCTGCTAAGCTATAATTAACTGGGCAGGAGGAATGGGTCTTTCTGAAGCCTAATACATTTCTAGTCCTCCTTTTCCATGTTCTAGGTGCTTTATTTGGGTATATTAGATTTCTATGCTAGAAATTCCTGTGGGTTTTTTTTTTTTATTTTAGAGAAGTGTTTCTTACACATAATATTGCTTTTCCTAATAGAATTTGCTCCATATTTATTCATTCAACAAATATTGAATGCCCACTATGTGCCAGTTAATAGTAGATAGGTGTTCTGAGTGGAGGTAAAAGGAAAATGATTTTTAAAAGAAGGCTAATAGGCAAATATATTAAAATTTTTTTTATTTCATATTTATATGTCTGCATGAACTCAACTCTATGCTACCTTAGCCTTGGGACCACATCTCCATGGTGTTTTGGTAAAATTTCCATGGTCTGTGATATCGTATCATGTATCTACTTGACACATTTGTTGATTGATGGTAAAATATCATCATAATACGGTGGAGACAATGACTCCAAGGGCAATGTGATTACCAGTAAGATAATTTCCTTGTAAGAAGAAAGAACATTTATATAGTTATAAATTCAGCCTGAACAAATGATATAACTCGTGGATGTTTTTCCCCAGCTGTCAAGCTTTAACAAAATTTGAGTGAAGCTTTATTTCTCTAAAAAGAAACACAAGATAGGCAAGATGCAAAGAATGGTCAGAGGGAAGAGGGAAGTTAAAATGAAGGTGATTGCCGCTCTGACATCGTAACTACACTTGTGAAGGCAATGGTAAGTTGCCTGCTGCAAATGGGAATCATTTCTAAGATATAAAATAAAGGTTTTACTGAAAGTATCAGGAAAGTTTAGCATCCAGTAGAAACTGAAACTAATCAAGGTTTCTTAGGTATTTTATATATTGATATTTCATTCTTCTATTTTTTTCTTCCAACTTTGTTACTTCCTTTTACTTAATGAATCTCAGATAATTTACTGTGGTTTTTACCATGAAAGAGAAATGCCAGGGATCCACTTTCTGAATAAGACTGGTAAGTAGGGCTGCATCATGAGCACATTTCAAAAAAAAAAAAAGAAGTAAAATAAAGACATAAAATTTTAACCAACTTTTTTAATTTTAATTTTAATTTTATTTATTTATTTATTCATTTTTGAGACAGAGTCTCGTTCTGTCGCCCAGGTTGGAGTGCAGTGGCGCGATCTCGGCTCACGGCAAGCTCTGCCTTCCGGGTTCACGCCATTCTCCTGCCTCAGCCTCCCGTGTAGCTGGGACTACAGGCGCTCACCACCATGCCCGGCTAATTTTTTGTATTTTTAGTAGAGACGGGGTTTCACCGTGTTAGCCAGGATGGTCTCGATTTCCTGACCTCGTAATTTGCCCACCTCGGCCTCCCAAAGTGCTGGGATTACAGGTGTGAGCCACCATGCCCGGCCTCAACCACCATTTTAAGTGTACAGTTCAGTGGCATCAAGTACGTTCACATTGCTGTGCAGCCATCACCATTGTCCATCTCCAGAACTCTTTTCATCTTGAAAAACTGAAACTCTGCAACCCATTAAACAATAATGGGTTCCTGGCCGGGCGCAGTGGCTCACGCCTGTAAATCCCAGCACTTCGGAAGGCCCAGGCGTGCGGATCACGAGGTCAGGAGATCGAGACCACCTTAGCCAACATGGTGAAACCCTGTCCCTACTAAAAAAAAAAAAAAAAAAAAAAAAGCCGGGCGTGGTGGCCAGCGCCTGTAGTCCCAGCTACTCGGGAGGCTGAGGCAGGAGAATGGTGTGAACCCGGGAGGCGGAGCTTACAGTGAGCCGAGATCGCGTCACTGCACTCCAGCCTGGGCGACAGAGCAAGACTCCGTCTCAAAAATAAATAAATAAATAAAATAAAAATAAATAAATAAATAAATAAATAAATAAATAAATAAATAATTCCCCCGTCCTTACTCTACCACAGCTTCAGGCAACCACCATTTTACTCTATGTCTCTACGGATTTGGCTGCCATAAGTGCCTCACGTAAGTGGAATCATGACGTATTTGTCTTTTTGTGACTGGCTTATTTCACTTATTTTCATGTCATTAAGGTTCATCCATGTTATAGCATGTGTCAGAATTTCCTTTCTTTTAAAAGCAGAATAATATTCCTCTGTGTGTGCGTGTGTGTGTGTGTACTTCTATTTATTGTCTATATACACTTGGGTTGTTTCTACCTTTTGGCTATTGTGAATAATGCTACTATGAACGTAGGTATACAAGTATCTCTTTGAATCTCTGCTTTCAGTACTTTTGAGTGTATACCCAGAAGTAGAATCACTGGATCATATGAAAATTATGCTTAAGTTTTTAAGGAGTTATCATGTAGTTTTCCACAGTGGCTGTGCCATTTTACATTCCTAACAGTGCAAAAGTGTTCCAATTTCTCCACTTCCTCATCTATGCTTGTTATTTTGTTTTTTATAATAGTCATTCTAATCAGTAAGTGATAGTATCTCATTGTACTTTTGATTCGCATTTTCCTAATGATTCTGAGCATCTTTCCATGTGCTTTTTGACCACCGTGTCTTCTCTGGAAAAATGTCTATAGAAGCCTTTTACCCATTTTTTTCCATCAGTTGTTTCTCTTTTTGTTGTTGAGCTGCAAACGTTCTTTATATATTCTGATAACCCCTTATTAGATATATCATTTGTAAATATTTTCTCCCATACAGTAGGTTGCCTTTTACTCTGTTGACTATGTCTTTTGGTATACAGAAATTTTAATATTTGATGTAACGGATCTATTTTTTCTTTTGTTGACTTCCATTTTGGTGTAATATCCAAGAAATCATTGCCGAACTAAATGTCATTAATCTTTACCCTATATTTTCTTCTAAGAGTTTTATACTTTTAGCTGTTATGTTTAGCTATTTGATCCATTTTGAGTAAATTTTTGTATATGGTACTGTAAGGTAAGGGTCCAACTTCAGTCTTTTGCATGTGGCAGGTGTAGTTTTACCTAAAGTTCCACAGATGTTTCTGGTTTGAGAACCACTGTGTTATGCTAGTGATATCCAGCCAGTTCCCTCTTCCAAAGATCATATGATGCATGTGTTTTTTTAAAAAGAAATTGATGAAGGGGCCATGCACAGAAACTATTTTTGTACAAAATTCACATATGCTAACCAGATTATGTTTGCTATTTCAGGTTTATTTAAAATGTGAAATAACTGCTGCCCACACTGATGACATTCTCATATTTTTTCTGCTTTTTCTCCATCTACTAATTGTCTCAGATATCTCAAACAAACAGCAAGAAAAAGATCAAGCCAATAAACAGGCATTTGAAAAGTGGCCCTGGGTTAGTTACATAGTTGCGTCCTGGAACAACAACAACAAATCCTCCTGGGGGCTATATCTGCATCATAGCCTCACAGTGCTCTCTAAATAAAGCTTCTCTAAAAATGAGCTCACAATCTAAAATTACAAAATCTAGAGGAAATAACCATCAACTGTGAGTGTTGGCAGAAAAATCTAACAGCAAAATTAGACATTTGAGAGTTTTATATAATGAACTTATCAAATACAATACACTTTGTTTAATCTGATTAAGGAAAAATAAAAATTATAAGAAAGATAAATGTATTTCTACTTTAATATAGTATATTTTAGAATCAACATGCTCAAGGTAAATTGAGCTAGAAAACTTTCTTTCCAGATTACAAGCCTACTCCCCATCCCCCAAAATAACTAAGAATATTATTAGAATTATTGCAGTGGAGATTAATTTATTAATGAGTAAAACCTATGAGTAAGACCTCTGAATAAAATAAATTGATAAAGTTAAATTCCCAAGGCAAGAAAGTGGCTCTATCTTAGAGCTTTCAGAAACAGACGCACCCTGCCAATACCTTAATCTTTGCCTAATAAGGTCTAGGTTTGACTCCTGAGCTACAGAACTGTAAGATAATCAAGTTGTGTCATTTTAAGGTATTAAAAAATTGAATTCCCATTTAGGATGAAAACTCTTCATAAATATGGGGAAACGGGGAATAAAACACCTACAGCATGAAAAGCAGTTTATAGCATGCAACCTTTATACTACTACATGTACAGTATGATCTCCTTTCATTAAAAAGTAAATATATATGTATATACTGTAACTCTCTAAGGTGTTAACTGTAATCTCTGAGTGATAGAAACATAGCATTTTTAAAAATATTTAGGTATCTATATAGCCTAACTTTCCACAATGCACATATATTGCTTTTCAATAATAAAAGAAAAAACAAAACTACAGCAAACATCATACTTCATAATGAGATGTCAAACATATAAGTCAAAAATACACCTATTAATTCTTCTATTTATCATTTTCTTATAGGTTCCAGCTAGCCCAATGAGGGAAGAAAAAAACTTAAAATGGAGTAAGAGGAAGGAAAAGGACAATAATAAAAAACTCAAGCAGAACAGAGCCCTCAGAAATAATGCCGCATATCTACAACCATCTGATCTTTGACAAACCTGAAAAAAAAAGAAATGGGGAAACGATTCCCTATTTAATAAATGGTACTGGGAAAACTGGCTAACTGTATGTAGAAAGCTGAAACTGGATCCCTTCCTTACACCTTATACAAAAATTAATTCAAGATGGATTAAAGACTTAAATGTTAGACCTAAAACCATAAAAACCCTAGAAGAAAACCTAGACAATACCATTCAGGACATAGGCATGGGCAAGGACTTCATGTCTAAAACACCAAAAGCAATGGCAACAAAAGCCAAAATTGACAAATGGGATCTAATTAAACTAAAGAGCTTCTGCACAGCAAAAGAAACTACCATCAGAGTGACCAGGCAACCTACAGAATGGGAGAAAAATTTTGCAATCTACTCATCTGACAAAGGGCTAATATCCAGAGTCTACAATGAACTCAAACAAATTTACAAGAAAAAAACAAACAACCCCATCAACAAGTGGGCAAAGGATATGAACAGACACTTCTCAAAAGAAGACATTGATGCAGACAAAAGACACGTGAAAAAATGCTCATCATCACTGGCCGTCAGAGAAATGCAAATCAAAACCACAATGAGATACCATCTCACACCAGTTAGAATGGCAATCATTAAAAAGTCAGGAAACAACAGGTGCTGGAGAGGATGTGGAGAAACAGGAACACTTTTACACTGTCGGTGGGACTGTAAACTAGTTCAACCATTGTGGAAGTCAGTGTGGTGATTTCTCAGGGATCTAGAACTAGAAATACCATTTGACCCAGCCATCCCATTACTGGGTATATACCCAAAGGATTATAAATCATGCTGCTATAAAGACACATGCACACGTATGTTTATTGTGGCACTATTCACAATAGCAAAGACTTGGAACCAACCCAAATGTCCAACAATGATAGACTGGATTAAGAAAATGTGGCACATATACACCATGGAATACTATGCAGCCATAAAAAATGATGAGTTCATGTCCTTTGTAGGCACATGGATGAAGCTGGAAACCATCATTCTCAGGAAACTATCGCAAGGACAAAAAACGAAACACCACATGTTCTCACTCATAGGTGAGAATTGAACAATGAGAACACATGGACACAGGAAGGGGAACATCACACACCAGGGCCTGTTGTGGGGTGGGGGGAGGGGGGAGGGAGAGCATTAGGAGATATACCTAATGTTAAATGACGAGTTAATGGGTGCAGCACACCAACATGGCACATGTATACATATGTAACTAACCTGCATGTTGTGCACATGTACCCTAAAACTTAAAAGTATATTAAAAAAAAAACTCAAGCCAGTTTACAGATAAATGATTAGAACTTAAAATGAAGTTCAGCAAGATTAGCGGATATAAAGTTGACATACAGAAATCATTTGCATTCTCAAGACACCAGCAAAAACAGAAACTTAAGTTTGAAAAAGATACAGTGGTGGACATCTACTTGCCCCTCCAGATTTCCCTCCACCCTTCTCTACACTGGTGGTGCCTTGGAAGACTGGCTGGCAACTAACTGTCTGTCTTGCTCTTTGAGCTCTCATTGGGTTTAGCTTGTGGTTGCATCATCAGAAGATCCAATGAAGGAAGAAAAGAAGATGAGGTTTGTGTTGCCTCAACTGTCCCTCTGAGGTTGTTCTTGGTGAGCTGCATCCTTTGACCAAAGTTCACAGCTGCCATCAAAGGGGTCTCTTCACATAGCTCTTTCTATCTTTGGGCTCTAGAAAAGTGCCTTCTCCCCTTTCCCTTAGACTCAGGAGTAGTGATATTTCCCCAAAGTTACTGGCTCCTGGGTACTGTACAATTCCTGCTGATCTCCTTAAACCTCGTCTGCATCTTTTTAAATGACTCACTTTGAGGGTACTGTTTCCTGTTTCGACCCCAAATAATAATATAGATATTATTTATGACAGCAACAAATAATTTAAAATATCTAGGAATAAATCTAACAAAAAAGCATGAAATCTTTATAGAGAAAATTATAAAACTTAAAAGACATTTTTAAAAGACAAAATAAAGATGCACCGTGTACATGAATAGAATTTAAATTGTTTGGCTTTTTAAAAGTTGATACATAAATTCAATTAAATTCCAATAAAGTTCTCAACAGTTTTTTCCATGAAACTTGACAAGGAAAATCAAAATTTATATAGAAGAATAGAGGGCAAAGAATAGCCAAAAATGTTCAGAAGAACAAATTAAGGTCTTGCTCTACAAGGTAGCAAGTATTATTATAAACAGATCATAATTAAAACAGTATGAAATCAGTACATTATAGATTAATAGGGAGAGATAGTGGTGCAGGGACCTTGTTATCCATATGGACAAAAGAGTAATAAAATTGGACACCTACCTCACATTATCCAAAATAAATCCCAGGTGAATTAAAGGTGTATTATGAAAAGCTTTATGATCTGAGATTAGTAAATGATTACTGAAGGCAAAAAGCAGAAAACATAAAATGATAAATTTGACTATATTAAATTTAAAGTTTCTGTGCATTAATAGACATTTTAGAGAAAGTAAAAATATAAGTCATAGCTTGTCAAAGACAAAGTAGATGTACATGTACTACAGTGGAATATTCTCACAAACATGGTGTCTAAAGAGATTTGCAGAAATATGACTCCATCTTATTACAGCATGCAAAATAGTATCACATATCTCTTACAAGTTGAAAGTATAAAGGCATGCACAAGAATGATAAACACTATTAAATACAGTACAATGTTATCTCTGGGTGGAAGAAATGAGACAGGAGAGGTGCTCTGATGCACAGAGCCAGGTTCCACATTTTTTCTTGTGTCAGATTATGGATACATGGGTGTTTATATTATTCTTCTCACCTTTCTGTATGTCAGAGATATTATTGGTGCAAATAAACATGACACAGAAGTAGAAACTGGATATTGGAAATCAAAGTTCAATAAACTAGAACTTTTGAGATTTAATTTTTAAATCTAAAGTAGATATGAACTATAATATTTAAGAGAAACATAGAAAATATCAGTACTGCTTAAATACATAAGCATTAAAAGGAGTGCATGGGCTGGGCATGGTGGCTCATGCCTGTAATCCCAGCACTTTGGGAGGCCAAGGCAGGCAGATCACTTGTCGTAAGGAGGTCGTGACCAGCCTGGCCAACATGGTGAAACCACATCTCTACCAAAAAACACAAAAATTAGCTGGGCATGGTGGCAGGTGCCTGTAGTCCCAGCTACTCGGGAGGCTGAGGCAGGAGAATCACTTGACCTGGGAGGTGGAGGTTGCAGTGAGCCTAGATCACGCCACTGCACTCCAGCCTGGGCAACAACTCCATCTCAAAAAAAAAAAGAAAAAAAAAAGGGAGGATATGATGAGATACTTCTCTATTAACTGGAAATCCAAACTGATTTTTTTTTACTAAAAAATTTGCTAGAAAATAAACCAACATGTCTTTCTATTAATAATTCAATGTTGACCCAAGTACAGGTAAAGGCAAGGGAAGGGAAGGCAGGCAGAAAGCCAAAGAAAAATAAAGAGAACATAATGGAATTAGATAAAGTAGACGTGGGCAGAATTAAATTCCCTGATCACAGATATCCTTGAGAATTTCAGAAATTGGTGAAGAACTTCCTAAAACCACTGTCATTTCATAAAACTCTAGCAGAGTGCCTGCTGAGGTTCTGAATACTAGGGGGGAGGGGGGCGGTGGGGGGAAGTCAGTACAACTTTTTTTAAATAGAAAAGAATGGTTTAAGTATTACAATGTGTCTATCAGGTCAAATTTCTTGGCCTGAAAGCTTTTGAACCTTTTGTGAAAGCATTAATTTGCAATCTTAAAAAATAATGTTGGACTTAAAATCAACATGAGTTGGTGAAGATTAAAATCTGTCAGTTTAATCTAATTTTCTTCTATGACAGGTCTGTTAAAGGGCAGCGACAGTGTAATTAATTGCTTGAGGCTCAGAAACCCAATTAATCTCTAAGTTGACTTTTATTTCACAGAATGTTAGTGCTACATGAGGCCTCAAGGATATTCTACCCTATCCTCTTCATTTTATAGAAGAGGAAATAGACATCAGGGAGGTTAAATGACTTGTTCAAGGTCAAAGATACTGTCTATTCTTGCCACCGTACCCTATAAATTGATTCAGTATTGCATCCTTAAAGCTTGTATGAGTTTCTGTGTTTCTGATCATGACATACTATTTGAACACAGATGGTTCTTTTGTTATAGTCTTTTATAAAATACCTGGACATTCATCTCACGAATGTTTTCTTGTAAGGGTTTTCAAGCCTCAGTTTTTAAAATTTGAAACATTTTCCATACTCTTTATGCAGTAACAGTTGTAAAAAGGGAGTGGGGAAGAACTGTGTCCTAATTTGCATACTTAGCAGGCGAACTCTGGGAAGGAGATGCAGTAGGTGTTTTGCCTTAAGTGGGATGTTGGGAAACAGGGATTGCAGTTTGACCGTGTGAGTGATGTCTAATCCAGGTGGTACTTGCAGGCCATGCCATCCCTCAAGGATTCTATGTGTCTGATTCCAAGATGTGGGCAGAAAATCTAGCATGTAGAGTATTTTTAGAGAAGAGCTCAGTGAGGCAGCAATAATAACAAATATGATGTATGAGAAGATCAGAGGAAATGAGAGCCACTATCAGTGTGGGAAGCATGGTGGTATGCCATATGTCAGTGTGGCAGCCATGGAAGTGCCCTGCTCAGAATTGTCCTTAGGGGAACCTGCTGCAAGGAAGGTGCTCCTCCCTGAACCTCCAGATGCTACACATTCAGATTTGCTGCTGCGTCCATGCTGAGACCATGCTATCCCCTAAGTACTCCTGGCCAATGCCAGGATATGAGAGCCAGGGCTTTTGACACAACATGGGACATATCTAATGGGAAGTCTTTGCTTGGAGACTTCCCATTAGCCTGGTAGAAACTCTCTCAGAATTGTGCTGCTGCTTGAGGCTCCTTTTTCTTTTCCTCTCTGCTTTTATGAGTTAGATCTATATTATGGTCTCTTTTTCCCCTCCCTCTTTAGCTTTCTTAGGACTTTCTCCAAATAAACCTCTTGACCATCCAATTCCATCCCAGCATTTGCAACTCAGAGGACGCTAACTGATGCAGAGTGTGGCGATTGCCCTGGTCGATGCCAAGGAGGGATAAAAATATACATAACTTGAGTAGGAATTAGGATCTTATTCTGCTGGTGGGGACTGATTAGCAATGGTTTCTCTTTGGTTGTTGTAGTTACCATTATCGCAGTTCCTCATTTATGCTCTCTCATGATGGCACGGCATTAGGATAAATGCATTGTAGTAAAATTTACTTCCAGAGAGAAAAAAAATCCATGTTTTCACAGATTCTAAGACTTTTTTTTTTTGCATTTTAACCTTTCTGAAATTGGGATATCTTTAAATAGATTATTTGCTACAATTTAATTAGTAGGATTGTTTTCTTCTTTACTGATGAATAAAATAATGGTGCATATCATTGATGATGTCATAGATTTGATCAAATTTATCAGCTCAGTTCAGGTCACCAGATGCCAGTTACTATAACAGATTCTAAAGAACTAAGGGGCTGGATTAGGTTTTGTGAATTATTATTTGACTATTTCTTAGGTATATCTACTAGGAAAGGAAAGAAAAACCCTAAGGAACAGAATTATATGGTGGAGAGGTACACAGTTGGTAACTGTTGCTCTGAATACATTAGTAGAGAAATAGCCAGAGAAGCATAAAAAAAATAGGAAGCAAGAATGTCTCTCATCACTTATGGTGCTATTCACTTTTTTACTCTTCCCATTTTCTTTCTTTTTTTTTTTTTTTTTTTTTTTTTTGCTACTTTTATGACTAATGCTGCCTTAGAGGCCACTATTACCTTGTTGTTCAGGTTATTCTGTAATCCTCATAGCAATATCTTATAAAACAAGAGACCTATGATAGGTTAGGTTTTCACTCTATATATTGAACTCCTCATTGATATGTGGACAGAAATCAACAAGTAGAGGACCAAGCAAACTAATTAAGTTTACCCACCATCTCCAGTGGGATGGGTCAGATGGAAGGATCTGTTTCCTTGATTCCTGTCACATGTACCTGTTGATCTAATTGGATTCCTTGGCACTACCTGCTTATAAAATTAGTATTGAAAGTGTTGTTTCCTTTCTCTCCAGATGCTGCCTTTATGCCTGCATCAGTTTTCCCTAGCATTCCCCATACTTCCAAATTAGGAAGTCTCTGCTTCTAACAAAATATCGTTGTTATTGCTGATATGGACACAAATCAGCAAGTACTGGATACCTAATACAATTTAGTAATTGTCATTATTGTTCTATAAATACTATGTAGAACATATATTGTATAATATTCTATGAGCACATCGCATTTCATTATGTATAAATTGTTATATCATCTACGATACTGTTAACATGATATCTTTTATTACAGTCAGAGTAATTAATTGTAATACAAATTTTAATAAAACAAAGCTGGGTTTGCCTAGGAAAGAGTAAATGAGGAATCACTTTGGTTTACTACTCTATAATTATTGGAAGGATTGGTACAATTAGTTGAAAATACTTCAAATATGTCTGATTCAGTGATTCTTTGAAAAAATTATTTGGAGTGGAGTGATGCCATTGACATTGTGGGAAAAATTCTTAAAATGTGAACTTTGCTATAATTCAAAGAGGTATCTTCCTAAGATTGAGAAAGAGAGGCAATATGGTCTAACTCATTTTCAAAACTTTCTGACCTTCACCCTTAGTAAGATACATATTTTACATCGTGACCCAATATATACATTCTATCTATCTATTGATAGGTCAATCAATCATCTATCTAGAACTAAAAAGTGTCACAAAACAATACCTAGTTAACTAGATTTGATGCACTCTATATTTTCTGGGCTATTCTATTCCATTTCTTTTTAAATACTGTTTGTGATCCATAGTTTGAAAAATGCTGGATTCATGAAAAATGAGCTAGGAGACAGACTTCGTACAAATCTCTGTCCCATGATTACCCCTTTCTACGAGCTTGCCTAGTTAATTCTTTCCTTTGAATCTTGTTTTCTTCATCTATAAAGTGAATGGGGTTGTTTTACTAAGTAAAGACAATTACATGTGAAGTGATTGGCACGTAAGAGGCACTCAATAAATCAATAAATGATAAGGTAGCAGGATAATGTTTTCTAATATTAATCAAGTGTTTTCCACTACATTTCCTTACGCGCTTTGTCGTCTATTATGAAGGCAAGGTTGTTACAGAACTGCTAGACTGTTCTTACCTGTTTGGTCTTTCAGTTAATTGATTCAGTGTCTCTTTCTCTTTCTCTGTCTCTCTCCCTCCCTCCCAGACATCTGTCAGCAGTCCAACAGTCCAAGCAGGGTCCAAGGACAATGTAGACAGCCCTGGGCCTCTGCCTTACTTCCTGTGCTCACAGCAAGCTTAGCCTCTTTGGCTCTCCCTCCTTGGTGACCACATTCTTTATCTGCTGTTCCCCATGGAGGGCAGCTGTGTTCCTCTTTTTCCCTAGGACCTTAGAGTCAGTGCCCAGCTTCTGAGTGCCCAGTTATTCTCCTTTCCCAAGATGCTGCTGCTCAGGTTTTCCACAGTTTGCCTCTTCTGGGCTGGCCCCTCTGGCCCTCCAGACACACTTCTCTAGGTACATAGCTGATATGCCACAATTTAATTAGCCATTCCCTAAACACTGCATGTTTAGATCACCCATTTTTGTGGTGTTTTGTTTTTGTTTTTTTGCTAAATTAGAAAATTTTGCAATAAATAAAATCGTGCCTTTAGTCGTTTAAAATTTTTGGTCTGGTTAAGTTTTCACTAGAAAAATTGCCATAAATATATCAAATGTCATCAAATTTGGTACCTTTTTAAAGTTAAGAAATGAAAAAAATCCATATAAACATAGTTTACACATGTATATATCTCTATATAAATATAGGTATATATGTATACTTTTCTTTTTACCAATAAGAGCTTATATAATTCAGAAGGGGATTCCTCCACTCTTCATGATGAATTTAATATGGTCATCTTTACTTCACCGCTAGCCAAATTACAGTCTCTGTGCATCATATAACAAATTCCTAATGACATCACAAGTTATTTGACATCACAAATTCTGTATTCCATTCCTATATACATAATATGTAGATGCCAGTCTTCTATTTTACTACTCATTTACAAATAGTGGCTTTTCAATAAAATTACCCAGGTAAATTTTTATTCATATCTACAATGAATAAGCATTCTTTCTGTGTAGTGTTCTCAACCCTAGAAATCAATATATTACAATTCTGTAGTTCTTTCTCAGTGTTATGCTAGAATTCATGAAGTCAGCAATCTCCTATTCCTGTAGACATAGTGAAGATGCAAGAGCAAAAGTGAAAGTGAGAGACGAGGAACGAAAGACATCCACTAAGCCTGGGTTTCAGTGAGCTCACCAACCATTTCTTCATGTCTCTTTACCCCTAACAATTATTTAGCACTTGATCACATCATCACACAGTCCATATGATTCCCAGATTATGGTGGCTAAAATATCCAGAAACAGATTTTCTTGTCTTAATGAAACAATCAAATTCAATATATGGAAGTTAGCCTATTCTGCATCAACCAGAAAGTAGTCACTTCCTAACTGCATATGACAGACAGAAAAAGTACTAAAGGAAGTTATATACAATGAAACCATTAAATGCAGATTTGCCACAAGGCAAGATGGTAATACTTGAACATTATGAAGTGCAGAAACTGCACAAGCACATTATATTTTAAACACTTCATCTATTTAACAAACTATGTACCCTCTTCAGCTAAATAAGATGAATTGAGATTCAAGAGGCAGCACCATACTAGCAAATCTCATCCTAAAGGCATCCATTAATATAAATCAACAGCAGCAATTTGGTTTGATCACTTATTTGCAAGAATCATTAAGGTTTATTAGCATAATTGTTCCCTCTGGGATTTCATGTCGAGAAAATGAAGAATGGCATTATCAATATTTAAAAGATAAGTGTGTAATGTTCAGAGTATTTCAACAGTCATCTGCAGGTGGTGTCCAGCTGCAGCAAATTAGATTAGATTTGGGCATTTTTCTGAACGAAAGAAAAATTGTTTTGTTCTAATTGCTTTATTTTATAAAGCAATACCATTTCGTAAATAATTTTTACTGTATAGCTACACTTAACAGTGCACATCTATTAACATGCTTTATTTCAGATCAGCAACTCTGTTAAGTTCAACCCTGTTATATTGTAACTACTGGGGGACATTAATCAGTATAATTCATCATCCATTATAAGGAAAAGCTCCTTCCCCTCAGTACTCTAGACATTTTAGTCTAGACTTGTAGGTAAAAAGTTGTTTTCTAGAGGGAAATGAACGAGAAGACTTCCTTGTAATGTTGGGAAGGCATAAGTCCTCCCTTAACAATGAAGTATCATTTATGATAGTAATAATTTATTACTAGAAATAATATTTAAATGTAATAATTGTTTTTTAATAATGACATGCAATGGAATGTTATTTAGTGATAAAAATAAATGAGCTATCAAGTCACATAAAGATTTGCAGGAACCTTTAAATGAGTTTTGCTAAGGGAAAGATGCCGGTCTGAAAAGGCTACATACTGTATGATTCCAAAGATACGACATTCTGGAAAAGGCAAATCTATAGAAACAATAGAAAGATTAGTGGTTCCCAGGGGTTTGGGAGGAAGGAGTGAGGGAGAAATGAATAGGTAGAACACAGAGACTTTTTAGGCAGTGAAACTATTCTGTATGATACTGTAATAATAGATATATGACAATATGTCTCAATTTTCTGACCTCAAGCAACCTTCTTGCCTCAGTCTCCCAAGTAACTGGGATTACAGGTGCAAGCCACCACTCCTGGCCAGATACATGACATTATGTATTTCTCAAAACCCACCTGGGAGCAGTGGCTCATGCCTATACTCCCAGCACTTTGGGAGGCCAAGGTGGGTGTATGACTTGAGGTCAGGAGTTCAAGACCAGCCTGGCCAAACTGGTGAAACTCCGTCTCCACTAAAAATACAAAAATTTGCTTGTAGTCTCAGCTACTTGGGAGGCTGAGGCAGGAGAATCGCTTGAACCTGGGAGGTAGAGGTTGCAGTGAGCCGAGATCATGTCACTGCACTACAGACTGGGCAACATAGCCAGACTTCATCTCAGAAAAAAAACAAAACAAATCCTCATAGACCTGTACAAAACAAAGAGTGAACCCTAATGTCAATTACGAACTTAATCATATTAATATTGGTTCGTCAAGTGTAACAAATGTACTACACTAATATGTAATGCTAAAAATAGGGGAAATTGTATGGGTGCGGTGGGGAGGAGAGGTGAGACGGGGAATTCTCTGTATTCTGTCAATTTTTCTGTAAACCTAAAACTGCTTCGAAAAAGGAGCAAAGTCTATTAAAAATGTAGTAATTGTTAGGATAATTTTTTAAAGGTTAAAATCAGCTAATTGTTACAATTGATTAAATTTGTCTTGGATTTAGGTCAATATTCTGGCCAAAAATCTTTTTCTCAGATTACCTATGAAATTATATGAATCCTTCTACCATATCCAAGGGTATACTGGAAATGAGGAATTATAACTGAAGTTCCCTTTAGAGACGAAAGTCTTCATTTCGAGAAGTAAACAGTAAAAAACATACATGTTTGCTGAAATACTTTGCAATGTCACTATTTCACTATTAGGAATTAACAAATTAAACCCCACACTCTATTGAATGTGTTATACCCTGTTCAACCCTGAACCCATGCCTGTCTCCTGTCTCTTCTATACAGTGCCCAACCCTTTGCGGAGATGGATATGCCAAGAAGAGAAATTTATAGCAGGCTGCCTGCTTTGCTCCATTCCAGATCAATTTACACAGAACACCCAGAGGGCAGGTTTACGCCTTCTCTCCATTTCTCTCAAACAGTGATGGCAATGAGTGGAGTACTAGAGACAACATAGATATGCAACCACGGGATAAATGACCAAAGGACAGAGAGACGAGCGACCTCAGTTGTATGATGGAACCAAGAGAAGTCGCTGATTTTTAGTTGTTTTGATCTGGTTGTAAGGATGGGGTGACAACTTCCAAGCTTTTACACGTCAGCACTGAAACTGCAAGTCCCATTTGTTATTAATCTTTAAGCAGACATATTGCTACAGAAGACGGACTCCAAATTAGAATAACACAAAGTTATACCACTAATCACCTTATACAAATATTTTAGTGTTGACAAGATTTCTCTGAATGTATCATTTCTAAAATCAGTATATCTAATTTCTCTGATCCATTATCATTCTTAAACTTCCCATTTAAAATGGACTTTAGTGTCTAACCTGCCTATGGAATGAACCAGATCAACATCCTGCCATCATGTAACGTGCTCTCTCTTGGTACCTGGACCACATAGCAGAGTAAGATTCATGTGGCTCATAGATTTTAGTCCCAAAATTTACCAGCAGCTTCTGCGGGGGGGGGGGGGGGGCGGGGGGGTGAAGTGAAGGCTGCTGGAAGCTCGTGCTACCCTCAGTGCCTCACAACCCAGCAAAGGGGACAGCGACCTGGACTCCCATTGCTGAGGATTAAACCAGTCATCGTCCCTAGCAGAGACCTGGCTGACTAGGCACTTAGTGTGCGGGATGCTCCATGCGTGGAAATTTCCTTCGGCTCCATGCATTAGGCAGTAGTTTGCGTATTTCTCTGTGCGCAGTCTCCACAGTCCCGAACTTGGCTCCCAAACCCACTGAAACCACAGTTCGGCCGCTGGAGGGAAATCGAGCTTCCCTAGCCCACTGCAAAGTGCTTGGGTCAGGCCACAGTCTGAACTTCCCGCTTTTCTAGTTTAGACCTATAGAAGTAGCCCTCCTGCCCTGGTCCTAAGAAGCTCAATGCCGATTGTATCTTATCGCGTCCAATGGGAGGCCACGTTCTGCGTGGGTCACTTTTGGTCGAGCGGAGGGCGCGCAGCTCCACCGTTGCCAAGACGCCGCGTAAACACCCGAGCGCGCGCAGCCAGGTGCGCTCCTTGGGGCTGCTGGCTGCTGCGTTTGCGGCGGGAGGTGGTGGCCGCGGTCCCACGAGAGGGGGTATTTTTCGTCAGCCAAGATGGTGAGCCAGTTGGGGGACTTGAAACTACTTGTTTATTGTTGATTTAATTCTAGTTTGGCGCTCATCTGCTTCTAAAAAAGGATTTTAAGTGCTTAATCTGGTCATTAATTGGGGAACTTGTATTTGCTTTCGGAGGCTTCAGGTGCTATTAGAAGGGACGCTCGCGGTGGTTTCCAGCTTTTTTGGCACTTTTCGCATAGTGTATTAAATACATCTTTAAATCTGCCCAATAGAACCTCTGAAGAAATAAGTAGATATAAAAGTGTAGGAGAAAGCGAATTGATAAATAGCGGCGAATTGACCTATTACATTTATGTTAGGAAAATCTGACCAGCTTCTGAACAGCACTTTATGGCCCTGTGGTGGTAGTCGTGGTGGTGGTGGTGGTGGGTGGAATGAGGGGAGGAGAAATTCCCTGGTGGTAGTAAAGATCTGGGTCTGTAGGGTGCGATTAATCCTAGCACAGCTATTTATTAGCTGCAGAACCTTGGGTAAAGTTACTTTTCATGTTTCATCTATAAAATAGGTAATAATAACAGTACCTATTTAATCGATATGTGAACATATTTACCACGTTTACTTTTTATTCGGTATACTCCTTTGAATTTAGGAAGGAAGCCAGGCTCTTCGTATCCTTTCTTACTAAGGTTTATATCAATACATTTTTTAAAATTAGATTTTGGAATATCAAAATATGCATCTTTTTTTTTCTTCCATCGTAGGGTTCCAAAAGGAGAAATTTGAGCTGTAGTGAAAGGCATCAGAAATTAGTAGATGAAAACTACTGCAAAAAATTACATGTCCAAGCTCTAAAAAACGTCAACAGTCAAATCAGGAATCAAATGGTGCAGAATGAAAATGATAACCGTGTTCAGCGCAAGCAATTTCTCAGATTATTACAAAATGAACAATTTGAGTTGGATATGGAAGAGGCCATTCAAAAGGTAAGTTTTACTATTCATTGTTACTTTTTTTTTCATTTTGCACCTTGGAAACGATGAAAGTCAGCTGTTAATGCTGGAAATGAGTAGATAAACAACAGCAGCAGGTAAGTGATGCCTGATTGTGCCTCAGCTCGGTGTAATCGTAAAGACCTGGGTTTCTGGAGCCGGCCTGTCTTTGAATCCTACTACTGCTATACCTTAGCTACGGACCCTTGAGTAAGTTGCTTTTACTTTTTTTTTTTTTTGGATGGAGTCTTGCTCTGTCGCCCAGGTTGCAGTGCAGTGGCACGATCTTGGCTCACTGCAACCTCTGCCTCCGGGGTTCAAGCGATTCTTCTGCCTCAGCCTCCTGAATAGCTGGGACTATAGGCGCGCAACACCACGCCTGGCTAATTTTTTAATTTTTAGTAGAGACGGGGTTTCACCATATTGACCAGGCTGATCTCGAACTCCTAACCTCGTGATCCGCCCGCCTCGGCCTCCCAAAGTGCTGGGATTATAGGGGTGAGCCACCGCGCCCAGCCTGCTTTTATTTTTTATGCTTTTTCTATAAAATGGGGAATAAGAATAGTACCTCCTACTTAGGATTGTTTTAATAATGAGTTAATACATGCAAGACTCTTGGAATAGTGCCTGGTACAGAATAAGCACTCAGATTTTTTTTTAACATAAATATGAACTCTGTAATTACTACCAGTTTTGTTCATGTAAGTACAATTGTGTTGCCTTTCATAAATTTCTAAAAACAAAAATTTAGGGGTGCCTTTAAAAAATTTACTGAAATTAATGTATACATTATTAAGTGGTAGAAAATGAACCCTTAGGTATATCTCAACATTTTAAGGGATTAAGGTGGTAGAAAAGGGAAACTAATAAGAATTGAGACATGATAGAAGTGAATTCTCATAAATATATAAAAGGTATTCTGATATGTCAGTAGTTTTTGAGTAGCTGCTGTATGTTAAACATTTTGGAGGATTTTGTGGAGAATAACAAAAGCAAATTTAAAAAATGATATCCACCCTTCTGTGTTCCAAATTCAAAAGCTTAGATATGATTTTTTTTTTTAACTCTGAGAAAGCACATCTTAGGGGTTGGATATTTTTCCTATTCTTATTATTTTCTCTTTAATTTGAAAGAATATCCCAGGTATCACACCAACTCTTTCCTACATAGTTAAGTGTACATCTAACAAAATATGGATGTTTTCTTACATGGAGTACCATAATACTATTATCTCACCCATTCCATAAACACATTTCTGTGATTGTGTCAAAAATCTGCTTTTACAGTTGGTTTGTTTTAACCAAGATCCAAGGAACATTCATACGGTGTATTTGGTGGTTATGTCTGTTTAAGTCCCTCTTAATTGAAAACAGCCCCTCCTTCACCGTGTTTTTCTTTTTTGACTTCATGTTTTTAGCTTGCTAAACTAAGCCAGTTGTTTTATCCAGTAGCCCACATTCTGAATATACGTGTTTGCTTCCTCATGTTCCTTTAATTTATTTCCCTATCTGTTATATTTCCTCTAAATAGAACCTAGCCATAAAGACACAATTAGATTGCGGTCCACCTTTTTTGGCAAGAATACTCCATAGGTGATGCTGTCTTTGTCATTGTGTCACAACAGGGAACACATGAGGTCTGGTTGTTCCACTTTTAGTGATGCCAGTATTGATCAGTGGGTTTAGGAAGACAGTCTGGTTTCTCCACTGTAAAGGTTCCCATCAAACTTTCATCTGTGGTTTCACAAAAGAATTTTTTCTTTCATTAGTGGTTACAAAAACTGATTTTCTGATTCTTTTATTCCTTTCACATTTAATTAGCTGAAATTCCTCTGTAAAGAACTTCACCTTGGGCCAGCACAATTGCTCACCCATATAATTCTAGCACTTTGGGAGGCCAAGATGGAAGGATCTCTTGAGCCCAGGAGTTCAAGGCTGCAGTGAGCTATGATCTTGCCACCGCACTCCAGCCTGAATGACAGATACCCTGTTCCCCTGCCCCCACCCCACAAAAAAAAAAAAAAAAAAAAAAAAAAAAAAAAAAACAACAACAAAAAAACACTTTGTTATTGACTAGGGTTATTTATTCTTACTGAAAAAGGAGACAGTTAATTTTCAGAGTAAGGAATTGGTGTCCTATTTTCTTCCATTGGTGTCTACCTATGTTGTGGTTGTTTTTAAATTTTTGTTTTATTTAGTTTTTGACTTTGTCTCTTTTTAAAAATACCTTTATGGACTCATAGATATTTATGTACTTAATTGCATTTATTATTATTTTTGATGCTCAAATTATCTCATCCTTGGCCAATGGATGCCCTTTTATATTGCCTCTGTGTCGTTTTTTTTTTTTTTTTTTTTTTGAGACAGAGTCTTCATCTGTCTCCCAGGCTGGAGTGCAGCCGCACCATCTCGGCTCACTGCAACCTCCGCCTTCTGGGTTCAAGAGATTCTTCTCCCTCAGCCTCCCAAGTAGCTGAGATTACAGGCCTGCACCACCATGCTAGGCTAATTTTTGTATTTTTAGTAGAGATGGGGTTTCACGATGTTGGCCAGGCTGGTCTTGAACTCCTGACTTCAAGTGATCTGCCTGCCTCGGCCTCCCAAAGTGCTGGGATTACATGTGTCAGCCACTGCACCTGGCCCTCTGTGTCCTTTTGACAATATTTCCTTAATCTTTGATACCTTCCTTGCTTTTTGTCAAAACAAACTGTTCTAGGCTTGTGATAATTTTATGTGTCAACTTGACTGGGCCTTGGGGTTTCTAGGTATTTGATAAAACATCATTCTCGGTGTTTCTGTGAGGTTGTTTTGGATGAGATTAGCATTTAAATCCATAGACTGAGTATAAAGCACATTGCCCTCCCTAATATAGGTGGGCCTCATCCGATCAGTTGAAGGCCTGAATAGAACAAAAAGACTGACCTTCTTTTGAATAAGACAGAATTCTTCATGCCTGATTGCCTTTCAGCTGGGACATTTCCTTTTTTTCTAGTCATTGAACTCAAACTAAAACATTGGCTCTTTCTGGGTCTTGAGCCTGCTGGTTCTCAGGCTTTAGGACTCAAACTAGAACAAAACCATTAGTTCCTCAGCTTGCCAGCTCACCTTGCAGATCTTAGAACTTGCCTGCCTTCATAATCACTTACTCTGGAGAACCCTGACAAATACAAAATTTCTCTCTTATATTTTTTGTCCTACACCTGGAATCAGCCATTGTGCCAGGAAGCGCTGTTATCATTTAGTGGAAATAATATTTCAAGAAAACTTGGGTGCTAGGTTTACTCATAATTCTTGGGTTATCATTGCTTCCAGGTTTTTTCAGTGAACAAATCTTGGAAATATGCATATTTTTAACTTATTATTTTGAGATAAGTTTAGATTTATAGGAGAGTTGCAAAAACAGTGTAGAGAATTCACATATACCCTTCACCTGACTACTTCTTAACATCTTACACAGATGAAAATCATGGAAAAGTTATCAAAATGGAGAATTTAGCTTTCATGGAATACTGTTAACTGTGAGATTTATTCAGATTTCATCAGTTTGTCCACTAATGTGTTTTTGCTACTTGAGGACCATAGATTGCATTTAGTTGTCATGTATCCTTAGTTTTTAGCCTTGAGAGGAATGTGGCTATGTGTCCTGAGTCACATAGCATGCTGCTACAACTTCTGCTTTTCCAATTACAGATTAAATCTTCCTTATTCTTGTTCTGTAAATGATTAGGAAAGACACCAGAGATAAGACCCCTCAAGATCATTACCCTTTCTCATGGAATGTTCCTTGGAATGCAACTAATTAAATTGCTATAATATGTATACTGACCTTATATGGAAAATGTTGCAACCCTGTTAAGCTTCTCTGTCTCTGCCTATATAAGTGAAACCTTAACTTCCCCACGTTGGAACAATGACCCATTATTTTGGAGTTTGTGTTTCCTGAGTGGCTGTCCTCAAGCTTTGCATTTGAATAAACTATAGTCACATATATATATATATATATATATGTATTTTTTTTTTTTTTTTTTTTGAGACAGAATTTCGCTCTTGTTGCCCAGGCTGGAGTGCAATGGCGCAATTTTGGCTCACCACAACCTCTGCCTCCCGGGTTCAAGTGATTCTCCTGCCGAGGCCTTCCAAGTAGCTGGGATTATAGGCATGCACCACCACACCCAGCTAATTCTGTATTTTTAGTAGGGATGGGGTTTCTCCACGTTGGTCAGGCTCGTCTCCAACTCCCAACCTAAGATGATCTGTCCTCTTCGGCCTCCCAAAGTGCTCCCAAAGTGGATTACAGGCATGAGCCACCGTGCCCAGCCAGTCATTGTTTCTTCTCCAATCTTTGTCTCCTCTAGTTTGTAAGAATTCTTCACTTTTTGCTGTCTTTCATGACCTTGACAATTTTGAAGAGTACACGTTAGTTGCTGTAGTAGTTTTCAATTGCTAAGTAACGAATTACCACAAACTTAGCTGCTTAAAACAACACCCATTTATTATCTCAGTTTCTGCAAGTCAGAAATCTAGGTGTGGTGTAGCTGGGTACTAAATATATTCCCAAGAGATAATTGAAGGCATATATCTACATAAAAACTCATACACGAGTGTCTATAACAGCATTATTCATGACACCCAGAAAGTAGAAACCCAGATGCCAGTCAGCTGATAAATGGATAAACAAAATGTGTTACATCTATACAATGGAATATTACACAGCCATAAAAAGGAATGAATTACTGATACATGCTACAACACGGATGAACCTTGAAAACATTTTGCTAAGTGAA
This sequence comes from Homo sapiens, assembly GCF_000001405.40. Classification (NCBI taxonomy): domain Eukaryota; kingdom Metazoa; phylum Chordata; class Mammalia; order Primates; family Hominidae; genus Homo; species Homo sapiens. The sequence continues at coordinate 56,459,236 of NC_000015.10, read as the reverse complement.
ATAAACCAGATACAAAAGGCCACATATTGTGTGAATTCATTTATATGAAATATCCAGAATATGCAAATCCATGGAGACAAAAAATAGATAAGTAGGTGCCAGGGGTTGGGGGAAAAGGTGAGAGGAATAGTAAGTGACTGCTAATAGGTTACAGGTTTCTTTTGGGGTGATGTAAACATTCTGGAGTGTTGACATTTTATGCCACACACAAATGTACACACAGATGTGCTATATATAGTGTGTACATACAATCACCTATATATATCTATAGCATTTATAAAAATATAACATGGCAGCTTTATAGCTGCCATAGCACAAATGTTTATAATATATAGCAGCATTATTTATAAATGTCAAAATTTAGAAGCAACCAAGATGTCCTTCAGTAGATAATGGATAAACTGTGATACATCCAGACAATGGAATATTATTCAGTGCCAAAATGAAATGAGCTATGAAGCCATGAAAAGATGTGGAGGAACTTTAAATGCATATTACTAAGTGAAAGAAGCCAGTCCAAAAAGGCTCCATTCTGTATAATTCCGACTATGTGACATTCTGGGAAAGGCAAAACTATGGAAACAGTAAAAATGTAAGTTGTTTTTAGGATTTTAGGGAGGAAGGGTTGAATAGACAGATCACAGAGGATTTTTAGGGTAGTGAAATGATTGTGTACGGTAGATACATATGATTATGCATTGCCAAAACCCATAGAATGTGTACCACCAAGAATGAACCTTAATGTAAACTATGGACTTTGCGTGATAATGATGCATAGGTTTAAGTAATGTAAATACAGGTTTACTGAGTGTAACAAATGTACCAGTCTAATGGAGGAGGCTGATAGAAGGGGAAGCTGAGCATGTGTAGGGACAGGGAATATATGGGAACTCTGTGTACTTTCTGCTCAATTTTGTTGTGAACCCAAAACTTCAAAGTCTATTTTTTTTAAGGCTCTGGAACTAGATAGTGGTGATAGATACACAACATTGTGAATATACAACATCACTGAATTGTGAATTGTAAAAGGTGAATTTTATGCTATATGAATTATATCTCAATTATTAAAAAATAACATGTACCAAGAATGTTACATAAATGGCATCAAACTGTATGTAATCTTTTGGAATTAGCTTTTTTCACTTAGCATAATTCATGGAGATTCATCCAAGTTTTGCTTGCATTCTTTTTCTTTTTATTGCTGAGTAGTATCCCATAGTATGGATGTACCACAGTTTATTTGACCACTCACATGATGAAGGATGTCTGGAGTATTTTTGGTATTGGCTATTATGAATAAATCTGCTGTAAACATTTGTATACAGGTTTTTAAATAAAAAGTTTTCATTTCCCTGGGATAAATGCTTAAGAGGTAAAATTGTTGAGTTGTGTGATAATTGCATGGAGGCTTTTTTTTTTTTAAGAGACAGGGTCTTGCTCTGTTGCCCAGCTGGAGTGCAGTGGCATGATCATGACTTACTGCAGCCTTGAACTCCTGGTCTCCGGCGGTCCTCCTACCTCAACCTCCTGATACAGCTAGAACTACAGATTTGTGCCACCACACCTGGCTAATTTTCTGTAAGGACAGCACCTCTCTATGTTGCCCAGGCTGGTCTCAAACTCCTGGCCTTAAGGATCCTCCCACCTTAGCCTCCCAAAGTGCTGGGATTACACGTGTAAGCCACAGCGCTCAGCTGCATGTTAGTTTTATATCAAACTATAAAACTGATTTTCAGAATGCCTGTACCATTTTACATTCCCACACAGCAATATATGAGTGATAGTTTCTTGCCAGCATCTGGTGTTGGCACTGTTTTTTGTTTTAGCCATTCCAATAGGTACGTAGTAATATCTCCTTGCAATTCTAATTTGCATTTCCTGATGGCTAATGATGTTGAATATCTTTTCATGTGTTTTTATTAGATACTGAATTTAATCAAGCCTCTAGATCTTTCTGCCATTTTTACAGGAAATATAAAAGAGAAAAAAAGTTCAGTGATATATCCTGGGGAAGCAATCAGTCAAATGCAAAATGTGGAACATTCTACGGGATGTATGTCCTAATTTCTATAACAAGTCAGTGGCTTGGGGGAAAAATGTGTGTAGAGGTGATTGTTACAGAATATATAAGAGACTTAAGAAAAATAATAATTAGATGCAATATGTGGATCTTGTTTGGATTTTGATTTAAGCAAACCAACTAGAAAAGTATGTTGAGACAATTGGGAAAGCTTGAATATGAACATGGTATTAGACATTAAGGAATTATTGTTAATTAGACGTGTTGATGACATGATTGTTATATTTTTAAAAATTCTGATCAGGTAGATATTCATACTGAATTATTTACATGGTAAGTGACATGATGTCTAGGATTGTTTTAAAACACCCTAGCAGAAAAAGAATAAGGGAAAAAAGAGTGAAATGGAAGGTAGAGAAAAAAGATTAGCAGAATGTCGACAATTTTTGAAAACATGTGTGATGGGTACCTGAGAGTGTATTTAAATATTCTTCTTACTATTGGCAATACTTGAAATTTTCCATGATAAAATATTTTGAAAAAGTATTTATTGAAACAACATTTTGTATTTTAAAATAAAACATCATCAATTGTTGGCCTTAAGGCATTTAGTTTTCTGTTATAAAACAAATTCAACCTTGATGAAAAAAATCTGATTCTAGAGGACAAACAACGAAGTTAAATTTTTCGTTCAGGCAGAAGAAAACAAGAGATTGAAAGAACTCCAGCTCAAACAAGAAGAAAAACTGGCTATGGAATTGGCAAAACTGAAACATGAAAGTCTAAAGGACGAAAAGATGAGGCAACAAGTAAGAGAAAACAGGTATCTTGGTTTCTCTAAATTTCATTTATTTAGTCTTTATCTTTAAACTCTTATGTAATCCTTAGCACCTGAAAGTGAAATTTCTTTGTTTATGTCATTTCACTTAGTTAATATTTTACCTGGAAATACTTATTGCTTTAAGTTCTATAAATATTTATTTGAGAAAAGAAGTTGTATTCATGGAAGTCTGAATATTTACAGTGAAAAATAAATATCAGTCCCCCTGCTCTTTCCTTTACACATAAATTTTAAAATGACCTCTTATAAAAAATGAATTCCTAATCTTAAGAGAAACCTTAGGTAATAACTAGTTTAATTTTATACCTCTACATAAATTTCCTACAGTATTTCTGGAATGACTGTGGAGCCTGTGTTTCAGTACCTCTAGTAACTGCAGTAGGAACTTTAGTCTTAATGTTAAATTATCTTCCCCCCCATTGTTTTAAAATTAATTTCTCTGTGACTTCATGCATCTGTCTTCTTTAGATGTCCTTTCACATATATGAACGCACTAAATGTTTTCTTCTGTAAGTTAGCTATCCCTTGTTCCTTCAGTTGTTTCTTACATAACCTGGCTTTAAGTTTATTCATCATCCTGGTTTCTTCTCTGATTACAGTTTAAATTATTAGTATTCCTTAATTGCCCCCATACTTCCGTATAATACTCCAAGAAAGACTGCCAGATACTCCAGATGACAGGACACTATTCTAGAATGTTTCTTGATCCTGCCTAAGATCGAATTACTTTTTAGGAACAGCCTTGTCACAGTGTTAATCAAAACTCAGGGCCAAGTAAATGCTAATCATATACTTATGTAATTGAATATATTGGAAATTTACTTCGATAGTTGTTACATTTTATCTTAATTGAGCAGGACGTCTGTAGAATATTACAGGAAACATGGATGAGCTTCATGGATTTTGAACCTTGTTAAATTATATTAATATGTTTGGCAAATGTATCCATGTGTATTTTTCTGGCTCCACAACTCTAATCAGATTCTCTAAGAGATTACCGATCCTTAGAAATTTAGAATTACTGTTAAAATCTGCTTATTGTTCTAGTCTCAAACTATCTTTTTGGGCCCTAATTCTCCAACCATCATTAGCTGTTACTCATGGTTTTTTTTTTTTTTTTTTTTTTTTCACCTGACGATGAACTATTTCTTATCTCTAATTCCCTGAAAACAAGAATTAAATAGAAGAGATTTTCACTTCTAGCAATTGCAGATTAGGTTATTCAGATAAATGTTCCTCCTGAGAAAAAGTCTAGGAAAAGCATAAAATTAAGATCTGTGAAAGGAAGGAAACCAGAATGCAAGCTTGGCATTTGTAGTGGCATTTCCTCTAGAGGTTTCTGCTGATTCCAAACAATGGCTGAGAGTTAAGTGAAGCAGAGCTTGGCCAATAAGCATATGGCAGTATGTTCAACAGCGTTCTACAAGCTGTACACTTAAGATTTGTGCACTTTAGTGTGTGTTTTACTTCAATAATACAGAATTAGATTTTATTAGACACAGATTAAGGGATAATCTGTGAAAAGGTTCTGGAAAATATTCAGAATAAAGCATGGAGAGACAAAAGGATAGAAAAATACAGATGAGAATTTAAAAGAGATACGGGCTATGGTACAAAGTTCTAGCAGATGTATTAATATAATTTTAGTCCTGGTAGAGAGGTGAAAGAGGATAATACAGAAGCATTATGTGAGGAGATGCTGGCCTGGAATTTTCAGAACATTGCAAGTAATGAAAACAGTACTTTCACTCATCCTAATAAAACTTTTAAAATCCAACAGTAATAGAAAATCATAAAAAAGCAGCCAGAACAAAAAAGATGATTATCTCCAAAGAGACAACAGTAAGAAGTATGACTTAATCCTGAATAGAAACAGTAGAAATTAAAAGATAACAGATTTACCTGGGTACAAAAAAAATAGAATGAATGAGTAGGACCTAGTATTTCATAGCACAGCAGGGTGACTATAGTCAATAATAATTTCACTGGACATTTAAAAATAAAGAGTATAATTGGATTGTTTGTAACACAAATGATAAATGCTTGAGGGGATGGATACCCCATTTTCCATGATATGATTAGTATGCATTGCATGCCTATATCAAAATGTCTCATGTACCCCATAAATATATACAAATATATACTGTGTACCCACAAAAACTAAAAGGAAGAAAGTGCTTGAGTATATACAAAAAAATTTACAACTCAACCAGAATTTTATACCTTGTGAAAAATTTTTTCAAACTAAAAGTCATTCAGTTGAGTACTCTTTCACAGAGTATGCCTCCTCTCAGCAGTGTCAGAATTGCTAAGAGTGTTTTTATTTTGTGCACAAGCCATATTAAAATTTTCACTGTCATGCAGAAATGGACTGTATTTCAAATTGGCATGTCTAAATTCAGGGAACTGCTCTGGTGCTTAAAATGTGTCCTAATTTATTTAAAATCACCTATATTAAGATTTAGCTTTTTTAATGTAAAAGAAATTAATTTTTTAAATGCACGGCACATTTAAAAAATCATTGAAGTTTATTTTGAAAATATTTCTTTGAGCTCAGAAATCATGACTCCTGTTAATTGATTTTGGAACACATGGTTTTGTAATCCAAGAAAGTACTTAAAAGATAATTTAACTTTGCTGCTGTTTTTAACTGGAGTTGGGAAACTCACTGTTTATTTTTAGAAATCCTATTTTAAATTATGGCACTAAACAATTAGTAGTTATAATTAATTGCCCAATTAACTAAATGTATTTATTACACAGTTAACACATACTGTTATGAAAGCAAAAGCAAGTACCTCATATCTCATTTATATTTAAGTTCAGCAAAAACCATTTCAAAGAAAAGACAGAGACAGTTTTTCCTTCTTAATACTATTACCATTACCTAGCTTATACCAGTATAATTATGTTCTGGACTGATAATCAAGCTGTTAATTCATAAAATAGATGAGATAGATTAAAAGAGCACAAAATAACATTTTCTGAGAAACAAAAACAGAAGATTGATCACCAATAATCCTGCATTAAAGGGAATACTAGCAGTTCTTCATTAGGTATTAATAGAAGAAGAAAAATGATCCCAAGCTTAATTTCAGAACTGCAAGAGGTACATGTATAGTAAATTTAGTTGATATTTGAATGTATAAAATATTTATTATGTCTTTTGGGAATTAAAATATGTAAAGAGTTAAAAATATGACAAAATGAGATAGGAAGTAAATGAAGTTAAAGTCAAGAATCTTGCATTGTCAAATAATAATGAATAAATTTATTCACCTGGAAACAAAGAAACATGCTGTAATATCTGTAATAAAAATTTGGAAAAGAAAATATAACTGACTAATAGAGAATAAAATACGATAATAGGAATTGATTATTCCAAAAAACTCATGTAAAAAAGAGTTAACATAGCAGGCTTGAGGCTATCTTAGAAAGTCCTCCTTGCAAGTTTGGTCTTTGGCTGGTTTCTGGAAACTAGGCTTTTGAGAAGGTTCTTACCACCTTAACTGCTGAGGATGATTCACTGTGGCTAAAATGTGAAAACAATATGGATTAGGCCGGGTGCGGTGGCTCATGCCTGTAATCCCAGCACTTTGGGAGGCCGAGGTGAGTGGATCGCAGGGTCAGGAGATCGAGACCATCCTGGCTAACACGGTGAAACCGCGTCTCTACTAAAAATACAAAAAATTAGCCGGGCCTGGTGGCACACGCCTGTAGTCCCAGCTACTTGGGAGGCTGAGGCAGGATAATCGCTTGAACCTGGGAGGCGGAGCTTGCAGTGAGCCAAGATCGCGCCACTGCACTCCAGCCTGGGCGACAGAGAGAGACTCTGTCTCAAAAAAAAAAAAAAGAAAAAAAGAAAACAAAACAATATGGATTATACTGAATACCCATTTTCTTTCTGGGAGTCTGGAATATTGGTACGTTCTAAGTAGAGGGTGCCTAAGTTACCACCCCCAATAAGAACCCAGAGCACTGAGTTCTGATGAGCTCTAATGTTGTCTGCCAGGCATTTCACACGTCACAACTCATTGCTCGGGGAATTAAGCGTGTCCTGTGTGTTTCCACAGGTAGAGGCCTTTTGCACCTAGTTTTCTCTGAATTTCACCCATGTGCCTTTTTCCTTTGCCAATTTTGCTGTGTTTCGTTTCTTTATAGTAAGTCATAGCCGTGAGTATAACTATATGCTGAGTCCTGTATCCTCCTAGTGAATCATCTAACCTGATGGTGGTCTTGGGAACCCCCAACACAGAAGCAAACAGGAGAGAAGAGAGAACATAGGACAGGGAAGACAAGTAGAAAGAAGATATAAGCTTGTAAATGGAAACCCAATTATATTAGTAGTTATAGTAAACATATTTGAACCATTTGCCAAAATTGATGAAATGTTGTATCAGAATAAAAATATCAACAGATTTTCAGAGGAATCAATTTATACATAGTATTTTCTCTGTCCATAGTGGAATTAAACTAGACGTAAGTAATAAAAAAAAATCTAGGCAATCTTTATATGCTTAGGTATTTAAAAATGTGCTTCACATTACCCTTTGGTCAAAAAGTACAGATGCTCCTTGATGTACGATGGGTTCATGTCCCAATAAACTACATTTTCAATTTACGACAGGTTTATTGGGATGCATCCCATCATGAATTGAGGAACCTACTGTGAATGCATATGGTTTTCTCACCATTGTAAAGTCAAACCATCATTAATCAGAGACTGTCTATAATCAAAATTGAAATTAGAAAGTATTTTTAACTGAATAATAATGAAAATACCACATACTAAAAGTTGCAGGATTGGACTGATATTAGCAAAATAGCAGAGTAGGCAGCTCCCAGCTCCTGTCTCTCCTCCCAGCCCATCCCCCGACTACAAACATCAGAAAACAAGCAGAAACTCTCAGAACCAATTTTATAAGAAATTTGGGTAGCATTCAAAGGTTTATTGCAATCAAGCAAATGCTGAAACAAGAAAAAGCCTAAAAATGGTAGTAAAGTTCTGTGGTATCTTCACTTGCCCTTTCCTCATTCCCTCCTAGCTCAGAGGCAGGTAGCCCTTGTTCCCAATGCAGGACCCTGGTCCCTGGTTCAGGAGGAGCAGAGCAGATCTTATTCACAAATTGTTGGGTATATCTGTTCTAACCTACCTTGGGACTACGTGAAAAACTAACACAAGGCACTTATCTGTTTTACCTCACTCAGAACTCATTTAGGCCAGAAGAACAAATTGTATCTCTGATAAGGATTTAATATCTGAAATATATAAAGAACTCTTACAATTCAATAATTTTAAAAACCCAGTTCAAAAATGAACAAAGAACTTAGACGTTTCTCTAAAGAAGATGTTGAGTGAATGATAAGTACATGAAAATATACTCAACATTATTTGTCATTAGGGAAATGCAAATCAAAACCATAAGAAGAAACTGTTTCACATCTAATAGGCAATTTTAATAAAAGTAGTGGAAAATAATAGGTATTGCCAAGAAAGTGGGAAAATTGGAACCCTCAGAAATTGCTGGTAGAAATGTAAAATGATGCAGGTGCTATGGGAAAAAGTTAAACAAAGGATTACCATATGAGCCAGCAATTCCACTCCTAGGCATAAATATACAAAAAATTCAATAGTGAGACTTAAATGGATACTTGTATACAAACTTTTGGTGCAGCATTATTTCCAATAACCAAAATGTTGAAACAACCTGAATGTCCATCAGATGGGTGGATAAATGAAGTGTAGTATATATACATTATACAATATCCTTCAGTTATAAAAAAAAAATGAAGCACTGATACATGCTAAAATATTAGTGAACCTTGAAAACATTATGTTAAGTAAGCGAGACACAAAAGGACAATTCCTTGTATAATTCCACTTTTGTGAACTATCTAGAATAGGCAAATAGACAAAATGCAGATTAGGAATTCCAGGGGTTAGGGAGAGGGAAGAATGGGGAGTTATCGTTTAAGAGGTGCAGCATTTCTCTTTGGGGGGAATGAAAAAGTTTTGGAAATAGTGTTGATGGTTGCAGAACACTGTGAATGTAATTAACACCACTGAGTTGTACATTTAAAAATGGTTAGGATGGCAAATTTTTGTTACATATATTTTCACATGATAAAAAATGTTATAGGACTGAAAAAAAAGAAACCAACTTGTGGCATATAGTTAAGGCTGTTCCTCAAGGGTAGGTCTTAATCTGAAATAACTGTATTAGAAAGGAAAACTCCATCTGGAATTACTAGAAAACAAACTGCAAATTCTCTTCTGGAATGATTACAAAAAGAAGGTAGGAGGAAGGCAATAATAAAGATAAGAGCAGAAATGAGTAAGTTAGAATATAAACATAAAGTAGAACAAATAAAGCCAAGAACTGTGCCATAAAAAGGTGAATAAAATTGACGACCCCTTGGTAGGGATGACAGAGTAAAAGAGAATGCACAAATAACCAGTTTTTGGAATGGATAATGTGATATCACTGTAGAGCATACAAACACTTAATGGACCATAGCAGGATATTGCAAACAATTTTATGAAAATAAATTTGAAAATGTAAATGAAATAGATAAATTCTTAGCACATTTTACCAAACTGATTGGCACAAGAAGAAATAGCTAAATGTTCCTATAACTTTTAAAGATATTGCATCTGTAATTTAACCTTGTCCACAAATAAACCTACAGGGCTAGGTGAATTTTACCAAACATTCAGGACAAAGTAACACCAATCTTATGTAGTTCTGTAAAACAGAAAAAGAGGAAGCCCTTCCCAATTTGTTTTAATCAGATCATTACCTGAATACGATATGAGAAACCTGTAGACTAATCTCTCTCATGAATTTAGCTCCTGTAATCTGAAATATTAGTCAATACGAAATCCAGTGCTGTATAAGAAAGATAAATCATCCTGACCAAATTTAATTTATTCCAGGAATGCAAAGGTGGTTTAACATTTTAAAAATCAGTAAATGTAATTCATCCTATTAACAATTATATGATTAGAAAAAGCCCATTGATATGAATCATCACTCTATGATTTAATAAAAAGAGTGTAGCAAGCTAGGGATAAAAGGGAATTTACAGCAACATTATCCTTAATAGCAAAATGTTAAACACTTCCCCTCTGACACTGAGAAGAAGACAGGGATGCCTGCTCTGACAGCTTTTAGTCATCTTTGTATTATACATACTAATCAGTGCAATAGGGCAAGAAAAAGCAAAGACAGGTGCTAGGATTGGCATTAAAGGAATAAAAATTTAATTATTCACAGATGATATGATTGTATGTGTAGAACATCCAAAAGCATCTACAAATAGCCGGGTGTGGTGGCTCATGCCTCTAATCCCAGCACTTTGCAAGGCCAAGGCAGGTGGATCACCTGAGGTCAGGAGTTTGAAACCAGCCTAGCCAACATGGTGTAACTCCATCTGTACTCAAAATACAAAAAATTAACCGGGCATGGTGGCACACACCTGTAGTCCCAGCTACCTGGGAGGCTGAGACAGGAGAATCGCGTGAACCTGGGTGGCGGAGCTTGCAGTGAGCTGAGATCACACCACTGCACTCCAGCCTGAATGACAGAGCGAGACTCCGTCTCCAAAAAAAAAAAAAAAAAAAGAATCTAAAAATAAGAATTAGCAAATCATTCTACCAAAAAAAGCATATGCATTTATATGTTTATTGCTGTGCTATTCATAATAGCAAAGACATGGAATTAATCCAGGTGCCCACCAGTGGGAAATTGGGTAAAGAAAATGTGGTACATATATACCACGGAATACTCTACAGACATAAAAACAATGAAATTATGTCCTTTGCAGAAACATGGATGGAGCTGGAGGCCGTTATCCTAAGCAAATTAACGCAGTAACAGAAAACCAAATACTGCATATTCTCACTTATAGGTGGGAGCTAAACATTGAGTACACATAGACATATATGGGAACAACAGACACTGTGAACTATGAGAGGGTGGAGGAGGAGTGGGTTAAAAAACAACCCATTTGATTCTGTGCTCACTGCCTGGGTGACAGGAGCTGTACTCCAAACCTCAGTATCACACAATATTCCCATGTAACAAATCTGCACATGTACCCCCAGTATCTAAAAGTTGAAATAAAAACTTAAAACCACTTTAGTAGACAGTTTGGCAGCTTCTTAAAACGCTGAACGTGCATCTACTGTATGACCTGATCATTCCACCTTAGGTATTTATCCAAGAGAAATGAAAGCCTGTGACCACAAATAACTGGTACTCAAATTTCCATAGCAGCTTTATTTGCAATATCCACATACCTGAAACAACTCAAATGTCTATCAGCATGTGAATAGATAAGCAATGCGAGTGGATATCTATAATCTTAAAATAATATCCTGCAATAAAAAGGAGTAAGCAATTACTATATGCAATAAATGGATGTATTTGAAAATATTGAGTGAAAGAAGCCAGAGAAAAATGGTACCTGCACTATGATTCCATTTATATGAATTCTAGAAAATTTATACTGCCTAAGGTGACAGCAAATTAGCTTGCCTCAGGATAAGTGCGAACATAAAGGGGTAGAAGAGAGGTACCACAGGTTTATAAGGAAGTGATTGGGACGTGTTCATGATCTTGATTGTGGTGATGGTTTCACAGGTGCATACATATGTAAAAACTTATCAAACTGTATCCTTTAAACATGTTCAGTTTATTGAATATTGTAGATCAGTAAAACTGAAAACTAAAAAATATATTCAGTGATATTGTTGGGTATAAATTTAGTATATAAACATTAATTGTATTTCTGTAAATTATCAACAATTAGAAAGTGAGATTTGAAAAATAATCTACAGAAGGATATGAAAAATACCTAATGAAAAGTATAAAACTACCAAAATAAAACACAGATATAAACATCGATAGACTTTTAAAAAACCAAATAATTAGAAGGATATACTATGTTTATTGAAGACTCAGTAATGTAAAGATATTAGTACTTTCCAAATTGATTTATGAATTCAGTACTATCACAGCCAGTTTTGTTTATTGTGAAGTCTGACAAGCTGATTCTAAAATGTATATGGAAATGAAAGTATCAAGAATGGCTAAGACAGTCTCTAAGAAGATGACCAAAATTGGAGACTTATCCATGATATGTAGACGTATTATAATTTACAGCAGTTGAGATAGTGTGGTATTGACACAGGATAAGCAAACAGATGAATGTAATAGAACAGAGCAGTACTTTTCAACCAGAAAATGTAAGCCCTAATGCCCTAAAGGCATCCATTAAATATAATGAATTATTTCTCCTATGGATCTAAAATAATACCCGCTGTATTCCCTCTTTGAGTAAATTAAAAATACAGTTACTCAGTTTTCTGTGAGGTTTTCATTCTCTTATGGTCCTAACATTTAAATTTGTTTTTGTTTTTTTAAACAGCATTGAGCTTAGAGAATTGGAGAAGAAATTAAAAGCAGCTTACATGAATAAAGAAAGGGCAGCTCAGATTGCTGAAAAGGATGCCATTAAATATGAACAAATGGTAATCATGTTTCTGGTCATTATGTTTTTAGCTTCATTTAGAAAATAAAAATTAGACTTGTTTCTTAAAAAATTGTCATATTGTATAAAGAATTTACACTGCTAGATTTCTTAAATATTTGTAAATTTTCAGATCCTTAAGATGTAGAAAATCCTGCGTGATTTCATTTTTAATATTAGAGCCTTTCAGAAACACATTGCTGCTTAGAATGACCAGCTATATTCAGTAACTCCCAGCATTCTTTATAGTCTCTAACTGATTATTCACTGACAAAGTAGTACAGTACAAATTGTTACCATGATAAGTGTATTTTAGAATGTTATGAAATTTTTAATTATTTAAATGTTTTTAAGAGTAAACTACTTGATAATTTTATGTAGGAAACTTTCCAGTTTTATAAAAGCCATCTCTTTTTCTCATGTTTCTCTCTGCTTTTATCCCCTTTTCTAACTCCTGATATGGTACCAAGTTGAAGATAAGAGTTACTCTTGGGCAAAGGAATCTCAGGCATACTCACTAGGAGTGCTTTGCTGTATGAATATATAATAGGGTTTACTGAATTAACAGTTAATTAAAAGGGTGCACATCATCCCTTGAGCTCTCATTATCAAACAGAAGGGCCAATTATATATGAATGTTTATATACACATACATATCTATTGTGTATGTCCACATAAACATATGTACACACACACACACTCTTATGGGGTGATATCAAAATACTTAACCAGTGCAGTGCAATATGGGTATCAATTAAGAATAGATACCATAAATGACACATATATGTGTGTGTTGCGTGTGTACAATTGTGTTAGTATAGAAAATGTCTAGCGGGTACACAGCATGCTGTTAACAGGAATACCTTTAGGTGTGGCAGGTGATAAGAAAAGGTGGAGAGACTTCATTTGCTAAGCCATATAGCGCTGTCCTTTGAAAAAGAAAGTAGCACAAACAATGTCCTGTTTGTCCAGTGGTTTGCAGTTTTAATTATCCTGATAGTTGAAGTTATTCAAGGTAGTTGTAGACGTTTTAATCTGACTCCTACGAGAATTGCTGCTATTTTCCAAATAAAAATTGATCCACAAAATGAAAGTCGAATACTACTAGGACTTGACTAGGTGTCATGCAAGTACTAGTTTTGGCTTTTTCTCTGAGCCTTAGTTTTCTTATCTGTAAAATGAGAACATTGTTTTCGGTAAGTGTGTGGTAATCTACACATAAATGTTATTGTCATCTCATTTTTTAATAAAGAATTTAGTATAGCATGTACAAAGAAGATAATCAGAAACATTTTTGGTCAAGTCATATTATCAGAGTATATGTTAAAGGCTTCAGTGACGTCAGGAATGACATTCAGTATTCATATTTTAATCTGTTTACTCTTTATGTTTGATGCTGCTGACCATTCCATCATTCGGGATGTGATCATAAAAGTAAAGCGTAGTTTAAAAAATTGCCTCAGTATATTTCATTTAAAACTTATTTTATTAAATGATTTGAAAAATGCTCAAAAGAAATAAGGGGTTTAACCCATCCAAGAAGAAAGATTGTCTCTTGACAATGGGAATGGTCTTGAGTGAATTAAAAGCTGTAGAAAATAGGCACAGTAGCATCTGTGATTCTTTTCAGATAAAGGGCCTTTAATAAATCAGAAAGGGGAAACGTCAAGGGCCAATGGCAGGAAAGAAAGTTTAGGCTAGGAGAAACTTAAGAGCTGCTCAAAGCCATTTAATAGCAGACCTGTAAGAAAGAGGCAGTACCATCTTTAAATAGCAGCTGATAAACAATGAAGCTAAAAACGATGAAAATTGCCTAGCTCAGTTTATAAATAGAATAATAAGATAATGACTGCTTTAGCAGCTAAATAGTTATTAAGAAACTACTTACAATTGTATTCATTGTTTTTTGAATGTGGAGTTATTAATAATCCTTATCAGGTATTGTCCTGAGAGAGCTACTTGAAGGGATAGGAAAGCTGCTTTAGGGTCTGACTTATTGTTCACACCCTTCAGGTAATAATAACTTACTTTTGCTTTTTAACCTAGACAGATGAAAAAATTTATTTTATGTAAAAGACTTTATAATATTCAATAACATTGGTGTAAAATATACTATCGTACTATGTTCAAATTTGAAAACGGAAAGATCAATTTTGTTTTAATAACAGAAACGTGATGCTGAAATAGCCAAAACCATGATGGAAGAACACAAGAGAATAATAAAGGAAGAGAATGCTGCAGAAGACAAACGAAACAAAGCGAAAGCACAGTACTATCTTGACTTAGAGAAACAACTTGAAGAACAAGAAAAAAAAAAGCAGGAAGCTTATGAGCAGCTGCTAAAAGAGAAACTCATGATTGATGAAATTGTTAGGAAGATCTATGAAGAAGATCAGTTGTAAGTTTATCCTAACTTTCTTACATGTCTAAATGTTTACTTTAGATATATCACAGGTTTGTTGTGAGGAACTGAAGCACCTAGAACAGTGCCTAATACATAGTAAGTGCTCAATAAATACTAGCTATGAAAACATAAATTGGGACCAACTCCTTCTCATCTCCGTTAGCATAATTAATAAATGAATTATCTGATGATTAATAAATGCTGAAGTGATTGAATGACCTAAACCTTTGTTTTTCTTATATATGCCCATATCATATGTCAGAGGACAGGTATTCTGATAAATTTTTTTGGTAGACAGCTTAAGTATAGAGTGCTGCAAAGCTAATGTTAACAGATTGTAGCCTTTATGAAATAAGATGCATAAAACTTCATTAATAGGTTAGAGGAGACTATCACAGTATTCTACCCAAAGAAAAATTCATACCTGACATTATATTTAGCACACAGTAAGCATTCAAAATGTTTGTTGCATGCACGAATGAAAAAACTATAGTGTTTTTCTGTACATTATTATGAACAAAATGAAATTACTTTTTTATATTTTATTGTTTACTATAAATCTGTACTTGTTATTGCTTTTCAGGGAAAAACAACAAAAGTTAGAAAAAATGAATGCAATGCGAAGGTATATAGAAGAGTTTCAGAAAGAGCAGGCTCTCTGGAGAAAAAAGAAACGTGAGGAGATGGAAGAAGAAAACAGAAAAATCATAGAGTTTGCTAACATGCAGCAGCAAAGAGAAGAAGATCGGATGGCAAAAGTTCAAGAAAATGAGGAGAAAAGGCTACAGCTTCAGAATGCGGTATTAAAATAACCACTTCTTTAACACTAGTAAAATTCTGAAATATTAGTTACAGAATTTGGATCCTATAAATATTTATGTTTTTTAAAAAATTTAATAGTTGACACAGAAATTAGAAGAAATGCTGCGGCAACGTGAAGATTTGGAACAAGTGCGACAAGAATTATACCAGGAAGAACAAGCTGAAATATATAAGAGCAAGCTAAAAGTAAGTTTCAGAAATGGAAAGAATGATTAATGTAGAGAAGAATATAATTTTGAGATGAAGCAGAAAAGAGATAGTACATTTAAATCCAACCATACTGGTAATTACATTATATGTAAATGGTATACTACAGTTAAAAGACAGAAATTTTCAAGCTGGCTAAAAAGATAGACTCAGGCATCAATTTATAAACTTACCATAAAAAGCATGATGCAACTATGTTGTCTGTAATCACAATTTAAAAATGAAGATACATACTTTAAAAGCAAAAGGATGGTGAAAGATACGTAACATACAGACACTAGTCAAAAGTAGGTTGGAGTTGCTACGTTAATATGAGACAAAGTCAACTTCAGGACAAGCAATTCATGATAATACAGTAAATTCATCTAGAAGATGTCATAGTCCTAAAGGCGTGTGAACCTAAATAATAAAGCTTCACAATACATGAAGCAAAACTGACAAAAACTGAAAGGAGAAAGAGGCAAATCCACAATCAGAGTTCAAGATTTTTTTTTTTTTCTTTTTCTCTTTCCAACTTTTACTTTAGGTTCAGGAGGTACATGTGCTGGTTTGTTACAGGGGTAAATTTGTGGGTCATGGGGATTTGGTGTAACATTATTTTGTCACCCAAGTAATGAGCATAGTACTCGATAGGTAGTTTATTGATCCTCACCCTCCTCCTATGTCTACCCTCAAGTAGGCCCCAGTGTCTGTTTTCCTTCTTTGTGTCCACGTGTACTCAATATTTAGCTGTTACTTGTATGTGAAGACATGTAGTATTTGGTTTTCTATCCCTGCATTAATTAGCATAGGCTAATGGCCTCCAGCTCCATCCATGTTGACGCAAAGGATATGATTTTGTTCTTTTTTATGGCTGTGTAGTATTCCGTGGTGTACATGTACCACATTTTATTTATCCAGTCCACCATTGATGGATATCTAGGTGGATTCCATATCTTTGCCATTGTGAATAGTGCTGCTATAAATACACACATGCATGTGTCATTATGGTAAAATGATTTATATTCCTTTGGGTATATACCCAGCAATCCCATTGGGTATAAACCCAGCAATCAAATGGTAATTCTGTTTTCATTTTTTGGGGAGTCGCCACAGTGCTTTTCACAGTGGTTGAACTAGTTTACATTCCCACCAACAGTGTATAAGCATTCCTTTTTCTCCACAACCTTGTCAGCATCCATTCTTTTGTGACTTTAATAGCCATTCTGACTGATGTGAGATAGTATCTCATTGTGGTTTTGGTTTGCATTTCTCTAATGATTAGTGATATTGAGCACTTTTTCATGTGCTTGTTGGCTACATATATATCATTTTTTGAGAGGTATCTGTTCATGTACTTAGCCTATTTTTTCTTTTTATTTATTTATTTTATTTTATTATTATTTTTTGAGATGGGAGTCTCGCTCTGTCGCCCAGGTTGGAGTGCAGTGGCGTGATCTCGGCTCACTGCAAGCTATGCCTCCCGGGTTCACGCCATTCTCCTGCCTCAGCCTCCCAAGTAGCTGGGACTACAGGCACCCGCCACCATGCCCGGCTAATTTTTTTCTTTTGTATTTTTAGTAGAGATGGGGTTTCACCGTGTTAGCCAGGATGGTCTCGATCTCCTGACCTCATGATCCACCTGCCTTGGCCTCCCAAAGTGCTGGGATTAGAGGTGTGAGCCACCGTGCCTGGCCAGTCTATTTTTTAAATAGGGTTGTTAATTTGTTTACGTTCCTTAGATATTATGGATATTAGACCTTTGTCAGATGCATAGTTTGCAAATATTTTCTCCCATTCTGTAGGTTGTCTGTTTATTCTGTTGATAACTTCATTTCCTGTGAAGAAACTCTTTAGTTTAACTAGGTCCCACTTGTCAATTTTTGTTTTTGTTACAATTGCTTTTTGAGTCTTCATCATGAAATCTTTGCCAGGTCCTATGTCCAGAATGGTATTTCAATGCACAGTTCTCATTAATCTATAGACTAGGTAGTCAGAACCGCAGGATATCGTATTGAAAGCAATATCAATAAACTTGACCTGACATTTAGAGAATACTCCACCCAACAACAGCAGAACACAAATTCCATTCAAACATGGAACCTTCACCGAGATAGATCATATTCTAGGACATAAAGGAAGTCTCAATAAATTTTCAAGGTTTTAAATAATACCAGATATGTTTTCTGACTACAGTGGAATTAAATTAAAAATCAGTAATGAAAATATACCTGCAGACTCCTTAAATATATTATAATTAAACAATATATTTCTAAATAAGCAATGAGAAAAGGGGAATAAATAATATTGGAAATTAGAAAAATATTTCAAACTAAATGATTCAAAAAACAGCATTCCAAAATATGTGACGTGCAGTTAATGCAGTGCTTAGAGGAAAGTTTATATCTTTAAATGCATATATTAGAAAAAAGAATGGTTAAAAATTAATGAGCCTGTGTCTACCCAAACCCATACACAAATGTTTATGCAGCATTATTCACAATAGTCTAAAAGTAGAAATAACCCAAAAGTAGAAATAACCCAAATGTCTAATGGATAAACAAAATATAGTATATCCATGTAATAAAATGTTATTCAGCTATTAAAAGAATGACAGACTGATCATGCTAAAACATGGATAAACCTTTAATTATAAATTTAAAAGTATGTGCCTCAGGAATGTTATATAAATGATATCAAACAATATGTAACTTTTTCAAGTTGGCTTTTTTTTATTCAGCATAATTTCCTGGAAATTCATCCAAGTTGCTTGTATTGATCATTTGTTCCCTTTTTTTGCTGAGTAACATTCCATTGGCATGTATATACCATTTTATTTGACCATTTGCCCATTAAAGGGCATTTGGAATGCTTCCAATATTTAGCTCTGATGAGTAAATCTGATGTAAACATTCAGGTAAAGGTTTTTGTATAAACATCAATTTTCATTTCTCTGCAATAAATGCTCAAGATTGTATTAGCTGGGTTTTGTGGTAACTGCATGTTAGCTGTGTAACAGACTGCCAAAGTGATTTCCAGAACAGCTGTAGCATTTAACATTCCCATCAGAAATATATGAGTTACGCAGTCTGTCTGCATTCTCACCAGCATTTGGTGTTAACACAGTTTATTTTTTAATTTTTTTCTCCTCTGTCCTCAGAAGCTCAACAATTTTTTATTTTAGCCACTTTTAAATATCCATGTAGTGATACCTTGTAGTTTTATTTTGCATTTTCCTGATGACTAATGATGCTGAACATCTTTTCATGTGCTTATTTGCTGTCCTCTTTGGTGTAAGATCCTCTTTGATGAAATAGTTCTTCATGTCTTTTGCTGATTCTCTAATTGGGTTGTTTGTTCATTTATTGTTGGGTTTTGAGAGTTCTTCATATATTCTAGATACTAGTCCTTTGTCAGGTGGGTGGTTAGCAAATAGTTTCTTCTAGTCTGTAGCTTTATCTTCTCATCCTTTTAACATGATCTTAGAGCACGATTTTTCTTAGAGCAAATGTTCTCCATTTCTATGAAGTTCAGTTTATCAGTTTTTCTTTTTATGGATCATGCTTTCTGTGTCAACTCTAGAAACTCTTCGCCTAGTTATTGAAGAATTTCTCCTTTTTTTTTTCCTAAAGGTTTGTGTGTGTGTGTGTGTTTTGTTTTTTTGGGTTTTTTTTTTTTATGCTTTTCCATTTTACATTTCAATCTGTGATCTGTTTTGAGTTAATTTTTGGTACAAACGATGAGACTTAAATACAGTTTTTGCCATTGGATTTAGTTCAGTTGTTCCACACCATTTGTTGAAATGGCTGTTTCTCCAACATTGAATTGCTTTTGCACCTTTCTTAAAACACAGTTGGCATGTTTGTATGGGTCTATTCCTGTGGTCTCTATTTTGTTCTGTTGGTCTATGTATCCATCCCTCCACCAATACTACACAGTTTTGAATACTGCAGCTATATGGCAAGTCTTAAAATTTTTTTTTTAGCTATTCTAGTTCCTTTGCCTTTCCATATGAATTTTTGAAGAATCTTGTCTCTATAAATATTTTTTGCTGGGATTTTGATAGGTATTGAATTAAATTTGAATATCAGTTTGGGGAGAATTGATAAATTCACTATATTAAGTTCATGAACACAATTTGGCTCTCCCTTTATTTAGATCTTTGAATTTTTTCATCAGGATTCTCTAGTTTCAGCATACAAATCCTGTACGTGTTTTGTTACATCTAAGTGTTTCATTTTTTGAGCAATCGTAAATGGAATGTTAGCTTTTATTTTGGTGTCCGTGTACTCGTTGCTAGTGAATTGATATTTTTGTGTTTATCTTGTATCTCACAACCTTGCTGAATTCACTTGTTAGCTGTAGGATTTTTTTTCCCTACATAGTCAGGCATGTCTTCTGCCCAGAGCTACAGGCTGTTTCTTCCTTTCTGATCTGTATACTTTTTACTTCCTTTCCTTGCCTTACATGCTGGCTAAAATTTCCAGCACCACTGGCTAGTGCTATGTTGAAGAAGAGTGATGAGAGTAGACATCACCTTTCCTGTTCTTGTCTGTTGGCTGCATAAATGTCTTCTTTTGAGAAGTGTCTATTCATATCCTTCGCCCACTTTTTGATGGGGTTGTTTGATTTTTTCTTGTAAATTTGAGTTCTTTTTAGATTCTGGATATTACCCCTTGGTCAGATGGGTAGATTGCAAAAATTTTCTCCCATTCTGTAGGTTGGCTGTTCACTCTGATGGTAGTTTCTTTTGCTGTGCGGAAGCTCTTTAGTTTAATTAGATCCCATTTGTCAATTTTGGCTTTTGTTGCCATTGCTTTTGGTGTTTTAGACATGAAGTCCTTGCCCATGCCTATGTCCTGAATGGTATTGCCTAGGTTTTCTTCTAGGGTTTTTATGGTTTTAGGTCTAACATGTAAGTCTTTAATCCATCCTGAATTAATTTTTGTATAAGGTGTAAGGAAGGGATCCAGTTTCAGCTTTCTACCTATGGCTAGCCAGTTTTTCCAGCACCATTTATTAAACAGGGACTCCTTTCCCTATTGCTTGTTTTTGTCAGGTTTGTAACAAACCTGTCTTTTTTGTAACAAAAAAAAAGAGCAGATGGTTGTAGATGTGTGGTACTATTTCTGAGGGCTCTGTTCTGTTCCATTGGTCTATATCTCTGTTTTGGTAGCAGTACCATGCTGTTTTGGTTACTGTAGCCTTGTAGTATAGTTTGAATTCAGGTAGCATGATGCCTCCAGCTTTGTTCTTTTGGCTTAGGATTGTCTTGGCAATGTGGCCCCTTTTTTGGTTCCATATGAATTTTAAAGTAGTTTTTTCCAATTCTGTGAAGAAAGTCATTGGTAGCTTGATGTGGATGGCATTGAATCTGTAAATTACCTTGGGCAGTATGGCCATTTTCACGATATTGATTCTTCCTATCCATGAGCATGGAATGTTCTTCCATTTGTTTGTGTCGTCTTTTATTTCGTTGAGCAGTGGTTTGCAGTTCTCCTTGAAGAGGTCCTTCACATCCCTTGTAAGTTGGATTCCTAGGTATTTTATTCTCTTTGAAGCAATTGTGAATCGAGTTCACTCATGATTTGGCTCTCTGTCTGTCTGTTATTGGTGTATAAGAATGCTTGTGATTTTTGTACATTGATTTTGTATCCTGAGACTTTGCTGAAGTTGCTTATCAGCTTAAGGAGATTTGGGGCTGAGACAATGGGGTTTTCTAAATATACAATCATGTCATCTGCAAACAAGGACAATTTGACTTCCTCTTTTCCTAATTGAATACCCTTTCTTTCTTTCTCCTGCCTGACTGCCCTGGCCAGAACTTCCAACACTATGTTGAATAGGAGTGGTGAGAGAGGGCATCCCTGTCTTGTGCCAGTTTTCAAAGGGAATGCTTCCAGTTTTTGCCCATTCAGTATGATATTGGCTGTGGGTTTGTCATAAATAGCTCTTATTATTTTGAGATATGTCCCATCAACACCTAATTTATTGAGAGTTTTTAGCAAGAAGGGCTGTTGAATTTTGTCAAGGGCCTTTTTTGCATCTATTGAGATAATCATGTGTTTTTTGTCATTGGTTCTGTTTATATGCTGGATTACATTTATTGATTTGTGTATGTTGAAATAGCCTTGCCTTCCAGGGATGAAGCCCACTTGATCATGGTGGATAAGCTTTTTGATGTGCTGCTGGATTTGGTTTGCCAGTATTTTATTGCGGAGTTTTGCATCAATGTTCATCAGGGATATTGGTCTTAAATTCTCTTTTTTTTGTGGTGTCTCTGTCAGGATGACAGACGACCAAAGTATCAGGATGCTGCTGGCCTCATAAAATGAGTTAGGGAGGATTCCCTCTTTTTCTATTGATTGGAATAGTTTCAGAAGGAATGATACCAGCTCCTCCTTGTACCTCTGGTAGAATTCGGCTGTGAATCCATCTGGTCCTGGACTTTTTTTGGTTGGTAGGCTATTAATTATTGCCTCAATTTCAGAGCCTGTTATTGGTCTATTCAGGGATTCAACTTCTTCCCAGCTTAGTCTTGGGAGGGTGTATGTGTCCAGGAATTTATCCATTTCTTCTAGATTTTCTAGTTTATTTGCGTAGAGGTGTTTATAGTATTCTCTGATGGTAGTATTTCCGTTGGATCTGTGGTGATATCCCCTTTATCATTTTTTATTGCGTCTATTTGATTCTTCTCTCTTTTCTTTGTTATGAGTCTTGCTAGCGGTCTATCAATTTTGTTGATCTTCTCAGAAAACCAGCTCCTGGATTCACTGATTTTTTGAAGGGTTTTTTGTGTCTCTATCTCCTTCAGTTCTGCTCTGATCTTAGTTATTTCTTGCCTTCTGCTAGCTTTTGAATGTGTTTGCTCTTGGTTCTCTAGTTCTTTTAATTGTGATGTTAGGGTGTCAATTTTAGATCTTTCCTGATTTTTCTTGTGGGCATTTAGTGCTATAAATTTCCCTCTACACACTGCTTTAAATGTGTCCCAGAGATTCTGGTATGTTGTGTCTTTGTTCTCATTGGTTTCAAAGAACATCTTTATTTCTGCCTTCATTTCGTTATGCATCCAGTAGTCATTCAGGAGCAGGTTGTTCACTTTCCATGTAGCTGAGCGGTTTTGAGTGAGTTTCTTAATCCTGAGTTCTAGTTTGATTGCACTGTGGTCTGAGAGACAGTTTGTTATAATTTCTGTTCTTTTACATTTGCTGAGGAGTGCTTTACTTCCAACTATGTGGTCAACTTTGGAATAAGTGCGGTGTGGTGCTGAGAAGAATGTATATTCTGTTGATTTGGGCTGGAGAGTTCTGTAGATGTCTATTAGGTCTGCTTGGTGCAGAACTGAGTTCAATTCCTGGATATCCTTGGTTAAACACTTTTTTCTACTGATATGATTATGACTTTTTCTTCTTTAGCCAAGTATATTACATTGATTTTTGAGTATTGAACCAGTCTTGCATCCCTGTAATAAACACTACTTGGTCATGGTGAATAATTCTTTTAATGTATGATCTATTTTTCTAATATTGGGTTAAGGATTTGTGCATCCATATTCACGAGGAATATTGGTCTGTAATTTTTTATATTGGTAGCGGGGTAATACTATCTTCATAAAATGAATGGGGATATGTTTCCTCCTCTTCTGTTTTCTGGAAGAGATTGTGTAGAATTCGTGTTAATTTTTTAAATATTTGATAGAATTTTCTAGTGAAACCATCCTGACTTGGGGTTTTATTTTGGAGGAATTTTAAGTTATTAATTCCGTCTCCTTAATAGTGATAGGACTATTCAGATTACCTTATTTCATATTTGGTGAGTTTTGGTAGCTTGTGTTTCTCAAGGAAGTGATCCATTTCATCTAAGTTGCCAAATTTATGTGTGTATAATAATTTGTAGTATTCCTGTATTATCCTTTTGATGTCTGTAGGGTCTCTAGTGATATCCTATGTTTTATTCCTGATATTAGTTATTTGTTTATTCATTCATTTTTTTTTTCTAGGTCAGCCTTGTTAAAGGTCTGTCCATTTCACTGATAATTTTTAAGAACCAGCCTTTTGTTTCACCAATAATTGTCTATTTTCTATTTTTAATTCCATTGATTTCTACAGTTTTATTATGTTTTTCCTTCTGCATATTTTGGGTTTACTTTACAGTTCTTTTTATAGGTTCTTGAAGTGGGGGCTTAGATTATCGATTTGAGACTTTTCCTACATACATGCATTTAGTGCTATATATATACATTTTCCTAAATGTATCCATTTAGTGCTATAAATGTTTCTCAGAACTGCTTTAGCAGCATCTCACAAATTTTGCTGTCTCACTTTTATTAACTACAATGTATTTATTTTCCTTGGCATTCCCTCTTTGGCCCATGAATTATTTAGAAGTGAGTGACCATTGTAAAATTATATTTTTTAGTATGTATGAAATTTTTCATAATAAAATGTTCAGAAAATAAAAGCTTATAGGAAAGGACTTAACTGTTCCAACTATATTTGAATTTCCCTAAAGAAGTACTGATTGTCATTGCTAGATAATTGTTTTTAAATTTTAGAGAATTTTGGAGAATGAAGGGAATATTAGAAGACTAGAGATGGGTAAGTGCAGCTTTGATTTTGAGGAGGAGGTTGGAAACTGAAAAATACTTATGGGTGGTTTGGACAGCTTTTGTAAGCAAGATTCTAGAATGATTCATAGTTACCATAGACTTTAGATGAATAAACTCAGGTGTGCAAAAAAGGCTTTTGTAACAGCTCTTTCCAAAGCAGTTACGTGTTAATTCTGAGTAGAGAAACAAGATGGTAAATATAAATTAAAATTTGTTCATGAGTAACAGAAAACAATCCAAATGTAAGCATATTCTTTATCCAGCTAGTTTTAAAGGGATGGACAAAGTTATCATGAAAAGCCTTACTTTTTCAGTTTGTATGATTTCATATTGTAATACTAAATTTAACCAAACTCTATCACTCTTTCCTTATAAATCTGGTGTAAGGAAATAGTTACTAAATTAACTTTCAGCTGTATTGTTTAGGAAGAAGCAGAAAAGAAATTGAGAAAGCAAAAAGAGATGAAGCAAGATTTTGAAGAACAAATGGCCTTGAAGGAATTAGTGCTACAGGCTGCAAAAGAGGAAGAGGAGAACTTTAGAAAAACTATGCTAGCTAAATTTGCTGAGGATGATCGAATAGAATTAATGAATGCTCAGAAACAAAGAATGAAGCAGCTGGAACACAGGAGGGCTGTGGAAAAACTTATTGAAGAGCGTCGCCAACAATTCCTTGCAGACAAAGTAAGAAAAAGTTGTGGGGTTTTTTTGGTCATTATCATTAAACAGCAATAGCTCATCTATCATCCACTAAACATTTACTGAGAAGCTTTATATGCCAGACAATGTTAGTATGTTTACTAATATATATATAAATTTTCTGACCATTTTTGCTTCTAGAAAATATTTATTGATGCTTTCTATGTGCTAAACACTGGTTGGTATTGAGAACATAAAAGGTAAATAAAACTAAGTCCATGTCACTTATGAATTTATGGTCTTGGTTAAGAAAAATATATAAAAAGTAATTATAAATATGTCATGTACATGTGATAATAGGTTATAGAGCTATGGATGTTTTGGTATGGCAGAGAGAGAAACAGATCATGAACACCCTGCATGCTATTTTAAGAAGGTGGGCTTTTCTAAGGGAAGCCACTGAAGATTGAAAAGCTGTATATTAAGATCTGTACTTTGAAAGACGATTCAAGTGAGAGCATTGAAGGTAGATAAGAGATGAGTAAGCTCGGAGATAGGGAGATCAGTAAGTAAGTTATTATAATAATCCCAGTGACAAGTGGTGAAACCCATGCAAATAGATAAGGGATCCACCCGAGAGATGTTAAGGATACGGAATTGATGGGGCTTGGTGACCAGTGAGATCTAGGGTGAGAGAAGACTTAAGGCTACCCCTAATAAATAATACTGTCATTCCATCTTTTTAATTATTTTTTTAATATTTTTAAGTTCCAGGATGCATGTGCAGAACATGCAGGTTTGTTACACAGGTATACATGTGCCATGGTGGTTTGCTGCACCTATCAACCCGTCATCTAGGTTTTAAGCCCTGCATGCATTAGGTATTTGTCCTAATGCTCTCCCTTCCCCTTGTCCCCCCCACCCCCCGACAGGCCCTGGTGTGTGATGATGTTCCTCTCCCTGTGTCCATGTGTCACTTCCATCTTTAATGGGTGACTGGGTGACATCCTAAGGAAAGAGTATAGAGGAAAAGAAATAGATTTTGAGGGTGCAAATAATTCTATTTTGTCCACCCAAAATGATTTGGTGGCCCAGGGGAAGATTACTAGTTGGAAATGTAGATTTAAGTGTTGGAGAGGGAATGAAGTTTTTGGCTTTGGATACATTGACTTATTTATGTCTCATCCGTAAAACTAAATACTTATATTGTCTCACTAGATTTTGTGGTTTAAGAACCAAATGGATAATATGTAGGTGTTTTGAAAATCGGTAGGAAGAGAAGAATTTAGAGGAAGACTAAGTGAGACTTACATGACTTCTTTTAAAACTATACAAAGTAGGAGTCAAAATAATGCAGATGTTTCAAATATGAGAAACTCATGGGAATACAAGTGCTGTTATATTTCAGATTGGAGCTCATCTGTTCTCAGAAGCTAAGCAGGATCAGGCCTGGTTAGTACTTGGATAGGAGAAAGCTCCTGGAAAAGTTAGCAAGACAACTAACTAGAAATCAGACTAAAAACTAAATGGAAATCAGATAAAGCCACCTAATGCATAGATACTTATACAAATAATTTTTGTCTTAATTTTTAAAGACTTATAAATGTTCCCAATATGAAGCTGTCGGCTTAGTTTTGTCCGTTTGATTGGGCAACATTTTTGTTCTGGCCCCAAGTCAAGGACAGATCTTCGTGATGAAACTCATTATACAATCCTATAAGGTCTAACCATGTTTTTTGGATTTCAGAGACATTCCTAAATAGGTATCTGTAATTCTGTCTACCTCTACGAAAATCATACGGTCAGACAAAATCTGAAACTTCCCAGGAGGTAGTTTCCTACACCAAAGCTATTCAGAATTTGTCCTAAATGGATAAGTTGATTTCGTAACTGCCTAAACAATTTAATTTACTATAAATTTTTCTTTTTAGGATAAACATTGAATGTGGCCTGCCAGATCCTTCTTAGGAAAATCTGCATTAGCCCAAAGTAGACTCTACCATTGGACAAAAATGTATCAAGTTTGCTTTCCCCTGTAACATTACAGAACTTTCCTGTATCTCCTCTTTATAAGGAATGGATGAATTAAGATAGAATTAGGTTTGAATGCAAGTACAGTCTCAAATTAACAGTGGCTTAGTAGATTACTGTTCTTTCACGTAGTTCAAGTCATCTTTTCTATATGGCCCAGAATTTTGATGTGATTATTTAAGAGTGAGCACTTTCCTAAGAAATACTAGTGGAATTCTCATGCTTCATATCATCTTTATATATATATATATGAAAATATCCTTTAGATATTTCTGATCTTCTTTATTCACTATTTTTTGTTTTACACTGTAAACTCTTCAGCATCTGGTATATGGTAAGCATTCAGTAAATATTTACTGTATTAGGCAGTCACTCCTTTGAATATTTTTTCCCTTGGTAATGAAGACACTTTCCTGAAAATATTTGTTTGCCTCCTTGTAATTTTAAAGGAATAATGACAGTAAAAAATACATAGATATGTGTACAGACATAAAATATATATTTTAAAAATATATATTATCTAGAATCTTTTGAACTTAGTGTCATAAATAGTTCATCAATTTTATCTAATTCATTGCATGAGTAGTTTTATTTGAAAACTTCGTATAAGATTAATGTACTTTGTGATAACAAAATTTGATCTGCATTTCCAGCAACGTGAACTAGAAGAGTGGCAGTTGCAGCAAAGGCGGCAAGGATTTATTAATGCAATTATTGAAGAAGAAAGGCTAAAACTTCTTAAAGAGCATGCTACAAACTTACTAGGCTATCTCCCTAAAGTAAGTGAGATTTATCTCAAGTTGTAATCTTCATGACCTGTAATAGTGAAAAAAACATGGTATTTGGATTTTAGAGTGCCTTGGTTTTGCTCACTTCTTGCTCGGTTATGAAGCAGCAATGGGATCCTCCTGTCCAGGCACTGAACCTCTCTGGGCCCATTTCAGTATATCTAAAATGATTGGTCTTAGCACATTATTAGATGTATGAGCTTGATTTACTGAATTTGTACCTTATTTATCGCCCAGGCTGGAGTGCAGTGGCAAGATGTCAGCTTACTGCAACCTCTGCCTCCCGGTGATTCTCCTGCTTCAGCCTCCTGAGTAGCTGGGATTACAGGCGTTTGCCACCACACCCAGCTAATTTTTGTATTTTTGGTAAGGACAGGATTTTGCTATGTTGGCCAGGC
Organism: Homo sapiens; assembly: GCF_000001405.40. NCBI lineage: Eukaryota > Metazoa > Chordata > Mammalia > Primates > Hominidae > Homo > Homo sapiens. Next base: position 56,430,965 of record NC_000015.10, on the reverse strand, counting down.
TGGTCTTGAACTCTTGGCCTCAGGTGATCCATCTGCCTCAGCCTCCCCAAGTGCTGGGTGGGCCACCACACCTGGCCTGAGTTTGTATTTTAGAGTTTCTTTTCTCCCCTTTTAGTGTAGGAAATCTAAAGCTACCCTAGAACAACTGTAGTACTTACATGCCAAAGATGAGAATGTGTATGAAAACATTGTCACTGGTAACACCAGTAATAGGCACATGGTTGAACTGAGCTTGAGACTACCCTAGAACTGTAGTACTTACATGCCAAAGATGAGAATGTGTATGAAAACATTGTCACTGGTAACACCAGTAATAGGCACATGGTTGAACTGAGCTTGAGACAGATCTGCTCTACAGTAGGAAGTTATAACTAGTTAAACTTGATTTTTAAAATTCCAGAAGATAGTGAATTTTAATGTATACCTGAGACACACTGTGACTTCAAATAAAATAGTAACTGGCTGGGCATGGCAACTCATGCCTATAATCCCAGCACTTTGGGAGGCTGAGGCAGGAGGATCACCTGAGCCCAGGAGTTCAAGACCAGCCTGGGAAACATGGGGAGATGCCATTGCTACAAAAAATAAAAAGTTAACTGGATGTGGTGATGCACGCCTGTAGTCCCAGATACTCTGGAGGCTGAGGTTGGAAGATTGCTTGAGCCTGGAAAGTTGAAGCTGCAGTGACCCATGATCTTGCCACTGCACTCCAGCCTGGGCAACAGAGTGAGACCCCGTCTTGTCTTAAAAAAGTAATAACAGTTTCATAGGCCACATAAACATCTAGACTCATATAAATAAGATCGCCATCTTTCAGCTATAGAAATGCCATTTCATATTTTATTCAGTAGAATCAAGTGCATATTTATTTTATTATATTCACTCTGGTGCTAAGGAAGGAAAAAGATATATAGGTAATTACTGCCTGGCCACAGGACTTGATAGTCTAATTGGTTAGAAAGGATTAAGGAATACAAAATGATGTATTAATGATAAAATCCATATGTAATTAATACATTTCATAAACTAAATTATAAATTGTAGGAATGTCTTTCTTTGGGATTTGATATTTTTGTAGAGGAAATAATTGTGGAGGCAGCAGGAGGGATTAATAAACTTGATATCCAAAAATGACCTTTATCCTTTAGGTCCTAATGGTGCCAAATGACTTCAGTTATCCCTAAAATTCTTTATTCTTTAGATTGCAATTTAAGTAAATATTTAATTTTGTTTTAAAGAGCCTTTTGCAGTATACTGTAGGGGAAAAGAAAAATAGAACAGTGAAGAATTCCAAAGGGTTTGCTTAAATGGCTTAACTCCAAACCTGGATTCTTTTCTGCAAGATTGACTGTTTGCTGATTAGCCATAGAACTGAGGCATGAAGAACTAATCCCATGCATGAATCTACTGAAGCTCACCATTATATCATATTATAGAGCTATTTAAAGAAAAGGGTAGGGTACAGTATAGATGAAGTGCCTTCCTATCTAGGTAATCCAAGCAGTAGAACTTGTAGAAGAGCTCAGATTCCTATGAAAAGCTCCTACACTAGAGCTGATAAATCAGAAAATTGGGTCAGTCTAGGAATATTCAATATATATGTAAAGTCTTATTTTTTGAAAAGTATTGATTTTTTTAAAGTTTCATTAATCTGTTGAATAGATTTCATTACCTTGGAGATAACTTTACTAATCTTATGTCTGTCAGTCTTAAAAGCATTTAGTGAAATATTCTGGTATTCAAAAGTAACCCACAAAGTATTTTTCTCGTAGGGAGTATTTAAAAAAGAGGATGATATTGATCTGCTTGGTGAAGAGTTCAGGAAAGTATATCAACAAAGGAGTGAAATTTGTGAAGAGAAATGATATCATCAAAATTGGGTAAAGCATAGATTTTTTGCATGTTACCACTAGATGTCAGCATAACTTTTGTTTTACAGTTCAGTGGCATTAGGTATCCATTGTCTGTTTGGATTTTGTAAATCATCACTGAATTTCATAACTTGTAAACAATTATCAGATACAAATTAATTTTAATCAAGCTGTTATTTTTGTACTGATAATTTCAAAATCCGATTTCTACAACACTACAGAGCACTGTTTGCATCCCCATCCTCAAGACAGTATATTTACCTTGACTAATACAGAACTCTACCCCAAAGTGAACTGCCTTCTGTCTGTGTTTACGAACTTTACTTACTTGATTTAGCCAGGGAAATAAATATTTGGAATTTTCTTTTAAAGCATCTTTTTTGGTCTACTGTAAGGGAGGAGAATTATAAATGAAAAGAGTCAAGAATTTTATTATCTGATGTGCTTAATTGTCACGCTAAGAACTTAAAAAACAACTCAAAAAGAGCTAATAGCTAATCTCCTAAATCTAAAAAGGGAATTCTTTGAAATTATTTTGCTTTCATAATCAAATATATTACTTATGAAGAATAAAAATAATTCAAACCACTACAATAAGTAAAATGGGTATCCATCACATACTGTCATAGAGACTAACTGAAGTAGATCACTTATGAATTTCCCCATTCAAGTGCTTTCATAAATTCCTCCTCAGTGAAAGATAGCATCTTGGCAGCTTCAATATGCATCTGTTAAAAAAAAAATCAATATTGTCTGATTTAGTATTAAGAGTAGGCCACCAAACAACAGGAAGTTTGTAAAAATGTGTGGATAATATATTGTCAGAATATAAGTTCTGTTGTAGGAATGTATACTCTTAATTCCAATAAGCATGATATTTGAAATGGTATTGTCCAACAGTAGTACTGAACCAACTTACTTTTAAGATAATAATAATTCTATAATATTTTAAATACCTGACCTTTGCAAAGAAGGAAAGTGTCAGAACTATGAATTTTTAGAGAAAGCAGCAATAGTGGTTTGGAAGTGATGTTCGCTCTAAGGTTTGAAGAGGCAAACAGTCCCCTAATAGTCATTCTTTAATTTGGTACTTTCTGTAGTTGAGAAGTACCTATACTGTATTTTCCAGTCCCATTTTCTACACTAACTTACTTATGTGAAAATATCCACTTGCTTAGATGACACATATATCTCACTATAAATGTTAGATTTCATATGATTTCATATGTATGATGCATTTTATATGAAGTTCAGTGCGTAAAGATGTCAAAAACATACCTAAAGTGAAAAATGCTAAATTTTTTAGTAAGAAAGTTACAAATAATATGATGATTTAACTTTAATGATAGACTCACCTTTTGCCTTTTTAAAACATCAATTAATTTTAACTGTTTCTTGAACCCTATCATTAATTCTCCTTTTTGTTTTTCTAGCTTCTTGTTTTCTGATTTTAACACTTCAATTTTTTTGTGTTCTTCATTTGCTATGTCCTACACAAGGAAAAAAAAGTGCCATATATTTTTAATATACAGCCTCAATGGAAAGAATTATAGACTATCATCACAACAGTAATAAAAAGTACTTTCTTAAACTGAAATATAAAATTTTTGTAGATAAAAATTGCTTTCCATTACCGAATTACTGGAATTTGATAGCTTTTAGTCATGCTCAGGTATTTCCCATTTTTAAAAAATGTTTTTAAAATAACTCAGTTCTAATTCCAGTAATGGCAAAGTAGCTTGTATTGAACCAACATAAACTCTGGATTTATGAATTTTCAAAAATAATATATTTGAAAACATTTTAAAAACGTTTAAAAAGTATATTTGAAGGTGTAGATGAGTAATCAATAATAAGTAGAAACTGGAAGCGATATGATCCTTGAAAGAGCAGAAATACTGGTTGAGATCCACATTCAACTAGCTTCTTCTAAAAGCACTTTCCAGTTTGTGGGTTCACAGAGGTAAGAACTCAAGCAAAAAGTAGTAGTCTTATTGGACTGAGGAGTCAGAGAGCAGGGCTGCCAAGGTGGTACAAAATTCTAGAAAAACAGAGCCCTCAAAACATGCATACGTATTTCCCTCAAATGCTTGGCAGACATCTAAATACCATTTAGAGGGTGAGACTCCTAGGTACCTGTGAAAGGAAATGGCTGTGGCCTTTAGCTAAGCAGAGAATTTACCCACTTCCCATGACAAGCGGGAGACCAAGTTTGTAATCTTGGTAAAAATGGACTGGATAAGCTCTTTAGCAATTTGGGCAAAGCAGAAAAAGGGTCAGTAGAAATCATTACGTTTAGGAAGATCTATACTTGAAAGATTAAAGGAAGTCATTCATACAAAAGGAAAATGATACCAGAAGGAAATGTGAATCTCTGTACACACACATAAAAAAGATGGAGAAAAAAGAAATAGTAATGTGTAATCTTATGTATACATACGTGTGTGTGTGTGTGTTTGTGTGTGTGTATATATATATATATATATATATATATATATATATATACACCTTTTCAAAAAAAAAAAAAAAAAACACCTCTTTAAAAGATAAGAGTGTTGTCAGCAAAATGGTGGATTAGGAAGCTCCAGGCCTTTGCTTCCCCATTAAAAGACTGACTATATGATACACAGACCAAAATAGCTTTGGGAGAGCTCTAGAAACCAATCAGTCAGTCAGCAGCAGCAACCAAGAGACTGCCTAACTAAGAAAAGGCCATATTCAAAGCAGTAGGAAATGTCATGGTGTTTTGCTCACCCTTTACCCACATCCTCCCTGGCACAGCACAGTCAGGAAGAAGCCACCCAATTCCCAGTTCTTCCCTTGGAATGGAGGGAAAAGAGTAGACTTGCTTGCAACATTCTGGCTTTTCTGGGGCCTGCCTGAGGGACTGCTATCTGTCTTGCCTGACTCAGTACTGATGGGAACAGCTGCATCATTTGGATATCAGGTTGGAAGCTGCGGAAACAGGTGGTTGGTACCACTGAATGTGAGAGGTGTAGTGAGTCCACAGAACTGCAGGAACCTGGTGGCAAAAAATTATGGGCAGAGGAATAAAATACAGCATCTAAATCTCTGAGAAGAAGTAGTGAGATTTTTAGGTAATTAGGACATTTAAAAGAAGCCGTGTGTATGGAAAACTGGAATTAAAACACACAGGCCCAGGAAAGACACAACCCCAGAAAGGTTTGAGAGGACCTCAAGACTTTACACCATGCTGATTAGTGAAGGTCTTTGCTTGCATGCAGCCAGTCTGCAAGACTGGGAGAAGTGGCTGTTTTTTCAAACACCCGTTTTTCAATGTAAGATCACAAGACATTCAAAGAAACAGGGAAACATGGACCATATTAAAGGAACAAAATTAATATCCAGAAGTGTATCCTAAAGAAACAAAGGCTTCTCACTTATTTGACAAGGACTTTAAAATAACTGCCATAAATATGCTCCATGAGCTGAAGGAGAATATTGACAACTAAATGAAATCAGGGTACCTATATATTAATAAAATGAGACTATCAACAAAAATTACAAAAAAGAACCAAACAAATTCTAAAGCTGAAAAATACAGTAACTGAATGGAAAAATTCACTTGAAGGGTTCAACAGCAGAGCTGTACAGGTATAAGAAAGAATGAGTGAGCTTTCAGACAGGTCATTTGAAATGAGCAGGTCAGAGGAGCCAAAAGTAAAAGAATGAAGAAAAGTGAACAGCAGCTAAGGGAGACCATCAAGTGGGCCAATATGTATATCAGTGTAATCTTAGATAGAAAAGGAGACAAGTAACTTATTTGAAGAATAGCTGAAAAATTGCCAAATTTAAGGAAAGAAATGGATACACAAATACAAAAAGCTCCATGAACTCCAAGTAGGATAAACCCAGAGACCCACAGCAAGACACATTTTAATCAGTCGAGTGTCAGACAAAGAGAAAATCTTGACAGCAACAAGACAAAATGGCTCATCACATGCAAGGGAGCATCTGTAAGATTATCAGCAGATTTTTCAGCAGAAACTTTACAGGCCAGAAGTCAGTAGGATGATATATTTAAAGGGCTGAAAGAAAAAAACCTAGAAGAATACTACATCCAGCAAAGTGTCCTTCAAAAATGAAAAAGAAATTAAGACATTCCTAGATAAGAGCTGAGGAACTTCATTACCACTGTATTTTCCCTACAAAATCCTAAAGAAAATCCTTCAAGTTGAAACAAAAGGATACTAGACAATAATTCAAAGCTATATGCAAATATGAAATTCCCCAGTAAATGTAAATATTTGGACAAATATAAAGGCCTGTATTATTTTAATTTTGGTTGACAACTCACTTTTCATTCTTTCACTTTTCATTCTTTTCGAATTTAAAAGACAAAAGCATAAAAAATACTATAAATCTTTGTTAATGGGTACATAACCTAAAGATGTAATTTGTGACACCAGTAACACAAGGTAGGGCAGGGGCTGAAAAGGAGTAGAGTCTTTATATACGATTGAAGTTGCATCATTACACAAAATCAACTAAACAATAAGGCAATAAGGAAGGAAATGAGAGGGTAAAAGTCCTCAAGACATACATAAAATTGTGAACAAACAGCAACAGACCTCCCAAAAACTTTAAATGTAAATGGACAAAACTCCCTAACCAAAATAAATTGAATGGAAGAATGGATTTTTAAAAACCAAAATCCAACTATATGCTGTCTACATGCAACTAACTTTAGATCCAGAGATATGCATAGGTTTAAGGTAAAAAGATGGAAAAAGATAATCTGAAATTTTGTAACCAAAAGAACACAGGAGTGACTACAGTAATATCTGACAAAATAGACTTTAAGTCAAAACTGTTAAAACATACCAAGAAGGACATTATATAAGAACATATGGGCCAAACAAAAGGGCCAGTTCAGCAAGAAGATAGATACAATTATATATGTACCAAACATTAAAGTGCCTAAATATATGAAGCAAGCATTGACAGACTTGGAGAAAAGACTACTCTATAGTAAAAGTAGACTTCAATACCCCACTTCCAATAATCAATAGAATCACCGGATGGAAGACCAATAAAGCAATAAGGGACTTGAACAACATTATAGACCAATTAGATTTAAGAGACATAAAGAGTAGTCCTCTAACACAAAGGCATAAGAAGGATATAATGGACTCTAGGGACTTGTGGGGGAAGGGTGAGAGGGATAAAAGACTACACATTGGGTTCAGTATAGACTGCTCGGGTGATGGGTGCACCAAAATCTCAGAAATCACCACTAAAGCACTTATCTGTGTAACCAACACCACCTGTTCCCCCAAAACGATTGAAATAATAAAGAAAAAATATAATCATATACCAGAACAGACAAATATGGAGAGACAGGAAGTAGATTAGTGGTTGCCTAGGGCTAGAATGTGGTGCAGGGTGTTGGGGGAATATAGAGTGGCTGTGAATGGGTACAGACGTTCTTTTTGGGGTGATAAAATTGCAAAATTGATTGTGGTGATGGTTGCACAACTTTGTGACTACTAAAAACAAACTTATTTGTATATTTTAAGTGGGTTGCATGGTATATGAATTGTATCTCAATAAGATGTTAACGAAAAAAATAAGAGAATACAGTTTTCTCAAGTGCACATGGAACATTCCCCACATTTTATAAGTCATACAAAGTATATTTTCCAATCACAGTTGATTCAAACTAGAAATCAACAGCGGACGGAAAACTGGAAAATCCACAAATATGTGGGGATTGAACAAAACACTCAAACTACCAAGGGGTCAAAGAAGAAATCACAAAGCAAATTGGAAAATATCATGAGGCAAATGACAACAAAGCTACAATACACCAAAACTTATAGGACAGAGTATAAGCACTGCTAAGAGGGAAATTTGTAGTTGTAAATGCTTACATTAGGAAAGAAGATTTCAAATCAACCTGACTTTACACATCAAGGAACTAGCATTTCACTTTTCTCTAGGAGACATTGATATCTGTATACCCTTGTTCAAAGCAGTGCAACTCATACTAGCCAAAAGGTTGGGAAGCAGCTCAACTGTCCACTGATGGATGAATAAACAAAATGTGGTATGTAAATACAATGATTATTAAGCCTTAAAAAGGAATGAAATTCTGACACATGCTACAACTTTGATCAACCTTGAGAACATTATGTTAAGTGAAATAAGCCAGTTAAAGAAAAACAAATATGGTATAATTCTACTGACGTTTACTTCCTAGAGCAGTCAAATTTATAGAGACAGAAAGTACAATGGTGGTTGCCAGGGTCTAGAGGGAGGTGGAAATGGGGAGTGGCTTAATTGGTAGAGAGTTTCAGTTTTTGCAAGATGAAAAGAGTTCATGGATAGGTTGTATAACAGTGTGAATCTATGTTACACTACTGAACTATATGCTTAAAATGTTTAAGAAGGTAAATCTTATGTGTAGCTTACCACAATTAAAAATTTTTAAATTAACAATGTAGAGTTTATAGATAAAACATATGACAATAGCAGAAAGGGTGGGGGGTAATGGAAGTATACTGCTAAAAGGCTCTTAAATTATTCATAAAATGCTATATTACTTGGAGGTATACAGTGATAAACATATATATAACAAATGCTGAAATGCATACAAAGAAGTACAGATAATGATCTAATAAAGGAGATAAAATGGAATCTTTAAAAAAGCAATTCAAAAAGAAGGGAAAGAAAACATACGGGCCAACTAAAACAACAGCTAGCTAATAGAGTTAATCCCAACCATATTATTAATCATTTTAAATATAATGGTGTAAGCACCTCAATTAAAAAGAGACTGTCAGATTGGATTTTTTTATTTTTTTATTTTATTATTTTTTTAATTATACTTTAAGTTTTAGGGTACATGTGCACAATGTGCAGGTTAGTTACATATGTATACATGTGCTATGCTGGTGTGCTGCACCCATTAACTCGTCATTTAGCATTAGGTATATCTCCTAATGCTATCCCTCCCCCCTCCCCCCTCCCCACAACACTTTTACACTGTTGGTGGGACTGTAAACTAGTTCAACCATTGTGGAAGTCAGTGTGGCGATTCCTCAGGGATCTAGAACTAGAAATACCATTTGACCCAGCCATCCCATTACTGGGTATATACCCAAGGGACTATAAATCATGCTGCTATAAAGACACATGCACACGTATGTTTATTGCGGCTCTACTCACAATAGCAAAGAGTTGGAACCAACCCAAATGTCCAACAATGATAGACTGAATTAAGAAAATGTGGTACATATACACCACGGAATACTATGCAGCCATAAAAAATGATGAGTTCATGTCCTTTGTAGGGACATGGATGAAATTGGAAATCATCATTCTCAGCAAACTATCGCAAGAACAAAAAACCAAACACCGCATATTCTCACTCATAGGTGGGAATTGAATAATGAGAACACATGGACACAGGAAGGGGAACATCACACTCTGGAGACTGGATTTTTTTAAAAAGCAAAGTCAACTAGATGCTGCTAATGAGAAGACACAAAGGAGTTACAAATAAAAGAATGGAAAAAGACAAGACAATGCTAACACGAACTAAAATAAAGCTTGAGTTGCATGAATATCAAACAAAGGTAATACAGGTTGAGTATCCCTAATCCAAAAGTCTGAAATCCAAAATGCTCTAAAATCTAAAACTTTTTGAGTGCTGACATGATTCTCAAAGATGAAATGTCCACTGTAGCATTTCTAAAACACTTCTGGTCCCAAGCATTTCTGATAAGGGATACTCAACCTGTATCAGAATGCAGCAACAAAAATAAATATAAATAAATAATAAGAGGTCAATTCATTCAAGAGGATTTAACAATCTTCTTAGATACTGGGTATTAATATAGCTAATAACCAAGTCTCAAAATACATGATGCAAAAATTGTTAAGACTGAAAGGGAAAATAGACAAACTCACAGTTCTATTCAGAGTTTAGTACCCCTCTCTTGATCATTGATAGAACAGGGACACAGAAAATACATAAGATACAGAAGTATTGAACAACACTATCAAGCAATTTGACATAATTGACATTTATAGAATACTCCACCTAACAAATACAGAATGCACATTCCTATCAAGGGCACATGAAATATTTCCCAATTTAAACCATATTCTGGGCCAAAAAAAAGTATCCATAAATTTAGAGTGATTCAAATAAAACCAAATGCATTCTCTGTCCACAATGGAATTAAAAATCAGTAAGAATGGTATCTGGGGAAAATCCCTAAGTATTTGAAAAATGAAATGACAAACTCGTAAAGTTTGTCATGGCTCAGAGGAAATAAAAAAGAAAATTAGAAAGTATTCTGAATAGAATAAAAATGAAAATACAAAAAATCAAATTTGGTGGGAAGTAGCTAAGGAAATTCATAGAGAAACATTTACAGTGTTTAAATGCTTATATTAGCAAAGAAGAAAGCGTACAAATCAACAGTCTCCACTTCCATTTTAAAAATTAGAAAAAGAGGCCAGGCGTGATGGCTCACATCTGTTTAATCCCAGCACTTTAGGAGGTCAAAGCGGGCAGATCACGAGGTTAGTAGTTCGAGACCAGTCTGGCCAACATGGTGAAACCCCATCTCTACTAAAAATACAAAAATTAGCCGAGCATGGTGGCGGGGGCCTGTAATCCCAGCTACTCAGGAGGCTGAGGCAGGAGAACCGCTTGAACCTGGGAGGCGGAGGTTGCAGTGAGCCAAGTTTGCGCCACTGCACTCCACCCTGGGCAACAGAGCAAGACTCTGTCTAGGGGAGAAAAAAAAAAGAGAAAAGAGAAAAAGAACAAATTGAACCCAAAAGTAAGGAGAGGGAAAGAAATAGAAGAGCAGAAATCAATAAAAAAAATAAAAAATCAGTAGAGGAAAATCAATAAAACCAGAATTAGTAAACCTCTAGTAAGACTGATCAGAAAAAGTAAAAAAGACACAAATTACCAATACAAGAATGAGAGGGGGGAATGACCCACAGGAATGTAGGAGGAATATTCAGAGGACAATAAGGAACTAGTGTAAAAAACTGTATGCCAGTAAATTTGACAACATAAACGAAATGAACAGATTCCTTGACAGATGTAAGCACCCAAAACACAATAAAATATAGCCTCTATAAGGAATACTTCTGTATCTATTAAAGAAATTGAATTTGAAGTATAAAATCTTTCCACAAGAAAACCTCAGGCCCAGACGGCTTTACCTGTGGACTCTACCAGACATTCAAAGAAAAAATAATACCAACCCTACAAAAACTTATCTGAAAGTTGAGCTTCTCCAGAAGAATGATTTGGAAGTTCATTTAATAAAGGCAGCATTACCCTGAAACCAAAACCAAAACAAATTCAAACCAAAAAACCTAAAGATGAAAATAATGTATAAGAAAACTAAATCAAGACTACAGACTAAACAGACTAGCACTATGTTCCCATGTATACAGACATTCACAAAAAAGTAACCAATAATATATAAAAGAGATAATGACACACCATCACCAAGTGCAATATATCCCAGGAATACAAGGTTGTTTTAACATTTGAAAGACTAAAAAAAGAAAAATATAATTTCAATAGATACGGGAAAAAGCATTTGACAAAATTCAACATCCATTCCTGGTAAGATCTCTCAGGAAACTGCAGTCAGTTTTTCTAAAACTTGTGAACTAAAAATGATTTATTTTGAAGGTGTTAAATAAATTTTAAAAAAGAAAACCAGTGAAGAATACACAAGGGACCATATGTAGCCCACAAAGCCAAAGCATTTACTAGTTGGTCCTTTACAGAAAAGGTCTGTAGAAAATCCTAAGGCTTCTAGAATAAGTGAGTTCAGCAAAGTTGAGGATATAGACTCAATATGCAAACATAAATTGTATTTCTCCATTATAGCAACAAACAATGGGAAACTGGAATTTAAAGAACATTTATAACATCAAAAAACGGAAACACTAAGAGATAAGTTTGAAAAAAAAGTGTGTAAAACCTGTATTCTGGAAACTATATATATATAAAAGCTGCTTGGAAAAATTGAAGAAGGCTTAAATAAACAGATTTTCTCTATTCATGACTTTAAAGACGCTATTAAGATGTCAATTTTCCCAAAACTGATCTATAGATTCAACACAATGCCTATCAAAACTCCAAATGTGATTCTAAAAACTTACATGGAAATGCAAAAGAACTATAGTAGCCAGTTGTGTTATAATAAATGCTCATTGGATGTTTTTAAAAAAGGCATTTATTGGCTTGGTTACTTGCTCAAAGCACCATATACTTTCCACAGCATTTATTGCAGTTGCACCTTAGCTTTGATAGATTATCTAAATTCGATAATTATCTAGGTGTTGCTTCATGGATTATCTAAACATTCAATTTCATTATAAGATAGGTGCACAGCTACAAGGATCACATCTGTTTTTTTGTTTTTTGGTTTTTTTTGAGACAGAGTCTCGCTCTGTCACCCAGGCTGGAGTGCAGTGGTGCAATCTTGGCTCACTGCAAGCTCCACTTCCCAGGTTCATGCCATTCTCCTGCCTCAGCCTCCCAAGTAGCTGGGACTACAGGCGCCCACCACCACGCCCAGCTAATTTTTCAATATTCTTAAAGAAAAAAAAAAAGCCCTCAAGAATTTCATATTAAGCCAAACTAAGCTACCTAAGTGAAGGAGAAATAAGATCCTCTTCAGATAAGTGAATGTTGAAGGAACTCTTTACCACCAGACCTGCCTTACCAAAGCTCTTGAAAGAAGCATTAAACATAGAAAGCAAAGACCACTACCAGCTAAGACAAAAACACATTTAACCACACAGATCAATGTCACTGTAAAGCAATTACACAAACAAGTCAACCTAATAACCAGCTAACAGCACAACAGCACGATCAAATCCACACATATTAATACTAACCTTGAATATAAACAGTCTAAATGCCCCACTTAAAAGGCATGGAGTGACAAGCTGGATAAAAAAGCAAGACTCAAATGGTATGCTGTCTTCAGAAGACCCATCTGACATTTAATGACTCTCATAGGCTCAAAATAAAGGGATAGAGGAAAATCTACCAGGAAATAGAAAACAGAAAAAAGCAGGGGTTGCAATTCTAATTTCAGACAAAACGTTTCAAACCAACAAAGATCAAAAAAGACAAAGAAAGGCATTACAGAATGGTAAAGTGTTGAATTCAGTAAGACCTAATTAGCCTAAATATACATGCACACAACACAGAAGCACCCAGATTCATAAGGCAAGTTCTTAGAAACCTACAAAGAGACATAGACTCTCACACAATAATAGTGGGAGACTTCAACTCTCCATAGTATTAGACAGATCATCGAGGTAGAAAATTAACAAAGATATCTGGAACCTAAACTCAGCACTGGACCAAATGGATATGATACCTTTACAGAACTCTGCACCCAAAAACAACACAATATACATTCTTCTTAGTGCCATATGGCACATACTCTAAAACTGACCACATAATTGGACAAAAAACAATCCTCAACAAATGTAAAAGAACGAAATCATACCAAACACACTCTTGGACCACAGCACAATAAACTGGAGTCAAGACTATGAAAATCACTCAAAACCATGCAGTTACATGGAAATTAAACAACACGCTCCTCAATGACTTTGGGGTAAATAATGAAATTATGTCAGAAATAAAAAAGTTGAAAATAACAACAAAGATATAACATACCAGAATCTCTAGAACACAGCTAAGGGAGAGTTAAGAGGGAAATTCATAGCACTAAACGCCCACATCAAAAAGTTATAAAGATCTCAAATTAACAACGTAACTTCACAACTGAAAGAATTCAAGAAGCAAGAAGAAATCAACCCCAAAGCTAGCAGAAGATGAGAAATAACAAAAATCAGAGCTGAACTGAAGGAAATCAAGACATGAAAAACCAGTCAAAAGATAAATGAATCCAGGAGCTGGTTTTTTGAAAAAATTAATAAAATAGGCCACTAGGTAGACTAGTAAAGAAGAGTGAAGATTCAAATAAACACAATTAGAAATGACAAAGGGAATGTTACTACTGACCCCACAGAAATAAAAACAACCATCAGAAACTACTATGAACACCTCTATGCACACAAACTAGAAAACCTAGAAGAGATGGACAAATTCCTGGACATGTACACCCTCCCAGGACTGAACCAGGAAGAAACTGAATCCCTACACAGACCAATAATGAGCTCCAAAACTGAATCAGTAATAAATAGCCTACCAATCAAAAAAAGCCTGGGACCCAGTGGATTCACAGCCAAATTCTACCAGATGTACAAAGAAAAGCTGGTACCATTCTTACAGAAACTATTCCAAAAAACTGAGGAGGGACTCCTCCCCAACTCATTCTATGGGGCCAGCATCATCTTGATACCAAAACCTGGCAGACAGACAACCAAAAAAGAAAACTTCAGGCCAATATCCTTGATGAACACTGATACAAAAATCCTCAACAAAATATTTGCAAACCAAATCCAGGAGCAAATCAAAAAGCTTATCTACCATGATCAAGTAGACTTCATTCCTGGGATACAGGGTTGGTTCAACATGTATAAATCAATAAATGCAATTTATCACATAAACAGAATTAAGACAAAAACCACGATTACCTCAATAGATGCAGAACAGGCTTTCAATAAAATTCAACACCCTTTATGTTAAAAACTCTAAATAACATAGATATTGGAGGAACAGACCTCAAAATAATAAGAGCCATCTATGGCAAACCCACAGCCAACATTATACTGAATGGACAAAAGCTGGAAGCATTCCCTTGAAAACTGTCACATGACAAGGATGCCCTCTCTCAACACTATTCAACATAGTATTGGAAGTCCTAACCAGAGGAATCAGGCAAGAGAAATAAAGAGAGGGCATCCAAATAGGAAGTCAAACTATCTGTTTGCAGACGGCGTAATTCTATATCTAGAAGACCCCATAGTCTTGTCCCAAAAGCTCCTTTTGGCAGATAAACAACTTCAGCAAAGTTGCAGGATACAAAATCAATGTACAAAAATTACTAGCATTCCTATATACTAACAACAGCCAAACCAAGAGCCAAATCAGAAAAGCAATCCCATCCCCACTTGCCACAAAAAGAATACCTAGGAATACAGCTAACCAGGGAGGTGCAAGATCTCTACAATGAGAATTACGAAACACTGCTCAAAGAAATCAGAGAAAACACAACGGGAAAAAACATCCCATGCTCACTGATAGGAACACTTATTAAAATGCCTATACTGCCCAAAGCGATTTACAGATTCAATGCTATTCCTATCAAACTACCAGTGACATTCTTCACAGAATTAGAAAAAACTATTTAAAAATTCACATGGAACCACAAAAGAGCCTGAATAGCCAAGGCAATACTAAGCAAAAAGAACAAAGTTGGAGGCACACTGTGTGACTTCAAACTATACTACAAGTCTACAATAACCAAAACAGCACATGGTACAAAAACAGGTACTGTTACAAAAACAGGCACATAGACCAATGGAACAGAGTAGAGGGCCCATAAATAAGGCCGCACATCTACAACCGTCTGATCTTCAAACCTGACAAAAGCAATGGGAAAGGGCTCCCTCTTCAATAAATGGTGCTGGGATAACTGGCTAGCCATTTGCAGAAGACTGAAGCTGGACCCTTTCCTTCCACCTTATACAAAGACCAACTCAAGATGAACTAAAAACTTAAATGGAAAACCCAAAACTATAAAAACCCTGGAAGACAACCTAGGCAATACCATTTTGGACATAGGAACGGGCAAAGATTTCACGACAAAGACAGAAAAAGCAACTGCAACAAAAGCAAAAACTGACAAGTGGGATCTACTTAAACTAAAGAGCTTCTGCACAGAAAAATAAATGATCGGCAGAGTAAAAAGACCACCTACAGAATGGGAGAAAATTTTTGCAAACTATGCATCTGATAAAGGTCTGATATCCAGCTTCTATAAGGAACTTAAACAAATTTACAAGAGAAGAACAACCCCATTAAAAGGTGGGGAAAGAACAAGAACAGACACGTCTCAAAAGAAGTCATACATGTGGCCAACAAGTATGAAAAAAAAGCTCAATATCACTGATCATCAGAGAAATGCACATCAAAACCACAATTAAATACCACCTCACACCAGTCAGAATGGCTATTACTAAAAAGTCAAAAAATAACAGATCTGGTGAGGTTGCAGAGAAAAGGGAACACTTATACACTTGGTGGGAGTGTAAATTAGTTCAACCATTGTGCAAAGCAGTACGGTGACTCCTCAAAGAGGTAAAAGCAGAACTACCATTGGACCCAGCAATCTCATTATTGGTATTATACCCAGAGGAATATAAATCATTCTACCATAAAGACACATGCACACAAATGTTCACTGCAGCACTAGTCACAATAGCAAGGACATGGAATCAACTAAATGCCCATCAATGACAGAATGGATAAAGAAAATTTGGTACGTATACACCATGGAATACTATGTAGCCATAAAAAAGAACGAGATCATGTTTTTTGTGGGAACATGGATGGAGCTAGAGGCAGTTATCCTTAGCAAACTAATGTAGGAACACAAAACCGAATACCGCTTGTTTTCACTTATAAGTGGGAGCTAAATGATAAGAACTTACAGAACACAAAGAAGGAAACAGACATTGGGGTCTACTTGAAGTGGGGAAGGTGGAAAAAGGGAGAGGAGCAGAAGAGATAACTATTGAGTACTGGGCCTAATACCTAGGTGATGAAATATATGTGCAACAAACCCCCATGACACCTGTTTACCTATGCAACCTTCACATGTACCCACAAACCTAAAAAAAATTAAAACAAAATAAAACAAAATGGCTGGCTAGAATATGGAGAGTCATCTGTTTCATGAAACCATTTTCCTTCTGTTTTCTTAATATGTGAACTAATACAATATAGAGGTCAAATCTACAACAATTAGGAAATCCTGATACCTAGGTGGTTATTCTTCATTTTCTTCAAAATCCCTGTAAAATGCACCAAATTGGAAATAATACTCGAATAACATGCTAATTACTGGTGAGTCTATAAAGATGACTTCCTAACTTGTTCATGTAATAACTTCTATTAATAAATCCCAGTTATGCCATCATTGATGGCCCCTGAATATGAAAATGACCTGACCATATAACAAACTATCTCACAGACGACATCTTAAAACTCTGTAATCACTACGGCACATATTTGCCTCTCAAACATGTTAGAGGATGTATCAAGGTCACTTTCAGTCTATTCCTGTTAAGTGTTACTAACTTAATCCAAAATGTATTATCTGTGTATATAATGAAGGTGGTTCCTAATTTCATTATCCAAGTCATGATTAAATTATTAAATATTGTTTTAATTATGAGAGTCACTTAACATTATGTTAAGTGAAATAAGCCAGTTAAAGAAAAACAAATATGGTATAATTCTACTGACGTTTACTTCCTAGAGCAGTCAAATTTATAGAGACAGAAAGTACAATGGTGGTTGCCAGGGTCTAGAGGGAGGTGGAAATGGGGAGTGGCTTAATTGGTAGAGAGTTTCAGTTTTTGCAAGATGAAAAGAGTTCATGGATAGGTTGTATAACAGTGTGAATCTATGTTACACTACTGAACTATATGCTTAAAATGTTTAAGAAGGTAAATCTTATGTGTTAGCTTACCACAATTAAAATTTTTAAATTATTAAATAGTTTAATTATTAAACAGAATTGTTTTAATTATTAAATATTGTTTTAATTATTAAATAATAAATTATTAAATTAAATAATTTATTATTAAATTATTTAATTATTAAATTATTTAATTAAATAAATTAAATTATTTAAGTATTAAATAAATTAAATTATTTAATTATTAAATATTAAATATTTAATTATTAAATAGAATTTAAAAATTATTAAATAGGTAATATCACTTATTACCCTTTCAGGTCAATACAGAACCAAAAAGTAACCAATATTTATAGAAGGTACAAAGGGGTTTCATGAACATTGGTATTTGAACTTTCATTTATTCAACAGATATTTAAGGCACCGAATGCTAATTCTATGCCAAGCATTGGCTAGACACTGGAGTTACGGTGATCCTTACAATAATTTACCTGGGAACTTGTTAAAAGTGCAATTTCTCAGGCCTCACTCCAGACCTATTAAATCAGAAATTCTGGGGATGGGACCCAGCAATGTGATTTAACAAGCCCTCCCAGAGATTCTGATACATGCTCAAGTTTGAGAACCACTGCCCTGTAAAATAGAGCCTTACTTTATCTATTAGAAAACTGAGGTTCAGAGAAGAATAAAAGACTTGAGATACAAAAGATACTTTTTTTAAACAACTTTTTCTAAGAGCTTAGAAAAGTGTCTGACATATAATATGGGCACCTGATAAAACTGGTTGAAGAAATCAATCTTCCAAAGAGTTGTGCCATCACCCAATAATGGCGACAGACAAGCATATCATCCTAACATGTTAGAAATGTGTATACTGCTAATGAATATATTTCTTCTGAAAAGAGAAATGTTCAGCATGACATCAAGAATTATAATTTAAGTATTATTTTTGACATGTTCATAAAAGAAGTAGTTACCAAAAGGGATCACTACAAAAGCTATTCAATTTTTCCATACCTTGTTATTTTGCCTTAATTTACTTAACTCCAGTTTATACTTTTCTGCTTCTTCTAGAGCTCTATTCAAGCGAACCTCTGTGGCACTTTGACTACTTGCAGCCTGTTTTTGCAGTCTTCTTTTATTTTCTAATTCCTGTATAGTAAAAAAGATTATGGAACATTTATAAATATATCATAGTTTCCCCCTTTATCATTTTGCAGTATCTTCCATATCCATATTCCTTGCTTTCTCTCAAACTTTACACACACACACACACACACGCTTGGGGGTAGAGGCTGAACACTAAGTGTTAGAGGTCTCAAGGAATTCTTGCCTCAAATTGGTATTAGAGAAATATATCCTAAAAAATGTAGTTGTGAACCGGGCTTTCAAATTACTTTTCGTTTGGAATTTTCTCTCTCTTTATTGACTCAAGACACAGTATACCTGTCCTCTATTTTATAAACAACTCATTATAACTGTATTTCTTCTCTTGGGAACCTCCCAAAAAGACCAATGTTAAGAGAAACTCTCCACTGTTTTTCTGTATACCTGACAAAGTAAATCTTTTCAGAATATATTCATTAAATGCACAACATTCTATATAGCCCTATAGGAAAATCCCAATTCTAAGTAGAAACAACAGATCTTATAGATTATTTTCCACATCCTGGGGTGAGTTTAGTCTTATATTTCTGCAAACATCCTAGGATATTCTGTTGCAGAGAGTCAACAGGCCAACACCTGAAGAAACATGAACCTAGAGGATAAACTCTTAACTCCACCATAATCAACCAGCCTCATCTCCTGCCAAAGATGTTACTTTCAGTAATACCAGCAGTAACTGGATCTCTCCCAAACAGCCATGGTGTTTCCTGCCTCAGTCTTCGCCTGTGCTCTTCCTCCTGCCCTGATCTCTGCCCACTCATTTTCACATAGCTAGCACCTACTGACTCAGCTAGATTTGTACTCTAGGGCATTAGCTCTCCCAGGACATATTTCCTTTCTAATCCTCATTATCCACCCAGATTATATTAAGTACCCTCTTCAAAGCTTGTATAGCACCTTGAGAGACATTTATCATCATATCTGCTATGTGGTACTGAAACTATCCCTTAACTTTATTTCCCCCACTATAGTTTAAGCTCCTTGAAGAAAAGAACTGTCTTAATTTCTGTATACTCAGCACTTCAGTGGGATATAAAAGACACTAACACACGTTAGTTAAACTGAACTTATTTTGTAATACTAAACCCACTCTTCTTTATATCCCCTACAAAGTAAGGCCTAGTCCAGAGCCTTACTCAATAAATTGAGAAGATACTCAATAAATATTATAGAGTTGAAATGATGAAGTTAAAAATACAGTTGTCTATATTCTTTTATAATTTTTTCCTGGCTATATCACTACATTTTATTTAAAAACTGGTCTCCCTGGCTCTGAGTAATTAAGGGGAAAAACAAAACAAAACACATGCTGCTCTTTATGTAGGTTTCTAAACAAATCAAACTGTGTATGGATACCATCTGCTATCACAGCCTTCTTCACAGCTTTGTGGGTGGTAGCTACAGGAAGAGCTAGCTTGATTTATCTCACTGTTCACATAGAAAAGGCAAAGATTCTCATTAGCTACAAAGTCCACATTTCTTGCTGCCTCATTTCAGTCTTCCTTCTTAAGAATATAGAAATGAATCTTTCCCCTCTTGCCTGCTGATGACTTTGTAACCTATTTCACAGGAAAATGAAAACCATCCTGTACCACATGATGTCCCCTATCCCTGAATCAATACTGCCCTCTTCTTGGGAGGTGTGGGGGAAAAATGATAGCCACAAGAATAGTAAAGTAGGAAGTAAAGTTTTCTATATGAGTAAATCCACTAAACAAATTTCTACTGTTATAAAAATTTAAGGAGTTACAGGTTGCTAGACAAAAATTTCACGAAAAATCTGAAGTCCTGAGTTGCACATTAGTTTTTTTTTAAAAAAAAAACCTAAGAAAATCAAATTTAACATTAAAATTCAAATACTGTGAGCTTCAAGAGGAAATGATGTACCACTCTCTCATGATTATTAAAGCATTCATAAAAGGCACTGGGGGAGAGTAAGAAAAGAGAGGGGCATGCATCAGCCACAGCAGAGGACAAAATGTAGTAAATGCTCTGGGAATAACACGAAGCACCACAGAAATTCAGATAAGAAATAATCAGATGAGGATAAATAAATAATCAGATATGGTTTCAGAAACAAGTGGCTAAGGTAGAAAAGAATGGACTAGGAATCAGAAAACCTGCCAGCTGTGGTAGACTCATTTCCATATCTGAAATTGTGAGTAATATTATCTATACCTAATAGGTTTCATTCATTTATTCAACACATTTATTAAGCACTTACTACATGCAGGATACTATTCTATATGATGGGCACACAAATTAACCAAAGTTCCTCCTCTCATGACATTTGCATTCTAGAGGAAGAGACAGAAGATGAACACATATATACACATAGACATATGTAATATCTGGCAGTGTTAAGGACTATCAAGAAAAAAAGGGTAAAGGGACAGAACAATGAGGGAAGGGTAAAACTATTTAAAATAAAGTGGTCAGGGAAGTCTTCCAAATGAAGTGAGGTAATGATTTAAGTAAAAATCTTAGGGAGGCCAGGCACAGTGGCTCACGCCTGTAGTCCTAGCACTTCGGGAGTCCAATGTGGGAAGATGAACCCAGGAGTTCGAGACCAGTCTAGGCAACACAGGGAGACCTTGTCTCTACAAAAAAATTTAAAAATTAGCTGGACATTGTGGCATATGTATGTGGTCCCAGCTGCTTGGAAGGCTGAGGCAGAAGGATTGCTTGAGCTGGGGAGGTCAAGGCTGTAGTAAGCCATGATTGCACCACTGTACTCCAGCCTGAGCAACAGAGTGAGATCCTCTCTCTAAAAAAATAAAATAATCAAATAAAGATCTTGGGGAAAGAATTCCAGATAATAAGAACAATGAAGACAAAGATCCTGTAGTAGGAATCCACTTAATATATTCAAAAATCACCTAGAAGGTCAGTGTGGTTTCAGCCGAGTGACATAGGCACAGTGTTAGGTTTTGATAAGAGAAGTGGGCAGGACAAGCCTAGGTGAACCTTGTAAGCTTTACTTAGAAATTTGGATTTTATTCTGAGTGACACGGGAAGCCTTTGGAGGATTTTAAGTGTGTATGCATATGTGTATGTGTGTGATGATCTGACTTAATTTTTTTTTTTTTTTGAGACGGAGTCTCGCTCTGTGGCTCAGGCTGGAGTGCAGTGGTGCAATCTCGGCTCACTGCAAGCACCGCCTCCCGGGTTCACGCCATTCTCCTGCCTCAGCCTCCCAAGAAGCTGGGACTACAGGCAACCGCCACCACGCTGGCTAATTTTTTGTAGTTTTAGTAGAGATGGGGTTTCACCGTGTTACCCAGGATGGTCTCAATCTCCTGACCTTGT
The DNA here is from genome assembly GCF_000001405.40 of Homo sapiens. Lineage (NCBI taxonomy): Eukaryota > Metazoa > Chordata > Mammalia > Primates > Hominidae > Homo > Homo sapiens. The sequence continues at coordinate 56,408,977 of NC_000015.10, read as the reverse complement.
GATCCGCCCGCCTCGGCATCCCAAAGTGCTGGGATTACAGGTGTAAGCCACTGCGCCTGGCTCTGACTTAAATTTTATAAGGATTACTCTGGCCACTGTGGTACTGCCAATCTAGGAGGTTATTATAATAGTTTAAATAAAAGATAGTGGCTTGGGCTTGGGTAGATGTAATGAATGTTTTGAGAAGTGGTTTATTCTATGTATTTTGAAGACAGAATTGACAGGACTTGTTGGTGAGCTGGATCTGGATATAGGAAAACAGATCAAGATGACTCTTCAATTTTAGACTGAACAATTGGGTGATGCCTTTTACTAAGACAGGGAGAAGGAAGAGAGCAGGTTTGCTGAGGGCAGGGAAGCAAGAGCTTCCTTTAGGACATGTGAAGTTTAACACACAATAGAGATATCAAGTGGGCAGAAAGGAAGAGGTAAGGGCAAGACACAAAAATGTGAGGATGATCAACGTATATATAGATGGTATATAAAGCCATGGAACTGAATGAGATAATCTAAGGATTAGATATAGACAGAGAAGAGACTTGGGCACTCTACTACGTAAGGCCAGGAAAATGAGGGAGAATCATGATTGTGGTGCTCCAGAAGCCAAATTAATAGTGTTTCAAGGAAGGAGTAATCAACTATTTCAAATATTGCTGAGATATAAATTCATGTGAGGAATAACTGACCAAGTACAATGGACCACAACTACAGTGTGGATTATTGGTGACCTTTTTAAGAGTAGTTTCAATGGCAGGGTAGAGATGGAAGCCTAAGCAAAAGTATTTTCAGGAGAAAATGGCACATGAGGTATAGAGACACTGAGTATAAACAATAATTTTGGGAAGCTTCACTGTAAAGGGGAGCAATGATATAGGACTGGAGGTAGATGTAAGATCTAAAGAAGTTTTAAAATAGATATATGAATGATTCTATGAAATGTCTGTACACTAATGAGTATAATCTGATAAGAGTAAATTTGATTTTGCAAGAGGAAGGACAATTGCCAGTGCAGAGACCTTGAGTAGAAGAGAGTATATAGAATCCAGTGCACAAGTGCAGGGGTCAGCTTTAGACAGAAGAGGTACTAATTCACTTTAACTGGAGTGGGGAGTGGTATAGAGGCAGCGAGGTTGTAAATTTAGTGAAAGGATGATAAAGTTATCTTTTGATTCTGTTTCCTTAATGAAAAAGGAAGCAAAGTCATGAGCCAAGAATAAGGAGGTTGGAAGGGGTGTTGGAAAGTTGAGGAAAAAAGACCAACTGTTTAATAATCATCTCCAAAAGTGGGAGAGGGAATTGACTTCTCAGAAAGTGAGGGTAGCAAATGCATTATACCTGAGATTTGTAAATACATTTAAAGTAGGACTGATTAAGAATAAATGACAGAAGAGACAAATTATCAGTATCAGAAATGAAAGAGGGGCCATTATTACACATCATACAGGTATTATAAATATAATAAACATAATACAAGAATATTATGTACAAATTTATGCCAGTAAATCTGACTTAGATGAAGTGGACAAATACCACGAAAAACATAAATTAGCAAAGCTGACTCAAATAGTAGCAGAAAATCAGAATAGACTTGTATCCATTAAATAAACTGAATTGGTCATTGAAATCCTTCCAAAAGAAAACTCCAGTGCACATGACTTTCCTAATGAATTATATCAAATGCATATATCAATATAACAGAATAGTTCAAAGAAGACCCATACATAAACACAGCCAATTCATTTCCTTCACTGGTGCCATGGTAAGCAAATGAGGAAAGAACTGTATTATCCATATGCAAAAAAGTGAACTCTGATCCTTGTCACACACAAAATGAACTTGAAATAGATTACAGGTCAATTTATATATGATTTTGAGATACACACACACACACACAAACACTATAACACTTCTAGAAGAAATCAGGAGAAAAGTCTCATGACTTTGGAGTGGATAAAGATTTCTTAGATAGAATGGGGAAAAAAGCACCAACCACAAGAAAGTAATATTTTGGGTAAACAAGCAAAAGCCACAAGAAAATAACATTTTGTAATTCATCAAAATTTAAAACTGCTGTCTTTTGAAACACACTGTTGAGAAAATAAATCCAAGTCGGATTGAGAGAAACTATTCAAAATATATATTCTTCTAATAAAGGAATTACATAGGTAAACAAAGAATTTGCAACTTAGTATTTTCGAATGGGCAAAAAATTTGAACAAATACATCGCAAAAGAAGATATATGAACGGCCAAGAAACACATGAAAAGATGTTCAATATCCATAGTTATAAAGGAAATACAAATTAAACTACAATGAGATACTACTACTTCTCCTCTAGAATGGCTAAAATTAAAAAGATAATAATCCCAAGTGTTGGTGATGATACAGAGTAACTCTAATTCTCATATATTGCTAGTGGGAATGTAAAATGGTACAATCACTGTGGAACACAGTTTAGCAGTTTCTTAAAAAGTTAAGCATACACTTTCCATAAAATTCACAAATTCCACTCCTAAGTATTTGGTATACATAAAAACGTGTTCACACAGAATACTTGTACATGGAAATTCACTGTGGATTTTTAATAGCCCACACTAGAAAAAAATTGAATGTCACATCAACTGGTGATCAGATAAACAAAATATGGCATATCCATAAATAAGTAATATGGAGCAATACAAGGAAATGAACCACACCACATGTAAAACATTGATGAACCTTAAAAATGTTATGCTGAAGAAAAATAGCCAGATATACAAAAGTCCATATTCACGATTTCATTTGTATGAAATTTTAGAAAAGGAAAATCTAATTTGTAGTGAAAAAATATAGCTCAGTGGCTGCCTGGTGCCATAGTTAGAGGTTGGAGATTTATGGGGCAGGAGTACAAAGGATATTCTGGAAGGGTAATATAAATTTTCATTATCTTGATTATGGTAGTAGTTATGAGGGAATATTAATTTGTGAAAACTTATTGAATTATAAGCTAAAAACAAGTATGTTTTATTGTATTTGTTATTCTTCAATAAAGTTGATTTTAAAGAAATCACTAACAGAAAAACAAAATCCAATGCTGAAGTAAAATGCTTTCTGTTTTTGTATTTCAGAAAACTCCATCTGTTAGCATTAGCAGCTTAAGTGATACATAATAATTTTAAAAATGGTTGGCTTTTGCAGATTTATAAAAGCAAGTCCATCACACTCAAGCTCTGGCATTTTCTGTGAACTGTACACCGAGATTTGTTTGTATAGAGATATAAAATGAGACTTAGCAGAGAATGATTCAATCTTGAGTTCTCATGGCTACATAACCCATGAGAATTATTATACCTATCTGGCAGGGTAGATAGGGATGCAAGCTGGAAAGTTCAGATCCAATGGAAGCTTTTATAAAAGCCTTCAGATAGCCAGTGTATCATAACTGCTTAGTACATTCATTGTGAACTAGAAGTCTCAAGTATTAAACTCTTAAAGAGTGATAAGATTTTGGAATAGATGGTACTTACGTTCATTTAATTTTGGGGGATTCGGGAATGACATGATTTGTTGAAAAAACACAGACTTTGGTGTCAGACACAGTTTGAATCCTGTTCTGCCACTACCTATATATAACCTTGGGTAATTTGCTTAACCAACAAACTCAGTTTCCTTTTTTTTTTTTTTTTTTCTTTGAGACGGAGTCTTGCTCTGTCACCCAGGCTGGAGTGCAGTGGCGACATCTAGGCTTACCGCAAGCTCCCTCCCGGTTTCACGCCACGCCATTCTCCTGCCTCAGCCTCCCAAGTAGCTGAGACTACAGGCGCCCACCACCACGCCCGGCTTTTTTGTATTTTAATTTTTTTTATTAATATACTTTTAAGTTCTAGGGTACATGTGCACAACGTGCAGGTTTGATACATGGGTATACATGTATCATGTTGATTTGCTGCACCCATCAACTCGTCATTTACATTAGGTATTTCTCCTAATGCAATCCCCCTGCCAGCTCCCTAGCGCCAGACAGGCCCTGGTGTGTGATGTTCCCGCCCTGTGTCCAAGTGGTCTCATTGTTCAATTCCCACCTATGAGTGAGAACATGCGGTGTTTGGTTTTCTGTCCTTGTGATAGTTTGCTGAGAATGATGGTTTCCAGCTTCATCTATGTCCCTGCAAAGGACATAAACTCACCCTTTTTTATGGCTGCAGAGTATTCCGTGGTATATATGTGCCACATTTTCTTAATCCAGTCTATCATTGATGGACATTTGGGTTGGTTCCAAGTCTTTGCTATTGTGAATAGTGCCACAATAAACATACGTGTGCATGTGTCTTTATAGTAGCATGATTTATAATCTTTGGGTATATACTCAGTAATGGGATTGCTGGGTCAAATGGTATTTCTAGTTCTAGATCCTTGAGGAATCGCCACACTGTCTTCCACCACAGTTGAACTAATTTACACTCTGCCAACAGTGTAAAAGAGTTCCTATTTCTCCACATCCTCTCCACCATCTGTTGTTTGCTAACTTTTTAATGATTGCCATTCTAACTGGTGTGAAATGGTATCTCATTGCGGTTTTGATTTGCATTCCTCTAATGACCAGTGATGATGAGCATTTTCTCATGTGTCTTTTGGCTGCATAAATGTCTTCTTTTGAGAAGCGTCTGTTCATATCCTTTGCCCACTTTTTGATGGGGTTGATTTTCTTCTTGTAAATTTGTTTAAGTTCTTTGTAGATTCTGTATATATTAGCCGTTTGTCAGATGGGTGGATTGCAAAAATTTTCTCCCATTCTGTAGGTTGGCTGTTCACTCTGATGGTAGTTTCTTTTGATGTGCAGAAGGTCTTTAGTTTAATTAGATCCCATTTGTCTATTTTGGCTTTTGTTGCCATTGCTTTTGGTGTTTTAGTCATGAAGTGTCCTTGCCCATGCCTATGTCCTGAATGGTACTGCATAGGTTTTCTTCCAGGGATTTTATGGTTTTAGGTCTAACATTTAAGTCTTTAATCCATCTTGAATTAATTTTCGTATAACGTGTAAGGAAGGGATCCAGTTTCAGCTGTCTGCATATGGCTAGCCAGTTTTCCTAACACCATTTATTAAATAGGGACTCCTTTCCCCATTTCTTGTTTTTGTCAGGTTTGTCAAAGATCAGATGGTTGTAGATGTGTGGTATTATTTCTGAGGGCTCTGTTCTGTTCCATTGGTCTATATCTCTGTTTTGGTAGCAGTACCACGCTGTTTTGGTTACTGTAGCCTTGTAGTATAGTTTGAAGTCAGGTAGTGTGATGCCTCCAGCTTTGTTCTTTTGGCTTAGGATTGTCTTGGCAATGAGGGCTCTTTTTTGGTTCCACGTGAACTTTAAAGTAGTTTTTTCCAATTCTGTGAAGAAAGTCATTGGTAGCTTGATGGGGATGGCATTGAATCTATAAATTACCTTGGGCAGTATGCCCATTTTCACGATATTGATTCTTCCTATCCATGAGTACAGAATGTCCTTCCATTTGTTTGTGTCCTCTTTTATTTCATTGAGCAGTGGTTTGCAGTTCTCCTTGAAGAGGTCCTTCACATCCCTTGTAAGTTGGATTCCTAGGTATTTGATTCTCTTTGTAGCAATTGTGAATGGGAGTTCACTCATGATTTGGCTGTGTGTCTGTTATTGGTGTATAGGAATGCTTGTGATTTTTGCACATTGATTTTGTATCCTGAGACTTCGCTGAAGTTCCTCATCAGCTTAAGGAGATTTTGGGCTGAGACGATGGGGTTTTCTAAACATACAATCATGTCATCTGCAAACAGGGACAATTTGACTTCCTCTTTTCATAATTGAATACCCTTTATTGCTTTCTCTTGCCTGATGGCCCTGGCCAGAACTTCCAACACTATGTTGAACTGGAGTGGTGAGAGAGGGCATCCTTCTCTTGTGCCAGTTTTCAAAGGGAATGCTTCCAGTTTTTGCCCATTTAGTATGAAATTGGCTGTGGGTTTGTCATAAATAGCTCTTATTATTTTGAGATATGTTCCATCAATACCTAGTTTATTGAAAGTTTTTAGCATGTAAGGCTGTTGAATTTTGTCAAAGGCCTTTTCTGCATCTATTGAGATAATCATGTGGTTTTTGTTGTTGGTTCTGTTTATGTGATGGATTACATTTATTGATTTGTGTATGTTGAACCAGCCTTGTTCAACCAGGGATGAAGCCGACTTGATCTTGTTGGATAAGCTTTTTGATATGCTGCTGGATTCAGTTTGCCAGTATTTTATTGAGGATTTTTGCATCAATGTTCATCAGGGATATTGGTCTAAAATTCTTTTTGTTGTGTTTCTGCCAGGCTTTGGTATCAGGATGATGTTGGCCTCATAAAATGAGTTAGGGAGGATTCCCTCTTTTTCTATTGATTGGAACAGTTTCAGAAGGAATGGTTCCAGCTCCTCCTTATACCTCTGGTAGAATTCGCCTGTGAATCCATCTGGTTCTGGATTCTTTTTGGTTGGTAGGCTATTAATTATTGCCTCAATTTCAGAGCCTGTTATTGATCTATTCAGAAATTCAACTTCTTCCTGGTTTAGTCTTGGGAGGGTGTATGTGTCCAGGAATTCATCCATTTCTTCTAGATTTTCTAGTTTATCTGTGTAGAGGTGTTTATAGTATTCTCTGATGATAGTCTGTATTTCTGCGGGATCCGTGGCGATATCCCCTTTATCATTTTTTATTGCGTCTATTTGATTCTTCTCTATTTTCTTCTTTATTAGTCTTGCTAGCGGTCTAACAATTTTGTTGATAGACAAAATTCAAAAAGCCAGCTCCTGGATTAATTGATCTTTTGAAGGGTTTTTCATGTCTCTATCTCCTTCAGTTCTGCTCTGATCTTAGTTATTTCTTGCTTTCTGCTAGCTTTTGAATTTGTTTCCTCTTGCTTCTCTAGTTCTTTTAATTGTGATGTTAGGGTGTCAATTTTAGATCTTTCCTGCTTCCTCTTGTGGGCATTTAGTGCTATAAATTTCCCTCTACACACTGCTTTAAATGTGTCTCAGAGATTCTGGTATGTTGTGTCTTTGTTCTCATTGGTTTCAAAGAAAATCTTTATTTCTGCCTTCATTTCATTATGTACCCAGTAGTCAT